>NC_000001.11:37053835-37678835 GCF_000001405.40 Homo sapiens | reverse complement strand
ACTGGCTTATGGATGAAGACACCAATGTGAGTTCTGTTCTGTTTTCCCTCAGCTGGGTCAGAACCCCTTTCTCTGTCAGTGTAAGACAGTCTTGGGATGAAATGAAGAATTTTGGTTTCCCTCTATCCTGTCCCTCCCCATCCACATCTAGAAACTGACCTTCAGATTCTTCTCTCAGAGTAAGTGTTGTCTCAAGGTGCTGGGGTGCCTGGGCCCTAAAGAGAAGGTCTCCTGCTTGCCCAAGGAGAGCCTGGGCTTTATGGGGACTGTATTACACCAGACTTTAATTGGGACGAGAAGCCAGGTACCTTCCCAACCTGCTCAAACACTGGATCATTTATAATTCCATTTCCCTATGAGAAGGGAGGAAGAGTGCACATTTCAGGGAGCAGGTTTGGGGATGAGGGGAAGGAAGGAACCTAGACCTGGGTTCAAGTCTCAGGCTCAGCCTTTAGCCAGCTGTGTGATCTTGGGCAAGTAATTTCCTCTAAGTCTATTTCCTCATCTGTATAGTGGAAGTGATGATATGTCCTTACAGGGTTGTAAGGTTTAAGCGAGAGGAGATAGTGAGGGCTTTGGGTACATTTGTGAGCATTTAAGGGATTGAAATTCACTTAAGCTTTATTAGTCACTCACTAAGTGTATAGCTCTGTGCTAGGCTCTTTAATATCTTTCTAAACCCTCAACGAGAATTGAAACAAGTATGCTTACTTCCATTAGGTAGATGAGGAGACCGAGACAGAGACCTGGTAAGCTTTCTAAATGCCCACAGCTTGTCAGTAATGTTGCCAGAATTTGCACCAGGGCTTGCTTGGTTCCGGTGAAAGGTGCTTTCCCCCACATCACTGTTGCCTTTCTGCCACAGAAGGCAAGAGCATGCCTAACATCTACTCAGCTGTAACAAGGGTGAGGTTTTCTGATACCCAGCCCTGCACAGGACATGGATCCTGCAGTGCAGAGCTACCTCCATCCAACTTGGCCGTGGCACATGAAGTATCCAAGCCTCTTCCAGGACAGCCGCAACCTTGCCAGTTACCCTTCCTTCTGACCCCATAGCCAAGAGGGTTGGAGCAAATCCTGGCGTGGTCTACCAGAGTCCTACACTTTTGCCTTTGATGCCAGGGCCTGGTAGGAGAAAGCCAGTGATTCTGAAGGAATGACAGGGGTACCCCTTCCAGGCACTGTCCTCCTCCCCATCCTTCCTGGAAGGCTCCTTCTTGGTTTCCACGTAGAGCAAAGTCATTTTTCCGAGACTGTAGGGCCCCAGCCCAGAGATTCTGGTCTAGTATGTGTGGGGAGGGGCTAGATATCTGCATCCTTAATAAGTACCCTTAGTTCAGTTGCAGAGTCATTCCTTAAGAAAGAGCCTTCATCCTGAGAAAAGGCAGCAGTTAGCACAGAGATTGATGGCTGGGTAGACTAGCCACAAAGACCGCACTTCTCTGGGGAAGAAACGCCTTCATAACTCCCTCACTGCACCTCTTTTCCCCTTTTTGTTGCCAGTCCTCAAGTCCAATGGGTACCTCGGCATTGCTCCCCTGGCCCCTCCATGCTGTTTGGGGTGGGATAGTCATAACTTATGTATATGGGGCTTTAGAGTCTGTCGCATCCATATCCATTCATTCTGAGGCCTCCCAGTGTGCCCAGCACAGAACTCATCATTAGCAATACAGAGGTAAATCAAAGAAGTCCATGATTTAGTAGGCCAGGCAGATCTGCAAGCTCTTCGTGAGAAGTGCTATTGTGAAGGATGTGTGGGGAATGCAGTGGATGGAGAGAGTGACTGATTGTTTTTGTGGGTTTTTGTGGGAGGCGAGATAGGGGAATGTGAGACTAGCTCCTCTGTGACTTAATTTCAGTGAGAGTCTTCCCTCTGGTCTCTAGTAGAGTAAGTGATGGGGGTGGGGGTCAGCCTGGCCTGCTGGCCATCATGTGAGCGGGGAGCAACCCTTTCTGCTCTGGCTCATCTCTTCTGATTGAAACGTGTGGAGCAGTTCTTAATTTGCACAGAGAGCCCAGACTAATAAATCCGCTACTCAATTGCAATTCCCACAGTGCGTTTATAGGCAACAGCTGACTTTTATCAGCTAGTTTGTTCTTTCATATAAGCAGAGTTTTATGAGGGTCTCCTGAGCTGGCTTGTAATGTGATGAAACGTCTGCAAAACTCAACCATAAATTCCTGGCACCTGCCAAGCAGAGGATGCTGTTTTCCAGGCACATTTTGTCCAGCTGGCGGCTCTGTCCCCTTGCCCAGTTTGCATTTTTGCACTTGTCTCTTTAAACTTGGATTTGTTTTTCAGTTCTCTGCGGCCTCTTTAAAGGCAACCGAAAAATGAGGGGTAGGAAAAAGGAACTAGAAAGTTACGTCTGTGCTAAAAATTACCCCTGGCTTATGTTGCTCTGAAAGCCAGTTTTGATCCCACTGTTGAAACAGAGACATCAGGCTTCCCTGCCACATGAACCCCAGGGCGGGGGACAGGAGGCCAGTGCCAGCCGAGCCCGTTATTAATACTTTGATTCTTTTCTGGGCCATCACCCTTTGTACTTGCCAAAGGCCCCTACCCTCAGTTGTCAGTTCTGTAAATTAAAGAAACAGCTCCGGAGGCCTTTTCCCCAGATGGTCTCCAGGCATGACATCTTTTCCCAGCATTTAGAGCTCCCCCAACACAGAGAGATGAAATTTAAATGCCCTCTGTCCTCCAAATAGGGCGAGACCTGGACTCTTGGAGAATGCTGTTTGGCTGGGGTGGACTGGGTCATTGGGAGAGCTACAAAGGCCTCAGTGGTGCAACTAGGAATGGTTGAGTGTGGCCCTGGCTGTGTCTCAGGATTACCCACCTGTGTTTATGGGTTCTCTTCATTTTGATCAGACCATTAGGTCAGAAGGCTCCTGTGGCTGCCCTTCCTGTGGCCTTATCCCCTGCTTGCTTTCCCTAGCCCACACTTCAGGGCTGGCTTCATGTGCCTGTGACCCACACTTACAAGGGTTCCCAAGGTTGGTTTCATGCTCTGCTGTCACTCTCGAAATTCTAAACAGTTTTCGAATGATTTTCCTTTGGCACTGGGCCCTGCAAATTATGTTGCCAGTTCTGCCCAGCTTCTCTCTGGTCCTACTGCTTGTAGCTGCCCCAGCACTGTGGACAGACCCTTTCTTCTCCAAGTTGAAGTTTGAGCCTTTGCAGAGCAGGTTAGTTACCCGTCATTGAGGCCTCTGGCCTTGTCCCCCTCCCAAAGGCTCCCTGTTATCCACTCTTCTGGCTACAGGCAATCCCTATTACGTGACAGTATCTCCACAGGCCCTAAAGAGGTGCCTGTCAGTCCCAACTCCCTAAGTCATCTGCAGCTGCTCCTGGCCCCTTCTTATCATTTTCCAGAAAAGATTTCTAGTCAATGCACTCTGCCTGGAAGAAGCTGCCTGCTCTTATGGAGGAGCTGGGGTCTTTGCTAGAGAAAACATCCCCTAACTGCCACCTCCACCTCAAAGGCAAGACATTGTTTCCTGCTACGGGAAAGAGACCCACTTTCTTATTTTTCCAAGCCCCACTCAGACACCATCTCCTTTTTGTTATCTCTTCTTACACCCCTAGATGAAAATAACCCTTCCTTTCTCAGCACAGTACTTGTACTTCCCTTTAACACTTAATTTTTAATTTTTTTAAAAAATGTAGAGTCAGGGTTTCACCATGTTGTCCAGGCTGGTCTTGAACTCCTGGGCTCAGGAGATCCACCTGAGCTGGGCTTGGTGCTTTGGCTCACATCTGTAATCCCAGCACTTTGAGAGACCGAGGCGGGCAGATCGCTTAAGCCCAGGAGTTTGAGACCAGGCAGGGCAACATAGTGAGGCTCCATCTCATAACTAACTAAATAAATAAATAAAAGAAATCTGCCTACCTTGGCCTCTCAAAGCTCTGGAATTATAGGCGTGAGCCACCACACTCGGCCTATTTTTTTTTAAATTTAAATCCAGCTCCTGCAGGATTTTATTTTTTTCTTATCCATTCTTATATCCCTACCAGCTCAGCAAGGGGCTCAGCCCCATTTGGGAATTGACCCAAGTGGTAGAAATGGTGCAGGGGCCTTTGCAGCTGCATGGCGTGGAGAAGGTGGGCTCTGCTCTACCCAGTGGGATGGTGCAAGGGGTGGCAGTGGTCTCTGACAGAGCTGGCTGGCTGCTGATAGCCATGGCCTCCTGTAAAGCTGCGGTATCCTAGAAAGATTGTGAGCTTCGGCAAAATCCTGTCTCCACCCACCTAGGATGTGGGCCTTGTGTTTTGCCGCTCTTACCTGTAAGATGAGTATAAGAAGACCCGACTCACTGAGCTATTTTGAAAATGAAATGAACTAATTCATTCAAACCACAGAGGATGAAGCCCAGCACCCAGTAGGTTCTTAATTAATTATAGGTTTTATCCTCCCCCTGGAGGAGGACTTGGGATTGAGGCCCATTTCCTCCTCTGTCAGGTGCCAGCTGGGCTGAGGGTGTAGTCACTGGCCACCTAAGAGCTAGGCTGGCTGATGGAAGTGAAACAAGGCAGAAGATGACCCCATCCCAGCAGCAAAGACCCACAGGCCAGGCTGGGCAGAGCATCCTCCCTTTCCCAGACCGCCTGGCTTGGGTTCCCTGGCAAGGCTGGCGGACCTAGATCCACCCGGCATTGCCACACTGGCGGAAATGGTGGTTACTGTTCGAGCCAAACCCTGGGACTGTGGCGACAGCCCTGACGGAGGCCCAGCCACCACATCAAGGACACGGCTCCACCCTCCTCTCAGCATCCCCTCCCACCTCAGGCTTCCCCGCCTCCCTCCTTCCCAGAGAACCCAGGGTGTAACCTCTCCTTGAGGCCAAGGTAAGCCACAGCCCTCTGTGGCTGCTGCTGTGTGGTGAAGGTCCTGGGCAGGGAGTCGGGACATCAGAGTTCCTGACTCAGCTGTGCCACTCCGGTGGGACCTGAGCGTGTGACTTGACCTCTCTAGACCCCAGGGTCTTCATCAAACAAAGAGGGCGGGTAGGCAAAGGTTTCAACATACAGCTGCTGCAAAAATGAAATGGGCTAATGCACGTAAAAGAGCTTGAAATCAGAGCTGGGCGCAGTGGCTCACATCTGTAATCCTAGCACTTTGGGAGGCTGAGGCGGGAGGATTGCTTGAGCCCAGGAGTTCAAGACCAACCTGGGCAACATATCAAGACCCTGTCTCTACAAAAAATAAAAATAAAAAATAAGCTGGGTGTGGTGGCGTACACCTGTAGTCCCAGCTACTTGGGAGGCTGAGGTGGGAGGATCACTTGAGCCTGGGAGGTCAAGGCTGCAGTGAGCCATGATTGCACCACTGCACTCCAGCTTGAGTGATAGAGCAAGACCCTGTTTTTTGTTTTGTTGTTGTTGTTGTTGTTTTAAACTTGAAACCATATCATAGAAATGGAAGCGATTTTCCTCTGAGAAGCAAAAGGATTTGGGAGCCAATAAGAATAACACTATAATTGCCACTTCTGGAAGTTTCTCAACTTCATGCTTACTCCTAACGCTTTCACATCCATTAAACAACCCTGTGAGGCAGGTGCTATTTCCCCTGTTTTACAGACAAGGATGCTGCTTTGGGGGGTGTGGGGGTCAAATGACTTCTCAAAGGTCACATAGCCAATCTGAGATTTTAACTCTGATAGGACTCTAGGCAAATCACCTACCGTCTCTGTGCCTCAGTTTCTTCTCCTGTGCAATGGACACCATTATTCCCCTCTCAGAACCACTGTGATGAAATGAACCCATGTGTGAAAAGCACCTGGCACAGTGCTGGGTGAATTTTCTTCTTTTGCTTGGAATCAGGAATTCCCACTAGGTATCTTAGCCTTAAGAGCTGCTTTGGGTTGGACGGTGGCTGACTCCAGACTTTCTGGGGAGTTCTGGTGATCGCTTAGTGCAGGAAGCATTGCCCAGGTGGGAGCACAGGTGTGTCAATTCCTGGCTACACTTCAGCGCCCAGGCCAGCAACGTGAGCCTCCTCCTTGCCTAGGGGAGTCTGGGGACCTGCATCATTTCTATCTCTGTCCACTGAAATCATCATTGTTCCCTGCAAGTCTCCAAAGCTCCAGAATCCTGCATCACAGCAAGGGGGAAAATGCTCCCAGTGCGGCAAGCCGTGCAGACGTGTTTGAGAGAATAACCAGTGCCATCTGTGCAAGCGGCCCATCCCATCTCTTTGATCCACAGCCTGGGACCAAGGAGGGTAGTTCTCACCCACAGAGAGCTGAATAGCTTCCTCCGTCCAGTTGCCCTTGGGCCTGGCTGCCTGGTCCAGCAAGACAGAGTTGTCCTTATTTATATCCTGTGTAACTCTGGTCCAGTGAGGAATAAACAGTCTCTCCATCAGTGAGGATTTAAGAATCTAGACCAGTGGTTCTTTTCTCGGCTACGCATTGAAATCATTTGGAGAACTTTATAAAACACTGATGACTGGGTAGACTCAGGTTCACCCCCTGAGATTCTGGTTTAATTGGCTCTGGTTTAATTGGCTGGGATGCAGGAATTTAAAAATCCCCTCCCTCCCTCACAAGTGATTCTAATAGAGAGCAATGGCTGAGAACAGCTGCTTTGATACAATTCATTCATTTAAAGATCTTTGACACTGTGTGTCAGGCACTATGTTGGGTTCCAAGGTGAACAAAAGAATCTGGGTTTTGTCCTCATGGAGCTTGCATTCTAGTGGGGAGGAACAAAATAAATTAACAAGAAAACAATTTCAGATGGTAATAAGTTCTATAAAGACCATGCAAGCCGGGCACGCGGCTCACACCAGTAATCTCAGCACTTTGGAATGCCAAGGTGGAAGAATCACTTGAGCCCAGGAGTTCAAGACCAGCCTGAGCAACATAGGGGGACCCTTGTCTCTATAAAAAGTAAAAAAAAAAAAAAAAAAATTAGCCAGACTTGGTGGCACACAACTATGGTTCCAGCAATGCAGGAGGCTGGGGTGGGAGGATCACTTGAGCCTGGGAGGTCGAGGCTGCAGTGAACTGTGGTTATGCCACTGCATTCCAGCCTAGGTGAAAGAGCAAGACCTTGTCTCCAGAGAGAGAGAGTCGGGGGGAGGGAGAGAGAGACAAAAATGCAAGTAGCAATGGGATACAATGACTTGAGGAGAGGGTGAGGGGGCAGAGAGGCTTTCTGAGGAGGTGACTTTTGTGCTTAGACCTAAATGAAGTGAATAACGGGGACGTGTGGATCTGGTGCAGCTGTGCTCAGTGCCATCTGAGCACTCTAAGACCCTTTCAGGGGTTTTGCAAGTGAAACTTTTTATGATACTAAGATGCTATTTGTTACTCTCATTCTCTCACCAGTCTGCAAGGAAGTTTTCAGGTGCCCTGTGATGTATGATGATGTCATCGCTCTGACAGCTAATGGGATTCGTTCTTGAGCATTCTCATGTTTGGGTTTTTTGTTTGATTGTTTTCTGAGACCAAGTCTCACTATGTTGACCAGGCTAGTTTAGAACTCCGGGGATCAAGCAATCCTACTTCCTCAGCCTTCCAGGTAGCTGGAACTACAGGCGCACCCCACTGAGCCTGGCTTGTATTCTGTTTTTAAAAATTCTCAAATTTAATTTCTATGTTGGTAAATAGTGATGGCTATAACCCATATAGACACAAACAGACATTCTTTGGAGTCATCAATTTTTAAAAAATTTTTTGGAAACAGGGTCTCACCCTGTTGACCAGGCTGGAGTACAGTGGCACAATCATAGCTCACTGCAGCCTCAACTTCCCAGGCTCAAGTGGTTCTCCCTCCTCAGCCTCCTGACTAGCTGAGACCACAGGTGCACACCACCACACCTGGCCGATTTTCTTTTTAGTAGAGATGGGGTCTTGCTATGTTGCCCAGGCTGATCTTGAACTTCTGGCCTCAAGCAACCCTCCCACCCCCGCCTCCCAAAGTGCTGGGACTATAGGCCTGAGCCACCACTCCTGGCCTGGAGTCCTCAATTCTTTTTTCTTTTTGACCTCCCGGGCTCAAGCGATCTTCCCACCTCAGCCTCCTGAGTAGCTGGGACTATAGGCCCTCCTAAGTAGCTGAGACTACAGGTGCACACCACCACAAGTGGTTAATTTTTGTAGTTTTTGTAGAGATGGGGTTTTGCCATGTTTCCCAGGCTGGTCTCGAACTCCTGAACTCAAGCCATCCACCCACCTCGGCCTCCCAAAGTGCTGGGATTACAGGTGTGAGTCACCATACCCAGCCCCTCAGTTCTTAAGAGTGTAATAGAGTCATGGGACCAAAAAGTTAGAGAACTGCTGATCTGGCAGGAGAGCCTTCCAGAGAGTCCGGGGGTGGGACCAGCTTGGTATATTCAGGGAAGTGCAGGAAGGCAGGAGGACTAGAATGAAGAGAGAAAGGGATGGAAGCAGATGAGGTCAGAGGGGAAGGCAGAGACCAGATCTGCAGGAACCTAGAGGAGGAGGATTTCAGGCAGAGAGACTGGGAGGCTGTCCAGATGTGAGATACCAGACCAGGTTATGGTGATGACAGTGGAGATGGAGAGAAGTCGATCCCAGAGATATCTGGAAGGTTGAATTGGCAGGACCTGGTGATACATTGGATGTAGGGAGAGTAAAGGCAGATGGCTCCAGTTTGCTGGCTGTTGAACAAGGCAGGGGACAGGTGGGGGATGGGTGGGTGGGGGAGACAGAATATGAGACATGGGGTGGAGGACATCTGCTGGCTTCTTAGATGGGTTTGGAGGCCACTAGAGAAGTCAGGGCTGGAGTGAGGATCAAGCTTCGGGAGAATGTGTGCAGAGAGAAGGAGAGGCTTCCGAGGGGCTTTACTGGGGAAGCCCAACCTGCATGATGTTGCCCAAGGAGACGGCAGAGAGGGTGAGAGGAGAACCAGCAGGTACTGGGGGGCAGGAGCCAAGGAAGGAGACAGAGGAAGGAAGAAAGGGAGGAGGGGAGGGAGGGAGGGAGGGAGAAAGGAAGGAAGGAAAGAAGGAAGGAGGGAGGGAGGGAAGGAAGAAAGGAAGGAAGGGTTTGAGGTGATAAAGGTACAGAGGGAGGGAAGTAAGGAAGGAAAGAAGGAAGGAAGGAAGGGTTTGAGGTGATAAAGGTGCAGAGGGAGGGAAGGAAGGAAGGAAGGAAAGAAAGAAGGAAGGAAGGAAGGGTTTGAGGTGATAAAGGTGCAGAGGGAGGGAAGGAAGGAAGGAAAGAAAGAAGGAAGGAAGGAAGGAAGGTTTTGAGGTGATAAAGGTGAAGAGAGGACATGTAGGATGAGGACAGGTCCATACAGGCTGTGGCCTCTGTAAGAAGAGTTTCTTGGAAGTGGGGGCACAGCAGCTAGTTTGCAGTGGGTTGAAGGGTGAAAGAGATGAGGATATGGAAGTGATGCATGTAGAAAGCCCTTTAAGAGGGAAAGGAAGAAGGCAGTAGCTTGAAGCAGATGCAGGGGGCAATTTGGAATGGAGGAGACAGGACCCTGTTCTGTCGGCTGAGGCGCAGAAGACAGCAGCATGAGAAGGGATGGTTGATGGCACAGAGTGCCCGAGCACAGGTGGAGAGGCTGGCTTAGGACCAGGGCAGGGAAGGACGGAAACCTGACAGTGAGTTTGAAGGGTGGGAGTGTCTTTGGGGTGGCAGTTAAGAGGCAAGGTCATTTGCCCAGGGATACCAGGGTGGCGCGGAGGCTCCAGGGGTGGGGAAGGTAGGGAAAGGCCCCTAAGGATGCTGGATGAGAAAGATGCTGGGCTCAACAGCAAGCCTGGGTTTGGGACTTTCTGTCCCTCACCCATCATGAACCTGGTGGGCTCAGAAAATCCAAAGAGCTCCTCACATCTTCCCCAAATGTTTCCCAGTTATCTTCTCCATGCTGGGAGGAGATGGATGGAAGAAGTGTGGGAATGAGCTTTCTGACTTGTTGTGGGGAAACAGGTGCCCAGTGGAGAAGAGGAGCTCTCACAACGCTTCGGGAAGCAGCCGGGATCATAACACGGATGTCCTGGCTCCCTGAATCCTAACCACTGGGCAGCCATGCCTGGAGCAGGATCATTTTGCCCATCCCCATGTGGGCTTCCTCTCACCCACCAGCCTCATGGTTCTGGACTCTTTCTTCTTTTTTGCCTCCTCACCACTCCCCACTACATCCCATCCCAGCATAGAAGTCCCCAAGATGGTGGTACTGTCCAAACATCTCATGAATCTGCCCTTTCCTCTCCCTTCTCCCTGCCTGGACAATTGCTGGCCTCTGCCTCCAACCTCTCTCCCTCCAGTACACCCTCTGCCAAGAGGATTGCTCTGACATGGAAATCGAGCCATGTTGTCCTCTTGCCCCAGAAGACCTTCAGAGGTTCCCTGGGTCTTCAGCCTGGTGTCCAAGGCCCCTCGTGAGCCCCTGAGCCCCTCATCTTCCCCTGCTCTGCAATATGCCCTCCTCTGCCCCATGCCTTTGTCACGGGGGATCTCTCGCTGGGGATGCCTTCTCCCTTCATCCATCTGGGGAGGTTCCGTTCACCTTTCAGTTTAAACATCACCTCCTCTATGAAGTCTTCCTTGACCACCATGTCAAGTCACCTCCCTCATCCGAGTCCCCAGAGTACAGTAAATCCTCACTTAACGTTGTTTGTAGGTTCTTGGAAACTGTGACTTTAAGGGAAACAACATACAGCAGGTCCTCAAATAACAGCATTTTGTTTCATTCAATGTCCATGAAGAAAATATTGGTTTTGTTATATATTGTTTTGCTTAATGTCAGTTTCCAAGAACAAATTGATGATGTTAAGTAAGGACTTACTGTATCATACACTCCAGTATAATAGCCCATCCCACTTTCGGGTAACTGGCTATTTATACTTCCATCTCCTTTCCCTGGCTCCTCCAGGACAGGGGCCAGGTTTGCTCCTCTTTTCTGTCCCAGCCAGGAACAGTTTGGAGCCTTGTGGGTGCTGGAATGAATGAATGAATGAATGAATCAATCAATCAATCAATCAGTCAATGTTCTGATGGATCCTGTGTCTTCGATGTGGGAAGCTTTTCTATAGCTGTCTTTAAAAAAATGTGTTATCTGGTTTTATACAATCCAAAAATGCATGGGGACTCAAAGACCCAAGGAAAGGGCTTTGCAGTGCAGATGGAGGAGGACTCAGCCCCGCTGGAGTGTGCACAGAGGACCACTGGCAGCTTCCCGGGTTCCCCTGCAGAAGCCCTTCTAAGGCCATTAGCCAGGACCCCTGGGGAGTCACATTCTATCAGCTGAGCCTCTGGACAACACAGGCCCGAGAAGCACTGATGGCCGGGAGGCCTAAGCGAGACAGCAGTCACTCATCAGCCCAGACTGGCACAAGTCTGCCTTGCCCAGAGACAGGGGGCTGCATGGGAGGAACCCTGCTCCATGAGGCCCTGACTCTCCGAGCCTGCGTGACAGCTTGGACAGTCACAATGGTTGTGCATAGTCACATCTGCAGGTAATTTCTTCATCCATCTGCATTGGAATGGATCTCATTCAGTTCATTAGAACAACACCCTCTGTCCCAGTGCCGTCTCTCAGGCGGGAGGCGCTGCTGCGTGCCCTGGAGAGCATGCTGCTCAGGCTCCGTGTTGGAACCTTCTGTCTCTTAGTGGGCTCTAATTGCATTAGGAGTAACCATGAGGTCAGTGGGCATGCTTGTTATAGGCGGCCTGGCCTCCAGCCGCCTGGGTGCGTGCAGAAGGAGCTCCCAGGCCGTGCTGCCTGACATTTGCGATCGTTTAATGGAAATCAGTTCCATCTTGGAGCTCTGCTCAGCCTTTCATACAGCAGCCAAACTGTCCTCCTTGGACAGGACATAAATCCTGCTGGCAAGTACTGGGCCAGCTCGCCTCCTGGAGCTGGTTCCCTCCCAGAGCTCGCCAGGGTGCAGCTGTTTGCACACCAGTTCAGGAAAGGTTCTGGGGTGCTGATGGGGTGCAGGGCGGAGAAGAGCACTGTTTTGGGAGCCAAATTCCAGAGGAGCAGCTTCCAGGCTGGGCAAGTTATTAATACTTAACTCTGAGCTTTGGTTTTTCTCATTTGTAAAAGGGGAAGATTGATACCTGCTTCTCTTATGCTAAGAATTAAAGGCCCAACAATGCCTGACACCCTGTAGCTACACAGAATGTGATTTCTTCCATCAACCATGTACCAGCTGTGTGACCTCGAGTGAGGCACGTAACTTCTCTGTGCTCCCATTTCCTCACCTGTAAAATGACATCATGGCAGTGCCCATCTCATATGGCATTTGTGAGGATTAAGGGGGGCAACGCGGGTAAGGCGATGAGAACGGTGCCTGCACTTGGGAAGCCCTCGGTGCACATTGTTGTCACTGTTTTTACTTCTTTGTAGGACATGGCTTTGGAGCGAGGCCTAGTAAATACATGACTTGGGTTGGTTTGGCAGCTGATCCTCTACTGGCAGGGCTCTAAGCTGAGACAGGTTGCAGGTTTGGAGGAGAAAGAGGGCCAGCGAGAATACTGAATTCCAGACTGACCAAATATCTTGTTCCTCTAACAAATGTTTGTGGAGGTCCTACTGTGTGCCAAGCACTGAGCTAAATATGTCGAATTGACAGGGATGTCTACCTGGCTACTGGATATTCGTGTGATCTGCCGATTTTATTTTTCTCTTTATTGGGCTATCCACTTAAAAATAAATAAATAAATAAATACATAAATACATAAATAAATGAAAGGCTCATTGATGCTGCCCCAGCTGAGCTTTGGGGTGTACCTCGATGGCACACAGGTCCCGAGATTTTAGAGTCCAGCTCTTGCTCTGTTCACCATCTCCCCCTTTTTCCAGCCTGAGCAGAGACCTCTCCTCTTCCAAGAAGTCTTCCCCCATCCCCTCTAGACCAGGTGAGGTGTCTGGACCCGATTCTTTGTCTATCACAGCACTGACAATGCACTATCTTGAGGTTTTCTGGTCACTTGTTCCTGACTGGGGATGGACAGGCACTGTGTCTCTTGTTCCCTGCTCTCCAGAACCCAGTGAATGCCCAGCACCGAGCAGATGCTCGACCAATATTTGTCAAACAAAGGAATGAGCATGGACTTGAGGCCTGCAGCTGGGCTTAGGACTAGGGCCCCTGAAAGGTGACCTACCTCCATCTAAAACAGCCTCTTAAGCCTCCCCACACAGGCCCCATAGAATGTCTCCAGGGCCAATGAATTCACCATCTTCCTCCCACTCGTTTCAGTTTCTAAGCCCGTTGGTCAGGAAGTTCTTCCCAATGTCTGCCTACATCTCCAGGAATAACTTCGGCCAATTGTCCTAGAGTCAAGCAGCATGGAAGCAGAGGGGTGTCCTCCCCAAATGCCTCCCCTTGCTTCCCCAAGGAAAAGGAACCAGCACGGCAGGGTGAGGAGGATGGGGGACAGGTTGGAAATTGAACTGACAGATGTCGAGTGCATGTTCCCAAGGAAATACAATGTAATTGTAGTGAACAGGGCTTGGCAAAGAGGGCCTGCATCTGATCTGAAACTCAAGAGCTTTCCTAGTGGAGAGGCGCTGGCCACCAAGAAGGGTGAGCTCTCAATCATGAGCAGCCAGGCATCCCTCAAGTATGGCAGGTGCACCGGGAATCTTGGAATACCTACCAGGCACTGTGGAAGAAGCAGACAGGGTGGGGGTTTCCAGACCCTTAGCCTTCCTGGGCTGGGTTGAGAGAAGACACCCAGGCTGGCCTGGTCAAACAAAGGACCATGTAGCCTGGGCCAGGACTACTCACTATTGGACAGGCCAGAAAGAAGGGGCCTCCAGCAGGGCTGCCCTGCAGGAAGGAAGGACCTCATCTGCAGTCTGGGTCAGCCTCAAAGGCAGGAGCACTCCAGCCCAACTGCACCCAGGTCCCTGCCAACCTCACTGCCATCACCCCCAATATTCAATGCCACTTCTCCCATGCAGGCCTTGTGCTGGGCCCAGAGAGATGAAACAACTTTCCAGGGGCTCTGGGAACACCAACCAAACCCTTCTTCCCAGCTCTCCACTCCCTAAAGACCATTTCTAGCCTTTCTCTGGTTTTCCTGAAGTCTCACTGGTTACGCTAAGCAGAGGATGGTGGGACCACCTCTGGGCCAGAAGGCCAGTGACTTGCAGTCAAGTTCCAGCTCTGTGTGACCTTCACAAGTCCTATCTCTCTGAGTCCTGAGTTATTTCACCTCCATAGAGTGGCAAAGAGCAAAGATTTTTAAATGCTTTTTATTTTTATTTTATTATTTTTTTTTGAGATAGAGTTTTGCTCTTGTCGCCCAGCTGGGGTGCAATGATGCGATCTTGGCTCACTGCAACCTCCACCGCAGGTTCAAGCGATGCTCCTGCCTCAGCTTCCCAAGTAGCCGGGATTACAGGCGACTGCCACCATGCTCAGCTAATTTTTGTATTTTTAGTGGAGACAGGGTTTTACCATGTTGGCCAGGCTGGTCTTGAACTCCTGACCTCAGGTGATCCACCCACCTTGGCCTCCCAAAGTGTTGGGATTACAGGCGTGAGCCACCGTGCCCGGCCTATTTTTTTTTTTTTAATCTTTTAAAGAAGTAGAAACCTTAGTATTGTGGAGAGAAATGTGAGGAATGTCAACATGTAAAACAAAGCAGGACTGCTCTGGCTGGAGCAGGGGGAGCCTGGGGTCCTGCCTGCTCAGCCTCCCCTATGCCTCTGAGCGCCTCTCTCACACCCACAGCCTGAGAGCCATGGCACTGCAGGACAGCTAAGGGACTTCTTGTCCTCAAGCTTAATAGGGGTTTCCAGGTGGGCTAGGGCTGGGAGGTCCAAGGGCAGTGCTATCTGCTGGAGAGATGACAACTGGCTCACTAGTGAGGACAGGGGAGGGCAGACCCATTGTGCCTTGCTTATGAAGACATTTCTCAAGGAGAACTAGCTTCCCGGGGATGGACATGGCTCCAGCCGAAGGTGCAATATGAACCACCTCCCTCCCGGAGCTGGGCATGTGGGGAGGCAGCTACCCAGACATCCCTCAGCAAGCTGCTGGGGTCACACTGCCTGGGGACAGGAGACCCATGTGATGACCCCCTACGGGCGCCTGCACCTTGGGCGGGATAGCAGGAAGCAGATGCAGAGGAAAGCGCGGAGCCTGGAGCCCCCTACCTAGAAGTGATTGGAGGGAGTCCTCGGGCCCAGCCTTACTGTCCCCAGGGAGAGCAATCACTGAGAGTATCAGACCAGGCCCTGCTGCCAGCCTCTGCTCCGGAAACCCCCTCATTCCACGGTGTCTGCTTAATCCCTGTTAACAGTGGGCTGACCTCCCGCCTCTGTGGCCTCACACTGGGCCTGCCCCAGATCCTCACAGGCCTCCTTCGAAAAATAAATAAATACTTTCTCCATTATCCCATTAGCAGCTTCACAGGTTTTTCTGCTATTAGTTCCCAGCTCCAGTGAAAGTGGAAACACGTGTTCCAAAGAGCCTCCGCTTGCCCACCAGCCACCATGGGGCTGGTGCTACGCTGGAGGCAGAGCTGTGCCTGGCCACCTGCAGCTGCCCACTGGGGAGAGTGCGGGTCAGAATCCGTTCAGCTCCCCCCAGATTCTGCCACCTTCAGCATAAACCAGGGGTCTCCACACAACCAGGCAAGGAGCTGGGAAACACAGCTTCTGTGTGATGCTCTTCACTGGCTGTGTGTCTTCTGGCAAATCTCATTACCTCTCTGGGCCTCAGTTTCTATTTTATTGTCTTTTATTATTTTGAGACAGAGTCTCGCTCTGTTGCCCAGTCTGGAGTGCAGTGCTGAGATCTTGGCTCACTGCAACCTCCACCTCCTGGGTTCAAGTGATTCTCCTGCCTCAGCCCCCCAAGTAGCTGGAATAACAGCTGTGCACCACCATGCCTGGCTATTTTTTTTTTTTTTTTAGTAGAGACGGGGGTTTCACCATGTTGGCCAGGCTGGTCTCGAACTCCTGACCTCAAGTGATCCACCTGCCTCAACCTCCCCAAAGTGCTAGGATTACAGGCAGGAGCCACCGTGCTTGCCCTCAGTTTCTTTTAAAATGGAGATTAAACTCCTATTTTAAGGACTAGAGGATCAAAATTATCTGAGAGGACAAGGAAGGGTCTTCAAGTGCTTTGCCAGTGGGGACGGGTACTTGGGAAATGCCTTACTCCTCTGGCCTTTGCTGGCCACCTCTACTTCTTCAGATGTAGTAAAGGAAGTAGCTAGGCCTTCCCTCACTGCACTGCCCTACACCCCAAGGGGAGCTCAGACCCCTGGGGTTGGCTACCTCCTTTTCGGTGCCTAGTGCATTCCGCTCCCCACGGCCACAGTTCTCTGAGAAGGTTCTAGGATGCTCCATCATTGGCTCCTCAAGGTGGGGCAGGGCGCTGCCCAGCTGACCTCGGCTAACACCCCCACAATGCCCAATGCAGGCCCTGGCACAGAGCAGAATCAGGCTGGGAGCTGCAAATGTTTGTCTTCCGGTTCCATCTCTTGGCTCCTTTTCACTTCCTCTGCCTGTGGCCCCAGGCAAGGGGGTCCCAGGTGTGCAGGAGTGTGGGCTGCTTCTGGCTGCCCACTGGGCACCTGGGACTTGGGCGGACAGGCAGTTAGTCTGCACAGAGCCTGTCAGCAGCTGGAATCTGTTGGCAGTGCCTGTGAGGTCACTGCTCTGCCTTCCCATTTCGAAGGAGGTGGGACTAAGTCCTAGCTCAGGCCATCTCTGGAAACCTCTGTACCTTGGCTCCCACTTTTCTGCCTGTCCCTTCCCTGCAACTCCACCCTGCTTCACTTCTCTTGTCTGCGAGCTTCTTGAGGCAGAAAGGGTGTCTCGTTGTCCCTTGGACATGCTGTGCTCCATTCAATGCCAAATTGGAACGGTGGCTTTCTTATGGATTGGCTGTAACCTTGAACAAGTGACCTAACTTCTCTGTACCTCTAATTTTCTCATCTTTAAAGTGCAGATGGCACATTGCATTGCTGTGAGGGTCTAGTGGGATAATGCATTAGCACAGTCCCTGGCACCTTGTAAGCCCCCCAGAGAATGAGCTGTTGTTCTTACTCCCTATCCTGGGAACTCAGCACGGCCTGCTAGAGTGCAGTGCACAGCAAATGAGCGTGTGAATGCATGCTCAGTCCCAGGCCCCGGCCCTCAGCCCCTCCCTCTGGTTCCTGGCCAGGTGGGAGATGCTGTCTGCTCTGCCAGAGTGTGGTTTCTCAGCATGGGAAAGGCTGTCTGGACACCTGGAAACAGCAGGATGACTGTGCCTGGGCAGCCCCGGGGCCTACAGTCTCTCTGGGCAGAAAGGAGCCCAGAGCGCATTCCTGGGTGGAGAGCTGGATTGGCCTCCCTGCACTGTGGGACTTGGCCTCGGTGTTCGTCTGACGAGTTGGCCTCGTCTTACCAACCCTATGACTCCTCTCTGTGGGTCCATTTCAGCAGCCTGGCAGCAGCCAGGCCTCCTTTCTCGGCCCCCTGGGAAGCCCCCCTCTCACCTATCAACCAGCAGCTTTCATCCCCTTGGTTCTCCCAGAGGTTGGACCAGGGCATTCTTCCACTCTGACCTGCTAAGCCCCTGTCCGAATGAACCACCCATGGAGGGAGAGGTGAGGCCGGGGCCGGACTGAAGGATGCTATGACTCGCTTTCTCCATCTTGGCCAATGCTGGCCCTCAAGGAGGCAGAGGCGGGAGGCCTGGTAACCTCCCGCCTGGGATCCTGGGCTGTCTCTGGCCAGAAGCCAACTGGGCACTTTGGCATCAGGTGCCTTTGCAAGCCAGGATGGGGGTGGGAAGGCCCAGCCCCCTCTCTACTGATGTTGGTAGGGGGCTGGGCATGGCCTCATGGGGAGCTGCCCTGGACACAGCAGAGGCAGGCGGCTGCACCGCCTGACCTCCTGTGAGTCCAGAGGCTATGATTCTGTGATTGATTCTCCCCTCGGAGCCTCTGGGCTGCTCTCCTGGGAAAGCCGCAGGTCTGGGTCAAGGGGAGGGAGTCTGGTATGGACCATATTCAGGGACGGATTAGCCGGGGGAACTGCTCCCACCAGCAGGGAGGGGAGAGATAAAGCCTGTGAGCTGAAGAAGGGGGGCCCAGCACCGAGACACTCCCTCCCTGACCCTAGGCCCGTGCAGAGCTGGTGTCTGTGGTGGGGGAGGGGGCCGCCCCCTTTCCCAGGGTACTGGCTGGCCGTGGAGCCCAGCACTTTCTCAGGCCCTTTATTAAATTTCTCAGGAGCAAGAGGGGAGGTTATCCCTCCCCTTCTTCCCTGGGCTCCCCTCCTTTTGTCTCCCTCCCCAGGAGGGTCGGGAAGGAGCTTTTCTCATTATTGTGGTTATTAAAAAATAAATGAGCCAGAGACAGAGACACAGAGGGAGAGACAGAGAGGCTGAGAGACAGAGGCAAGCAAAGAGAGACAAAGAAAGACAGACAGATAGAAGACGGAGCTGGGAAGACAGATACAGAAGGAGGTAGACACAGAGAGGCCGAGAGAAATGGAGGAGAGGTCCAGGGCAGCTTGGCATGGTGGGAAAAACAGGTTTGGGGACTTTCAACTGCATTTAAAGTCACGCCTGGTACCCAGTCGTGTGGGCTTGGGCAAGCTACTTCATCTACTTGAGCCTCCGTTTCTCGTCTGCAAAATGGAGTAATAATCCTTACTTTGTAGTATCAGAAGCATAGACAGAGAGACAGAAGGCAGAAGGGACAGAGAGAGCTCAGTGGTGCCTGGGAAGCCCCCACTGCCCTTGAGCAGAACAGGACTCTGAGTTGCAGGACCTCTTCCCTGGAGATGACTGTTTCTGGGGTCCAGGCTCCTTTTCCGTATTCATCACCTTACTTCTGTGAGCCAATTCGTGGCTACTAAGTGGAAAACAAACTGGAGTCCTAGAATGTTCACCTTGACCAGGTGCTCACGCCTGGAATCCCAGCACTTTGGGAGGCTGAGGTGGGCAGATCACTTGAGGTCAGGAGTTCGAACCAGCCTGGCCAACATGGTGAAACCCCGTCTCTACTAAAAATACAAAAATTAGCCAGGTGTGGTGGCATGTGCCTGTGGTCCCAGCTACTCGGGGGACTGAGGCAGGAGAATCACTTGAACCTGGGAGGCAGAAGTTGCAGTGAGTTGAGATTGTGCCACTGCCCTCCAGCTTGGGAGACAGAGTGAGACTCTGTCTCAAAAAATTAAATTAAATTAAAGTTAGCCGGGCGTGGTGGTGTGCGTCTGTAGTCCCAGCTGCTTGAGAGGCTGAGGTGGAGGTGGGAGGACGGCTTGGGCCCGGGAGGCCGAGGCTGCAGTGAGCTGTGATTGTGCCACTGCACTCCAGCCTGGGCAACAGAGTGAGACCCTGTCTCAAAAAAAAAAAAAAAAAAAAAAAAAAAAAAAAAGAATGCTCACCTCATGTTGTTGTTTTTCCTTTTATCTCCCAAACTAAAGAACTTGACCATGAGCTTTGGAGACAAACAAACCTGGCACTGAATTCCCGAAACCTACTATGAAGTTTTTAAGGGCAAATGGCTAATATATGTTGATCTCATAGCTTTTTTTTCTTAAATAACTTTCTTCAGGTATAAAATTTACACGTAAAATGTACCCACTTTAAGTGCACAATTCAATGATCTTGAGTAAATGTGTACAGTTGTGCAACCATCATCACCACCCAATTCTAGAACCTTTCCATCACCCCCAAAATGTCTCTCATGCCCATTTGCAATCACTCCCCATTTCTATCCTGAGCCACCACTTGTCTTTTTTGTTTTTGTTTTTGAGACGGAGTCTCACTCTGGTGCCCAGGCTGGAGTGCAGTGGTGCAATCTTGGCTCACTGCAACCTCCGCCTCCCGGGGTCAAGCGATTCTCCTGCCTCAGGCTCCTGAGTAGCTGGGATTACAGACATGTGCCACAACACCCGGCTAATTTTTTTTTTTTTTTGTATTTTTAGTAGAGATGGGGTTTCACCATGTTGGCCAGGCTGGTCTCAAAGTCCTGACCTCAAGTGATCCACCTGTCTTGGCCGTCCAAAGTGCTGGGATTACAGGTGTGAGCCACCGTGCCCAGCCCTATTTTCTTTCTCTATAGATTTGTCTTTTCTGGACACTTCATTAAAATAAATCATGCAGCCTGTGGTCTTTTGTGTCTGGCTTCTCTCAGAATGCTTTGAGATTCCTCCATGTATGGCCCACTTCATCCTTTTTCACTGCTGAATAGTATTCCACAGTGTGGATGGCCGTGTGCTATCCCTTCACCCACTGATGGACCTCTGGGTTGTTCATAGGGTATTTTAAGGGTTGAATAAGATACTGTGCGTAACGTAATTGGGTCAGTAAATAGGTCATCTTACATGGGTTAAGGAGCGAGAAGGAGAGGAGAAATTTCTTTGCAGACTTACTACAAGGCAGGCACAGATGAAAGCACACTATAGCCCTTTCCTTCTTACACCACAACTTTGGGGTAGCAGTAAGTACTATTATCCTCTCCATTTTGCAAAGGAGGCAAGCCTGGCTTGGAGAGGGGACTGTGACTGTCTTGTCCGAGGTCACACCCAGTAAGTGAGGAGCTGGGAGCTGAGCCTGGGCAGTTGGCCCCCACCCTGCAGCTTCTTTTTGGCTCTGCCTGCCCCAAGCCCTAGGGAGCACCAGGGGAAGAGCTGGAATTCCCACAGGCTTCCTGCACTCAGCACCCGGCTCTCGCCTCCACCCACACGGCCTGCTCCTTTGCCTTTGCTGTTCCTCCTCAGCACTGGCTAGGAAACTCCCCCATGTCTTTTCCCTCCTTGACATCCCCGTAGCACCTCCAAGCATGGAGCACCTGTGATGTGCCAGGCACTGCTTCCCAGGTGTGGCCTTAGGGATCTGCTGTCATCCTCAGGCCATCCTTGGAGGTGGGTGCGTTGGCACAAAGGCCCAGAAAGTTTCGGAAACTTGCCCAAGATCAGAGTTCGTGAGCAAGTGGTGGAGCCCGCATTCCAATGTCTACATCTGTTTGATTCCAAAGGCCACTCTCCCTCTCTCTCCTTCTGTGCTCCTCCCTCCCAGAGGCTGGAGCTCCACATCTGGCTCCCAAATGACCCCCCAGGAGGGAAGGCGAAGGCTGGGGACCCTGTGGTAAGGGAAGACAGAGCAAGGGAGGGCGGGGGATGCCAGAAGGGGTGGGCAGAAGGGCCAGCTGGCCTTCTTCCCTGTAGCTTGGAGGCCTTCCCCGGGATGGCAGGGTGCGGGAGCTGCCCTCTCCTCTCCTCCCAGCGTCTTCTGGGAGACAATGTGCTTCTCATTAGGCTGGCGTTGGGTTTTGCAAACTGGACCTCTAATGGTGAAGGTTTGGGGATGTGAGGAACTGCGCATCTCTGCACCTCACATCTCCTGGAGGGGGAGAGCAGTCAGGCCCCTCCCACTTCCCGGGTGGCTCTCAGCCACGGGAGATGGCTGTGCCCTCACCCGCACCAAGTGCCAGTCCGAGGGGAGAGGATTCCTTGAGACGAGGGGATGATTGGGGCTGAGGCTAGTGAGATGAGGCCATGCTGATGTTATCTGCTTCACAGGATGGACTAACTGCCCACCTCTGGAATCCTCTAGGACCACTCTTCTTATTAGGCCTCCCCCAAAGCAGGGTCGTGTCTCCCCTCACACTGGGGTCCCTGAGGGCTGGGGGCCCTCCCTCAGCCTTCCCCACACCCCGTGAGAGGGCTGCAGAGCTGCGGTGGAGGGGGTGCATGCTGCACCCCACCCTGTGCCAGCAGCGTTGGGCTTACAGTGGGGAAATTGAGTAATGAGCGTGTAACCAAGTTAGGTCCATGGAAGCCTCCGAAGGCTCCGGTTTCCGGTTTCCTCCCACCCAGTGTGTCTGTCTGGGTGACTGCAAGGGGCCAGGATGCCGCCTTCTCAAACCTTCCAAAATGCTCTCCGAGAGTCTGAGCCCTGCAAGGCAGGGCTGCCAGGGATGGGCAGGGTGTGAATGTCAGGCTGCCAGAGCTCCCGGTCACATCTCACTGCACACAAACACGCCCCACCACAGCCCTGTAGGCACACAGAGACCCATGTGAGATGCTCCCTCCAGTTACTGACATGCACACACACACACTCAAACACACACATGTGCCCCCCAGGTACCAACACACATGGACACACAGAGACAGCCACCCTAGGGAGGCACTTAGTCTCTTACAGCCGGGCGTGGTGGCTCACGCCTATAATCCCAACACTTTGGGGAGGCCGAGGCGGGAGGATGGTTTGAGGTCAGGAGTTTGAGACCAGCCTGGCCAACATGATGCAACCCCATCGCTACTAAAAATACAAAAATTAGCCGGATGTGGTGGCGCGCGCCTGTAATCCCAGCTACTCAGAATGCTGAGGCAGGAGAATTGCTTGAACCCAGGAGATGGAGGTTGCAGTGAGCCGAGAGCACACCACTGCACTGGGTGACAGAGTGAGACTCTGCCTCAAAAAAAAAAATAGAGTCTCTTACACACTCAAGCACACTTTCGTGAGTACACACTCAGGCATGTATATGTCAACCCACAGCTGGCACACACACCCACACTGACACGTGTTCACAGTCCACACGGCTGGGGCACACCACTTCAGACACACTCGGGCGTGTCCTCAATCTCAGTGCAAGCTCAAGTGTGAAGAGCCCTCTGATTCCCAGCTGGAGGAAACTTGAAAGAGCACCATGCCCAGCCCCTGCCTGGCAGGCCCTCCCTCCAGGCCTCCCCAGCTGCTGCGACATCACCCAGGGAGAGACCTAGCCTAGTCCTGGCTCCAACCTCTGGAAGTCCTCATGGCATTTGACTTTTGTCAGACGGATCTTGTTGATCTGGTCCTTTGGGAACCACCTCTGGTGATTTGAAATCTCAGGTTCTGGAGTCCAAGGCTGACTCTCAAAGGGAAGGGGCTCTGGGAAGGGGTGAGAGGGCAGGAAGACTCTCAGGGGTTGGGGGGCAGGGGTCTTGCCAAAGAGAAACATTGGCTTGGATTAGGGAGGATACCTCCTCCCATCCAAGCTGAGAACCTTTGGTTTACTTGTTTACTTAAGCAAAAGGAGCAAGAAGCCCAGGCGCTCTGACCCCATGATGTCTTCAGCAGACAGGGAAGATGCAGGGGTAGAGACCATGGCCAGGGCAGGTTAGGGAATCTGAGCCCCAGGAAGGCTGATCTGAACCCCCTAGGCTGGGCAGGATGGCTTTTGGTTGGTGGCGGGAGCGCGGGGGTCCCGGGTTTTGAGGGAGGGAAGAGGGCAGGAACCAGGGTAATGTGAAGAGGAGAGGCCCCACCCTGTTCCTGGCTAGAGGGACCAGAATGAGCACCTTGAGGAGGAGCCAGAACAGGATCTACCAGCTGTTGGGGCCTGGGGCCTGAGCTCTAGGCCACTCAGTCTCCATTAGTATACCTCTCATTCAACCTAGGTTAGAGCCTTCCTCTGGCTCCCAGAGCTGCTGGGCTGCAACTTGTCTATCTCTATCCTAACAACTACCTGTCTCCCTCACTAGGTGGCAAGCTTATTTTATGCCATTCATTCATTTGTTATCAGCTAAATAACCTGAGGCCTAATTATCTTCTCTGAACTATGGATAATAGTATCTTTTTCATAGGATTCTTTTTTTTTTTTTTTTTTTGAGAAGGAGTTTCACTCTTGTCAACAGGCTGGAGTGCAGCAGCGTGATCTCGGCTCACTGCAACCTCCGCCTCCCAGGTTCAAGCGATTCTCCTGCCTCAGCCCCCTGAGTAGCTGGGACTACAGGCACCCGCCACCAGGCCCAGCTAATTTTTGTATTCTTAGTAGAGACAGGGTTTCACCATGTTGGCCAGGCTGGTCTGGAACTCCTGACCTCAGGTGATCTGCCCACCTCAGCCTCCCAAAGTGCTGGGATTACAGGCATGAGCCACTGCACCTGGCCCCTCATAGGATTTTTAGGATGGAATGAATTATTATGTGTAAATCTCATAGAATACCACCTTCACCAGGTGCAGTTGACTCACACCTATAATCCCATCACTTTGAGAGATCGAAGGAGGATTAATTGAACCAAGGAATTTGAGACCAGCCTGGGCAACATAGTGAGACTGCATTTCTACAAAAAACATTTTAAAATTAGCTGGCGTGGTGGTGTGCACCTGTAGTCACAGCTACTCAGGAGGCTGAGGTGGGAGGGTGGCTTGTTCCTAGGAGTTCAATACTAAAGTGAGCCAAGAATCATGCCACTGCACTACACGCCAGCATGGGTGACACAGCAAGACCCTGCTTCTAACAAAAAAAAAAAAAAAAAAAAAAAAAGAGAAACCACCTCCTGGCCCCAAATTAATGCCATGCATATATTAGCTTTAAAAACTTAACCAGCCCTATGCCAAAAATTTGATAGGCACTGGGTACATGGCAGAGAATAAGGTAGACACAGTGCTGCTCTCAACAAGCTCAAAGTCTTAGGGCCTCGGTTACAGGGTGGGGAGTCATCCTTGACCAAGTGGCCAAGATAATGTGTAATGACTTGTAATGGCAGAAGGCAGGATTTTTAGGGGAGCACAAGACAGGAGGTCCTAGCCCAGGCAGTGGGTTGGGGAGAGGCTTCCTGAGGCAGGAACTTTCAAGGTGAGACCTGCAGGGATGAGTAGAAGTAACCAGGTGAGGATGGGGAGGAAGGGGCTCCAGGCAGAAGGCACAGCATGCACAAAGGCTTTGAGGTCATTATCAACTCCAGGGTCTAGCCCATGGCCTGGCCGTGCCAAACTGTCAGTCAATATTTGTTTTTGTTTTTTTCTGTTTGTTTTGAGACAGGGTCGGGCTCTGTCACCCAGGGTGGAATGTAATGGCATGATCTCACCTCACTGCAACCTCTGCCTCCCGGACTCAAACCATCCTCCCACCTCAGCCTCCCAAGTAACTGGGGCTGCAGGTGCACACCACCACGCCTGGCTAATTTTTGTATTTTTGGTAGAGACAGGGTTTGGCCTTGTGGAACTCCTGGGCTCAAGCGATCCTCCTGCCTCAGCCTCCTACAGTGCTGGGATTATAAGCTCAGCCACGATACCAGACCAGTCAATATTTGTTGACTGGAGCATCGATTGCTTACCAGCATCTGCATTTCATCACATGGGATCTTTGTAGCAACCTGGTAAGATGGGAGCTAATGTACACCAATTTCACAGAGGTGATGCTCAGCAGCTTACAGAGGTGGCCAAGGTCACATAACTCCTGGATCTGTAGTAAAGTCAGGACCGTCTACCTTCTCTCATCTTGCTTTGGGCGTTCAGAGGAATGTTTTCTTCGCTGCTACTATAGAGAACCACTGAACAGAAAAGACCCAGGCAAGAACTGGCAGGCTGGGTACAGCCTTCCAAGGCTCTTTCCTTTGAAGCACAGCCCCTCGGGTCTCTGAGATCAAAATCCCTGGAGCCCAAGTTTCTGGAAGACCTTTGTCCAGCCTGAGCCCTGTGGTCTGCCCTCCTCCCACACCAGCCTCTCGGGGGCCTGGACTAGGGACCCTGGCTCCCTGGGCTCACCTCTGCCCATCTCTCCCTCTCTGGGGTCCCTGGGCACTGCATCTGGCTCCTGTGAGAATAAGGCCTCTGGGTCTCCACTTCCTGGGTAGTTCTTAGGAATGTGCCTCTGCAGCAGTGGCAGATGTGGGCCTGGGACGTGATAAGGGTGGTGGTGAGGCCTGGCAGAACACCCTCTGTCCAACACGGCTGAGCTCCCTTCTCCAGGCCCCTGCCTGCTTCCACCAGCCCCAGCTGTAATAGTCTCACCAGACCCTTCAAACCAACACATCTGGGGGAGGGGGGTGAACAGTGCATCTTGCTTTGGAAAGTTTAAGGCACATAAGCTCTGGGGATCTAGGAGGCCCCATGTGTGCATTGGGAGGTGTGGGGGGTGGGGGTGGGGTGGGTAGTGCAGAGGCCAGGCCCAAGGAGAGGCAGGGGCAGGGGGCAAGAGCCTGGTTTCTGACCCTCAGTCCCATTGTCTGGTTAACTGTCAGCTTGTTTCCAAGTTAAAAATGCTTCTTCCTGGTCTGGTGCGGTGGCTCACGCCTGTAATCCCAGCACTTTGGGGGGCCGAGGCGGGCAGATCTCCTGAAGTCAGGAGTTCAAGACCAGCCTGGCCAACATGGTGAAACCCCATCCCTAAAAATACAAAAATAAGCCAGGCGTGATGGCACGCACCTGTAGCCCCAGCTACTCAAGAGGCTGAGGCAGGAGAATTGCTTGAACTTGGGAGGTGGAGGTTGCAGTGAGCTGAGATCAGGCCATTGCACTTCAGCCTGGGCAACAGAAGGAGATTCCATCTTAAAAAAAAAAAAAAGAAAAAAATGCTTATTCCTTAAGGGGCCAGGTCCCAGACCAGGCCCGCTACACAGACTGAACACCAAGCCTACTACACAGATACGAAAACCAAGGCCTATGGATGCTAGGGGGTGCTGAGGGCAGGTCTATCTTCCCTTCCTCCCAGGGTAGTCTGCCCTTCCCAGGAAAGCGGAGACCAGTCTATCCGTCCTTCCACTCACCCATCTTCGGGCCACTCTCAACCCCCAACCCCTCTAAATGCCCCCTGGAGCCTGTCCCCAGCGACCACCTTCTAGGGAATGTGATGAAAGGTCTATTTATTATACTTCAGCTCGGACAGTTGTTTCAGATGTTTCCAATTCGTCGGACTGCTCAGACATCTGTTCCTGGTTGAAGGCAGAGAAGAGAAAGAAAAAAGGAAAAAACTCGATGCGTTTCCCACACCCTCACTCAGATGCACACAGACTCACACATCCCCTCGCTCTCTCTCCGTCCCCCAGACCCTCGCAGCACGCTCTCTTGTCCTCACCCACACTCACAGCCTCACTCACTTTCACTGCAACCACATGCTGTGCTCCACACAGCTCCCAGGTGTGTGCCGAGACTCTGATATGCCCACTCTCCACCCTCGCTTCCCCCACACAGCCTGGTGTGCACACTCACGCCTACACCTGTCCCCTCTCAGGGCCTCACACCCCCATTACTAGGTCATGGTGAGGGTTCCTACAGTGGGGGACCTGGACCATGTCTTGCATTCCAGTTGAGACACTATAAAGTGGGCTGTCACCTTCCCTACCTCCGGGGGCTATTGTGCTGGTTAAAATCTTGTGTGTTAGGCGCCTGGCCTGGCAGCGAGCTGGCACTCTGAGAATGTCTGTCATAGCTCCTGGTGGCATTTCCCCCTTCCCCTATGTACAGACACACACCCACATATGTATTTGCACCTACAGCGGGGATTGAAAGATTCCAGGGTCCCAGGGAACCTTGAGGTTCTGTGATTCTTGACCCTCACACACAGATGTACAAGCTGCACATGCATGGGTGCTCAGCAACCTGGTCTAACACATGCATGCGGGCAATCAAATGCACATGTACACTCCTTAATGCACACACTCACCTGCACACTTGCAGACATGTACACTCACTTGCATGCTCATCTCAGCTCATTCACAGATGCACACTCAGCTCCACACATGGAATGCCCAGCCGAGGGACTGGGGATTGGAGGGGTGGAGGGAGGCCTGAGTTCATGGGGACCAGGCTGGACTTGCTGAGGTGGGGCTGGGGGAGGAAGTCAACCATTCCCTGGCTCCTAGGCAGACCAAGTGCATTATTGCAGTGCGGACCAGCCCCACCCGACTCTGTGGGCCTGGGCTGGAGAGCTGCCGATGGTAAACCCCTTTCCTAATGCACTGCCATGTGCACTCTAGTCACCCCACTTCTGGAGGAATTGTGGAGCAGCAGGTGGAAGGGGAGGCTCTGCGGGGGTGGCAATCAGTGGGGTGAATGGTCAGGGTGATGACTCCTCCATCTAGAGTTCATTGATTGACACCTCCTGTCTATGACCCCAATCCCCAGATCTGGGCCATGAGCCTCGAAACAAGAGCACCTCTCTCACTGCTCTCCCACCTCCTCCAGTTCCACCAGCCACGGGTGGCTTTGGTCAGACCAGCCCAGGACCTCTCCAGCCTGGGGCCTTCCAGGCAGGCTCAGCTGACCTCTCCACCAGGCCCCCTGGCCCTCCAGTATGGGCATCGTAGCGGACTGCTGTGAGGGACTGCTGTGAGGCTGAGGCACTGCTGTGAGGCTGAGGCACACTCAGAAACAGAAGGCAGGAGAAGGGGTCTATGGGATCCACCATGCGTCCTCCCACTTCCCCCAAGCTGCCCCTCTAGCTGTCTGGGAGTCACAGTCCCTGCTCCCTCAACCCAGACCCCCAAAGCAGGTGGAGGAAGTATTGTCCTTGTGTTAGATTCCAATAGGCCCAGAGCAACTGGGAAACCCCCTTCCCCACCAGAGCCAGCTCAGCTTTTGTGTGTTGGGGGCCTGAATCCGAGACCCACTTGTGGAGGCTCCCCTCTTCCCCAGCCCCCTCCCTCCCACTGCTGGTGCCTTGGGGCCTTGGGCCAACTGGGGCCTCCTCCTCCTTCTCTCCTCTGTCTTAGAGTCATTGCTGGCCTTAGAGTTGGCCAGAACAGACTTGGGCTCAGCTCCTCTCAGCTGCTGACCTGTTCTGTGATTTGCTGCAAAGCATGTAGCCCCTCCCAGCTTGGATGTGCTCCCTGCAAAGCGGGCAGGGTATAGGCTTTATGGAGAAGACCCGTTTACATCATGGTCTCCAAAGGGCCTGGCGGTAGGTGCTCAGTGCAGGCTGGTTGACTCGATCCTGGAGCCAGGTAACCTGTCTCCAATCCAGGACAGACTGCACCTCAGGAATTCCCTTCTCTGGCAAACACTCCTCTTTAGGCCTTCACCTCAGTGGGAGGAAGCCTTGCCTGCACAAGGAGGGGCAGAATCCCAGACACCACCCTCTTGCTTTACCAGCCTCCTTCAGTTTTCCTATCAAATCCCCAAGGCCAAGGGCAGCACTGCTACTACTGCGTTTTACCTGTTGCTCATCTACAGTGTTTGCAGCTTTTTGCCCACCCTCTTCCTACTCTTGAAGGAGGAGCCAGAGGCTTCTGTGAGGTACTGGGGCTGGAGTCGAGAACTGCAGATGGAAGCGGGAGAGAAGAAAGAGGCTCCCACCTGGCTTCTCACCCACGACCTACTGCTGGGTGGGAGGAGAAGGTGAGAAATAACCATTTATTGAGCATCTACTGTGTGCCAGACACTGCATCAGGGCCACAAGTTAGCATGCATGTACCAGAAGGTAAACTCCATGAGGGCGGAGATTATTCTGTTTTGTTCACTGCTGTAACCTTAGTGCCTAGCACATGGTAAGAGCTCAATAAATATATGCGGAATAAATGAATTTCTACCTGTTATTCTCATCATAACTCTATGAGGCAGGTATAATTATTATCACCATGTTACATGATTTTCAGCTGAGACTCAGAGAGGTTAAGTGACTTGCTCAATGTCACACAGCCAGGTAAGTGGCAGAGCTGGGCCTGTCTGGCTGTAAAGCCCTTGCTCTGACCACTGCACTCTTGAGCAGGCCCAGATGACCACAGCTACTCCGTGTGTGTGTGTGTGTGTGTGTGTGTGTGTGTGTGTGTGCAGCTGTCCTGGCATGGGAGTATCACATCTTAGAGGCTCAGTGACTACACAAGTCCCATGGTTACAAGTAGAAACTGTCATGTGTTCTTGTGCCTCAGTGTGCTCAATAAATATTAACTGAATAGCCACAGCTTCTCAGAGATGATAAAAAAGGAAGAAATATTAATTGAATAAATGAAATAAGCGGATGAGCGAATAAGTGCTTCCATGCTAGCTCACAGATACCCTGGTTGTGTTTAGAGGGGCTGGGTGATTAGAAGATAGGGTCTTCAGCTGGGCATTGGACACCTGGGTTCTAATCCCTAAGTTGTAGTGTGACTTTGGCTGAGTCACCACCCCTCACTGGGCCTGGGTCCCTCCTCATTGAGGTAGATGAGAGCTGATGGTCAGGTGTTTCTCAAGGCCCTTCCAGCTCGGCCACCTCAAGTGCTCAGGGTGTGAGGCTTCCCAGTTATGGGCTCCACAGTCAGGGTGAAGTTGGTTCTTGTTTTCTGGGAAGGGGAGGGGATGTGGTGGGGAATCTGAGTATGCTTATTCTACATATTCTATAGAATGAAGTCTGACTCTGGCTCAGCATCCAAGGCCTTCCACAATGCAGTCTCAGTCCAACTGCTTCCCCTCATCCTATGCAACACATAGACACACTTATTCTCTCTCTCTCTCTCTCTTAGACACTGGGCAGAACAACAGCTTAGCAAGGAAAAGGGGCTTGAGACTTGTACCAGCTGCCTGTCACTGACCTGGGCTTTACCCCCAGCAACTCCACATGATGGAGGAAGCACAGGATATAAATCCAGGCTTGACCACTACAATCAGTGTGCTCACGGGCAAGTCGCTTAGCCTCTATGTGCCTCTGTTTTCTCATCAGCAAAATGGAAATGGTGATACTTTCTATCTTGGTGAGACTTTGCTCAAAAGAAGTGACAGTGTCCATCAAGTGCACTTTTGTTATGTGAGCCTGGAGAAAACTTTATTAGAAATCTACTTTGTGGCTGGGTGAGGTGGCTCATGTCCATAGTCCCAGAACTTTGAGAGGCCGAGGCAGGAGGATTGCTTGAGTCCAGGAGTTCGAGACCAGCCTGGGCAACATGGCAAAACCCTGTCTCTACAAAAAATATAAAATTAGCCGGATATGGTGGACTATGAGCCTGTAGTCCCAGCTACTTGAGAGGCTGAGGTGGGAGGATGGCTTGAGCCTGGAAGGTTGAGGCTGCAGTGAGCTGTGATCACACCACTGCATTCCAGCCTGGCGACAGAGCGAGACCCTGTCTCAAAAATCAAAACAAAACAGCTGGGCATGGTGGCTCACACCTGTAATCCCAGCACTTTGGGAGGCCAAGGCGGGTGGATCACCTGAGGTCGGGAGTTCGAGATCAGCCTAACCAACATGGTGAAACCCCGTCTCTACTAAAAATACAAAATTAGCTGGGCATGGTGGCACATGCCTGTAATCCCAGCTACTCGGGAGGCTGAGGCAGGAGAATTGCTTGAACCCGTGAGGCAGAGGTTGCAATGAGCCAAGATTGTGCCATTGCACTCCAGCCTGGGCAACAAGAGCAAAACTCCATCTCAAAAAAATAAAAGACATGACTTTGTGGTCAGACCTCTGACAAAGATCTGAAAGAGAAGAAGCCCAAGATACAGTTGCTACCTACTTTTTTTTTCTTTCTTGAGACAGGGTCTTGCTTTGTCACCCAGGCTATGGATCTTCCACCTCCTAGGTTCAAGTGATCCTTCCACCTCAGCCTCCCAAGTAACTGGAACAACAGGTACACACCACCACACCTGGATAATTTATTTTATTTCTTATACAGACAGAGTCTCGCCATGTTGGTTTTGCACTCCTGGCCTCAAGCAACTTCCTGCCTTGGCCTCCCAAAGCGCTGGGATTCCATGCGTGTGCCACCGGGTCCAGCCTGCTGCCTACTTTTTGAGACTCGTGGTTTACCCGGGAGAATGGATGCATACTTAGGAATCCTGTGGGATGGAATAATGTAATCTCAGATAAAAAGCAAACAACAGGTTGGAGGAAATAGTTACAATTAACACGACAAGCAAATAGTTAATATTCTTGCCATATAACAATCTTACACAACTTAAGGGGTAAAAACCCCACAGAGACCCCAGTACATTAATGGGGTCTCGTGATATAGACAATGAGGGCAAATAATATGGATAGCAAAATCTACAAGCCAGAAATTATACATATGTAGTGGTGGGTATTTGTAAAACATATTTCATCTCATCGATAATCAAAGAAGTGCAAATTATTATTTTATTATTATTATTATTATTATTATTATTATTATTATTATTATTGAGACAGAGTCTCACTCTGTTGCCCAGGCTGGAGTGCAGTGGCACAATCTCGGCTCACTGCAACCTCCGCCTCTCAGGTTCAAGTGATTCTCCTGCCTCAGCCTCCTGAGTAGCTGGGATTTCAGGCACCCACCACCATGCCCGGCTAACTTTTGTATTTTTAGTAGAGACAGAGTTTTGCCATGTTGGCCAGGGTGGTCTTGAACTTCGAGCCTCAAGAGATCCCCCTACCTTGGCCTCCCAAAGTGCTGGGATTACAGGCGTGAGCCACCACACCCGGCAGAAGTGCAAATTAAAGTAACAATAACATTTCTGTCTTTTTTCTTTATCGAGAATCCCCAGTGTAGGTACTATCATAGTGAAAAAGGCAAGCTCGTATACTGCCACTGTTTTCAGTCATTAGTTTGATATTTATCAGGCACATACTACAGGCTGGACACTGTTTCGGAGGCTGCAGAGCATGTTTGCAGTGTGGACAAAAAGCCTTGAAAAGTACTCAGAGCAGCACTGCAAAAAGAAGTCGAGTTTACGGCACTAACCATGGACAAGGCTGAGCCGGGTGGTATTAACAGTTCACACAGGCCGGGTGCAGTGGCTCACGCCTGTAATGCCAGCACTTTGGGAGGCCGAGGTGGGCAGATCACGATGACAGGAGATCGAGACCATCCTGGCTAACACGGTGAAACGCTGTCTCTACTAAAAATACAAAAAATTAGCCGGGCGTGGTGGCAGGTGCCTGTAATCCCAGCTACTCGGGAGGCTGAGGCAGGACAATGGCGTGAACTCGGGAGGCGGAGCTTGCAGTGAGCCGAGATCGCGCCACTGCACTCCAGCCTGGGAGATGGAGCGAGACTCTATTTCAAAAAAAAACAAAAAACAAAAAACAGTTCACACAGATGTGGATCCAAACCCAGAGGCTGCCACTGGAGTCTGGGCCACCTTAGGGGAGCTGCTTAATTGGCCAAGCCCTCTATCTCCTTGTCTGTACAATGGGGATAATAATGTACCCCAATGCTCACAGCGTTGTCGTGAGCACAAAGTAAAACAACAAGTATAAAAGGCTAGGACTAAAGTGAATTCTTGGCCAGGTGTGGTGACTCATGCCTGTAATGCCAGCACTCTGGGAGGCTGAGGCGGGTGGATCACCTGAAGTCAGGAGTTTGAGACCAGCTGGGCCAACATGGTAAAACCCCGTCTCTATTAAAAATACAAAAATTAGCCAGGTATGGTGGTGGGTGCCTGAAATTCCAGCTATTTGGGAGGCTGAGGCAGGAGAATGGCTTGAACCCGGGAGGTGGAGGTTGCAGTGAGCGACATCGTGCCACTGCACTCCAGCCTGGGTGACAGAGCAAGACTCTGTCTAAAATAACAATAATAATAAATAAATAAAAAGTGAACCCCTGAATAATAATGTTTATTTTGCATTATTTATCACTGAGAGAAAAACCCACCCACATCTCTAATAATGGGGGAGAGGATAAATGTGTGTCGCTACTCACCATTTGCTGTGTCACCTAGAGAAGCCATTCAAAAGGGTTCTTGAAAGGATCTTTAATGCCATAGCTGAATACTTGCAAAGTAACACTTGATCCAGACGTATGTGATGTGTGATATAATCGTTGCCAAGCAGCATATCTGGAAGGAATGAATTCTACCACAATGGAGGAATTAGGGTGATTCTAACCCTCCCCTGTGTTTTCTAAAAAATCACAAATTGCTCTTATAACTAGAGACTAGTTATATATAATTATATATTATATATAATATACACTTACATATTACATATAATATATACTTACATATAATTAATGTTATATAATACAATTAACCATTAATTTTAATAATGTATTGCCAGAAGGGCCTCGTCAGGCAGGGAGTAAGAAAGGTATTACCATGTTTGACACAGACTTGTCAAGAAACTTCAGGTTTATTAAAACCAGGGAGCATATCTTACTTATCTTTGTTTTCTTGGCACATTGCTGGAAACTAATCAATCACTGAGAAAATGTGGATCTGCAGGCTTTACATGCATTTTATCAGTTCTTATGACAACCCTGTAAGGCAGAAACTATAATTATCACCACTGGACATACAGGGACACTTAACCTATCAAGTTCGAGAGATTTGGCCAGGTGTAGTGGCTCACGCCTATAATCTCAGCACTTTGGGAGCCCGAGGCAGGTGGATCACCTGAGATCAGGAGTTTGAGAACAGCCTGGCCAATGTGGGGAAACCCTATGTCTACTAAAAATACACACAAAAAAATTAGCCAGGCGTGGTGGTGCATGCCTGTCCCAGCTACTTGGGAAGCTGAGGCAGGAGAATCGCTTGAACCTGGGAGGTGGAGGTTGCAGTGAGCCAAGATCACGACACTATACTCCAGCCTGGGTGACAGAGCAAGACTCCGTCTCAAAAAAAAAAAAAAAAAAAGAGAGAGAGAGAGAAACAGATTTGCCAAGATCACAAAATTAAAAGGAGCAGGGCACGGTGCCTCAGACCTGTAATCACAGCACTTTGGGAGGCTGAGGAGGGAGGACTGCTTGAGCCCAGGAGTTCAAGACCAGCCTAGGCAATATGAGATCCTGTCTTCACACACACACACACAAAATACAAAAATTAGCCAGATGTGGTGGCATGTGTCGGTAGACCCAGCTCCTTGGGAGGCCAAGGCGGGAGGATCATTTGAGCCCGGAAAATCAAGGCTGCAGTGAGCCATGGTGGTGACACTAACCTCCAGCCTGTGTGACGGAGTGAGACCCAGTCTCAAAACAAACAAAAACAAACCAAAAACCAAAACAAGATTAAGAGGCAGAGCGGGGATCAAACCCAGGTTTGTCTGACTCCAAAGTACCTCAGCTGTCTTGCTCTGCTGTGCCATGTGTTAACATGGAGACCAACAGTGGAGGCAGATGACAGGGAGGCAAAGACCTCTTCCCAAGGCCCTGAGATGGCCGATCACAGATCCAAGGGCTCAGCATGAGGCTGCCTGGAAGAGTCAGGTTGTGTCAGAGGCAGGAACTTGACAGAAAGGAGCCAGTTTCTGAAGGAAGAGTAATCCAGCTTTTCCTAGGTTGAATTTGAAGAAATAGTAGGATAAACGTGTTGGAAATATGCCGCAGGCAACTTAAAGTATTGACTGGTGTGAAGATAAGAACCAAGCTGGAGATGTATTTATTATGGAGCCAGAGGACTCTGAGCTAGTAGATGAAAAGGTGGTTGGAAAAGATGGAACTCACGTCAGTTGAGAGCTGGAGTGTGTGTTCAGTGCTTTGCACTACCACGGACATGTTTTGGGGTGCCTGCCCAGTCATAGTTCTTTCTTTGGGATTGTGTCCCATCCACAGTCCCTTCTGAGGGCATGTGGCTGGGCAGCCACACACGGCTCATGACCTCGTCATCTTGTCCACAGGTGATGGCACCAGGGGTTGACAAGGTGTTCAATCCAGGGCAACTGGACTCTCTCTCCCTGGAATGGGGTTTAGGACTCTGAGAAACAGTAGCTACGAAGCAGCTACGCCATAAGCTCACAGAGAGTTGAGGCCATTTGGAGCCATGAGTGACCATGTGGAAGCAGAAGCAGCTAGTCTTCAGAGAGAAAGCCCAGCTGCACAGAGAGAAGTGGTGATAAGGAACTGTGCTGCCCCTGGAAGGAGTGATGCAGGTGAGAGGCAGCCTGTCTCTCCCACATTTTACCCTCTCCTTGGATGTTTACCAGATTGTCTGTTATAACCTTCCAATAAACCTCCTTTTCCTTGAGCTGGCTTGAGAGGGTTTCTGTTCCTTGCAACCACATGGCCTTGAACTAAGACATGAACAACACATCTTAAGCATAAAGTTCCTGGTGCAGTGCTTAACTCATCATTGGCAACTAAAAACTGTAGCTATTATTATTTCATTTGCTCCTCAAAGAAACCTGATGAGAAAAAAAGGTATTATTATACCCATTGGGAAAATGAGAAAACTGGGGCTTGTTGACATAGCAGCAAATACTGGCTAAATTCCAGTGCTGGGGATTCAGGAGAGACAAGGTCCCAGCTTTGAAGATGCCTGCATTCCTATGCAGCAGGCAGACAACAAACAAATTTAGGTTGAGCATCACAAATTCAAAAATCTGCAATCCAAAATGCTGCAAAATCCAAAACTTTTTGAGCACAGACATGGTGTTCAAAGGAAATGCTCAATGGAGCATTTTGGATTTTCAATTTCTGGATTTGGAATTCTGAACCAGCAAAATGCAAATATTCCAAAATCCATACAAATCTGAAATCAGGAACACTTCTAGTCCCAAGCATTCTGGATAAGAGATGCTCAATCTACAGTGAACAAGAAAACGTCAAGCAGAGATAAGGCACTATGAAGGAAACAATATGAAATGATCTACTAGAGCTACTTTAGACAACAGAAAGCCTCTCTGAGGAGTGACCCTTGAGCTGAGACCTAAAGGACAAAAAGGAGCAGGCAGGCCACATGCAGATCTGGGAGGGGGGCACTCAGAGCAGAAGGAAAAGCAAAAGAAAGAGTTTTGGGCAGGATTAGGTTTGATGCACTCAAGGAACAGCAAGGAGGCCAAGGTGAGCAGAATGGGGTAGCAGGAATAGGTTCCTGAGGGTTTTATAAGTCAGGTGAGATGTCTGGCTTTAATTCTAAGAGCAATGCGGAACCACTGGAAGGATTTAAGAGTGCTGTGGTAGACAGCCCTCCAAAGATGTCTCCTTTCTAATCCCCCAAACCTGTGAATATGTTACCTCACATGGCAAAGAGATTTGCAGATGTTATTAAGGCTTGAGATGGGGAGAATATCTTGGCTTATCTGGGTGGGCACTGTGGAAGCACAAGGGTCCTTATAAAAGGGGCACAAGAGGGTCAGAGTCAGAGGAGATGTGATGACAGAAGTGGAGGTCAAAGGAATGCAAGTAAGGGGCTGTGAACCAGGGAATGCAAGTGGCTTCTAGAAGGTGGAAAAGGCAAGGAAACATCTTACCAAGGTATCTGGAAGGAATGCAGCCCTAACAACCTATTTTAGACTTCTGGCCTCTAGAACTGTAAAATAATAAGCCTGTGTTATTTGGAGCAACTATGTTATAATTTGTTATAGCAGCAATAGGAAACCAGTACAAGTGCTATGATCTGATCTATATTTCTAAAAATTCACCCTGGCTGCTGTGGATTGTGGGGGCAAAACGGAAGCTGGAAGATAAGCAACGAGTCTGAGGCATCACCCAGGCAGGCGACAGTGGTGCTTGGACCAGGTGATGGAGTCTGACACATGGATCCATTCTGGAGGTGGAAGCGAAACAATTTGCTGATGATCAGGCATGGCGAATAAAGGAAAGATAGCAATCTAGAAGAATTACTTCTTGGGGTTTTAATCTGATTATCTGGATGGCTGGAGATGCTGTTTATGGAGATGGGAAAGACTGAGGGAGGAGCAGGTTTACAGATGTCGGGGGAGTTGGATAAGATCATCAAGCCAGCAAGTGGCAGACCTGGAACTAGAACTTGGGTGTCCTGACTCTCAGACCCAACATATATGGATCTGTGAGAAAGATTTCACTAAGGAAAGAGTTTGGGATTTTTTAAGTTAAGATTTATTTAGCACCTCCTCTATTAGTCAGGGTTCTCCAGAGAAACAGAGCCAATGAGAAAGAGAGATTAAATTTTAAGGAATTGGCTCGCATGAGTGTAAAGGCTGGCAAGTCCAAAATCTGCAGGGATAGGTTGGCAGGTTGGAGACCCAGGGAAGAGCTGGTGTTGCAGTTCAAGTCCAAAGGCAGAATTTCTTCTTGCTCAGGGGAGTTCAGTCTTTTCCTCTTATGGCCTTCATCTGATTGGTTAAGGCCCACCCACATTATGCAAGGTAATCTGCTTTACTCAAAGTCTACTGATTTCAGTATTAATCCCATTGAAAAAATACTTGCAGAGAAACAAAAAGCATAATGTTTTTTTCCCATGGCCTAGCCAACTTGACACTTACTTTTCTTACTATTGGGCATTGTGCTTTTTAGCTATATTAGTTCATGGTTGACAAGAAAGGCAGATGGCGGGGAATCACCCTGGGTTTGTCCACAGTTAAGGGCTAGGAGGGGAGGTGGACAGATATACAAGGAAACAGGAACCAGGACAGTGGAGAGAAGCATTCCAAGAAGGTGGAGGTGTCAAGAATTGCAGAGGGATAGAGAAGGAGGAAGACAAAGGAACCACAGAATGCGGTGATAAGGAGGTTTTTGGTGACCTTAGCCATGGATCATGCAGGGAGAGTGAGAACTGTGGCAAGGAAGGGGGCTCTTTCACATGGAAGGATTGGGAACTGGAGTCTAGTACAGAAGCATGCAAATAAATGGCTACAAAACGCAAAATAGGGCCAGGCATGGTGGCTCATGCCTGTAATCCCAGTGCCAAGGTGGGATTGGTCTTGAGGCCAGGAGTTCAAGACCAGCCTGAGCAACACAGTAAGACACCATCTTTACAAAAAAAAAAAAATGTAAAATTTTTTTTTTTACATTTTGGGCATTGTGACACGTACCTGTAGTCTCAGCTACTTGGGAGGCTGAGGTGGAAGAATGAGCTATGATTGTGCCGCTGCACTCCAGCCTCAGTAACAGAGTGAGACCCTGTCTCTAAAACCAAAATAAAACCAACAAACAAATACAACATACACTACAACAGAAAGGAAGCTGTGATATGAAATAATGGGGGAGCTACTCAGATGGAGAGGTCAGGGAAGGCCCTTCTAACAGAATAATTTTTAAGTGGAGATTCGAAGGAAGAAAAGAGGCTAGGCACAGTGGCTCACACCTATAATCCCAGCACTTTGGGAGGCCAAGATGAGAGGATTGCTTGAGCCCAGGAGTTCGAGATCAGCCTGGGCAATATAGTGAGACCCCCGCCTCTATTAAAAAAAATTTTTAATCCAAAAAAAAAAAAGGAAGAAAAGAAATGCCCCATATGAAGAGCTATGGGAAGGGCAAGATGGCAGAGAACCTGTGCAAAGGCCCTGAGATGAGAAAGAGTCTGGAATTACCAAAGAACTGAAAGAAGCCTGGTAGGGCTGAAGCCAAGAGAGAGGCGATGTATGAAGCTGGAGGGATGTAGCCTTATAAGGGATGGTGTTTGAATTTGGTTCTAAGTGTGATGGAAAATCACTGGAAGGTTTAAGCAGGGGAGTAAATGATGGGACCTGCTTTATAATTGTTAATTTACTCTGGCTACTGTGTGAAGCCTGTGTTGGTGGGGGACAGAGTGGGAGTGGGGCAACCTGGAAGGGACACTAACAATTGTCCAGGTAAGCGGCAAAATTGGCTTAAAGCAGGAAAGTTTCTGGGGGCAGATCCAACAGAATTTGCCAGTAGAGTGGATGTGGGAGGTGAGAGAGAAGAATGCAAAACAACTCCCAGTTTCTTGCTTTATCAGTTTCATCGCTGTTTCCAAGGAGAAAAACTGGGGAGAAAGAGGTTCTGTGCAGGGCCCAAGAGTTTAGTTTTAGGAGCAGGGAGTTGAAGGGGCCACTCTTGGCCATCTTAGCTGCTTGATGATGGGGGCTGGGACGGAGTGAGAGGCTGGGAGAGGCTGGAAGGGGAAGTCTGCACGGTCATCCGTGGGCTTGCTGAAGCCCCAGTGGAGGCTGGCTGTGGATTTGCAGTGGCACTGTCTCAGGTAGCTGGGGGACTGTCCAGAGGAGCTCAGCAGGAACTGGCAGGGGGTTTGTGGGGCAGTTGAGATGTTGAGGCAAGGCCAGTGCAGAAATCGTTATCGGGCAGGTGAAACGCCAAGAATCTGAATTAGAAGGAAGGGCATGAGAGATTGGGAGCAGAAGGTTAGAGTGGGGGGGTCTGAGGATCTTGAAGCCTATGATTTCAGGGATGGAGTAATTTGGGTGAGGTCAAGAGGGGGTGGCCATGTGAATGGGAGGCCAAAGTGGAGTGGACAAGAGTATCGACCTGGTCCAGGAGGTCCCAGAGGTGTTGGGCGTAGCACTGACATAGAGAACGAGGTCCCCAACGTGATGCTTGAGTCTGCCACAGAGAAGAGGACCTCGAGACAGATGCCAGGGTCCTGTGTGAGCAAAGAAAGCACAGCAGGGCATGGGGGAAATAACTCAGGTGAAGAGAGCAGGGAGGTAGAACAGGAGGAACAGTTACAAAAGGGAGGGCAGGGGGGCGGTGTGGAATGAGGCAGATGCCACACCCTCGTGCAGGAGAATGAGTGGTATTGCCAGACTTTGTTGGGCAAAGGGGATGGCGTCCCTGGTGTGTGTTAAAGGAGCCTGAACTCACTCACAACAAGGTAGAGAATCTGAGAAGTGTGTTTCTGCTGGTATGGGGCTTCCAGAGGACACAGCAGACCCCCTGGGAGGAAAGTGGAGAGAAAGGAACAAGGAAGAGCTGGGCAGTGTTCTTGGGAATGATCTACTTTATTATTGCTCACTGGGGCTCCTCACTCCCTTCAGTCTCGCCTCTTCAAATTCAGCCTTCACCAGAGCTGCAAGACACTCCTAAAGCACAACTCTGGTCCTGCCTTTCTGCCTCATCAACACTCAGGGGCTGCCCTTGCCCTCAAGGTAAAGTTCCTGCTCTTTGGCCTGGTACCATAAGGTCCTTTTGGAAGCACCCCATCTGCTGCCCTCTTCCCCGCCTCACCTCTCTCATCCGAAATCCCCACGAAGCAGAACTACTTATAGCACTAAGGGCACCACGATGCAGCAGGCCTCCGGGCCTTTGCACCTGCCATTCCCTCTGCCTGGAATGCCTTTTGATCACATGTGCCTAGAAAATGCCAATAAATCTTTCAAGCATTTCTTCCCTGGAGAAGCCTTCTCAGATTCCCTCAAGGAGTCACAGTCACCCCTTATTTTGTCCCACCACTCTACCTCATTTACCCTTTCACCAGGCTCTTGAGTCGGCCTTCCTCACTAAACCAGGAGTTCCTTAGGAAGACAGTGTGATACTCATTTCTCTATCCTCCATTTCCAGCCCTGTGCCTGGGATACAATAGTGCTTGGTTGATATCTAATAAAGGCACTGACCAAATTATAGCTAATAAGAAGAGCCAGCATGTACTAAGTACTTACTATAATTCCTAACATTGTGCCAAGCTCTTTAAATGCATTATCTTATGTCATCCCTGTAAGAACTGTGGTGGGTTAATACTGTTACTATATGTATTTAACAGATGAGGAAACTGAGGCTTAGGGAGGTGAAGTGACTTGCCCAAGGACATTAAGCTAGTCAGTGGTAGAGATGGGCTTCAAACTCGGCCGATACTAGTGTCCATGCACTTAGCTGTTATGCTATATTGCCTCAATGAAAGAAAGGATGACAAGATCTAGCCAGGGCAGTGGCTTACGCCTGTAATCCTAACATTCTGGGAGGCTGAGGCAGGCAGATCATTTGAGGTCAGGAGTTCGAGACTAGCCTGACCAACATGGTGAAACCCAGTCTCTACTAAAAATACAAAAAAAATTAGCTGGGCGTGGTGGCGTGCCTGTAATCTCAGCTACTTGGGAGGCTGAGGCAGGAGAATCGCTTGAACCTGGGAGGCTGAGGTTGCAGTGAGCCGAGATCGCATCACTGTACTCCAGCCTGGGCAACCGAGCAAGACTTCTTCTAAAAAATAAAAAAATAAAAAAATAGAAAGAATGAATGAATGAATGAAAGATTTCAGAGAACAGCAGGGTTATGAAGACTAGAGTTTTCAGGGGAGCCTATAAATTGACAGTAACAAAGTCAGCTTTTTCTAGAGTAACAGTAATGATCACAGATGCCAGTAGTTTCCAATCCAAAAGCCCTTCTTCCGTGCGGACAGAGTTCTGCTTTTGTCTGTGAACATCCTCCCAGTTCCTTAGGAACTCACTGCAGTGGAAGAGACCATCATTGGCCAATGATGGGTGGTGTACAGGTCTACACAAGGTTTGGAGGCTGACTTTCGAGGTGGTCAGGCTAAACTTCATACAGGCCTTTTGAAGGATGACACAAAAAGGATTAGAGAAAAAGACATTTCTTTTTTTGAGACGGAGTCTTGCTCTGTTGCCCAGGCTAGAGTGCAGTGGCGTGATCTCGGCTCGCTGCAAGCTCTGCCTCCCGGGTTCATGCCATTCTCCTGCCTCAGCCTCCCCGATAGCTGGGACTACAGGCACCCGCCACCACACCCAGCTAATTTTTTGCAATTTTAGTAGAGACGGGGTTTCACCGTGTTAGCCAGGATGGTCTCGATCTCCTGACCTCGTGATCCGACTGCCTCAGCCTCCCAAAGTGCTGGGATTACAGGCGTGAGCCACTGCGCCTGGCCGAGAAAAAGACATTTCTAAGCAGAATGAACAGCATATGCAAATTTAGAGCAACACAGCTTTCCCAGGGAAACAACTCATTTGGCATAACCTGAACTGGGCTGGCCACTTGCAGGCTGTGTGTCTCTGAGCAATTGACTTGGCGTCTCTGAGGATCAGAATTTACATTTATGGGAAAAAAGGAAAAAAGAAAGGAACTACAATAGTTGCGAAATTAGGTAACAGAATATATGTGCAAAACACAGTGCTTGGCATACATTAGGTGCACAAGAAACATTCTTTCTTATTCACCCATTATTGTCACATGGTTCTAATTCGTTATCTTCTGTCACCCAGGTGGCTTTCTTCCCTTTCTCACTCATTCCTGAGCCTAGTAACGAGGCCCCCCAACTTCCACAGACTTTTCCTCAGGCAGGAAACCCGAGCCCACTGCCTGGCCTAGGACAGCTTCTAGGGCTGTGTGGTTTGTGTTATTTCTTCTCTTTTCTCTCTCTCTCCCTCTTTTTTTTCCTAAATGCAACAAAATAAAACCAAACAAAAAGCCCAATGCCTGGCGTGGCTTGTCAGAGAGTTATGCAAGTGTGTAAAAAAATAAAATAAAATAAACATTGAGTTTTCGGCATTTGGGGCTGTTTGATTAGACACAGAGCATAGCCAAGGGCCGGTTAGACGCAGGGAAGGCTCAGGGCAGAGGTGAGAGAGGAGGGACTTGAGTGGGGGTTGGAGGTTGGAGGGGGCCCCTGGACCAACTCGGAAATGACTGTTTGCCTCCTGCAAACTTGGCAATGCTCTGGCTGAATGAACCCAGACACTGGGCATTTCGGACCCAACTGCTCCACTTTCTCTGGCTATCCACCATCCCTGTTCCCTGGCCATTGGGACACTCTAGGGGTCATTACATCCATCCTCCTGTCATTGTAAACGACCCTGTGCCCTTAACTCAATAGTCAGGGCTCCCCCCTTCTCTCCTAAGAGGGAGATTCCACAGCCTGTCTTGATTACTCACCCCCCCTATACACACACACAATCAGTACATCTTTTCTGCTCTAGCTTAACTCCCACTAACTACAGTTTTAGCCCATTTTCCTTTCCCAATCTGAAGTGAAGCTGGAGAACAGCTGTTTGTCACTCTAAGAAGTGAGTCTCCTTCCCTCCCTTCTTCGGGCTTGACTTCAACATCATCTGGGTCACTGCAGGTGTCTGTAGCCGTTCAAGACTCATTCCACAAACATGTATGGGGTTCCCACCATTAACCAGAAGTTTGTAGCCTTCATTTCATTGAACCCTCAGAACAGATGAAGCCTTGCGATTCAGAGAGGTTCAGTAACCTAGGCATGACCACACAGCTGGTAAGTGATAGAGCCAGACATGAATCTAAGTGTTATTGTATGATCTCCCTCACTCTCACCTACCAGCTGCCTCTGGAGGTGTCCTCACCTCGGTGCCCAGGATCTGATAGCCTTGGTATTTCTTCTGAACTGGGAAGATGCACAGAAGATTTGACCCTGAAGGGGGAGAGGGTGTGGTCAAGACCACCAGGCTCTGTGGAGCCTGTTCCTTGTCACTTTCCAGGTTCCTGATGGGGAAACTGGGGTTTTCATGAGGGTCTCCGGCCGCGTTCTGACGCCAAGATGAGCGGAGTTGTTGCGGGTTCTCTGGCTGCGTGGAATCCCCGGGGCGCGGGGAGGGGCAGGGGACAAAAGCAGAAGGTCTGCCCCAGGGTCCTGGGGACTTGTCCCTCCGCCAGCCCCGCGCTCGGAGCGCAGAGCGCCAGCTTCGGGCAAGGACGTGTGGACTCCCGGGCCGGCGCTCCAGTCCATTTTTTCTTGCGGATCCCTGGAAGGGGGGCCGGCTCGCGGGGGGGACTGCGAAGGGGGGGATTCCCTCCCTGGTGCTCGCAGAGGACTGGCCCCTCTCCGGGCTGGGAGCTCCGGCCGAGCGGAGGCGCGACGGAGAGCACCAGCGCAGGGCAGAGAGCCCGGAGCGACCGGCCAGAGTAGGGCATCCGCTCGGGTGCTGCGGAGAACGAGGGCAGCTCCGAGCCGCCCCGGAGGACCGATGCGCCGGGTGGGGCGCTGGCCCCGAGGGCGTGAGCCGTCCGCAGATTGAGCAACTTGGGAACGGGCGGGCGGAGCGCAGGCGAGCCGGGCGCCCAGGACAGTCCCGCAGCGGGCGGGTGAGCGGGCCGCGCCCTCGCCCCTCCCGGGCCTGCCCCCGTCGCGACTGGCAGCACGAAGGTGAGTCCCCTCGTAGCTGCCCCATCCTTCTCCCCAGCGCCCCCTTCCCCGGGAGCTGGGGCGCGGCGGGCCCTCCCGTCGGGGCTGGTTCTAGCTGGGTGCGTGGGGGGAGACAGAAAGGAAGGGGAGTCTGATCGCTCTCCGGTCGGCGATCAGGACAGGGCACCTCCTGCACCCTTCCTGCAAGTCTGCCGCCCCCGTCGGCCCTCAATCCAGCAGGCAGCCTCTTCCCCTCGAACTCCCCTCCATCCCGCAGCCCCGGGTGATCATCCTCACTCGCAGTCCTGAATTCCCCAAGTCCACCAGCCCTGTTTATACCCCGCCTCCAATCCAGAAGTTCTTGATCCTGGGGCTCATTGGCTCGGATTCCCCCAAGTCCCACGGTCTCTGGTGACCCCCACCCCAGTCCGCAGCCTGGGCCTGGGTTCGACGTGGCAGGCGGCATGCGCTGCGGCCCCCGGTGCGCAGCGAAGTGGCGCGGCTCCCTGGCCCTCGGGGTCTGGCGCTCAGGAACCGATGGTATCGCTTAGTTGGGGAGAGGTGGGGGCTATGTTCGCCCGGGACTCCCTGGAGGGCCGGGACAGACTTGGAGTGAGTGTGCTTGGGGGCAGGAGTTTTCTTGTGAAACTGGCCTCTCAGACGTGGACAGCTCTCTTGGCTCTTGAGGGCCAGCCAGGGGAACCTCAGGTCCGCGTCTCCCTCGGCACCTGTTGGGGCCTCTGCGGGATGGTGGGGGAGGGAAGAAGAATGTGCGCGCTTGCGGGGGTGATGGAGGGGTGAAGAAGCCATCCTCCGCTGCCCTTGCTTTTGGAGGGGGGGCACGGCCCCAGCACCTGGCTTGGCTCCGACAGACAGGCTAATCCCGACAGGTCGGACAGGCACATACTTTGTCCCGCCCCCCGCCCGCAATTCTTCTGCCCCCGCCTGCCAGCCTGCTGGGCGGCCAAAACTCTCCAGCCTGTAGCCCGGCCCGGGGAGGGCTAATGCGAAATTATCTAGATAGTTTACATTTTTGGGTCTGTATCGGGCCCCTGATGGAGTACCACTTTATTCTGACGGTATTGCAGGCAAGAAGGTGAAAGTGATTCCAGCCCCCTCCCGGGGCTGAGTTTCTGCCCTCAGCTCCACCTCCAGCTGTGTCCCCCTCCCCGACCTGTATACTCCCCTCCGAGGCCCTTGTGGCCTCTCGCTTTGGTCTCCCTTCTCAGCTCTGCCTCTGCCACCAGCCCCGTCCCCACTTTGCAGGTCCACTCCCCAAGCTGGGTTGTGCCCCACACTCAGCAGCTCCCAGCGGGTTGCCCCGCCCTCCCCACACCCAGTCCTGGGTAGCAAACCTGAGGGCAGGTCCCTAACTGGGTCTGTAACCCCTGGGACACTTAACCATTCAGGGCCAGGTCTCTTCCCCTGTAAAATGGAAATAATTCTACCTTCCTCCTTCCATTGTGAGGAGTAAACGAAGACCTGGCACATGGCAGGTGGAGGGAGGCATCTAACAAGTGTGAATCCCTCACCCCCACAGTGGCAGAGAGAAATGCCCTTTCTTACCCCCACCAATAACCTGAGGCACTGCCAGCAGTCCCCATTCTATCTGTGTAGAGTGAGCCTCAAAAACATAAACTGCCAGTGCCATATAGCCCATGGCTCAAAGGAAATCAGACAGAGGACTCTAAAAGAAATGAAGCAGCCTGCTTAAAAGGGAGTCATCAGCTCATATCTCCTCTCTCAGCCCTAGCCCATGCTGTCCATGTCTGCAAGAGTGCATGCCTGTGTGTGCGCATATGGGGTCAGGGACTAGATGCAGGAATGTGGAGCCACTGAGGCAGGGACCTGTGGCCCTCTGAGGCTTGGTGCTGCAGGGTTCCTAGTCCGAGACCTGTCCAGCATTTCAAATCAGATTTCATGTAAGATCCTGGATTTTCCACTCCTCTTTTAGAAAATCAGAAGATCTTTCAACAATCAGTCAGAGCTGAACGGCATATGCTCCCTTTAGATGGGGCATTTACCCTCCAGTTTACCCCCTCCACATCCAGCTTCAATCATATATGTCATTTGTACCCCCTGGTATAGAGGAACTCTTAGCCCCTTTACAGGGTTGATTCTATATGTACATTTTCAAAAAGTGCTTGCAACTCTTCCCATCCCAGAGGTGGGGGAGGCCAGTGTCACTTGCTTCAGTGAAATTTACATCTGGATCCTCCTTACGATTTTCCAGCTGAGATTGTGGTTTCCTGGTGATTCAGGTGGGAGTGGGCCAGAAGATCACCGCTGGCAAGGACTGGGTGAGTGTGGCAGGGGTCAGCTGAAAACTAGGACCTGGGAGGATTGAGAAGGAATTTAGAGGGAGAGGAGAGGGAGGAAAAAGAAGGGAGCTAACATTTGCCGAGCACTCACCCTCAATTGCCAGGCACCATGACAGGTTGGCACAAGGAATGCAGAGATGCATAGGGGACATTTTGTGCCCCAAAAAACCCCAGGGATATTGATCACGCAGTGAGTCCAAAGTCTTTCAGATCCAGGGTTAACACCAAGTTTGTCTAATGCAGTGTTTGTCAACTGTAAGGACTCATGGAACAGATCTACCAGGGATTCTCAGACCTTAGTTTGAGAAATGCTGCAATTAAAGGCAAATCCTATCACTCTGAGTGATCGCTTTGGTGTCGAGGCAATCAACCATAAAGATAAATGCAAATATGGAAATTGCATAACAGTACTCAGTATTAAGGTTAGTATCCAGATGATACAGAACATGTTCATATTGCCTTTTGAATGATTATTAGAATGTAGACACAAAGTGAAGCTTTGGTCATAACAAATACAGCAAATATTATTGAGTCATCACTGTGTGCCAGCACCATTCTAAGCAGTTTTGTGTATTAACTCATTTAAGTTATAAACAACAATAACCTTCATGCAGATAAGAAAACAGGCTCAGACCAGCTAAGCAAGGTAACATAGCTAATAAGTAGCAGAACCAATATTCAAATCCAGGCAGTCTGACTCTGAAGTTTATGCCCGTGACTATCATGCTGTACAGCCAGCCTCTGAGACTACAGACTTGGGCCAGAAGACCCCAGTTTGATAAACTCAACTGGACATCTATAATCTGTGGGTGAGAGAATTGTGTAGTGGGGGCTGGGGAGGATAGAAAGGCTTTGGTAAATCAGGCAGGGAGTACTGGAGGGGCGTGCAGGGGTTGGCAGCTGACGGGCATTTGGGGGTAGCTGGGGGCATCTCCTCTGGCTCAGGCCACAGCACCAGGTGGGATCCATCAGCCTCATGTAAACACTTCTCACAGGCAGCTTAACCACTTGAGTGTGTCTGGCCTTCAAAGCCAGCGGGAGAGGCCAAGGAGGGAGGTACTGAACTCCCTTAGGGGATAATGATTTATCTCCCGTGCAGGTGGGCTCTGCTGGGGCCTCCCTGACAGGCGAGGGGGTGGACTGGCACTGAAGAGCCTAGAGGGGAAAGGATTAGGACAGGGGGTGGGAGGGGCACCTCCACTCCAGCACCTCAGATTTCTCATTCCTGAGCCTGAACTCTCTGACTCTCAGCTAGCCTGTGACATAGTCATGCTTGTCCCCATTTTATAGATGTGAAACAGGTTCAGTGAGGCTACATGACTTGTTCGAAGGCATCTAGCCACTGGAGGGGAAGGTGATGGCTCCCTGGCATCTACAGAGACTCTGTGCTATTGGCCTGCATGCTCTGTTGTGGTGTGGGTGTGTGTGGGGGAGTGTGGGGTGTGCGTGGGCAGGCCGCTGCTGTGGAAGAACCTTGAGAGCATCAGAGCATGTGTGTGATCCCGTGACGGGGAAGCAGGGTTTTCATTCTCACTCCCAGGTTGGGCTCAGATGTCCAACTTCCCAGACACATCTGATCAGGGGAGGGACCGGCTCCCCTGCCCCCATCACCCCAGCCGGCCAGCGGGTCCAGAGACCTGGCTCTCGCTGGGCTGGGGGATTATCCCCATTCTCTGTGTCTCTGGCCAGGGCGGGCATTGCTGCCTCTTTTATCCTCTCACAAAGGCCAGGCCCGCCGGGCCTGCTGTGTCAGAGTTTCTGTGGCCGGGGGAAGCCTTACTTCCTTTTCTCCCGCCAAGCCCAGAGGGCCAGGCAGGGTCTGCCAGCTTGCCGGGGGCCACTGCTCTAACTCCAGGACAGGTGAAAGGCACATGGGTGACTCAGCCCCGGGAAGAAAAGGCTGAGGGGTCACTCATGCAAGGACAGAGAGAGAGAGAGAGCTCCTCTTCAAGAGACAGGATACTACTGCAGCATGAGGTCTGTAGGGTAGACTTAAGGAAGGACTTCCAGTTAGAGCTGGACAACATGAAGCAGGGGTGGGACCAGCTGGCTCCCGTTATTGAGAAATCATCAGTGATCCACAAGTTTGGTTTGAATGTCTGCCATATTCTGGCTACACAGGTTGCCGGCTCCGGTCCCAGGTTAGGGAATTCTGTAAGACAGGAAAAGGAGCAGATTTCTTCTAGAAAGGTGCTAGGTAGGTAACTTGTAATGTCCAAACATTTTGAGCTCCCAGTCTTCTGGGTAGGGCAGGAGGCATAAGTGGGAGTGTTCATGGTACTACAGAATTAACCCTTCTTTCTCCTTCCCTGACAGGTTGGTTTTTGGAGTAGTCCCTGCTGACGTGACAAAAAGATCTCTCATATGATATTCCGAGGTATCTTTGAGGAAGTCTCTCTTTGAGGACCTCCCTTTGAGCTGATGGAGAACTGGGCTCCCCACACCCTCTCTGTCCCCAGCTGAGATTATGGTGGATTTGGGCTACGGCCCAGGCCTGGGCCTCCTGCTGCTGACCCAGCCCCAGAGGTGTTAGCAAGAGCCGTGTGCTATCCACCCTCCCCGAGACCACCCCTCCGACCAGGGGCCTGGAGCTGGCGCGTGACTATGCGGCTTGGGCTGTGTGTGGTGGCCCTGGTTCTGAGCTGGACGCACCTCACCATCAGCAGCCGGGGGATCAAGGGGAAAAGGCAGAGGCGGAGTGAGTAATGGAGCATGGTGGGCCACAGCTGGCCTTGGGAATGGGAGGGGGCCACCCAGGAACTAGGGGTCTTCAGGAGTTTTATTCCATGATGACCCTTGCAGAGTTCCACTCTATCTATTATAGCTTTGTAGATCACTCAGTAGATGATCCTGTTTGTGGATTATTCAATTGGTGGATTAATTTGCTGAGATTACCCACTCTGTAGATGACTCACTTTGTCTGTTTTCCCCTTTGTAGACTCTGCTTTCTAGATTAACCCCTCTCTTGTGAGGATCCAGTTTGTGGATTATGCCTTTGTGGATTATGTGCTTTGACATAACACCAGCTTTGTGTGGTATCCATGGAGATGCTTCCCCAATCCCCCTGCCCTGGGGCTCCTTTTTTGGCTAAAGTGCAGCCATCAACCCTTTTGGGTTAGGAGCTCTGCACAACTTAGCACTGGGTAACAGGGCTTCCCCTGCCCAGATCATAGGGCAGGAACAGTGGAGTAGGGAGGGTCAGGAGACTGTCCACTGCTGTGGCTTTTAAACCATGCCTAGTGGGATTCAGGGAGCTACAGTGGCATCGAAGGGGAGACAAGCAGGCAGGGGTCTGGCCCGACCACGCTTCAAACCAGAGCAGTCTCACTTTTCCCTGCTTTTGGTAATGAGCATCCACATAAGAAGTCGTTGGAAGAGAGGGTTCTCATAGCTTAAAAAGAAAACCAAAATCCTATCATTGTACAGATGCTAAGAAAGGGGAAGAAACAGGTCTAAGGAGATACAGTTGATGTTGGAACCCAGGTCTCCCAATGCCTGTGGGCCCAGTCTTCTTGAAAGCCGAATTTGATGGAGGTCAAGGGTAATCTGTCCCTAGCCCCTTGATAGGCACTCCTCAGCCTCTGCTTAAGGTCTCCAGTGATGGGGCCCCAGTGCTGTAGGGGTGGCCACTGTGTGTGAGGGGCCCACACGAGGGAGATGGTGGGGGACTCCAGAGTCCCAAGTCCTCATCTGTCTTTTGACATCCCGCATGAGAAGATGCCACACCCACAGGCAGGAGATCTTCCTGAAGTCTAGCCCAGCTCCCTCTTGCTTCATGTTTCCCTGCAGACGGAGGCCCCCCAGTGAAGGCTGAAAAGCAGTGGGGTTTTGCTGGGGCTCCACGGGAGCAGCCAAGGCCAGGACTCAGCCCAGGGAGAGAAGCTCAGAGAATTGGTGAAGCTGAAAATCCCTGGCTTAACAAACAATTAGAGACGGTTAGGTTTAATCAGCAGCAAGGCCTTGATTTTCCTCCCTTCTCATCTGTTGTGGCCAGTATTTTGGACTCCATGGGCCAGATGCGGTTTAGCGGTTTATAATCGGTCTCCTCTATTTCCGAAATGAGAGAGAGAGAGAGACAGAGAGAGAGAGAGAATGGGAGGAACCATTCACATTCATGCAATGTGTACATGTGCTTAACGCTGACCCTCACCCATGCAGAGCCTCATGCCTGGCTAAACCAGAGGTCACAGGACCTGAGTTCAAGTCTGTTGTATTAAAAAGGAAAGAAGTACTAGACTTGGCATCAGAAAGGGCCTGGTCCTAGCGATGGCGAATCTCCTGCACCAATTTTGACGTGCTTGCTCGCTTTTCATATGGCCACATCTAACAGCCGTGGCAGCACATGAGCCAGTTTTCATTACCAAGTGATGTGAGTAACAGACATCCTTGATGGTAAGAGGCAAGGGTGGGGAGAGGTGTGGAGACAGGCTCAGGGGTGCAGGGAGGGATGAAGGTTGTGCTGTTTGTCAATACTTGTTATGTAATAGCCATAGTCATCGCAATCAGGAAGCTGAAATGCAATGTATAGGAGGATAGTAAGGCTTACATGAGATAATAGGTATATATATATAGTTTTGTTTTGTTTTGTTTTGTTTTGTTTTGTTTTGTTTTGTTTTGTGATGGAGTCTTGCTCTGTCACCCAGGCTGGAGTGCTGTGTCACGATCTTGGCTTACTGCAACCTCCGCCTCCCGGGTTCAAGTGATTCTCCTGCCTCAGCCTCCCAAGTAGCTGGGATTACAGGCATGTGTCACCATGCCTGGCTAATTTTTGTATTTTTAGTAGAGACAAAGTTTTGTCATGTTGGCCAGGCTGGTCTTGAACTCTTGACCTCAGGTGATCCACCCACCTCAATAGATATATATTTTTAACACCTTTGTAAAACATCAAGTTCTGTGTAGACTCTGGGTGCAAATCATTGTTATATAAACAATGTGTAGACCATTTTGCCTTACTGATTCTGGGGGAGTAGGGAAGGGAAGAAGGAAGACCAAGACAGCTGTGTGTGCCTGGCCTCTCGATAAGACAAGCGTGGAAGGGCACTGGGTGGACCTCGGGGCAGGGGTAGGTGTGCTGTGTATGAGCCTCAGGGTTGTTGACTCTGGCTGACAGTCCTCGGCTGCAGGGTAGGAGGGCCACCAGAAGCCACTCAATCTAAATCTCATTCTGAGCTATTATACACTAGTTTTGAAGCCATGTCTGATTTCGGAGTCTGAGTGATGGTCTGCCTGCATGGAGCGAGAAAAGTTGAGCAAAGAACTTCTCTTTAGCTGTGAGTGGTGAAGTCCCCTTGAAGTTCCCCTCCTCCACTCATTGAGGACCCTGCCCCTCCCTGAACTCCTGTTCACTAAGCCCCTTGTCTTCTTGCTAGCCCTCACCCCTGATCTGGGGTCCCTGCACCTTCCTGAGCCCTCATTCCCACTCATCCCTCGCACTGAGTAATTCTCCTTCCTGAGCCCCTTCTCCTCTCTGATTCTTGGGCCCCCTCTCTCAGTCCTGCCTCCCAGGAAGCCATCATTCCTTCATTGAGCCCTGACTTCTCCAGAAGCCAGGAGCCCCCTTTGTGCCTCTTCTCACTGCCCCATCCTCCATCTGGAGCCTCTACCCCTGCTGCACTGACAGCCTTACAGTCCCTCATCCCTCACTGAATCCCCAGTCCTTCCTTGGGTCATTCTGCAAATGTTCATTGAGATCCTGCAAGCTGGCCCTGATCACAGAGATGAATCTCGAGGAGCCCGCAAGCGAGTGGGGGAAGACAAAATGTCAATCCAGTTCGGGAATGCCGCACAGGAGAAAACCCGAGGGCATGGACAGCCCCGGGGAGTTGGGAGGAGGCATAGAGTGTTCCTTTAGGAAGTGGGGTGCAGCTAGGAGTAGCTGGGGAAATGAATTATCAAGGGGGTTCTGGAGAGCCCTAGGATTTCCACTGGAGAAGCTGTGCTCATATTTTTTCTGTTGGAAAGAAGTGTTTTGCCACTAAACAAGCCATCCAGAACCTACTGGGATCGAGCAAGGAAGCTGTCTGGGGCTGAGGGGAGGGTCCGGGGAGAAGATGCTGCAGGGTAGAGGTCGGGTTATTAAGCTCTTCTCACCTGCCAGGCTGAGGAGTTTGGACTTGGCCTGACTCCAGCTACAGTGGGTGAGGAGCTACTGAGGCTTTCATCAAGGAGCCCAGAGCCCAGCTGCATAGAGGGTGGGGGAGGTGGCTTGAGGCGGGAAGCAAACAGCCCAGGTAAGAAAAAGTGAGGATCTAAAGTAAGCTCACAGTTGAGCTAAAGAATCCTGGGTCTGGCTTGGCATGGTGGCTCACGCCTGTAATCCCAGCACTTTGGGAGGCTGAGGCGGGCGATCACCTGAGGTCAGGAGTTCAAGACCAGCCTGCCCAACATGGCGAAAGCTTGTCTCCACTAAAAATACAAAAATTAGCCAGGAGTGGTGATGTGCACCTGTAGTCCTGGCTACTTGGGAGGCTGAGGCAGGAGAATCGCTTGTACCTGGGAGGCGGAGGTTGCAGTGAACTGAGATTGTGCCATTACACTCCAGCTTGGGTGACAGAGCAAGACTTTGTTTCCAAAAAAAAAAAAAAAGAATCCTGGGCCTACCAGCGGGACGTGCCCAGGGCTTGCTGAATGTGCAGGTCCCAGGAAGCCACAGGGATAGATCCACCTCCTGGGACAGCATGTGGCCTGAGAGGGGCCCTGGCCTACTCACTTCCTCAGTCTCCTGGCTGAGGCCCCACTACCTATCCTCCTACCCTCGCCAACTGAACTCAGGTCTCTCTTACCAAACCCATTTCCTCCAAGACTAGATTCCACCCCAAAACCAAGATTATCACTCTCTGGGTCACGGTGAGTTCTCTCCACCCACCACTGTCCCTAACCCATCCCACCTGAGTCCCTCATCCATGTTCCATCCTGGTCCCTCCACTGTAGTGAATTTTCATTAAGATCCATCCATACACCACCCCTCATCTCAAGCCTCTGTCTCATTCACCATATCCTCAACCTTATACCCTTGTGGAGCCTTATCCTTTACTGAGCTCCCATTCAGAAGTGATGGGCTCTGCCTGCCAAAGCTCTTTCTAGTGAGAGAAAAAGACATGTTAGCAGATAATAACAATATAAGGTGACGTTCACCATGACAGATTCAAGTACTAGGGGTGTGGTAACACAGAGAAATACTCCATTGAGACTTTGCAGGGAGGTGAGATCAGGAAGACTTCCTGGAGGAGGTGACTTTAGTTCTGAGGCTTGAGGGAGTTGGTCAGGCTCAAGAGGAGGTGGAGAGTGTTCTGGGCAGAAGGACCAACTTGAACAAAAGCACACAGGTGTGAGATAGTGCGACATGTCCAGAGAAACAAAAATGGTTTGATATTGCTTAGGAGTGGTGCTGAGGGGTAAGGTGGATGGGATGGGCCCACAAAAGCTTTTAAGGTCAGGCAAGGAGCTGGGTCTTAATTCTGTAGGTGATAGGGAGCTATTGATAGATAATAGGATGGGGTGTAAAACCATCAGATTTTTAGTTTAAGAAAGATTCCTGGGGATGAAGAAATTGGGAACTGGAAGAAGTGAAGCCCCTAGCGGGGAGGGGCAGCGATCCAGAACCATTCTTCAAGGGGTGTGGGGCTGAGCTGCCCTGGAGCAGTGCCTCATCATAGCCACAGCAACTTAAAAGGGCTTTGCGTAGGATGAAGGAGACTAGAAGAGGGGGAATTGAGGGCACAGCCTTGCTCTGCTAGCTCAGCGAAGTGGGCTGGAGAGCAGGGTGCTTGGGAGCTGAGGGAGGTGGGGTTGGGGGGGATGGTGGTTTGTGGGGAGGGCAGAGCTGGGGGTGCTGAAGAAGTCAGGAAGGAGGCTCCCTCCCCCACAAGCACCCCTTGCCCTCGCTGAGTCCACCCGGCCTCCTCAGCCAGGCTTACAGCCCTGCAAGGCCGCTTGCCCTGCACACCCCCCATAACAGGCAGCAGCAGGAGGGAAATTTCTTGCTTTTGTTCCTTCTTTTCTTTTAGAGAGAGGGTCTTGATCTCACTATGTTGCCAAGGCTGGTCTCAAACTCCTGGGCTCAAGATATCCTCCTGCCTCAGCCTCCTGAGTAGCTGGGACTACAGCATGTGCCACTGTGCCCAGCTAGAGGAGAGCTTTCTAAACTACCAACCCAACGATGCCCTTCCATTGGTCGCTTTCTTCACCAAGAGAATATATAAAGCTCGGCCGGACTTGGTGGCTCACGCCTGTAATCCCAGAACTTTGGGAGGCCGATGTGGGCAGATCACGAGGTCAGGAGTTTAAGACCAGCCTGGCCAACATGGTGAAACCCCAACTCTACTAAAGATACAAAAAAATCAGCTGGGTGTGGTGGTGCATGCCTGTAATCCCAGCTACTCAGGAGGCTGAGGCAGGAGAATCGCTTGAACCCAGGAGGCGGAGGTTGCAGTGAGCCAAGATTGCGCCATTGCACTCCAGCCTGGCCAACAGGGTGAGACACCATTTCAAAAAAAAAAAAAAAGAGAGGGAGAGAGAATATATAAAGCTCTATGTTCTTTTTTTTTTTCCTTTTGAGGTGGGGTCTTGCTATGTTGCCCAAGCTGGTCTGCAACTCCTAGGCTCAAGGGATCCTGCCTCAGCCTCCCAAGTAGCTGGAATTACAGGCACGTGCTATATAAAGCCCTATTTTCCATGCCATGGTCGATCCAGGATATTCAGTGCCTCGGAGGCTTTGCACTGGCTGTTCCTCCTGTGTGGAACACCCTCCTCCCCTAGGCTTCTGGGTCAGGGAGTGCCCTCTGCCTCTCTACATCCAGATATGTAACCAGCCCTGCCTCCCTCGTCCCGGGTGGGCTTTTGTGGCTATACCTCCACGTTCCAGCTCCTAGTAGCCCTAAGCACCTGTGAGGTGTGCAGTAAATATCTGTGAAATAAATGAGACTTAGTTTTCCTGCTCTGAATCATTATGCATTTCCCCCAAATATGAACCGTCTTCCTTGGACCCTTCCTTCAAGGGCACATTCTTACTGTCGAGCCCCCTCTCCTCTCCCCCCATCCCCTCACTGCCTCTCTGAGCTGAGAACATCCTGTGCTTCCTGTCCCCCTTGATAAACACCCCTTTCCTTATTGAACTGACCCTGCCTGTCACTGAGCCCCCATTCCTCTTCTGAGCCCCCAAACCCTCATGGAGCTCAGCTACCTGACCCCCTGGTCCCTCCTCCTAACCAAGGCCAGCTTTAGCATCTGAGCCCTGTGTCTTGATGCTCCCATTTCCTCGTGTCCTCGGGTCTCTACTCCATCAATGTCCCCTGCCTCTGAGTCTTGTAATCACATTCCCCATCCCCAGCCATGCTTTCCCCTTCTCTGTCTGTGATCTCTGATTTTCTCTCTCACCCTCCTGGCTTTATCTCCACTCCTTCCCTTCCACTCACTCCGAAGCCCACTGTGGTTTGGCTCTCATCTCCACCTCTCCACCAAAACTGCCCTTCTCAAGGTCACCTAATCAATGATCACTGAGAGTCAAGTCTTGCAGATTTGTTTCAGAGCTCACTGGCCTTGTCTCCTCCCAGCCCTGGTCCCTGAAGATCTCTCCCTTTTCAACCTTATTCCTGGCACCTCTGTCTCTCAGTCTCCTCCCAGCTATCCAAGGATCCTTCTCCACTTCTTTCCCAAGCTCCCCTTCCTCTTGCCTAGCTGTTGAATGCAGGTGTTGCCTGAGGCACCATCCAGGCTCTTCTGTTCCCACAGATCTAACTATCAGGTTCTTTTTTTTTGAGTCAGGGTCTTGCCCTGTCATCCAGGCTGGAGTGCAGTGGCTCAATCTTAGCTCACTGCAGCCTCGAAATCCTGGACTCAGTCAATCCTCCAGCCTCAGCTGGATTACAGGCACAAGCCGCCATGCCAGCCAACAGTCAACTTCTTGAAAGAGGGGGCGCTATTTCCTCTCTCTACTTCCTGACCTTCCTTTCACTGCCGAACAACTGCCTCCTGCTGTCCACCCCACCACCCCACCAAAACTACACTTACCAGGTCGCCACCACCAGGTTGGGCTCACATGACATCTCAGAAGCAATTGTCGTGTTGATGCCTCTCTCTTCTGAGTGTACTCTTCTCTGGGCTCCCATGATGCTATATACTTCTCAGTGTCTCCTGCCTGTCTGTTGGCTCCTCCTCTGCCTCTGAGTGGACTAAAGACTTTTCCGTCCTTCTCTTCAATGTCCAGTTCCTCTTCTCACTCTCCAGACCCACTCTTCTTGCCACCTCATGGACTGGCATGCCTTTGATGACTGTTCGATGTTAAGAACTCCACCTCTTCTTAGCCAAGCACGGTGGCATGTGACCGTAGTTGTAGCTACTCAGGAGGCTGAAGCAGGAGGATCACCTGAGCCCAGGAGTTTGAGGCTTCAGTGAGCTACGTTTGTGACACTGCAGTCTAGCCTGGGCAACACAGTGAGATCTCATCTCTTAAAAAAAAAAAAAAACTCTTAAAAGAAAAAAAAGAAAAAAGAAAAAAGAAAAAAGAACTCAGCGTCTCAATCTCCAGCCAAAATAGTTCTCTTGAGTTCCAGACCCATGTGTTCAATTGCCTAATAGACATCATTCCCTGGATGTTCCACAGGAACCGCAAACTCAACATGTCTAATACTTAGCTACTCGTCATTTTCCCACCCGAACCCCCTCCTCCTCCTGTGGTCCCTCTCCCAGGGAAGGGCTGTTACACAAGCCCAGCATCTCGAGGTCACCTTGCCCCTGCCCCTCACCCCCTCTTGTTGAATGCATCACCCTGTCTTGTTGACCCTGCCGCCTGACCATCTCACGTGTGTCTACTCCCTCCCCTCTCTTTGGCTCAGCCCAGCTCTCCTGGACTGGAGTTCTAGCCTGGGAGTCTTCCTGTCTCCACTCTTGCCCTCGGAAAATCCATTCACCACTCTACGGAGTGATCTTTCTAAAATAGAATCCTGACTGTGTCTCCTGTTGTAAACCTCCCACTGATTCCTTCTGACCTTCAGGATAGGGTGTGAACTCCTTCATCCAGGCTTAAGACCCTTCCTCATCCAGCCCCTGCTTCCCTCTCCAACTTCCCGCCTCATCACTCGCTCCAGGCTCCCACCATGCTGACCTGATTCCAGATTCCCTTCCCTGGGTGTGCCATACTTTCTCTGCGGTGCCATTGATGGTGCTGAAGAAAAATGCACACAGGGACTTGCTGCTAGTGGAATGGAAGGTGGGCAGCAGATCTGAAAGGGCGCCTTTTGCAAACCTGTTCTTAACACAGGTGATAATGAAGGAATAAATGAGTATGGCAGCATCGCTTGAGAGGGCTGCAAATGGGATGCCGGGATCACTGCCATTACTGAAACTAAGGCAGAAACCTAGAGGGCGCATTCATGTCAACAATGAATTAAATCAAAACAGTGAGTCATAGACAATTTAATATCTTTGAAGTGGAAGTGGTGCCTAAAATCTATAATGACTCGTGAATTTGTAACACAGCTGAATAAAGACCCAGAATAGAAAAATAATCCAAAGGACTCCCTCATAACTTCAATGCCGCATTTGGAGTATTTTTGCTCATACAATGATTATACCAATAAGAATGATCGTGATTTTTATTTTTATCATATATTATTATTATTATTATTATTATTATTATTTTGAGACAGAGTCTCGCTCATCACCTAGACTGGAGTGCAGAGGTGATCTTGGCTCACTGCAGCCTCTGCCTCCTGGGTTCAAGTGATTCTTATGCCTCAGCCTCCTGAGGAGCTGGTATTACAGGTGCATGCCACCACGGCCAGCTAATTTTTGTATTTTTAGTAGAGGTGGGGTTTCACCATATTGGCCAGGCTGGCCTCGAACTCCTCACCTCAGCTTCCCAAAGTTCTGGGATTACAAGTGTGAGCCACCTTGGCCAGTCTATTATTATTTTTTGTAATAGAGACAGGGTCTCCCTATGTTGCCCAGGCTGGTCTTGAACTCCTGGGCTGCAGCGATCTGCCCGCCTCAGCCTCCCGAAGTGCTGGGATTACAGGCATGAGCCACCACACCCAGCCCATAAATTTCATTTTCCAAAAATATATAGTCTAACCACACTTTTAGTTTCCATGCCACCTCATATTGTCCTACCCTGGGCTCCCTATACTTTGTCTGCTCTGCCTGAAACACATACTGGCTGAGAAATTTTATTCAAGTAATTTACCTTTCCATTCCCTCATCTATAAAAATGTGCATAATAGGCCAAGAGGGGTGGCTCACGCCTGTAATCTCAGCACTTTGGGAGGCCCAGGCGGGTGGATCACCTGAGGTCGAGAGTTCGAGACCAGCCTGACCAACATGGTGAAACCCCGTCTCTACTAAAAATACAAAAACTTAGACAGGCATGGTGGCAGGTGCCTGTAATCCCAGCTACTCGGGAGGCTGAGGCAGGAGAATCGCTTGTACATGGGAGGCGGAGATTGCAGTGAGCCGAGATTGTGCCACTGCACTCCAGCCTGGGTGACTGAGTGAGACTGTCTCAAAAGAAAAAAAAAAAAAGGATAATATATTTTAAAAAAATAACAATAGTACCTACCTCATGGGTTGTTGTAAGGATTAAATGAGTTAATACTTGTCAAGCACTGAGAACATTGCCTGCCACAGAGTAAGTGCTCAACATTTAGTAACACACTGCCGCCATTGTGGTTATTACTGTGTTATTGTGATGGTTTGGTGTTTGTTATCATCTTCCTTCCTTCGGTTGCTCTCCTTCCTAACTCCTCCATGTTCTCCTGTTCTGAAACCAGGAATGATTCCTGCAGCATAGACTCACTCCAGCAGTTGTCCGGAGTGGACATCCTTATCTCCCCTTTTCAGGGAAGCACACGACATCCAGGATTTTGCCCAGCTTCCCAGACTGGGAATCTGGCTCTGGGTCCTGATGACTCTGAAGCCTGAGCTCTGGGTCCACTACCCTGCACCACCTCCCACCATCTCTATTCTGATTTTCCCAGCTCTCTGCCTTCTGCCTGTATCTGCAGCTCCTCTCTCCCTGGCTCTTTTGTTTGTTTGTTTTGTTTTGTCTTTTGAGACAGTCTTGCTCTGTCACTCAGGCTGGAGTGCAGTGGCACGATCTCAGCTCACTGCAGCCCCTGCCTCCCAGGTTCAAGTGATTCTCCTGCCTCAGCCACCTGAGTAGCTGGGATTACAGGTGCCCACCACCACATCCAGCTAATTTTGTGTATCTTTAGTACAGATGGGGTTTTGCCATGTCAGCCAGGCTGGTCTTGAACTCCTGACCTCAGGTGATCCACCCATCTCAGCCTCCCAAAGTGCTGGGATTCTAGGCGTGAGCTACTGCACCCGGCCGCTGCCTGGCTCTTGTTGCCCTTCTTGATCAAGTTCAAGTTCCTTAGCATGATACAAAGACAGGATACCTTAACTTTCACCACTCCACTCCCATTCCCATCTCCACTCAATGTAACTACTTTCCTTCCTCTCCTTCCCTCTCAACTCGCTTCTCTTGCCATGGGCTTCTTTTCACGTCTGGCCCCACAGCTCACCCACACCCCAGGCCAAACATCTGGGAATCACCCCAGGCTCCTCCCCATGCCTCTTTCCTCTCTGCCTGTCAGCCACGATGGCCTACTGGTTGCATTTCCTAAGCATCTCTCAAATCTGTCTTTTTTCCCTCTATCCCTGTGGAACATAATTTTGAGACTTTCTCACTTTTCTCACCTGGATGATCTAGTCAGCTTCCTCCCAAACAGTTCTTCCATCTCTGGTCTCCACCCTGGCTACCAGAGAAAATTTCCCAACATGTAAATTGGGCCAGGTCTCATCCCTGCTTAATATGTTCTAATGGTTCCCTGATGTCTAAACAGTCTGAGAAGGTCCTGAAACAAGTGTTCTGTGGCCAAAATGCTTGGGAAATGCAGTTCACTCTGTCCCCCCTCAGAGAGTCACTGTGCACAGGAGAGTAATAAAGCTTCCATTAGGCCTGCAGTAAAGAAATCTGTTTAGATTTGTTTGACCCACTGGTTCCTGGACTTACATGACACAGTAGCCTTTCTCCACATTCTCCTATTCATAGTTGGGGGAATCAAGTTGTAAGGAATACTTTTTGGGAAATGCCATCTGGCAGGCTCAAGTTCAAGTTCCTTAGCATGATATAAAGATAGAAAACCTTATCTTTCACCAGTCCCCTCCCATTCCCATCTCCACCCCAAGTTATCTGCAATTCTGCCTTTCCCTAGTTTTACACCTCTGTGGTCCTGCTCCCTGAGTGCCCTTAATTCTACTTCCTAAAGGACAAATCTGTACAAATTATCTAAGACTTGTCCCCAGTGACACCTCCTTTGTGGCTTGTTTCCCTCCTTCTTTTGGGTCCACTATTGCTTGGCCTTGTGGCTGTCAGCATTCACCTATTTGTGGTCTGTCTGCTCCACTGAAAGATCAGTTCCTCTACAGAGTGGCTTATACACCTCTGTCCCCAGGGCTCACACTGCGCAAGGTCCATGGAAGGGCCTCTATGAGGATTAAACAAGTAAGTGAGATCAAAGATCTTGAGACTCAATGCTGGGATGGAAAACCATGAAGCCTCAAAAGATGGTTCTCTCTTTTTTTTTTTTTTTTTTTTTTTTTTTTGAGATGGAGTCTTGCTCTGTCATCCGGGCTGGAGTGCAATGGCACAATCTCAGCTCACTGCAAACTCCGCCTCCCAGGTTCAAACGATTATTCTCCTGTCTCAGCCTCTCAAGTAGCTGGGATTACAGGCATGCACCACCATGCCTGGCTAATTTTTGTAATTTTATTAGAGACGGGGTTTCACCATGTTGGCCAGGCTGGTCTCAAACTCCTGACCTCAGGTGTTCTGCCCGCCTTGGCCTCCCAAAGTGCTGGGATTACAGGCGTGAGTCACCGCGCCCGACTTCAAAGGATGGTTCTGAGCCAGGGTTTCTCAACCTCAGTGTCATTAACATTTTGGACCAAATGATTCTTTGCTGTGCCCGATGCATTGTAGGATGATTAGCAGCATCCCTGGGCTCTACCCACTTGATGCCACTAACAACCCCTTTCCCCAGGTGTGATCACCAAAAAGCTTTCTAGGCATTGTCAAATGTCCCCTGGGGAGCAAAATCATCCCTGGTTGAGACCCCTGTTCTAGGCATAGATTATTCCAATTGTCTTTGTGTTTCTGGGTAGGTGGTCCTTTTCTATTTCACTATTTATCCCTCTTGCCCTTAAAACTTTCTCAGAAATTTAAGAAACCCTCCTTCTACAACTAAGGCTGACTGTTTTGTGCTCTGGGGAGAGTGGATAAATTCCAGGAAGGCTGCAGCTTGGGTTGCTTCTCTGGGGATGGTGGAGCCAGCCTAGAGAGTGAACTCGTGTCGTGTCTGGAGCTAGGGAAGCACATGGGTCAGCATCTGTGCTAGCTCTCTGGAGAAAAGCTACTGGGAAGGTGTATAAAGCAGCCTTGCAGAGAGCTGCCAGCCTGGCCGGTGCTTTCTGAGAAGCATATTCCTTCTGTGGAAGGAAACATCGATCTATTCACTTCCCATCCTTGTCAGAATCTGGATAGGTGAGGTTCTCTCCACAGCCGCCTTCTCATGCCTGCTCCACCTTTGCAGTCAGTGCCGAGGGGAGCCAGGCCTGTGCCAAAGGCTGTGAGCTCTGCTCTGAAGTCAACGGCTGCCTCAAGTGCTCACCCAAGCTGTTCATCCTGCTGGAGAGGAACGACATCCGCCAGGTGGGCGTCTGCTTGCCGTCCTGCCCACCTGGATACTTCGACGCCCGCAACCCCGACATGAACAAGTGCATCAGTGAGTGTGGGCAGGGCTGTCGGGGGCAGGGGGCATTAGAAGCTCTGGACTGGGGGAGAGTGCTTTGAACCATTGGTGGCTGGCAAGAGGAGCAGAGGGGGCTCTGAGGAGAGGAGATGAGGCTCCGATTCAAGTATCCAGCCGCACACTTCCACCTTGGTGTGTAAATATCAGAACCCTGTCTCCTCCCTTCGCACCTGCCCCTACCTGTATTCCCAGAGGTCACCCTCCATGTCCCAACCTGTCACCCAAGCCACAGCCCTGAGTGCCAACCTCTCCCACCCCATCCATCCAATCACCAAAGCCTGCCTGTCATCTCCTGTATGTCCACACTGCCACTGTCCTCCCCAGGCTCCCAGCACCTTGCTCCGGGATCATTGCAATAGCCTGTTCATCTGTCCTCCAGCCTTCATCTGGTTCCCTGAAACCCATCTTCTGCACTTCAGCCAGAAAGACGCTTCTGAGACACACACCCTACCCCATCACACTTCTGAGACACACAACCTATCTCATCACACTTCTGAGACACAGAACCTATCCCTATCCCATCACATTTCTGAGACATACAACCTATCCCATCACACTTCTGCTTAAAAACCACTGCTAGCTCCACATGGGCTGCAGGGGAATCCAAGCCCAGGCAGCCTGCTCTTCCACTCTCTTCTCTCCCTGGTCTTCTGACTCCTCATTTCCACAACAGCTACAGCTCCACATGCTCCAAGGCACACGCTACCATATCTCCATCCCTTCTCTGTAGATGCAGCTGTGATGTGCTGGGGGACACGTGTGAACACACTCGGGGGACAATGCCAGTGCCCCCACCACTTGTTCAGTGCCTTGCCATTTAGAATGCATTTGCAGGTCTCATATCAGTTGAGCCTCACAACAACACTGGGAGGGAGACAGGACACAATTGATGGTGCCCTTTTCAGGGCTGACAACATTCAGGCCCGGAGGGTAAATGACTGGTCCAAGACTAGACTGGACCAGTCCAGCTCAGAGTTGGTTCTGAGCTCAACTCTGCTACTTCTTCATTGTGTGACCTTGAGCACATCTCAACCCCTCAATGCCTCATCTTTGTTTTTACCCCCTAGGGTTGTTGTGAGACATGCATGTAAAGCCCTTAGTGTCTGGCACTCAATGAATGGTAGCTGCTATTGTTCTTATTTTTGTTCTTATTTGACTGGCAACCAAACCCAGGAATCAGAGCACCAGGGAGGGAAGGAAGGAGGGAAGGAGAGAGGTGAGGCTGAGATAAGCCTGGAGGATGGTGGGAGTTTGTGAGGACAGAGGTGGGACCCTGGGAGCTACCCTCTTGGTCCTCATGGTCCTTAAAGTCGGGAGCTCCTGGCTACACCAGCTCCTAGGAAACTGGCAGCATGGGCTTCAGGTGGCAGAGCCTGGGAGGAAGTCAGCCCCGCCTGCACTCTGGGAAGGAGAGATTGTGAAAGACCCTGCCTGCTTCCAGCCAAGCCCTGGAAGACCCACCCTGCCCCCATTCCCCCAGAGGAGAGAACTGGCAGCAGGGAATCAGGGAGGGACCCAGGAGTCCTACCAAGGTTGTTGCTGGAACTCAGCCTTGCAGAGGCAGAGGCATTTGCCCTGGGATGGCTTACCCCTCCTCCATGCTGATTCTTTCTGCCAGGCAGGAGGAGAACCACAGTTTGGGACATTGCAGATGCCCAGCAATGAGGGAAGAAGAGATCATGCAGCCACTCTCTGGGGGGCCATTCTGTCCCTCAGTTCAACTCTGTTTAGGGTGGCCCTCTGGATGCTGTGAGATGCTGAAACTCTCCTGTCCCACCCCCACCAGGCCCAGACGGCCCCACCCTCCGCCTCTGAAACTGCTCTCTTGAGCCTCACCTTGGGCTGCAGGGACTGAGACTGGGTTCATGATCGAGTTGGCTGATGGTGGCAAGAGTCCCAGCCAGCCTTCAGGAGCAACCGCTTCAGCTTCTTCTTCCCTGGCCTGCCACTGCCCTTCCTTTCCCTTTCCTCCCAAGATTCCTCTGCAGTACCTGCAGCTCTAGGCCAGGGTCCTGCCCTCCATGTAGGTGGGTGTGGACAGAAGGGAGGGTATTGGGGCTGGGGATGAGGGGAAACATTCTCACCAGGCTGGGCCAGAAGCCCCCAATCTGTCCTCTCCTCAGAATGCAAGATCGAGCACTGTGAGGCCTGCTTCAGCCATAACTTCTGCACCAAGTGTAAGGAGGGCTTGTACCTGCACAAGGGCCGCTGCTATCCAGCTTGTCCCGAGGGCTCCTCAGCTGCCAATGGCACCATGGAGTGCAGTAGTCCTGGTAAGCCATGGCAGGCACTGTGGGCAGAGGGTCCAGGACCCCAGAAGGAGGGGCCGGGTAAGGGTCTGGCAAGAGAGCGGGTGGGCTGGGGCACTGTGCAGGGAGAGCTTACCCTACCACTCCTTTCTGAGTCTCCAAGGACTTTTCTGCCCTCTGGACTAAAGATACCTGCAGCCTCAGGTCCAGGCAGAAGGAAAGTGGGAGATGCTCCCCTGGGCTATTCTGGGCCAGAGGAGGAGACATGATCCCCTCCTCCTTGTCCTTCTCTCCCTTCCCTTCTCTTCCTGCCAGCGCAATGTGAAATGAGCGAGTGGTCTCCGTGGGGGCCCTGCTCCAAGAAGCAGCAGCTCTGTGGTTTCCGGAGGGGCTCCGAGGAGCGGACACGCAGGGTGCTACATGCCCCTGTGGGGGACCATGCTGCCTGCTCTGACACCAAGGAGACCCGGAGGTGCACAGTGAGGAGAGTGCCGTGTCCTGAGGGTGAGCTGCAGCCTCTGCCTCCCTGGGGTCAGGGCTCAGGCACCAGCCATGACAGGTCCTGCCACCTCTGCTTCCTGCCCACGGCTCAGGAAGAAGCTTCAGGGCAAGGCCAGATGGGGCACCCGCAACTCAAGACCTCATGCTGTCCAATCCAGATGCCATGTCCTGGCAGAGAACAGGGCCTCAGAACTCTGCATAGTGGAAGCTGGAAGCTTCTGTGGTCAACATCCTTCCGGTTCCCCCATTTCTTCTGAGCTAGTGGATGTTCATACTAGAAGGCCCCTCGGAGGCAGGATGGGTGGGTGAAAAGGGGCACTAAGACCCAGAGGGGTGTAGTGATTCCACCAAAGTCACACAGCCTGCAGTTGGCAAGGGGTTGGCTGCTGCTCTTGCCTGGCCCCAGAGGTGGCTGGTGGCGGATAGGGGATGGGGGCAGTCCTGCCTGTTCTGAGAGTTGCACTGAATACCTGGGAAGTGCTCTTGGTCCATTGGGATCCAAGGTCTGAGGAATCCATGAGGAAGAGGATGATGTCTTGTGTGCCTTGAGGGTTGGGGAGTGAAAGGGCTCTTGGGCTGCCTCCCAGTACTCAAGCCTCGGGGTCCTCTGAAGTGGCTGCTGTCAGAGGAGGTCACGATGACCCAACTACCTAGAGGCAGCATCTCCAGCCTCCTCCCTGCCTCCCCTTCCGGCTTCCTCACACTCCCCTCCTAGGGCCTGTGGCCATGCCCAGGGCCTCCCTGCACATCCTTTGTTGATTCTTCCTGCTGTTTGGTTGTTTCAGGGCAGAAGAGGAGGAAGGGAGGCCAGGGCCGGCGGGAGAATGCCAACAGGAACCTGGCCAGGAAGGAGAGCAAGGAGGCGGGTGCTGGCTCTCGAAGACGCAAGGGGCAGCAACAGCAGCAGCAGCAAGGGACAGTGGGGCCACTCACATCTGCAGGGCCTGCCTAGGGACACTGTCCAGCCTCCAGGCCCATGCAGAAAGAGTTCAGTGCTACTCTGCGTGATTCAAGCTTTCCTGAACTGGAACGTCGGGGGCAAAGCATACACACACACTCCAATCCATCCATGCATACATAGACACAAGACACACACGCTCAAACCCCTGTCCACATATACAACCATACATACTTGCACATGTGTGTTCATGTACACACGCAGACACAGACACCACACACACACATACACACACACACACACACACACCTGAGGCCACCAGAAGACACTTCCATCCCTCGGGCCCAGCAGTACACACTTGGTTTCCAGAGCTCCCAGTGGACATGTCAGAGACAACACTTCCCAGCATCTGAGACCAAACTGCAGAGGGGAGCCTTCTGGAGAAGCTGCTGGGATCGGACCAGCCACTGTGGCAGATGGGAGCCAAGCTTGAGGACTGCTGGTGACCTGGGAAGAAACCTTCTTCCCATCCTGTTCAGCACTCCCAGCTGTGTGACTTTATCGTTGGAGAGTATTGTTACCCTTCCAGGATACATATCAGGGTTAACCTGACTTTGAAAACTGCTTAAAGGTTTATTTCAAATTAAAACAAAAAAATCAACGACAGCAGTAGACACAGGCACCACATTCCTTTGCAGGGTGTGAGGGTTTGGCGAGGTATGCGTAGGAGCAAGAAGGGACAGGGAATTTCAAGAGACCCCAAATAGCCTGCTCAGTAGAGGGTCATGCAGACAAGGAAGAAAACTTAGGGGCTGCTCTGACGGTGGTAAACAGGCTGTCTATATCCTTGTTACTCAGAGCATGGCCCGGCAGCAGTGTTGTCACAGGGCAGCTTGTTAGGAATGAGAATCTCAGGTCTCATTCCAGACCTGGTGAGCCAGAGTCTAAATTTTAAGATTCCTGATGATTGGCATGTTACCCAAATTTGAGAAGTGCTGCTGTAATTCCCCTTAAAGGACGGGAGAAAGGGCCCCGGCCATCTTGCAGCAGGAGGGATTCTGGTCAGCTATAAAGGAGGACTTTCCATCTGGGAGAGGCAGAATCTATATACTGAAGGGCTAGTGGCACTGCCAGGGGAAGGGAGTGCGTAGGCTTCCAGTGATGGTTGGGGACAATCCTGCCCAAAGGCAGGGCAGTGGATGGAATAACTCCTTGTGGCATTCTGAAGTGTGTGCCAGGCTCTGGACTAGGTGCTAGGTTTCCAGGGAGGAGCCAAACACGGGCCTTGCTCTTGTGGAGCTTAGAGGTTGGTGGGGAAGAAAATAGGCATGCACCAAGGAATTGTACAAACACATATATAACTACAAAAGGATGGTGCCAAGGGCAGGTGACCACTGGCATCTATGCTTAGCTATGAAAGTGAATAAAGCAGAATAAAAATAAAATACTTTCTCTCAGGGAGGTGTCTCAGAGGATGTGATATTTGAGCCTAACTCTGAAGGATGGGTAGAAGGATTTAAGACAGACTGCTGCTGTCCAGTAGAAATATGTGAGCCACATATTTAATTTAACATTTTTGGGCCGGGCGCGGTGGCTCATGCCTGTAACCCTAGCACTTTGGGAGGCTGAGGTGGGCAGATCACGAGGTCAGGAGTTCAAGACCAGCCTGACCAACGTGGTGAAACCCCGTCTCTACTAAAAATACAAAAATTAGCCGGGTGTGGTGGTGTGCACCTGTAATCCCAGCTACTCGGAGGCTGAGGCAGGAGAATCACTTGAACCCGGGAGGTGGAGGCTGCAGTGAGCCGAGATCACACCACTGCACTCCAGCCTGGGCAAAAGAGTGAGACTGTCTCAAAAAAAAAAAAAAAAAAAAAAATGCCAGGCAGGGTGGCTCACGCCTGTAATCCCAACACTTTGGGAGGCAAAGACAGGAGGATCACTTGAGCCCAGGAGTTTGAGACCAGCCTGGTGTGCAAAACAAAATTAAGTAATAAAAAAAGAAAATGTTTTTCTAGTAGCCACAGTATAAAAAGGAATGAGGTGAAATTAATTTTAATTACATCTGTTATTTAACCATATATATGCAAAGTATTATCTTTTTTTTTTCCTCATAGAGATGAGGTCTCACTATGCTGCCCAGTCTGGTCTTGAACCCCTAGGCTGAAGCGATCCTCTTGCCTCGGCTTCCCAAAGTGCTGGGATTATAGGCATGAGCCACTGCATCTGGCCCCAAAGTATTATCTTTTTAACATGCAATCAAGGTAAAAAATTATTAGTGAGATCTTTTACTTTTTTAAAACTAAGTGTTCAATGTTCCATGTGTATTTTTACACTCACAGCATATCTTAATTTGGATGCTAAATTTTCAGCAGAAATACCTGATCTGTAATTACATGGCATAAAAACTAAAGTTGAAAAAGAAGATACACATACCCAAGTTGTTTTGAGAATACTTACCAGTTTTTCTGTAACTGAATGATGTATGTTTTTAAATTTTAAATTTAGCCAATTAAAATTAAATAACATTAGCAATTCAGTTCTTCAGTTGCACTAGCCATATTTCAAGTGCTCAATAACCACATGTGGTGAGCGGCTACCATGTTGGACAGCACAGTTCTACAGACATGCATATGCAATTGTCCTGTGACAGAAAATAGTTTGGCCAAGGAACTGAAAGAAAGCCAGTATAGCTGGAAGGTCTCGAGGGCAAATGAGTTCAGATGATTCTAGAAAGATTGCCTGGAGTTGGCCCTTTATTCTCAGAGCCAAAGGAGGCTACTGAAGGGTTTTAAGCAGTAGGCCAAAACAAGCAGATTTGCATTTTGCAAAGATCATTTTGTCTGTAGCTTGAAAGACAGATTAGGGAGGGGTTGCTTAGGAGGCTGTTGCTGTCATCTAGGTGAGAGATGTTGGAGATTTGAACTAGGGTGGTGGCAGTGGAAATGGAGAGAAGTGAGCAAAATCAAAAGGTATTTGGGGCATAAAGTTGACAGAATTTGGTGATGCATTGGATGTGGAAGAGGGGAGAGACGGGGAGGAGTTATCAAGGATGAAATCTCTTTTTCTGACTCAAACACCCAGACAGATGACAGTGCTGTGTTCTGAGGTGGGAAACCTGCGAGGAAGACCAGTTTGGGAGAAGAAGGAAGAACATAAATCTGCTTTCGACCACGTTGAGTTTGTAGTACCTCTGAGACATCCTGGTAAAGATGGTGAGCAGACATTGCTTAGACATAAACACAAGTTTAGTTGTACAGGCGGAGTTTGGGATGGAATGTAAACTGGTGTACAGAAGGCAATTGAGGCTGTGGGTTTGGAAGAGCTCAACTGAAAAGACAGCACTGGTTGAAGAGAGGAGTCTGGGCCCAGCTCTAATATAAAGTCCCTCTAAATATAAAGATCAGATCACAAACGGTGAGTTAAAGAAGGAGCAGGCAAGAGGAAACCCAGGGGAATATCAGGTCCCAGAAGCTAGCAAGAAGGAGGGAGAGATCAAGCAAAAGAGGACTGGAAAGTGACCATTGGACTCAGCAACGTGTGCCAACAGAAGCTTAGCAGCAGTGTTTGGGGAGGGTGATGGAAACAGACAATTCCTTAGCTGTGAAAAAGAGGAAGAGAAATAGGACAGGAGCTAGAAAGAAATATGAGTCAAGAGAGACCTTTTTTCTTTAGATGGGAAAGACTTGATGGTATTTAAAACCTTCTGGGAGGGGTGCACTTAAGAGAAAGCAGTTGAGTACACAGGCAAGAGAAGGGGAAATCAGTAGTGGAAGGTTCCATGGGGAGGGATGGCTCTGCAAGAGCAAGGAGAGAGTGATGCAGGTGCGGGAAGCCTGGGAGGTGAGGAAGGTGGGGGATTTCATGTCTGTGCACCTGCAGGTCTTGTCCCGTCTACACCTGTGATCTTCACTGCCAGTCACAGACCGCCCACAGCCAGCTCCAGCCCCTCTTCACTCACTCTTTACCTTGTCTCCTCTCCTTGACCCTGGCTGTGTTTTTGCAAGTCTCTCTGTGCCATCCATCTTCCATCTCTGTGTTCCCTCTGCCTTTGCCCCTCTCTGCGTCTCTAACTCTGTCTTCTCGGTCCCTCTTTTTGTCACCCTGACCTTCTCTGTTCCCACTTCAGCCTCTGACTCTATTTTTGTGCACCATTGATTCTCTTTGTCCTTCTGTTTCTCACTTTGGGGCATCAATCCTCAGTCCCAGTATGTCTTGGCTGTCTTTGTCTCTGATTTGTCCCTGACCCTTAGGCTCTTGCTCCTCAAAGTGTGGCCATGGACCAGCGATCTTGGCCTCATCTGGAAGCTGCTAAAAATACAGAATCTCTGGCCTTACCCAGACCTAAAGAATCTGATTCTGCCTTGTAAGAAGATCCCTTAGTAAATTTGTGCAGATATTTAACAATTTGAGAAGCACTGTCATAAGCTTTCCTCTACACCAACATCAAAGCAGAAATCCAGAATCTTAGCAACATCAAAGAATGAGCTGGATCCTCCTGTATCTCCTGCCATCAACTCTGTGATGCTCTGAGCCATCCCGCTTCTCTGCATCGCATCTTTGAGCCACCTAAAGCTGCTCTTGAGGCCCTAGGCAGCTAAGATAAGGAACACAGTATGGGTTTCAGGAAGTCCTGAATCCACTGATGTACACCCCACACTTGAGCTTCTACATCTGCAGAATTACTGGCAAGATCATCTGATACTGATACACTGGGTGCTTTCAGATGCGATCCCAGTACATTCCTAAAAAACAATTAGCCCCACCTGGACCTACTCCTGTCTCACTCTGTCCTGTCTTTAGCTGGAGAGGGGTGTGTGTTTCAAAACCTGCTCACAACCCTAGAAGCAGCCCACCTGAGGCAGAGACCATAAGGGCTGAGAGCAGCCCAGAGTTGGTCCAGACATCACACCTTGTGCTTTTTAGGATGACTGAGTGCTGGAGAGAGGGAATCTATGTCAAGATATGGAGCTGCCTAACCCTATTCCCAGGTTTAGGCAACAACAGCACATGATTGTATGTAGTTGTTACGTGCCCACATTGTTATTTGGAAAATGTTAGCTTTTTCCTCTACGGGGCCACAGATTTGCCCAGACTAACACATTTCTGGCCACCGTACACAGTTCCAGCTCTGGTATGTTTCAGATCAAATCTCCAGAGTGTAGATTTGTTTTCCATTTCAATATTTTGGGTGATGGGGTTGTGTTTTCCGGATTTGTTTACTTAAGTGGGGATTTTTTTCTTTCTGGTTTGTTTGGTTTGGTGTAGGAGGACTGAGAGGGAATTTAGGAAAAGGGTCAGCTTCTTGGGCTCTATTACAAGTCCCTGATGCAGGGCCAGCAACCCAGGTGCTGGCTTTTCGCGTCTCACTTCTCCAGCTGTGGTCCAGACCAGATTTAAATGGGCAACAGGTGGAAACCCAAGTGAACAGTGATAAGGTGGGAGGAAAACAATCAGAGGGAACAGGTTTCATTTTTAAGGACTAAATGGATTCATTGCAAAAGGTCTGGAATACTGTCTAGTACTGCCAGTAAAAGTGAGCCAGAACAAAAGCCTAGTTATAGGGGAGTAGAGAAGATCTGAAGATTAGGTCCTCAGGGGTTGCTGAGACGTGAGCATACCAGGGTTGGGTGCACCTGCTTTGGTGTGGCGCACCTTCTGGCTCTCCCAAGAGAAAGCCAACACACGGGGAACAATAAACAGGTTTTGGCTGGAGGCTTGGTTGAAGCTCCTTTAGCATCAAGAATGTGAGGCCGGGCGTGGCGGCTCATGCCTCTAATCCCAGCACTTTGGGAGGCTGAGGCAGGAGGACAGCTTGAGGCCAGGAGTTCAAGACCAGTCTGGGCAACATACTGAGACCCTGTCTCTACAAAAAGACAGAGAGAGAGTGACCTGCACTAAATAGACCCTTGGGTGAGCTGGCATGGATGGGGACAGTGGGAGAGTTCGTAAATCTGGGCCCCTTCCTTTCTCCGTCACCGCTAGCCTACCAGGTTCTTGGTGACGAGAGACCCAGGCCAGTGGCTAGAGAAGGTGTCTTGGGTTCTGCCCTAGAGCCTTCCAGAACTTAAGTAGGAAATTGCGAAACAGGGCTACATTTTGAAAGAGAAAGTATGTGAAAAATGGTTCCTCCCTCGCTTGTTCGCTCTCCCGGAGCTTGGTGCAGGGAGGTGGGTGAGATGGATTCCTGGCTGGACTCAGTCTGGTGTGGGAAAGAGGCAGAACTGAGTCCTTAGGGGCCTCTCAGGCCAGGTCTCTGCAGCTGTCAGCCTTCGGTTATTGATCCTTGTTATTGGGATGCACTTTTTCCATCTGTTGAGCATCAGCCTGGTCCATGTAGAAGGCCAGCTCCTTCCTCTGGCTGAGTTTTGTCTCCTAAAAGTCCAGCTTCTGAGGGCTCCCTCTGCAACCCAATATGTACCATGGACTGCTGATTAAATACTTGGAATGTCTTCAGGGTGAGCCAGGCCTGTCCATAAAATGGGAGGCATTTTGGCAGTTCCAAGGCCCCTGGCACCCAGTCTTGGCCCTCGCCTGGCTGTCTTCTTCAAGGAGCTGCGGTGGGCCTCCCGCCAGAATGCTTCCCTGGGAAACATCGAAGTGAGTTAAAGTCAACAATGAGTTCATCTCCAAAAGGAATAAACTGGCAGCCTTCAGGGCAGGGGAACAGAAGCGGGGAGTAGGGGAGGGACAGGGACTTGGGGGCAGAAGAGGGGGATAGGTGATGCTGCAACAGCCAGGTCAGATCCAAGCCTGTCAAATGAGCTGGCAGCGCAAGGAACAAAGGAACTGGCTTTCCTGGGCCAGTCCTGGAAGGCTCGCTTGGCAAATGTGTGACGATGAGGGTGTCACAATCCCAGGGACCATGGAAAGTATTCTCCTAAGGATTTGGAACTGGAGCAGGACACTGAGATGGGAAGAGGCTGTGGCGGTTGGGTGGGTGAGGCAGTGAGCTGTGGCCCTGCTGACCCAAGCCTGCCCCATGGGGATGTCAGGATGGCCATTCAGGCAGTTGAACTCCACTGTCTCATCTTGGAGGACTTGAAGAGGGAGGACTCGGTGCTGAGGCCAAGTGACTAGCAGGCTCATGATGACAGAACTCAACATTTTAATCTGATCATCGTTCCCATCAGATTTATCTCTGAGGGCTTTACATATGGATAATGGTTCCCGATTTGAGCCAGTGTCTCGTTGCTACACTCCTTGCTGCCTGGGGCATGAGGAAACCACACCCTAAAGGGTATTGGACTGCCCTTGGCGCACCTTGGGCCTCAGGAGCCAATGGCGCGGCAAGCCCAATGTGAGCACTGCCCTGGGTTGGGCCTGAAGCTGGAGCCACCTCTTTGTGGGCCCCAGAGTAGAAACTCAGCCTGCCCAGCTACCTCCAGGGCTGGGCTCAGCGTGGAGGAGTGCAGCAGCGCCTCCCTACTTTGGACAGAAAAGTCTGATAAAAAGCTGCCTGTTCCAGGTTGAGATACACATAACCCGTCTGGCTCAGACTTCGGATATGCCCCAGGGGCTTGCAGACTCTGGCAACAATTGCCTTGAATATATACTTGGCCTTTCTCCCAAGGGCAGGACCATTGCTGATAGACTGTGCTTGATTTCTCTCATGCCCGCACATTCATTCTCACAAGGTATTTTACTGTACGAGGTATTTGCCTACCACACATAGTTACAATTCTTTTCCCACCACCAAACCAACAAAACGTCCACAGACATTGCACCTCAATTTTTCACAAACACATTTTCATCGCATTCCCATGGTTTACCCTTCTGTTTCCCTCTTTTTTTCTCCCACTTTTTTCAAACCTGTTTCACCCTTCTGATCCTCCTGATCTCTCTCCATGCTGGCTGACTGGCTTCTCTGCTCTCCCAGACGGCCTGTAGCACCCCATCGGTCACTCTCCTTTCTCTTCCTTTTTTTTGCTTTCCTTTGGCTGTGTAGCCACAGGTTCTTCACAGCCATGGCTTGCCCAGTCCATATTTTTCCTGTATATTTGACCAATTGCATTTGTCTTTTGGTATCACAAGCTAGATGTTTGTTGATTGAATGAATGAAGTGGTCCCTCTTGGATGGGTATGTTCTTATATTAGCCCTGGAGATGATAATTATTGATGGTGCTTACTCATTTTTCCTTCTAGGAGGCAAAATGAGGCCAGCATCAAAGTTCAGTGGAGCACCAGGCCAAAAGCAATGCAATCTCGATCTTTCTGTCATTTGGCCACAACTGTTGATGACGACCCAGATTTCCAGGCCCATCTCCTGCCACCCCCATCCCCTGCCCCATCTACTCTTCTACTCAGAATTACTCACTGTGCCCAATACAAATACACATTCAAGTTCCCATGCCTTCGTCTATGCTGTTCCCTCCACCTAAAATGTGTTTCTCCCTGCTTTCATCTGTAGACCTTCTACTCATATTTCATACCTAGATGGAATTACCCTTCCTCTGTGAAGGAGGCCCCTCCCCAGTAGCTGCTCCTCCTGTATGTTTCTATGGACTATTTCACCTTTATGACATCCATGTCTGTGTCCCATAGCCTAAGGTTAGCTCCTGAGAGCAGAGACTGTGGGATGTATTATTGCATTCCTGTTCTTTCCCAAGTCTCTTGAGGCTGTGGGTACAGTTGGAAATACTCTCATAGTGCTTACACTATGCGCATACACATAATGCTTACAGTACTACACATCGACACAGTGCTTACACTATTCTAAGCCTTTTACTTGCATTGCTTCATTTAACCCTCAACACAGCCCTGTGAGGTGGATACCATTATTAGGCCGATTTTACAGATGAGGAAACTGAGACACAAAGAGGTAAAAGGATGTGACCAAGGACACACAGCTAATAAATAAATGAGGTCAGAATTGGACCGCAGGTAGTCTGGCTCAGCTACCACTTAGCTATTTGAAAACCTGCATTTTCCATGTGCTTTTCCATACCTTAGTACCATGATATGCAGCCTGGTGAGTGTCTCATTTATTGGCAGGAGGGGATTCTGAGGGTTGGATCATATGTGCTTACAAATAACGCTATAGGGCCTGCAAGGACATCCATCCACCCCTGCCTTGCCTCTTGAGCCCCTCATCAGCATGCATTGCTCACAAAGCTACTCAAGACCACCTGCCAGTGTGTGCCCCCATGCCCCACTGCAGGGGCTGCCTCCAACACAGTTGAAGCTGCCCACCCTGGGTGTAGCCCCTAGAGACCACGGTGCACCAGAACCATGCCGGGCAAGTGGACCATCTCCTCTACTTTCTGTTGTGCTTTGCTTCAAGGTCACCAAAGTTGCTTTCACAAAGACTGCGGACAAAGGAGCCCTTTGGATTTCTGCCTGAAGCTCCCTTCTCCTTTGGCCTCAGGAAAAAAAAAAAAAAAGTCCTGGAGCTCAGTTAGGGGACTGACAGGTCAGTGCTGCTCCCCTGAGACTTGCTTTTGCCCTCTAGCACCGGCTCTCTCTCCGTGAATTTTAAACCTCTGCAGAGAGCCCCCTGCTGGTCTATGAAAGCATCAGCTACATCAGGTGAGGAGTGGACCCTCGTTTGAATCCCCAGGGCAGAAAAAATGAAATATACCTCTATAGTGGGATGGGCAATGTTCACTCTCAGAGAGCAATGGCAAATAAATAGTCATTGAATGGTCAATTCCCTGTCTCTTCAATGATCAGAACACATACCAGTGCCCTAGCACAGGGGGTTGTAGGCAAGTGTTTTCTGTAAAGGGCCAGGTAGTAAATATTTTAGGCTTCACAGGCCATATGTGGTCTGTCGTGGCTACTCATCTCTGCCTTTGTAGTGCAAAATCAGCCATAGACCATATGTAAACAAATAGTGTGGCTGTGAACCAATAAAACTTTATTTATGAACCCAGAAGTTTGAATTTCATATAATTTTCACATGTTACAAAATACTATTCTTATTTTGAATTTGGTCGGTCATTTAATAACATAAAGACCATTCTTAGCTTTTGGGCCACATAAAAACAGCAACTGGTGGGATTTGGCCTGTGGGCTGTAATTTGCCTACCCCTGCACTCAGAGATAAGCTACTTGGTTTGGTTCATGCCTTTTCTTGACGTAGGAGAGTGGGGAGGACACAGCAAAACCTGAGTCCCCAGGTCCTGGGCACAGTGACTGGGCATCTTGGGGATTTCCCTAGCTCTAGCTAGAAGCAAAACTGACAACTTTAAAGTCTCTCAGATAGACTTTTAAAGCATCTAGAAGGGGCTAGGTGCAGTGGTTCATGCCTGTAATCCCAGCACTTTGGGAAGCTGAGGTAGGTGGATCATTTGAGGTCAGGAGTTTGAGACCAGCTTGGCCAACATGGTGAAACCCTGTCACTACGGAAAATACAAAAATCAGCTGGGCATGGTGACAGGCACCTGTAATCCCAGCTACTCAGGAGGCTGAGGCAGGAGAATTGCTTGAACCTGGGAGGCAGAGGTTGCAGTGAGCCAAGATCGCATTACTGTGCTCCAGCCTGGATGACAGAGTGAGACTCCGTCTCAAAACAAACAAACAAACAAATGACAACAACAAAAAACCATCTGGCAGGGCGTGGTGGCTCATGCCTGTAATCCCAGCACTTTGGGAGGCCGAGGTGGGCAGATCACGAGGTCAGGAGATCGAGACCATCCTGGCTAACATGGTGAAACCCCGTCTCTACTAAAAATACAAAAAATTAGCCAGGCGTAGTGGCGGGCGCCTGTAGTCCCAGCTACTCGGGAGGCTGAGGCAGGAGAATGGCGTGAACCCGGGAGGCCGAGGTTGCAGTGAGCCGAGATTGTGCCACTGCACTGCAGCCTGGGTGACAGAGCCAGACTCTGTCTCAAAACAAAACAAAACAAAACAAAACAAAAACATCTAGAAGATTCCTCCAAACTGGGTTAAAAAGTGAGTAGGAAGGATTGCTTTTCCCAAAGATGAGGGAGTGATAGACTTATCTTTTTCTAACTGGGGCTCTAAAAAAGGAAACATAGCTAAAGGTTTTGACTAGTTCTTCCTCTGCTGCTTGAGAAGATATTCACCCTGACTTTCTTCCATACCTTTGCCTGAATCTCTATTTTAGAAATAAGATTTTGTTCCTAGTCTAGACAGAAGAGCAAGAGGGATGGAGGAGGTCAAGGAAAATCTCAGTGTCTTGCTGGGCAGAGGATGCCCTTAGGGCAAGACTGAACTTCTGACAGACAGAGCTCCACTGATCTGTTGGTTTTAGATGGGAAGTTAACTTTTCAGATTCTTTAACATGACATTATTCTACTGGAAACAAACCAAGGGACCTGGATAAAGTTTTTAAAAAGTGTTTTCTTAAAGAAAAAGGAGGGAGGTAGGCAGGAGAGAAGGGAGTAAAGAATTACACAAAGATTTGGTCTAACGGCTTCAAAATCAAAAGGATCCCTGGACAGATAGATATTGAGTGTAATAGGAAACACACTGATCCTGGGGAGATGACTTAATATAGGCCCTCCAGCCTCCTCAGAGCTTAAACAATTACCTACAATTTGGAATTATACTTTAAATTCCCACATCAATGTGTGTTCTGGATCCACTTCTCAGGACACGGCCAGCAGTCTTGAGTTATCTAAACCATGCTGAAAATTAGAGGCCATTAATAGCATCTCATAAAAGTGCTTCTCAGATTTTCTTGAGCAGAATATGCCGAAGACCACAAGGGATTTGGTGATAGGAAGGAGCGAAATGCTTCTAGTTATTTTTCCAAAGCTTAATCTGGGGATCTTTTTGAAGAGCTCCTACCCAGCAGTGAGATGCATGCCAAGACTAATACGACTGTTTTTCCCACTTAGAAGTGGTGACCATGAAGAAAAGTTTCTTGGGGTTCCCAGAGGTGAGTCTCCTAGCCATTTTTACAGGTAGCAAGCCCACTAGTTTGCTATATCCTTGTCCAAGAATTTCCCAGACACCCTAGACTGAAAACTGAGGGTAACTTGGCCTATGAAGCTCTAAGTTAATACACTTTTCTTTTCTTTTCCTTTTTTTTTTTTTTTTTTTTTTTTTGTGGCAGGGTCTCACTGTGTCGCCCAGGCTGGAGTGCACTGGTGTAAATCTTGACTCACTGCAACCTCTGCCTCTCAAGCTCAAGCAATTCTTGTGCCTCAGCCTCCCTAGTAGCTGGGTTTACAGGCGTGTGCCACCACGCCCGGTTAATTTTTGTATTTTTAGTAGAGATGGGGTTTCACCATGTTGGCCAGGCCGATCTTGAACTCCTGACCTCAGATGATCTGCCTGCCTTGGCCTCCCAAAGTGCTGAGATTACAGGCATGAGCCACCACGCCCGGCCGAACTTTACTTTTCTGATACTTGAATTTGCTTGTAAAACTGTTGAGGTTGTATAACCAAGGACTCACTTTTTTGTTTTCTATCAGTGAAACAAAACAACAAAATCCTGAAGATGTATATTCTGAGCCTTTCTCTGTTCTTCCAGAGTCCCAGAACCTAGCATTTGGGGACTAGGACTGTTTCACATTGGGCAGCGGCCATTCCAGGGGCCCAACTCTTGGCCTCAGCAGGCACGGGTCAATGCTTCATGGGCTTGCCAGAGGAGAGACACAAGAGGCCCCAAAAGAGCAGCTTCTGCTAGCAGTTCAACTGGGAAGTACAACTCAACAAGCCGGCACTAATTAAGAGCTAATGGCCTTACAAATGAGCATTGCCAAAGGATAACGACCCTCCGGCTGCAGCATAAATATCAAGGCATTTGGGGCAGAGCCAAGATATATATTTTCAGAGTGCATTAGACACTGCAGCAGCCTTCCTCACCCTGGCTCTGCTAAGAAGAACAAGATGATTTAAGATAGGTAGGAAAGAAGCTTGATCTTCCAGGGCTGCCTTCTGGTCAGCAGGTCAGAAAGCCTCCGAGTGACTCTTGGAAAAGACTTCACTTTTGTATATACAAGAATCACTTGAGGAGCTTGCTAAAATGTAGATTCTCTTGGCCCCACCCCCAAGATGGTCTGATTTTGGAAGCTCTGGGATAAAACCCAGAAATCTGCATTTTTGTTTTATTTTATTTTATTTTTGAGACAGGATCTCACTCTGTCACCCAGGCTGGAGTGCAGTGGCACGATCTCACTGCAGGCTCCACTTCCCAGGCTCAAGAGATTCTCCAGCTTCAGCCTCCCAAGTACCTGGGACTACAGGTTTGAGCCACCACGCCTGGCTAATTTTTGTATGTTTTGTAGAAACAAAGTTTTACCATGTCACCCAGGCTGATCTCGAACTCCTGCGCTCAAGCGATCCACCTGCCTCTGCTTCCCAAAGTGCTGGGATTCCAGGCATGAGCCACCATGCCCAGCATTTTAAAACAGATCCCCCAAGTGATTCTGATGCTTGTGGTTCTCAGACCACACTTTAAAAAATGTTGCTTTAGAAGCTGCTGCTATTTGCCCATTAGACCCCAGTGATAAACTTTTTACAGAATGAAGATAAAAGTGAGGTCAGGGCCCGGCACACTGGCTCATGCCTATAATCCCAGCACTTTGGGAGACTGAGGCAAGTGGATCACCTGAGGTCATGAGTTCAAGACCAGCCTGGCCAACATGGCGAAACCCCATCTCTACTGAAAATACAACAATTAGCTGGGTGTCCTGGTGGGTGCCTGCAATCCCAGCTACTCGGGAGGCTGAGGCAGGAGAATTGCTTGAACTGATGAGGCAGAGGTTGCAGTGAGCTGAGATCGTGCCATTGCACTCCAGCCTGGGTGACAGAGCAAGACTCTATCTGAAAAAAAAAAAAAAAAAAAAAAAAGTAAGGTCAGGATTGTCTGCTTCCTGTGAAGACACCAGTCCAGAACATGGCATTTCCAGCCAGTCTCCATCCATTAAGGTCTTCTCATTCACACAAACCTGTGGTTACCAGGAGCAACATTTGAGGGGATGAGTAGCTCACCTTGGATTTTGAGAAAAATAGAAAGCATCCCTGGCCGGTGCAGTGGCTCATGCCTGTAATCCCAGCACTTTGGGAGACCGAGGCGGGAAGATCTCGAGGTCAGGAAATTGAGACCAGCCTGGCCAACATGGCGAAACCCCGTCTCTACTAAAAACACAAAAATTAGCTGGGCATGGTGGTGCGTGCCTGTAATCCCAGCTACTTGGGAGGCTGAGGCATGAGAATAGCTTGAATCTAGGAGGCAGAGTTTGCAGTGAGCTGAGATCATGCCACTGCACTCCAGCCTGGTGAAAGGGCAAGACTCCATCTCAAAAAAAAAAAAAAAAAAAAGAAGAAAAATAGAAAGCATCCCATCTGCATGATGTGTACCATGTCTGCGATGCTTTCATATACTGTAACTCATATGATCTTATTGCAGTCTTTCAGAGTAGTTAAGCTATTGCATCTGTTTTAAAGCTGAGGAACTGTAGACCTGGAGGTGTATCTTGCCTCTGCTAGTTGGCATGACATCAGAAAAGAGAGTGAAAAATAGTCACTGCATTACAATGCGGCAAGCAGGGCAGGCAAATCAAACCAGTAACTTAAGCTTGACTTACCTTGATCAGGCTTTTTATCTGCTGGTAGAATTGAAGTTGGTTGTCGAGATCGGCAAATATTGTTGTAAAAGGATTGATGGGTCAGATTATAAAAATAGATGGAAAGTTTGTAAGATAAATGCAAGCAGAGTATGAGAACAGGAGAGAAACAACCCACCATATCATCTGGGAAAATGAAACTCCTTGGCAAGACTTCACAACAGCCTGATTCAAAATTTCATAATGAAATTATGTCTCTGATCAAAGCCTGAATGAGCTCATAGGCTGATTTTTGCCATCCGTGTTTATTCTGGTTTGCACCAACTTGAGGCATCAGAAACACATTAACTGAATCTTCTCTCTGGGAGGAGGCTATGGTATCCTTGTTTTGGGGATCAGAGGGACAGTGTGGGGTGGAAGGGGGCATCTTCACTGATCATGAAGTTTTTTCCAAATAGCTCTCAGAGCTTCCCTAACACAGGTCACAGTCAGGGCCTTCCCAGCAGAGCTGCATTTAATCTCATGATACTTGCCCTTGGGGCAATAAAAGCGAAGCTTGAGGGACAGAAGGTATTTCCAGCTCTAGCCTATGACATGGCCTGCTTTTGCTCTAAAGAGAATGTTTTGGGGTTTGTTTCAAACTCAGAGAAATAAAGACTCAATCATCCCCTGCTCAATTAGAATACCTCACTTTATAACAAATTGTTTGTTTTTATGAAATGAGCTACACTGCATGAATCCACCCTTCCTCTTGCCTAACCATCTCTTCTTTGGCCTATCCAGAGGGTACAAAGATGGCCATTTTCTGACAATTTGAGGTACCAAAAAAGAGAGAGGGACCAGGCGAGGTGGCTCACACTTGTAATCCCAGCACTTTGGGAGGCTGAGGCAGGTGGATCACCTGAGGTCAGGAGTTTGAGACCAGCCTGGCCAATGTGGTGAAAGCCCGTCTCTACTAAAAATACAAAAATTAGCTGGGCATGATACCATGCGCCTGTAATCTCAGCTACTTGGGAGGCTGAGGCAGGAGAATTGCTTGAACCCGGGAGGTGGAGGTTGCAGTGAACCGAGACCGGGCCACTGCACTCCAGCCTGGGCAACAAGAGCGAGACTCCGTCTCAAAAAACAAAAACAAAAACAAACAAACAAAAAATAAATTGTAAAAAGAGAGAGGGCTTCTTGGTTCAAACACTGGCATCTAGACACTTTATTCTGGCTAGTAGAAACAGAAATCACTGGGTCTTAATGCCTTCCTTCATCCTCAAGGCAAGAGACATTCCCATCTACTCATTCTTTCACTTAATGAATATTTTTTGAGTCCTTTGTTTCAGATGCTATTCAAGTCTTAAAGACACAGCAGTGAACAAATTAACAAGGTCCCTGCTTTTAAGAATCTTACATTCTAGTTTGGGGGAAGCAGCCAATAAACTTGTAAAAAAAATTCAACTAGTGATAAATGCCATGAAATAAATAAAACAGAATACTGTAACAGAATAACTGTGAAAGGGTGAAAGGTGGCTGATTTAGACAAATTAGACAGGAATGAGTTCTCACAGCAGGAAGGGTCACCAGATAAAATACAGAACGTACAGTTACATTTGAATTTCAGGCAAACGATGAATACTTTTTTAGTCTAAGTATTTTCCAGGCACTGTTGGAGGTGTACTAAAGAAAAGTATTCATTTTTTTTCTCTGAAATTCTAATTTAATTTGGTGTCCTGTATTTCTATTTGCTAATTCTTGCAGGCCTACCAATAGGTGATATTTGAGCTTAGGATTGAATGACAGCTATGCAAAGATTCTGGGAAAGAGTGATTCAGGCAGAGAGAATATCCAGTGTAAATGTCAGAATAACCAGAGGGAGGGACGTACACATGAGATTAGATAAATAGGCAGGCAGGGGCCAGATCACAGAATCCTGTAGGGATGGCAAAAAGTTTGAATCAATCTCTGTCTCTGTCTGTTTCTCCCTTCTCCCTTCCCCTACCTCTCATTCTAAGAGTGATGATAAGCCACTGGAGTTGTAAGGAAGAGAATGACACCTCCTAACGGATATTTGGCTGCTGTGTGGTCGGCAACTTTTGGAAGGACTTAGAAGACAAATTCAGAAGACAAACTTAAGCTTGTGCCACTGGCCTGGGAAGAAGCTTCTTTATTCGGAGGTGGACCCAACTGGGAGCTCTGGCCGCGCGTTCAGGTTAACTAGGCGGTTGCTATGAACGGGCAGCTTGGCGGTTGCTAGGGCTGGAGCGGGCTGGGGCTCCACGCAGGGCGACGCCTAGGCGGCTGGAGCGGGGGCGGAGCCAGGAGGGTGACGGCGCGCGCCGCGCGTTCACAGGAAGTCGCTCTGAGGCCGAGAGGGACGCGAGCGGAAGTGACGTACGTCGTGCACACGTGGTCCGGCGTGGTTCAGGCGGGTGTCTTCGGCCGGGCTTGGGAACATAAAAGTTTGTTTCACCACGTAAGCCGGACCTCGCACTCCGGTCCCGGTCTCGTCGCCAAGATGGTGAAGCCCAAGTACAAAGGACGGAGCACCATCAACCCGTCCAAGGCCAGCACAAACCCAGGTACAGGCGGCAGGGCTGATCGAGGGTGGAGCTTGGAGGAAGTATAGGGAAGGGCTCCGAGGAGCACTGGAGGGGAAGGAGGGTTACTCGAGTGGCATTGCTTAGAATGACTACGAGCGGGGTGGCTGTTGGGGATGAAAAGGGAAAAAGGAAAGCAATATTTGTGGTGGTTTCTTCTCAGGGGGGAACTGAGGAGGGCTCAGTGCACGCCTGGCAGGCCAAAGTGTAGTCAACTGGTCTGAAGTCAAGGAAAGTGAACACTCAGGCTGACAGCCTTGGGTCCTCTCCAGTTGAGAGATGCAGAGAAAGTCAGATTAAAAATGGTGTAGGTTGACCCTTCGGGCCTTTTACACGTGATCATACTTGCCTGCCACCTTAGCTTTGACCTTTAAAATGAGAAAGGGCTTATAGTTTTGGCCCTTGGAATTATTCTATCTGGTAAAGTGCTTAGAGAACCCTACAAAGAAGTCAGTATGATCATTGCAGTAAGGCTGTTTAGGAGATGTGTGTAAGTTTTGGCGAGGTTCCACCTGTACGATTAACAAGACATCCTATGGGAGAGTTCCTTCCATTCAGGTTTAATTAATAAAACTTTGTTTTAAAATATGGTTTAGAATTTTTGACAATTTTAATGCAAGTTGAATGTTTATTCCGGATTGATAATAAATTATTCACTTTGCACAAACTGGAATCTCAGAATGTTAGACCCCAAAAGGCCCTTAGAGATTATGATTTTACAGGTGAAGAGACTGAATCAAAATACAGGAAGTGGCCTGTCATAATTGCAACAGTTAGTGAGTAGTAGTAGAGCCGCCAGTTTCTACTGTTAGAGACTGTTAGGAGAGCCAATGGGCTGTGGTTTCAGCCTGTCTTCTACTGTATCACTTCAGGACCAGACAGGTGATTTAAGGGGCTCCTGGCCAGGTGTGGTGGCTCACGCCTGTAATCCCAGCACTTTGGGAGGCCGAGGCGGTCGGATCACCCGAGGTCAGGAGTTCAAGACCAGCCTGACCAACATGATGAAACCCCCTCTCTACAAAAATACAAAGATTAGCCGGGCATGATGGCGGATGCCCGTAATCCCAGCTACTCGGGAGGCTGAGGTGGAAGAATTGCATGAACCGGGGAGGTGGAGGTTGTAGTGAGCTGAGATCGCGACACTGCACTCCAGCCTGGGTGACAGAGCACGACTCTGTCTCAAAAAAAAGATAATAATAATGAATAAATGAATAAATAGGTAAATAAAGGGCTCCCAAAATGAGAAGCTAGGCTAGTATTACCCTATTCGTTTGTCCTTCTCTTTCTCTTTGAGATGTAAGGCAAGAATTGCTGTGTTGATTAAACAAAAATCAAACATTAAGAAAGTAAGAACACATATATCAAAATTATAGTCTCCATGGTGCCTTGCATGGAGCAGGCACTCAATATTTGTTAAACTGAGACACAGAGGTAGGTATCTTCGTGGTTAAGACCATAGATGGTGATCAAATGCTCATGTACAAATTCTGGCTCTGCCATTTAGTAACGGTTTGACCTTGGGCAAGGTGTCTGACCACTGTGCCTCAGTTTCTCACTCCGCAGCATGGGGATAATATATCTATAGGATTATTGTATAGATTAAATCAGATGATGCCTATAATTTGGATAACACAGTGCCATCATAAGTGCTCAAAAATATTAGCTATTCTTCTCAAATACAATCCTATCGAAGATCAAAGATTGGGTCAGCTTTGTCATACCATGTAGCTTCAAGTACTAATTATTGGAGCAACATATGGAGAAAGTAGAGATTTTTGTGGTTGGTGGCTTCTTACCTAATTTGGGTGAACTACTTGTTGCATTTTAAGCAATGACTTGTTGGTTATACTGGTTGGTTATCAAATAGTGCACTGTGTACTTCTGCCTTTTGTAGATCGAGTGCAGGGAGCAGGAGGCCAAAACATGAGGGACCGGGCCACCATCCGGCGCCTGAATATGTATAGGCAAAAGGAGCGCAGGTGAGCACTGGGTGCTGTCATCCTTTCTCTTTTCCTTCATGCCCTTGACTGCTAGCTGAGACTGATGAAGCCTTTGCTGTTCTCACCCCCACTTCCTCCAAATAGGAGTTATATATTCTCAAATATAATTGTACGTGAGTGTCGTTAGGATAAAGTGTTAACTTTTGGTTAAGGACATGGGTAGCTGGCGGTGAAATAGTGATGGTTTCACAATACTCAAAAGTAGAGGTCTTGTTTCTCACAGCCCTGACCTCCACAAATGGCGCATTAAATCTCAGAGTTAAATATGGCCAGATATAACAAAACCTACAGGACTGTAGTTAGGAAAGCCACCAGAAAATGTGTTTTTTAATGCCAAAATGTAGATCATGACATTGTGGCACTTGGACAGTCATCAAAACTCCGAGTTCTGCTGAGGTAGCCTCTACCACAGGGATTTGCTGAGTGTGGCATTCCGCTAACTGGTCTTAATTTGTTTGGTAATTAGATTCTCCATCTCCGTCTGTCCTAAAAGATGTGACTAAAATACAAATGTCAAAGAACTTAATATGTGTAGTCATCTACTTTGCAGTTTGTTTTAGAATTTGGAATTCCGGCGTAAATCACCCTCTACGTGAAAAATTCATTTAAACCAGCCTTTGAATAATTACCCAAAAAACTCAAGTATGTATGTGTTTTTTTTTTAAAGTAAACAGTAACCAGATTTTTTAGAACGTCACCATTAGTTGTTATTCATCTAGCAGAAATCATTACGTGCTCTGTTGCAAGAGGTTAAATGGCTTTTGGGCAATCTGTTTCAAATGTAGAAGTACTTTGTGTTTACTGGAATTGGTATTTCATGATCATTTAAAACCAAAGTAAGAAGTCCTTTTGATGGAAAATATATTCTGTAAATCAAACTTCGCTGTTGCCATTTTTCTGTTGTCAACCAATATCTGTTCTTTCCTCAATTTAGGAACAGTCGTGGTAAAATAATTAAACCCCTGCAATATCAATCAACGGTGGCTTCTGGCACAGTGGCAAGAGTAGAGCCAAATATTAAATGGTTTGGTGAGTATTATCCCCTGTTACTTTGCTCTACAAAATATATGCTGAGTGGAAACGGCTAGGATGTTTAAATGTCTAAACAGCAGGAGTTTTTGGTGAGTGAAACCGGCAAGGATTATCTGAGAAAGGGATAAGAAGAATTACTGGGAAAAGTAGTGGTGGTCAATTTAATAAATAACTTCTTTTTGAAGAGCGCTCACCATTAGTAATTGTAATTGAACCCTCTTAAGCAGATAAGACCATCCTTAATGACTAGCATTCACAGACCTTAGAATGCTCATCTTAATCTTTTCTGCTTTCCTAAAGAGATACTGTTGGAGAGGTGGCCTTGTAGGTTTTGTGCATATATCCTTCAGGGTAAGTGCATTAGCCCGAAGTTCCTCTGAAATACTTCTTAATGGGGTTTTTATTTGAACTTGGGTGACAATTAAAGGGTCTCACTGTTGAACTGTCCAACAGTGAATAGAGTATCTTCAGTCTCAGGGTGATCACAGCTTCTTCCTTGGAAAACTCCCTGTCTCATTTCAGTCTGGGCTCTTAACTTTGCCCTTAGCCACTGGTAAATGTATGGGCACTTTAGATGATCAGACCCCAGTGTTTGCTTGGTGTTTGACCTCTGTCCTTGGGGGCAGGTGGCAGCTATCTTTGAGTCTCTTATACTTTCAGTGGGATACTTCCTAAGAACTGCAACACAGAAAGGTGTCAAAACTCTGCAGAGAAGCATTTAGCATGGCTGCTGGGTACTGTGACTCGATTAGACTGCCTGGGTTTGAATTCTAGTTCTGTCATTTATGTGCCAGTGGGCAAGTTATTAAGTCTGTCTGTTCATCAGTTTTCTCATCCCTAACATGAGAATAAGATGAAACCTATCTCATAAGACTGTCATGGTAATCAAATGAGTAAATACAGGCAGGGCGCAGTGGCTCACGCCTGTAATCCCAGCACTTTGGGAGGCCAAGGCTGGTGAATCACTTGAGGTCAGGCATTCGAGACCAGCCTGGCCAACACAGTGAAACCCCCATCTCTACTAAATATACAAAAATTAGCCAGGTGTTGTGGTGGGCACCTGTAATCCCAGCTACTTGGGAGGCTGGGGCAGGAGAATCCCTTGAGCCCAGGAGGCAGAGGTTGCAGTGAGCTGAGATTGTGCCACTGCACTCCAGCCTGGGTGACAGAGTGAGACTCCATCTCAAAAAAAAAAAAAAAAAAAGAGTAAATATATATAAAGTGCTTAGAATAGCGCCTAGCAAATAGTGAGTATAATATAAGCATTACTTGCTACCGTCATTACCACCTTGCTGTTTTGCATTTATGCCGCAGCATGCTGTTTAATTGAATGCTTTTCAGGGTCTCCCTCACAAGATGTTTTCCAGGTGGTGGTGCAGGGCTCTATCTTGTTCCCTTGCATGGACTCATTGGTTAATAGTCCCTTTGAATCCTCATAACCCTAAAAGTGGCTAACTATGACTCAAATTTCAGTGTTTCAAGATTCTCTGTCTATACTGACTGATCAGCTGTGATTGGCTCCAGGTTTCTCTGCTAGATCTAGCAGGTAGTAGGACATTTGACAGATCTCAGTTCCATTCCACGCTATTTATTTCTCAGTTTCATTTAGTTAGGAAACTGGACTTGGAAAACTATTGAAACCCTTTGTGGGTCTGGATTTGTGGAATAGTTCATAGTGTGCAAGTGCGGGAGAGGCAGTTTTTTGGTTTTTTCCTCTTTTAAGTTTGAAAACAGCTCCAAGGGATGGATGGATCAGGTGCTTGGGTAAGTGAGGGTAATTTAAAATCTTGCCTTTCACCGTGTCAGTGGAAGATGGATGCGCAAATATTAACTAAGTGGCAACATTCTTTATTTGTAAAACAGGAAACACACGTGTGATTAAGCAGTCATCATTACAAAAATTTCAAGAGGAAATGGATACAGTTATGAAGGATCCATACAAAGTTGTCATGAAGCAAAGCAAGTTACCAATGTCTCTTCTCCATGATCGAATCCGGCCTCATGTAAGATGTAGGATATCCCTGGTGATGGAATTTCCTGGGCAAACTCCATGCAGATCCCTCTCTAACATATTTGTCTTTTGTTTTTCCTTAGAAAATAGTGACTTTAATGTAGCAATGATGAACTTTCTAAGACCTCTCTTTTCACCTTTTCATGTTTAGTATGAGGTGCAGTAGTGTAGTGGATCAAAGCACAGGTTTTGGAGTTGAGACCTGAATTTTAATCCTTGCTCTATCCCTTCCTGTGCCCTTAGTTGGGTTTCTCCATGAACTTTAACTTCTTTGCCTTGAAAGTATAGATAGGTCGGACACAGTGGCTCACGCCTGTAATCCCAGCACTTGGGAGGCTCAGGCAGGCGGATCACCTGAGGTCAGGAGTTTGAGACCAACCTGACCAACAAGAAGAAACCCTGTCTCTACTAAAAATACAAAATTAGCCAGGCGTGGTGGTGCATACCTGTAATCTCAGCTACTCAGGAGAGGCTGAGGCAGGAGAATCGCTTGAACCTGGGAGGCAGAGATTGCAGTGAGCCAAGATCGTGCCATTGCACTCCAGCCTGGGCAACAGGAGCGAAACTCCGTCTAAAAAAAACAGAAAGTATAGATAACCGACCTCCTTGGGTTATTGGCTACAGATGAAGCATCTGTAAAGCACTTGGCCCATAGTGAGCACATAGCACACCACCTAATAAGAGCTAAATTGATAACAGCTATTAGTAATATTATTTATTTTGGTAGGCAAACTTGTTTTAAGTGGTAATTCCATCAAACTTTGGGACAGCGTAGAATTAGGATTGAGTTGGTAGAACTTTGGTGTTGCGTACGTTCAGCTTTTGTGAGATCCTTGAGATTTTTTCTCAGCTGAAGGAAGGGGTGCTGGTCACATTGGTTGTCAATTGCTAAAATTTGAAGTGCAGTAAGGATTCAATCTGGGTTGAGTGGAATGAGTTTCACACAGAACAAAGAAAGAATCTGTTGTTTGTCTGCTTATTTTTACTTGCATTGAATAATAAATTCCCAGAAATGTAGCCAGTACGTAAGCTTCAGTTCCAGTATGAGGAGGGGAGAAAAACATTGACATGCATACGTGGGTTAAATAGTTCAGGCTGGGCGCGGTGGCTCACGCCTGAATCCCAGCACTTTGGGAAGCCAAGGCGGGTGGATCACAAGGTCAGGAGATTGAGACCATCCTGGCTAACACGTGAAATCCCGTCTCTACTAAAAATACAAAAAAAAATTAGCCGGGCGTGGTGGCGGGCACCTGTAGTCCCAGCTACTCAGGAGGCTGAGGCAGGAGAATGATATGAACCCGGGAGGCAGAGCTTGCAGTGAGCCGAGATTGCGCCACTGCGTGCCAGCCCAGGCGACAGAGCAAGACTCCGTCTCAAATAAATAAATAAAAATAAAATAGTTCAAAGAAAACTGTTTACTTGCAGAACAAAATAAAAACCAAGGCCTGGTTATTGCCTCAGGTTTTGTCAGTTATGTTTTGTTTTATGATGCACTAGAAGAATGGCACCTATTAGTAGAATGACTGTTTTCTTTCAGGGGAACACATGAGTGTAATTCATGAACCACAGACAAGTTGCTCATTTCCCTTGTTCTCTTTGTCTGTTCTCCCTAAAGCCATCTTTTAAGCAACTATTGAATCCTGTTTATGAGAAGAACAGAGAGGTTCTGTGATGGATTTATTGCTTCGTTGCCTGTACTTGTTGTCAGTGCTTCTAAAATTCAGTGTTTAAATATCTGGTATGTAGAATGAAGGGTCTGCAGTTGCACCAGTCAGCTTCTTTGTTGATGCAGAAAGCTGCTCAGAGTAATTGATGAGTTTTCTGCTTTGGCCTTGAAAAACCTTAACTATTTTATTTTAGTGTAATATCTATTACTTATAAAATCTAATTCTGAGATTATTTTGCACAGTGGAGTTAGATCAGATACGCATATTCATCTATATGTGTTTTAGAACTACTGTATTTCTGTAGCAATACAGTAAGAGTACTGTAACTTTGCATATGTGCTTTATATACTGTATATTACTGTGTTATACTTACTAATGTGTGTTATACTTACTAATGTGTAGGTTTATAGACATAAAGCCTTGGGTACTGTAACTTACAGGTTAAGAGATTTTGAAGGATAATTTTGGTCACACTTGATTTTACCCAGTGACATTAGACCCTATTTCCCATGTAAAATGAGCTGCTTCTGTTTGGAGATGCTCCCGAGTGGAACGTAGTGACTAAAACTAAACTGAGTTGTGGGTTAGGGCATCTGAGAAAATGATAATAGTTTAAGGATCTTTAGAAGTTGGAAGAGGGGATCTGTTAAAGTTCAGAAACCACAGGGGCTGCTGCATCATCCTCACAGCTTTTGGTAGTGGTGCTTACGGAGGAGCTTGTACTAGGGGGAAAAGGGTGATTTTTTTTTTTTTAATTGTCTGCAGGCTGTTAACATTCCGTTATGTGATAGATCCCAACTCTTTTATCTTGCTTCAGAAATTCCTATGCCTGTAACTCCTTTACAGGCACATCAAGTTCTAGTTAGTATCAGGTTCCTTTTATCACATCTAAACTATTATTTTGGACTTTTGCTAGATGTTTTTCATCCGAAGACTTGCCATGTGCATTTAATAAAAACGTTACCTAAATTAGGGAAAATGTTATCTGAAACTAAAATGCATCTTACAAAACAAGCAATTCCTTTTAGCCATGAAAGAAATTAACTTCCAAGAAAAAGTTGGCATTTACAGTTGGTTTAAAAAAAACTCACAAATTTGAGTATGATTGTCCTTGACAAAATCTATGAATTTGGCGAATTTTATGCTCTTGTTTGAAAGCTATAAAAAATGGTGGAAAAGATTAATTTTCACCACTGTAGCCTTAATTACATTTGACTGAAATTTATGATAAATGAAATAAAGCAGAGTTTTTGGCAAGTTTTTGTACAACTATTCATATTTACTTTGATTATTTGTATTACTTTTGTATTTCTCCAAGGAAGCTTACAGAACTTCAGAATAAGGGAACCAGTGTTTGTGCCATTTCAACAAGTAATTCTGATTTGAAACCAGACTGAAACCATGTCTTACAGATTTGGGTATGGGTTGAACCTTGGAAAAATAAAATCAGAAAGTCTTTCCTAGGTGGGTGTTGAGCTTTTTGCTTTTTCTCAGTGCTTTTCTTAGTTTTACCTGTTATTCTCCTTTCTCTTCAGAACTTGAAGGTGCACATTCTTGATACTGAAAGTTTTGAAACTACATTTGGCCCTAAGTCACAGAGGAAACGACCAAACTTATTTGCAAGTGATATGCAGTCTCTTATCGAAAATGCTGAAATGTCCACTGAGAGCTATGACCAGGGCAAGGATCGTGATTTGGTAACTGAAGACACTGGTGTGAGGTACATTTTTTTTTTTGCTTCTTTGTTTTTGTTTTTTTTTTTTTGAGATGGAGTCTTGCTTTGTCGCCCAGGCTGGAATGCAGTGGTGCGATCTTGGCCCACTGCAACCTCCGCTTCCCAGGTTCAAGCAATTCTCCTGCCTCAGCCTTTTGAGTAGCTGGGACTACAGGTGGATGCCTCCATGCCTGGCTAATTTTTTGTATTTTAGTAGAGACAAGGTTTCACCGTGTTGCCCAGGCTAGTCTTGAACTCGTGAGCTCAGGCAATCCACACTCCTTGGCCTCCCAAAATGCTAGGATTACAGGTGTGAGCCACTGCACCCGGTCGAGGTACAGTTTTGAAGTTCATGCAAATCTCATCATTTGCTCTTCTGCAACAAAACATTTTCTTTCAACTTATTTTGCCTGTGTGAAGCTCAGTGCTTTAACTCATATATGGAGTTATCTTCTTCCCTCAGACTGGAGACGTTGGTGAAATTGGGGCTAGACTGAAGATGTCTAAGGTGGCTTGATTGACAAAGGTCTCTCCTCATCCCCAAAATAAATAACATTTTTTCATTTATAATAGTAATACACCAGTCATAGACAAATTAGGAAATATAGTTAAGTTGGAAAATACAACAAAAAGAACATAACTCATGATCCCATTGCTGATATTAAGCATTGTTAATGCCTCTGTGAATATCGGGGCTTCCTTAACTGGAGGTCTCTGAGTTAATGGATGGCCTGTAAGGTTTCTTTGACTCTTTGAAGAAAATGTGGAAAATTTGTGAGCTTACATAAAGGCAGTAGGGTTTTGTGTTTTTTGTTTTTGTTTTGGGGAGGAGGAGGAGGAGAGGAAGTATCTATAATTTTAATCATATTCTCGTAGGGATCCATACTCAAAAGGAGAATCAGTCACCGGCTGGCTGCAGTGGCTTACCTGTAATACTAGTTTTTTGGGAGGCTGAGGCAGGAAGATCGCTTGAGCACAGGAGTTTGAGACCAGCCTGGGCAACATAGTGAGACCTTGTCTCTACAAAAAATAAAAAATTGGCTGGGCATAGAGTCCCAGCTACTCAGAAGGCTGAGGTGGGAGGATCACTGGAGCCCAGGAATTTGAGGCTGCAGTAAGCTGTGATTATTAGGAATATATTTCTATGTCAGTACATAATCAACAATAATATAATATTTATTGTCAGAGTAGTATTTTGTTTGTTATGGCCAGTCTCATTGTTGGACATTTATACTGTGTATAGTTTTTCCTTATGGTGAACAACACAAGGATGAAGCATCAATGTGACCGCATCTTTTTCATCCTTAATTATTCCCCAAAGATAAGTTCTTACGGAGCAAAGCATGATATCAAAAGGTATGCATGCTTTTTGATAGGCAGCTGCCACATTGCTCTTGAGAAAGGGTTTAATTTCATTTCCCTTGGGCAGTGCTAGAAAGCTCTCATTCTCGTCCATCTCATGTCTCTTAAATGAAGTGGAGGTTTTGCTGTCTTAGTGAAGAGGCATTGTCCTTTGACTGCATCAGTGTTATTACCTCATTGCTATTGTCAGCCCATCTTCAAGCATTGGGCCACCTAGAGATAAAATGTCAAGCCATTTGAGGCCAAGCAAAAAGAGGCAGTGAGTTCATTTATTTGTTCTTAGAATTATTTGAACTTTCGTTGGCTTTGTATTCTGCCGATTTGAATTTTTCCTTCCGCAACAGGTATAGTAGGTAATGCAGTAAAGACAAAACTATTTTTGTTTACCTTGGGTAAATGTCCTAGAGACTAGTAAATAAACAGATTCTAAACCTTATCAGAAAAATACTGCTGTATATGGGAGCTATGGAGTATAGGTTGTGATTCAGGTCCTGCCAATTCCATTTTGTAATTCTCTGTGACATACTGCCTAATTCAGTCATGCTTTTTTTTAGTTTAATGTTTTATTGTGGTAAAATATATGTAACAAAAAATGTGGCCAGACGCAGTGGCTCACACCTGTAATGCTAGCACTTTGGGAGGCTGAGGCGGGCGGATCACCTGAGGTCAGTAGTTTGAGACCAGCCTGACCAACATGGTGAAACCCAGTCCCTACTAAAAATACACAAATTAGCTGGACGCAGGGGCGCACACCTGTAGTACCAGCTACTTGGGAGGCTGAGGCTGGGGAATCGCTTAAACCCGGGAGGCGGAGGTTGCAGTGAGCCAAGATCGCACCACTCATTCCAGCCTGGGCGACAGAGCGAGACTCCGTCTCAAAAAAAAAAAAAAAAAAGTACTCTTCTAACCATTTGATGTGATCTCGGCTCACTGCAATCTCTGCCTCCCGGGTTCAAGCGATTCTCCAGCCTCAGCCTCCCGAGTGGCTGGGATTACAGGTGCCCGCCACCACGTCTGGCTAATTTTTTTGTATTTTTAGTAGAGACAGGGTTTCACCATGTTGGTCAGGCTGGTCTCGAACTCCTGGCCTTATGATCCACTGCCTCAGCCTCCCAAAGTGCTGGGATTACAAGTGTGAGCCACTGTGCCCAGCTCTTCTAACCATTTTCAAGTGTACAGTTTAGTGATACTAAGTTCATTTACATTGTTGTGCAATCATTGCAGCTATCCATCTCCAGAACTTTTTCATCATCCCAAACTGAAACCCTGTACCCATTTAACACTAACGGTCCGTTTCCCCTCTCCCCCAGCCCCTGGTAACAACATTCTACTTTCTCTCTCATGAATTTGACTGGTTTAGGTGCCTAATATAAGTGGAATCATACAGTATTTGTCCTTTTGTGTCTGGCTTATTTCACTTAGCATAATGTCTTCAAGGTTCATTCGTGTTGTAGCAGGTGTCAGAATTTTCTTCTTCTTTTTTTTTTTTTTTTAATTAATTATTTTTTGAGACAGGGTCTTGCTCTGTCACCCAGGCTGGAGCAGTAGCCTGCTCATGGCTCACTGCAGCCTCAACCTCCTGGGCTCAAGGAGTTCTCCCACCCCAGTCTCCCCAGTAGCTGGGATTACAGGCATGCACCACTATGCCCAGCTAATTTTTGTATTTTTTGTGGAGATGGGGTTTTGCCATGTTGCCCAGGCTGGTCTCGAACTCCTGGGCTCAAGCAGTCTGCCCTCCTTGGCCTCCCAAAGTGCTGGAATTACAGGTGTGAGCCACTGAGCCAGCTGGAATTTCCTTCTTTTTTAAAGTTGAATGCTATCTTGTGTATATATGTGCCACATTGTGTTTATCCATTTATTTGTTGACAGACATTTGGGCACACTTTTTAAATTCAGTTTGTTTCTGGTCCATCTCCAACTGGGTTTGATACTGTTTTTTTTGGTACATTGACTTTACCCTAAAGCATCCTTTTAGTCTTGATGGTGCTTCAGTTGCTCATTTGGGGTGCTTTCTTATTTAGAAATGAAGCTCAAGAAGAGATCTATAAAAAGGGACAGTCCAAAAGAATATGGGGTGAGCTCTACAAGGTAAGACTCCTAAATTCTCTCCCATTGAGTGGTTCCTTGGGCTTTCATGATTTTGTAGAAGAAAACTAATTTTGATATATTGAAGCTCTGTTGCGCAGAGTACAGGCACCACTGCCTGTTCCATCCTCTTCCTCCTACAAAGAAACTCGGAAGGCGTACTACCATTGATCTAGGTAACTGCATTTTTTAAAGTACTTGTATAAGAGTAACAGCTATCTTTTATTATACAATCACATATTTATTACCTGTCAGTATTTTTTAAGATTTCCTGCCAAATTTATCATGCCTAGTTAAAGTCACATGCAACATTTTAAGTTATTTAGTCCACCCCTCTCCTTTTATCGATGAGGACTCCTGTCTAGAAAGGTTTAATGCTGTACCTAGCTCGACTAGCTTGTTAGTGAAGGAGGCTTTGTATATCTTGATTTCTGATCCAGTGATCTTTAACCGGCAGAGGTTTATGTCCATGCACTAATAATAACCTTCAGAAGAAAAATTTTCAAGTATAATCACGTAATTAAATAGTAACATGATAGGAAACTAGTACCGTGAAGGCAAGCTAAACTTTGTAGTTTTTTGTGAAATACACAAAACCTATAATATTACAAACTTAAAGATAATATTACAAACTTAAAGAAGTCTAAGAAGTAAATGATTTAGTTCAATAATCCATAGTAGTTAGGAAATAAGTTGAGTTTCATCTAAGCTAGTTTTTCTGTTTTAAATTCAGCAGGTTTCAAAAGCCACAGGATGAAAAACCTTTTGAATTCTGATCACTGGGCCTTGAGATTAGCCACAACGAACTCTGCCCAGAGACTGTTTTGAAGTTGTCTCTAAATATTATTATTTTATTTTTCCCAGACTCCCTTAAATGTCATCCCTCTTTTATTTGTACTGTAGCAAACCATTTTTGCCTTTCTGAATTTTCAGGTGATAGATTCATCAGATGTTGTAGTTCAAGTTCTTGATGCTAGAGATCCAATGGGTACTCGTTCCCCTCACATTGAAACTTACCTGAAGAAGGAAAAACCTTGGAAACACCTCATTTTTGTACTTAACAAATGTGACCTTGTTCCAACCTGGGCAACAGTAAGTACAACTACTAAACCAGAATAGACTATTAAGACATCTGTTAGTAAGTCAGTTGTAGGGCTTTTAGGCTAAAGTGTTGTCCGGCTGAGATTGTAGTAATGGGAGTGCTCTCATTGGAAACACGAAAGTGTGCTCATTGATAGTGGGCAGAGGCACCAGGAGACGGCTTCTGAGGCCACTGCCTGCTTCACATTATGCTCCATTAATTGCATTTAGTAACAATGAAGACATTTTTTGGAATATTGTTTTGTATTTATAAGACAGAAGAACAAAGCATTAACTGTTATACTTGGAAAAAACATTTCAAAGAATTATAGCTAACATTTTCCTTAGACAACAGTATATTTGAAACAGTTCTGTAATTCAAGCTCTGATTCTTCCACATAATGTAAATAAATGTACTGCAGTTTACCAAAATGTTTTCATCTCTCCTTCTAGAAACGGTGGGTTGCTGTCCTCTCCCAGGATTATCCAACACTTGCTTTCCATGCAAGCCTTACTAACCCGTTTGGCAAGGGAGCATTCATTCAGCTTCTGCGGCAGTTTGGAAAGGTATTGAGCCCTGATCTGTTTCTCCTGGAGTTGTGTAGCTGTGAGTTGGTATAAGAATCTGTCTTGCCATGGCATAGCAGAAAGTTGCCAACTTCTTAGCCGGACGTGGTTGCGCAGGTCTGTAGTCCTAGCTACTCAGGACGCTGAGGCAGGAGGATTGCTGGAGCCCAGGAGATCAAGGCTACAGTGAGCTATGATGGCACCACTGCACTCCAGCCTGGGTAACAGAGCAAAACCCTGCCTCTAAAAAAAAAAGATGTGGCCGGGCGCGGTGGCTCACACCTGTAATCCCAGCACTTTGGGAGGCCGAGGCAGGCAGATCACAAGGTCAGGAGTTTGAGACCAGCCTGGCCAATATGGTGAAACCCCGTCTCTACTAAAAATACAAAAATTGGCCAGGCATGGTGGCACACGCCTGTAGTCCCAGCTACTGGGGAGACTGAGGCAGGAGAATCGCTTGAACCTGGGAGGCGGAGTTTGCCGTGAGCCGAGATTGCGCCACTGCACCCCAGCCTGGGCGACAGAGCGAGACTTCTCAAAAAAAGAAGAAGAAGATGTAAAAACTTCCAGAGATGTAAAAACTCACAGAGCATCAGGATTATAAGAGATTCTGAAGTGTTTTCTTGCTCAGCCTTTGCCCCCATCCGTGACCAGTGTTGCTTCCATTTCTGCCACAGCCCTGGCACCTGACGTTCCACGCTCTGCTGGGCTTTCCAGGCCTGCTGTGCATCCTCTGCCCATGGAGCCCATGCAGCTTCTATGTCCTCTGGTTGGAGAGGGCCCTGCCAAAATTCAAGCTTCAGATCCCTGGTCAGACGTCAGCTCCTGAGGGAAGCCGTGGAACCAGACTACCCTATCAAATTCTTAAAGCTTCATGTTCTGTACCTGTCATTTTGAATTTGTCTATTTAGTTAATTCTACCTGGCTTCTAACAAAAGACACATGTCTGCTGTCCCACCCTTCCCCACTTTACAGAAGCAAATGCTTCCAATAGCCATTAGTTCTGTTATTTTCCTCCATATTTTTAGTACATGCTTATGATTTTCTTGATCTGTGCCCACCCCTCACCCCCAGTTTAAGATGCTTATTAATTTCTTACTATGGAAAATGAGGATTTGCTATCTTATAGCCATCCTCTCTCTGTATGTACTTCCCCCTGTATTGTTAGATGCCAATGTTGGGTTACAGTATTATTCATTCAGTGTTGGTTGGTTGTTGTTGTTGTTTTAACTTGGAAAGGAGAGCTTTATTTCTCATAAAGGGTTGCAGCCTGCAGGGTGGCCACTCTAACAGGCTGGGAAGAGTAGTCTTGGCCATTCAGTCTTTACATTGTCATGACTGTAAAATATTAGTCACAGCTGATCCACATGGTGTGCTATGAGTATAATTCCTTTCTGATCGAAGCTTTTATTTTCGCTAGTGTTACTTTGCTGTGTTCTATTTGTATCTGTCACTATCATACTACCAAATTCTCTGATACAGTGGGAACTGTCAGAGCTTCCAGGCAGCACAGGTAGTTCCCTTCGGTGGCCAGCACTCCGTCCTCCGCAGGGCTGGCCGCTCTCCAGGCTGCTGCAGCGTCGTCTTTCTGGGATTTCCTTTCACTGTCATCCAGAGAATTCCCATGGCTGTTTTCCTGTATGGGACCTCTTATTTATAGGACCTCTTTTCTTCTTTTCTGGTTTACTCCTTTCTTTCCATGGGACATATTTTCCAAAAGTTTCCTGAGAAGGAATACTTGGAAAGAACATTTTTTTGAGATACGCCTTGCGTTCTGAAAATATCTTTATTAAGATCTTTATTCTACCCTTTATGCTGTTTTTCCTCAGAATACTGAGGTTACCACTGCACTGTCTTCTGAATTCTGAGGAATCTGAGGCCATTCTGACCCCTCATACTTTGTGTGGCTGTGATTTCTTGTTTTGAGACAGGGTCTTGCTTTGTCACCCAGGCTGGAGTGTGGTGGCACAACCACAGCTCACTGTAACCTCAAACTCCTAGGCCCAAGCGATCCTCCTGCCTCGTTTTGGCCTCCTGAAGTGCTGGGATTACAGGTGTGTGCCACCACGCCCAGCCAATCTTTTCTTATTCTAAAATTTAAAATTTCTCTTGTTCTAAAATTTCACAGTGGTGTGTCTTGAAGTGGGCCTTTTATTGCTCAGTGAGCTTGGCGTTTGATGAGACTTTAGTCTGATATTGTCTTACATTATTTCTTTGAAATTTTCTTTCCTCCCTCAGTTGTCTGTATTCTTGTTCAGAAATTTGCTTTTACCTCCTGGTTTAATTCTTGATTTATATTTGCTTTCTTTTTTTTTTTTTTTTTTTTTGAGGCAGAGTCTCACTCTTGTCACCAGGCTGGAGTGCAGTGGTGTGATCTCGGCTCACTGCAGCCTCCGCCTCCCGGGTTTAAGCGATTCTCCTGCCTCAGCCTCCCGAGTAGCTGGGACTGCAGGCACACGCCACAACGCGCAGCTAATTTTTGTATTTTTAGTAGAGACGGGTTTTCACCATGTTAGCCAGGATGGTCTTGATCTCTTGACCTCGTGATCCGCCCGCCTCAGCCTCCCAAAGTGTTGGGATTACAGGCATGAGCCACTGCACCTGGCCTATATATTTTTTCTTTTGGTACATATATGACATTTTCCTCTATTTTCTGGGTACTTTTTTTTTTTTGTGAGACAGAGTTTTGCTCTTGTTGCCCAGGCTAGAGTGCAATGGCGCGATCTCGGCTCACTGCAACCTCCTCCTCCCAGGTTCAAGCAATTCTCCTGCCTCAGCCTCCCGAGTAGCTGGGATTACAGGCATGTGCCACCACACTTGGCTAATTTTGTATCTTTAGTAGAGACGGGGCTTCTCCGTGTTGGTCAGGCTGGTCTCAAACTTCCGACCTCAGGTGATCCGCCCCCCTCGGCCTCCCAGAGTGCTGGGATTACAGACGTGAGCCACTGCTCCCGGCCACTTTCCTTGTTTTGATCATCCAGCTGCCCAGTCACAAAATTTATTTTGCCAATTGCTTTTAATTTTTAATTTCTGAGAGCTCTTGTTGAATTCTGATTTGCTCTGCCTCCTTTTACATCTTATTTCACAGTCACAGTATCATTAATGACGTTTTGAAATTTTCCTGTCTGCATTGATTCTGTTACCTCCAAATTTTTGTGGGTTTTTTTGTGTTTTCTGCTACAGTCACGCTTAAAAATTTTTTCTTTTACTTTAAAAATTTTTTTGAGACAGGGTCTTGTTCTGTCTTAACCCAGGCTGAAGTGCAGTGGTGCGATCATGGCTCACTGCAGCCTCGACCCGCAAGTAGAGTCAACTTAAATGTTTATTCTTGGTTCTCTATTTATATTTAAGAGTAAGGCATTAGGCCAGGTAGAGTGGCTCATGCCTATAATCCCACCACTTTGGGAGGATGAGGCAGGCAGATCGCTTGAGCTCAGGAGTTCTAGACGAGCCTGGGCAATATGGCAAAACTCCATCTCTACAAAAGATAGAAAAAAATTAGCAAGGCATAGTGGTGCACACTTATGGTTCCAGCTACCCAGGAGGCTGAGGCAGGAGGATTGCTTGAGCCCAGGAGACAGAGGCCGCAGAGAGCTGTGATTGTGTCGCTGTACTTCAGCCTGGTTGACAAGGGAAGACCCTGTTTCAAAAAAAAAAAGAGTAAGGCATTAAAAAGCTGATAGGTTCTTTTTTTTCTCCATGGAGTGGCCTTGTTGACTGATAGACTTCATTGTAAGGTGATTAAATAGGGACTCTAATTTAATTTAATTTTTTTTTTTTTTTTGAGACAGAGTCTTGCTCTATTGCCCAGGTTGGAGTGGAGTGGCCTGATTTAGGCTCACTGCAATCTCCGCCTCCTGGGTTCAAGCAATTCTCCTGCTTCAGCCTCCCAAGTAGCTGGGAGTACAGGCAAGCACCACCAGACCTGGTTAATTTTTGTATTTTGAGTAGAGTTGGGGTTTCACCATGTTGGCCAAGCTGGTCTCAAACTCCTGACCTCAAGTGATCTGCCCACCTCAGCCTCCCAGAGTTCTGGGATTACAGGCATGAGCCACTGTGCCTGACTGGGACCCAAATTTTTTGTTGGGAGGACATCCTGTAGATACCAGTGTCTGTAGGTCTTTTTTCTTGGGCTTGTGAGTTTCCCCAGAAGAGAATCTTTCAATCTCTAGCTCTAGGGGTATAGAATCCTGGCTGCTAGAGTTCTGGGAACTCAGTGGGAATAGTAGACTGGGCATCTCACTATTGAATACTTAGATTTTCAATTAATCATTCTGGGAATACTGTTATTATCTCTAAATCCAGGATCCCTTTCAAGTCTGAAGATTACAGATACTTTCAAACATGTGACATTTCAAAAAATCCAAAAGCCACTTTCATAGGCCCTGGATTTCTTTGAGAGTAGAGAAGTTGTGTGCCCACCCTGAATGAGGGAGGGGATGGAGAAGTGTGGCTGCTTTGGCAGACTATCTGCTGGTCCTTGTTTTCAGCCCTATCTTAAGAGGGATCTACCACCAATTCCCAGTGATTCCCAATGAATCTCTGTGATTCATTGTCATTATTATTGCTGGATCTTTAGTTTTTCTATCTTTACAACCACTTAGCTTTTATATTTTGTAATGGGCCAAGTTTGATACTACTTTTAAGCATCTAGTATTTTGTTTAACATCACTTTAGTTTTTGTTGTCTCATCTCCATCTCATTCTCTGGTTCAGTATGTTTGGTTCTATTGGTTTAAAAGTGTTAATGTCCACTGCTGTCATTCTAGTGGAGTTGGTGAGGGAACGGGGTTAGCATGTATGTTCAGTCCACCATCTTTAATCGGAAGCCTCCATTCGTTTGTAGGCCCTCTTCTTGATAGCAAGCTCTGCCTTTTTGAGACTTTCACCCTGTAGTCGTAACTTTCAAGGTTGCTTTTTTTCTTTTGTTATTTATTTTTGGCAGTGGAAATGCAGATGTATTATGCAAAGAAAAGGGGGGGTGAGTTGTGGGATTGTCCAGTTGATGAACCTGTTCATATTCTTTTTCCCGAAGATGTTTTATCAATAGATGGCATTGTTCTAAATCAGTGACTAACAAGCTGTTTTTCTTCTTTTGTTTCTTTTTTTTTTTTTTGAGACTGGAGTCTCTGTCACCCAGGCTATAGTGCAGTGCATGATCTTGGTTCCCTGCAACTTCGGCCTCCCAGGTTCAAGCGATTCTCCTGCCTCAGCCTCCCAAGTAGCTGGGATTACAGGCTTGCGCCACCATGCCTGGCTAATTTTTGTATTTTTAGTAGAGACAGGGTTTCATCATGTTGGCCAGGCTGGTCTCGAACCCCTGACCTCAGGTGATCCGCTCTCCTTGGCCTCCCAAAGTGCTGGGATTACAGGCGTGAGCCACTGTGCCGAGCCTTCTTTTATTTCTTGACCTACATACTTTTAACCTTAACACATACAAGGATAATTTCACTTGCATGACTGAGGAAATGACTCACCTCTGATTTATTAATAAGCATATGTATCCAGCTTACTCAGATTATGTAGGTGGTGTGTATCTAGGCTTCAGATCAAGTTGTATCAACAGTTTTGCACTGTATTCTTGATATTAACAAAGTAATACAACCTACTTGTCCAAAGGGATATATATGACTGCATGTATGTGCTGTGTATTCTCTCTTTGAACAGTTGCACACTGACAAGAAACAGATCAGTGTTGGGTTCATTGGCTATCCAAATGTTGGCAAGAGCTCTGTGATAAATACATTGCGTTCTAAGAAAGTTTGCAACGTGGCTCCCATTGCAGGTGAAACAAAGGTACGTTGGGCGCAGGGTGACCTTACTTTTGCATATTTTCTTTTCATAGAGAGTGATTGTTTAGGACTTGTTGATTTCTCTCTGCTTCTCTTGAATGCAGACCACCACTAGGAGTTTAGCTCACCATATAATAGTTTGGAACGTATCAGAGTTGTTTCTGCCCACTTTGATAAGACTGAGAGTATTTTATATGCCCCCGTGTGGCTTTGGCCTGTGTTAGTTAATGTGATTCATATTTAGATCTGTTTTAAATTATCACTCCAGCCTTTTATTTTGATAAACAAAACTAACCCAAGAATATTTGATGCCTGGGTTAAGAAGCCTCAAACTTAAGGTAGGTTCTGAAAGTTGGGGGTCATATCCTAGAACACATAGTGGGGAACAGCATGGTTTTGCTTAAAGGCAATGAGGTCAAGCAGTACTAAGCTCTCAAGAGTACTTCTAAAACTCAGGAAAGGTTCACCGGGTATAATTGCACAATACGAGATGGAAATCCTGTCTCTGTGTTGTTTTTAGACTCTTAGCTGATGGAAACTATAGTTTACACTTAGTGGAAGTATCTTGTGCACGGCACAGATGAGAGAGTTAGTAGCTTAATTACTTAGCGCGTTGCTTTTCTTTGACTCACCCCTTCCTCCTTTCCAGCTTCATACATGAGCATCAGGGGTTTGTGAAATTAGACTCTTAGTGTTTGATACAGGACATCTCTGACTTTTTTCTGACTTCAGGTCTGGCAGTATATTACTTTGATGCGTCGGATATTCCTGATTGACTGTCCAGGTGTGGTTTACCCCTCTGAGGACTCCGAGACAGACATTGTGCTAAAAGGAGTTGTGAGTATTTGGCCCTGATAGGCTGTTTGTGTTTGCGGGGGAGTGTTCTATAGGGAACCCTGGATACCTTTCCTTTTTACTTATTAAGAAGGCAGTTTGGGGTCAGCCTGTCTGACCAAACTTTAGGAACATGATGCTGAACAGCAGCCTCTCAGCATAAGCTGTTTGAGGAATTAGTGGAACCATGGGCATATCTGGTCAATATCATCCCACAAAAGAGTTTGTAGTTTACACACAGGATCCAAAGGGAAGCAGGGCCTGTTTATGCTTAGCGATAATTCGTCTTCGTGGGTTTATGGGTTGAGTCATTTTGGAACCCAGTCATTTCCTCACTTGTTTCTGAATACGACTGAAAAACTGTAAATGGTTCCACTTAACCTTGACCATGCTTCTGGCTATACATCCTGTACACATTCCTCCTCTCCTTTCTTAAACTATTCCATTATTTTTGTGTCCTGGGATGGGCAGGCTTTTAACCATTTCTGCAAGTGAGTAACATGAAGCATTCCAAGTTTAAACTGTGGCAGCCACACAGTTAGTTTGTGGTGAGTGGGGATTAAAGCTGAGTTCTGGGCTCCGTGGCTATGGTCAGCTTTCAGCAGTGCTCCTTGCAGCTGACCATGTCTAGCCCCGTCAGAGACAGGCTCCTGCCAATCTCCACGAGCTTTGTGATGTTGAAGTCTATTTTCAAATAGTGCTGCAAAGGACACTGGGAACTTCACTGCTTCCACAACAAAGTTTGTAAGTGAGAGATTTCCTATTAACATTTAGGTTCAAGTAGAAAAAATTAAGAGTCCTGAAGACCACATTGGTGCTGTACTTGAACGAGCAAAGCCAGAATATATCAGCAAAACATACAAGATTGATTCTTGGGAGAATGCTGAGGACTTTCTTGAGAAGCTCGCTTTCCGGACTGGGAAGTTACTAAAGGTGACCCGGCGTTTGTGAGAATTTAGACTGATACTTGTCACAAGCATGTATGTATATGATATGGGCCTTTTTTTGGTATGCATGTATGAGCAGTGTGAAACTTGTCACTTAAGTGATGATGAACCCCTGGGACAACTGAAATACCCCCAAAGTGGTAGGTGGTTTTGGTCCTTTGAATTTAATTGGGAATCTCTTTGTGACCTTTCAGGGTGGAGAGCCCGACTTGCAGACTGTGGGTAAGATGGTCCTCAATGACTGGCAGAGGGGCCGGATTCCTTTCTTTGTCAAGCCACCCAATGCAGAGCCACTTGTGGCCCCCCAGGTAAGAGCAGGGTGGGCCCACCTCTGGGGAGCATGGGTCCTGACCTAGATTTGGTGTAGCTTGTGATTGTCTCTCTTCATAGAGCGTGTATTCATTCAGCTGCGGTGTCTCTCATTTTATTATTTTTTTAAATATATAAAAATATTTTTGGGGCCGGGCATGGGTGGCTCACGCCTGTAATCCCAGCACTTTGGGAGGCCGAGGTAGGTGGATCACAAGGTCAGGAGTTCAAGACCAGCCTGACCAATATGGTGAAACCCTGTCTCTACTAAAAATACAAAAATTAACCTAGCATGATGGCACGCTCCTGTAGTCCCAGCTACTCGGGAGGCTGAGGCAAGAGAATTGCTTGAACCCAGGAGACAAGTTGCAGTGAGCCGAGATCGTGCCACTGCACTCTAGCCTGGGCAATAGAGGGAGACTCCATCTCAAAAAAATAAAAAAAAATTTTTTTGAGGGTGAAGCACTGTTGGGAGCCACTGCTGGCCCATGGCGATCACTCCACCCTCTCTCATTCTAGAGTGCCAGTGCCATGGCCTTGCTAGGGGGTGCATTTGGAGACTAATAAGTAGACATATGAGAGAAGACCAAACTTAGATACTAGCCTTTAGGGCCTTGGAAAAAGAGGGCTCATTAAATGTAAGTGATCTTCTGGTACCTGTATCTTTTCTTATGCTTACGAAACAGAATCATTGCTAAGATAACATTTGTTTAACAAACATTTATTAGCATCGACTATGTGCCAGGCACAGGGAATATAGGAACGAAAAACAGCCCTGGCCCTCAAAAAACCTGTGATCCAGTGGGAAAGGAGAGTGGTACTACTGATAGTCGGAGAAAGAAGACTGAAGGCTGGGGCCAGAAGCTCTCCTACTATCCCCATTTCCCTCACCCTGGCAGTGGGCCGCCACAAGGCTCAACGTTAACGTTTTGCCTTTCTGGTTCTAGGACCTTTTTCAGAACCCAGCCAAGTCTCTTGAAATGGTGGCTTCAAATTGTGCATCTATGCTTGCTAGTGTCGTTGGGTCCATACAGTGCTGGTTTCCTCTCACCTGACCCCATTCCAAGTTGCAGTTGCAGCTAGGTATTTTCAGTTGAATGTATTCTGCAGCATTTGAAAGTTAGCCTGAAACTGATGTTAATTGACATTCTCCCTTCTCCCTGCCCAAACCATCAAACAACCAAACAAAAATTTCTCTCCCTCTTCATGTGTATTGCATCTTTCATTCATTAATTCACTGATACATTCACCCAGCAATCCCATATTGAGTGTCTCCTGTTGGCCACAGACTCTTCTGGGTACTGGTGGTGCTGTGGTGAGAAACTGACAAGCTGCTGCTCTCCTGCACATATATTCCAGCAGGGGAGTGTGTGGTTTCTTCTGACACCAAATACATAATTTTTTTCCATATCAGTTCTGCAGTTCTCAGATACCAGCTGAGTGTCCCAACAATTTAATTCAGTTGTGACACTAACTCCCGGAGTTAGCACAGACCCCACAAGTTAAGGACTAGGTCCCCTGCTTCAGATGGCAGCTTCAGGCTATCCACACTTACGCCCGGCTAACTACAAATTCAGGGGTTCTGGGGTTTGATAATTTGCCAGAAGGACTCCCAGAACCCAGGAAAGTGCTGTGTTTACAATTAACGGTTTATGATAAAGGATGAAACTCAGTCACAGCCAGTGGAAGAGGTGCACAGGGTAAGGTATGGGGGAGAGGCACAGAGCTTCCATGCCCTCTCCACACATTGATGTGTTCAGCAACCCAGAGCTTTCCAAACCCCATCATGTAGGGGTTTTTATGGAGGTTTCATTACATAGACATGACTGATGAAATCTGTGGCAGTTGGTGATAGACTCAATTTCTGGTCTCCCTTCTCTCCTCTGAGTGGCTGAAAGCACCAACCATGTGGTCAAGTGCTTTGTCTTTCTGGTGACCAGCGCATCCCCCATCCTGAAGCTATCTAGGGGTCTACCATGAGTCACCACATTAGCATAAACTCAGGTGTGGTGGAAAGGGGCTTGTAATCAATAAAAAAGATACCCATCGCTTGGGAAATTCCAAGGGTCTTAGGAGCTCTGTGCCAGGAAGTGTGACATTTATATCACAGGGAGACAGTAGGCAGATAAACATATAATGTCAGGAAGTCTTGCGTGCTGTGAGGAAAACTAAACCAGGCTAAGGGGTTTGGGGGAGATGAGGAGTACTTTGGGGTGGTCGGGGAAGGCCTCTGAGGCAGTGGCACTTCAGCAGAGCCCTTAATATGAGACAGGAGCCATGCTAGTATCTAGGGAGAATGTTCCAGGCAAGGGGAACAGCACATCCAGAGCAGCTGGGGCAGGAGTATGCTCTGTGTGTCCTGATGCTGAAAGGAGGTCACTGTGGCTGGAATGTCGTGGGCCAGGAGAGGGTGTCATGGTGGGAAGCCATTGGAGGTTTTGAGTTAGCAGCTGGATTCTAGGGTCATTCTGGATGTCCGTATCACTGCTGTCTTGGGACCCTGTGTGGAAACACTGGCATTGTCTTCAGCCCTTCCTCCGTATGTAGTCAGTAAGTGTAGATAAGTAGTTCAGATAATTCTTAAGAACTATTGTAACCATAATAGATTTGTTGCCCAATGCACACAGCAAGTCAATATGCTGAGACACCACCAGGTTGCAGCAGAGAAAGAAGTTTAACCGTAGGGTCACCAAAGGAGGAGATGGGAGGAATCCTGAAATCATTTCCACGAGGAGTTTGGGGTTAGGGTTTTAAGGGTTTTGGAGTGGGCTGGAGTGAGGGTCATTGGTTGGGTGAAGAGTGCAGGGTGAAGTCACGGACAGGGAGATGAAGAAGCTGTGTTCTCATGCAGATCCCGTTTCTCTGGGGATCTTCAAACTGGTTGCTGGAATTAGGGATCTGAAAAGACATTTTAAGCAATCCTTAAACAAAAACCTTATGATTCTAATGTCAGAGATCTTGCCTATAGGAACAATGGGGGTGCATATCAATTCTTACATAGTCTTATGACCCAAATGTCAGAAATCCTATCTATAGGGACAGTGGGGATGCAAATGGTCAGTACCTAGTGTTCAGGAACTTTTAGCAACAAGGATATGGGCCAAAGTGCCCCCTAATTAGTGCTTAATTATAATTGTATTTCTGTCCAGAACTTGGCAGATACTTCTTGTCAACCCTTTGGAGGCAGTTTCACTCTCATATGCCTTACTCTGTGATTCTGTTTTTCTTTTTTGGTTAAGAGCAGAAACCCCTTCAGAAACTGAAAGCCAAAAATTGCCCTTCCTAGAAAAATGTATGTATAAATTTTGTGTGTGGTTTCCTGAATTTTATAGTTCTGTACTTATTTAGTGATTTGCCCGGCCACTCTTGACTTTAGAACATCACTTTTAAGTTCTCTGAGTTTTTGTTGCAAGGATAAAATGATATTATACATGTGAAACACCAGTAGAAAGCTTGGCACATACTTATCTTTGCGGTTACCTAAAACAGGCCAGTCATTTCAGGGTCCCCAGACTTAGTTCTCTAATGAACTCTCTTCAATCACAGAATTCCCCCTCCTTACCTTATACTCTTGCTTCAGGATGCCTCCTATCTTAGTCTGTTTTGTGATGATGCAACAGAATACTACAGATTGGGTAATTATAATGAACAGAAATTGTTTTGGCTCATGTTTCTGGAGGCTGGGAAGTCCAGTATCAAGGCACCAGCATCTGACAAGGGTCATCCCATCGTGGAAAGTGGGAGGACAAGAGCAAGCAAGAGAGGGTCAAACTTGCTTTTATAACAAACTCACTCTTTTTTTTTTTTTTTTTGAGACGGAGTCTTGCTCTGTTGCCCAGGCTGGAGTGCAGTGGCACGATCTCGGCTCATTGCAACCTCTGCTTCCTGGGTTCAAGTGATTCTCCTGCCTCAGCCTCCTGAGTAGCTGGGACTACAGGCATATGCCACCAGGCCCAGCTAATTTTTGTATTTTTAGTAGAGATGGGGTTTCACCATGTTGGCCAAGCTGGTCTTGAACTCCTGACCTTGTGATCTGCCCACCTTGGCCTCCCAAAGTGCTGGGATTACAGACGTGAGCCACCACATCCGGCCAACAGACTCACTCTTAAAAACGAACCCATCCCCGAGATCCATTAGTCCATTCATGGGGATGGAGCCCTCATGATCTAATTACCTCTTATTAGGCCTTACCTACCAACACTTGCTGCATTGGGGATTAAGTTTCTGTATCAGTCCATTTTCATACTGCTATGAAGAAATACATGAGACTGGTTAGTTTATAAAGAAAAAGAGGTTTAATGGACTCACAGTTCCACATGGCTGGGGAGGTTTCACAATCATGGCGGAAGGTGAAGGAGGAACAAAGGCATGTCTTACATGGCATCAGGCAAGAGTGTGTGTCCAGGGAAACTGCCCTTTATAAAACCATCAGCTCTCGTGAGACTTAATTCATCATAGGAGCGGCATGGGAAAGACCTGCCCCCATAATTCAATTACCTCCCACCCGGTCCTTCCCACAACACATGGGGATTATGGGAGCTACAAATCAAGATGAGATTTGGACACAGCCAAACCATACCAGTTTCCAACATATGAATTTTGGGGGACACATTTAAATCAGAGGACCTCCTCAAATGCCTCTCTTAGTACTGTTCTCATCTGTAACATCCAGCCTGGCCTTCATTTTTATGTAGTTGTGTGTGCTGATTTTGCATGTGCTTATATCAGCAGCCCCCTAGGGAAGGTCTAGGGAGCCTTGCTTTTCTATGATAAATCATTGGTTGGTTTTAATGGTTTAAATAGTCTTAGTTGGTTCATCCTGTGGAACTACACATGTATTCCTTTGATCCTAGTACTGATCTCTGGGCTTAATGTACATTGGTTTAAAAATACATTAATGAAATGACTCAAATTTGGGTGTTTTCAATACCTTCCCTTAGTCCTGAGAAGAGGACTGTTTAAGAGCAAGATATGAGTTCAGAAATTCCATTTTTCATTTTCTGATTCTATTTATTTCCCCCATTTCCACCCCTTAATAGCTTCTACCCTCCTCATCTTTGGAAGTTGTCCCAGAAGCAGCCCAGAACAATCCAGGGGAGGAAGTCACAGAAACTGCAGGTGAAGGGTCAGAATCCATCATTAAGGAAGAAACAGAAGAGAACAGTCACTGTGATGCTAACACAGAGATGCAGCAGATTCTCACACGAGTTCGGCAGAACTTTGGTAAAATCAACGTGGTGCCTCAGTTTTCTGGGGATGACCTGGTTCCTGTGGAGGTGTCAGATCTTGAGGAAGAGCTTGAGAGCTTTTCTGATGAAGAGGAGGAGGAACAGGAGCAACAAAGAGATGATGCGGAAGAGTCTTCCTCGGAGCCTGAGGAGGAAAATGTGGGAAACGACACCAAAGCCGTTATTAAAGCACTGGATGAGAAGATTGCCAAATATCAGAAGTTTCTAGACAAAGCCAAAGCCAAAAAGTTTTCAGCAGTCAGGTAATATTTTCATCTTCTCACAAATTGCAGATTTTCATTCCTTTCCCAAAAATTTGCCATGAGTACCAGAGCCATATTTTTACATGGGGTTATTGCCATTTGTTTGTTCGGTTGGGTTTTTTGTTTGTTTGTTTTTTGAGACGGCGTCTCGCTATGTTGCCTAGACTGGCCTCACTCTCCTGGGTTCAAGCAATGCTGTCATCTCAGCCTCCTAAGTAGCTGTGACTACAGGTGTGCACCACCACACTTGGCTGTTATTGCCATTTTTAAAAAGTGAACTGTAAATTTTGTAAAATTCAGCTGCCTGCAGTATGAGAAGCTTTAGAAACACCCAGGGAGGTACAAACATGTTGGATGTTGACTTCTTCCACTGGTGATAACTACTTGGATAGGAGTGGGGTTTCTTTAGTCTGTGAGTTTGTCGCAGGTCTCCAGGTCAGTATGTGATTCGGGCGAGTGAGAGGAGGAATGTTACTTTGCTTTTCTGTTTCAGAATATCCAAGGGACTGAGTGAAAAGATATTTGCAAAACCTGAAGAACAAAGAAAAACACTGGAAGAAGATGTAGATGACAGAGGTGAAGTTAAATTATTTCAATCATTTAGATGTAATTTGCATATTTAGAGTTTTGAGAAACCTAAGTTCAGTCTCCAAATTATCTCAGTCATCCACATAAATGTTTGTCATATCTGGCAGATTACTTTAAATTTACATAGTGTTATGCAAATTGAATTATCTGCTTTTCATTCTGCACATTTTTTAGGATTAAATTGGCAATTCAGGAAACTTCCTAGAAAGGGTTCATTATTAACCTAGAATCCAAGGGTGGGTCCACAGACAAAGAGGGGGGTGTGTTTCCTGCATTTATCCATTCCTCCATTTGACCATCAGCTTTCACACTGAGAGCATGGCTTAGGGCATCCTTTTACCTGGCAGCCTCCCCTTGGCCTGCTTTACTCACCACTGTGCTCACCTGCTCTGTCCACATTGGGTGTCCTCCTCCTGATACATCAAGCTTGTTCCCACCGTTGGGTTTATAGACAAATTTTCAATAGAAAATTCCTGTTTGTGTATTGTTTGTATCCAGCACCTTCCAAAAAGGGAAAGAAGCGGAAGGCACAAAGGGAAGAGGAACAGGAACATTCAAATAAAGCTCCCAGGGCGCTTACATCAAAAGAAGTAAGTGTCATAGGTTTTAAGTATGGCCCAAGTAGAGTAACTAGAACTCCAGTTGTCAAGACCCACTGAAACAAATGGTCCAGAGCTGAATCCCAAGAACCCCAGTCCTCGTTGACCTAGTTGAGGTCAGATAAATAGGGTCGGGTCTGGCCCACTAGATGCAGGTCCTTGAGTCCATGTCATACGTTTTAGGAGTTTCTAATCAACGTCTCCACACGAGTGGACTATCCTCTAGAGGAGTCAGTTTCTAGTCCCAAGGGAAACGACCCAATGAGCAGATCTGCTTTGGGCAGATCACTGACTTCTGTGAAGGACAGCTTTGGAGCTGAGCTGTTCAGAGCTAGAGTGGGCCCTCTGGGGAGGGGAGTGGTTAGCAGCACTCAGCCTTGCTGCAGGGGACTTGTCAGGAGTGATGCAGAACAGATTCTTGCACTGGCTAAGGGTTGGATCACATGTGGATTTGTAACTTGGAGTTGCATAAGTCACAATGGAAGAGTAACCTTAGGTCTACGGGGGAGCCCTCCCTCATTAGCACTGCTTCCAGTAGCTGTGGAAGCAGCACGGGAAATAGAACACAGAGATGAGAAGCAGAGACTCCTGTTTTGTGAATGACTTTCAGGGTTTTGTTGTTTTTTTTCTTCATCTTTTCTTGCCATTTTTTACAGCGGAGGCGAGCAGTACGACAGCAACGGCCGAAAAAAGTTGGTGTGCGCTACTATGAAACACACAACGTGAAAAATAGGAACAGGAACAAAAAGAAGACCAATGACTCAGAGGGACAGAAACACAAACGCAAAAAATTCAGACAAAAGCAGTAATGTTTAAAAGGTTTTTATTAAATTATACAAAAACAGGCAGTTAGAAATTGTGTTTTCTTCCTGCCCCATTGACATTTCTAAGGCCCTAATGCATTTGTTCTGAGGTTTGACAGTTGAAGCCCTTCACCAGTGCTAGGGAAATAAAGCCTCCTCAACCTTAAGGATTTCAGTGATAAGAGTCTGAAAGTCTAGCACTTCAGGTAGACTTTGGATGAACTAAGAGGTTCCACAGTCACCCTGTCATATAACTGTCTGACAGAAATAGGGGATGAGGTCTATAAAATGGAAAGGGTGGTATTTCGTTTTTATTGGTAATGAATGATTTGGAATAGAAGCATACAGAACTGCAAATTTCAAGGACGTTAGTGTACATGGCCTGGCCTTTGAAATACAAGGAGAAAGTTGGGTGCAGAAGAAATAGGAGAAAACTACAATAATTTCTGCCTCATTGAGTCTGTGAAGTAGACCCACTTATGGCACATACGTTCCTGTCTTAGAGGCCTGGAACTAGCAGATCTCGTGGAAAGAGTTCTTTCCCATGGAAATGACAACACAGGCAGGTCATTTGAGTGGAGGCTTAAAATTCCTCAGGATACTGGATCAGGGTAAAAGCTGCTCCTTAGATTCCAGATGAGAATGTGTATGGTGTGTTCAGCATAGGGAACACAGCTTTTCTGGGGAAATGACAGTGCTTCCATTGTGAGCCTTGAAGCTCACTGAACCCAAGACGGATGGCAGGTGGAAGCTCTGCTAAGGAGAGGCCCTTCTTACGCCTCTTTCTGGGGAACCTGAGCATGTTAGTGCCTTTTAGGTAATGTTACTTGTGCAGCCTAACTGAAGGATGAAGTCCTCCAGCTTACCACCCTAGCCCACCCTGGCTTGCCCCGAACTAAAGATTTATGTCACTCATTCAATCTTCTGGGTCTACAAAACCAGGAGAATGGAAGAGAAATACTAAAATGCAGTTGTCTAGCAGCCGTACTCCAATTATTAGTCATTAGACCTGCATGTGAGATTTAGTTACCTCTTCAGTTGTTAATTAACATCACTACTTCGGGGAGTGCAGAGTCAGGGCTTGATTTTCTGCAGGATAAGGGGAACAGATCTGTGCTGGGGGAAGAGCTGAGTTGCAGACAACTCACAAAGGCCACTGTGACTAGTATTCCTTTCTGGCAAACATTTACTTTCTCCAAAGCCATGGGTTTGACTGCCATTGTTTCCTAATGTAGGCAGTCTGAAACCGAGGAGGAAGGGGTCCAGTTGACTGGCAAGTGGGGATAATACATTAGAAAACCAAAGCTCCAAAGTGAGTTAGAAATGCATTAGAGTAGGGAAAAGAAGACATTAAGTAAGGAAGGCCAGAGGCCCAAGAAGCCCAAGTTAAGGTAGAAGATGAATTGTGAACTAAAAGTTTGAGGGGCAGAGAAGCAGATTCATTTGGCCAGAAATAAGTATTGGTATAGAGTGATGATGAGAAAGCAGTGGCTTTCTTAGAATTTGAGTTGGCAGTTCCCAAGGCTGGCTAGTAAGCCACACACGGAGACTAACAGGGCCACACCATCTTCCATTGCCCAGCCAGGAGCCTGGCTGGCAGACCTTAGGTGTCTGATGACATTGGAGTAATAGTGTGACTTCTAACAAATACCTAGGTGGTGTTTAGGGGAGGTTATGGCTTGTTCACTCAGGAAACTAGCTTTTTATTACAAAGGGCTTATGATGATTTTATTGGCTGCCAGAGGAACACAGTAAATAACTCCCAAGTGTCTTGTTGGAAATTAATCATGTGGAAATTATCACTTCTTTGGTGCAATAATGCCTTCCAGTTGGGCCTGAAAAACAAAAACAAGCTCCATTAATACTTGAAACTTGCAGCCTGATACAAATAGCTGAGAGGTGATCAAATCTCTGGGAAGAAGAATCCACATGCTGTCACTCCAAGGGTTCTTTTTCCCCTTGATCCCCAAATCCATATTTTCTAGATTAGCTAGTTTCTAGCTTGGCATACAGTCTTTAGTATATGAGGAGAAGCCAGAGCTGTCCTGGTTTCAACACAATAATGGCTCCGGGTATGATATAAAGCATTGAAAAGGATATTGAATGCATTGTTGTAAGGGCTTTTCATGGCTCAGGTTTCAGGCCAGAATATGTCTGCTAAGTTAAACATTTGGCTCTCTGGCCGGGCGCAGTGGCTCATTCCTGTAATCCCAGCACTTTGGGAGGCTGAGGCGGGCGGATCGTGAGGTCAGGAGATCCAGACCATCCTGGATAACACGGTGAAACCCCGTCTCTACTAAAAATACAAAAATTAGTTGGGCGTGGTGGCAGGCGTCTGTAGTCCCAGCTACTCCAGAGGCTGAGGCAGGAGAATAGCATGAACCTGGGAGGCGGGGCTTGCAGTGAGCCAAGATCGTGCCACTGCACTCCAGCCTGGGTGACAGAGGGAGACTCCGTCTCAAAAAAAAAAAAATATTGGCTCTCTGGTTTAGGATCCTGGGAGTTCTGCTGGGACCAGAGGTTTGGGAAACAGTGAATTTTCAGCCACTGAGACAACTTGGCACACAATTAGAGAAATGCTGCCAGTGAATACAGAGCTGTCCCTCTTTGTTGGGGGGTGGGGGTGGGGAATGGAGTTTTGCTCTTGTCACCCAGGCTGGAGTGTGATGGTGTGATATCGGTTCACTGCAACCTCTACCTCCCGGGTTCAAGTGATTCTCCTGCCTCAGCCTCCTGAGTAGCTTGGATTACAGATGCACATCACCACGCCCAGCTACTTTTTGTATTTTTAGTAGAAATGGGTTTCACCACGTTGGCCAGGCTGGTCTCAAACTCCTGACCTCATGTGATCCACCTGCCTCGGCCTCCCAAAGTGCTGGGATTACAGGTGTGAGCTACCACACCCAGCCGAGAGCTGTCCCTCTTTATGTAAAGCTTAAGACACTTGGGAGTTATTTACTATGTTCCTCTGGTAGCCAATAAAATAATACTGGACAGATCTTTAGGTAGGTCTATCCTGGGGACAGCAAAGCTGCTTTATTTGCAATGCAGTTTTGAGCCAATAAAAATAGCTCACTTCCTGTATTACAAGCCTGTAATTCCAGCACTTTGGGAGGCCAAGGTGGGCAGATCATGTGAGGTCAGGAGTTCATGACCAGCCTGGCCAACATGGTGAAACCCCATCTCTATTCAAAATACAGAAATTTGCCGGGCGTGCTGGCACATGCCTGTAATCCCAGCTACTCAGGAGGCTGAGGCAAGAGAATCACTTCAACCCGGGAGGTAGAGGTTGCAATGAGTTGAGATGGTGCCATTGCACTCCAGCCTGGGCAACAAGAGCAAAACTCCGTCTCAAAAGAAAAAAAATTTAAAAATGCCAACTTCTAAAGAATCTTTCACCCTGGAGATTACAAGATTGCTTTTAAATGTTAGAAACATGCTAAGGTATTTGGTTTGCTCTTGTTGCTAATCCAGGAAGAACTGAGGAACTCAGGCTTATGAAAAAGGAATATGGCAGTTAAGGAAAGCAGCCTCAGAGGCTGCTAAGGAAACAGATTCATCTCTGGCTGTGAAAGTTTCTTGCTTTTCTTTGTGCAACAAGAAAAGTTCCAGTAGTGGTTAACAGAAAGCCTTCTTTATCGCAAATGGCCAGTCCTGCTGGTGTGTAGACCAAACAAGCCTGCAATGTCAAGATTGTAAGGTTTCTATCTGAGCCTAGGGAGGAGAGGGAGATCCATCCAGGGTCCTTTGGCCAGGGCCATGGGAGAAGGCCACTAAATGTCAGTAGGCCATCTTTCCAGAACAGTGATGCTCAAACTTCTGCAAACATTAGAATCACCTGAGACCTTGTTAAAGCACATTGCTGGACCCCAACCCCGAATTTTCTGATTTGGTAGATCTGGGGTGGGCCCAATAATTTGTCTTGCTTTGCCAGGTGAGGACGATGTTGATCTAGGGCCTACCTTTTGAGACCTTTGGACCAAACAGCTGGGAGTTGCAGTGCCTGTAGCATGGCCTCCTGCCCAGCTTTGTCCACCAGCCCCCTCCCTCCTATCACCTCAGCTGGATAAAAGACCACTGCTGGCATCGGACTTCGAGGAAGAGCACCTGTGCCTGGGTTCCCCGACCACATTTCTGGGGAAGGTTTCTGATTTGAAATGGTTCTTCCTCTCAAAGGGCCCTGCTGCCCTTTGACTTCTTCCCTGGTTATGCCCTGAAACAGGGCCTCAGAGGAGACAGCCATGGGATGGCACTACCACGCAAGCCACCTGGAGCCCAGCCCCCTCCAGAAAGGCTCCAACATACCAGCTTCCAGGGGAATGGAGTTCCACTTTTTGCCATATCCACCTCTTCCTTGAGGATGGGCAACTTTTTTCCAGGGAGAAGAATCCTCCACTGGAGAGCCAGGCTGAGGCGCCTCAGAGATTTGGAGTTGAGAGTAGAGACCCCCTCTGGAGCCCTCCCCTTCTCCCACCACCAAAGTCAGCTTCCTTTATCCTTTGGCAGTGCATGTGGACAAACATTTAAAAGCCATGGAAAAGGAACCGAATGCCTGGCCTGTGGGGCTGGGTCGCAGGGCAGGGGGCACCTCCACCCCACCCTGCGCGTTGATTACCTTCAGCTGCTGATTTGTTCGCTTCAGGAACTGAATCTCCTCATTGTGCTTCTTCTCCTCCACCTGCCGCCTCTCGCTCTCCCGCTTCTCAGTGGCTTCACATTTTGCCTTCTGCTCGTTCACTTGCCTCTCCAGGTCTCTCTTTTCCGTCTCCAATTCTGCGATCTGAGGAGAGAATGCCCAGTCATCCTGGGATGTCGCCAGGTGAATGGAATGGTGTGAGCCTGGGTGGAAGGGACATGGGACATGACATTGCCAGGGTATATACTGCCACCCAGTGGGAGGTCAGTGCCTGGCATGGAGCGTCTACAGCGGAAACAACTCTGCCAAGACCACCAGGCTGGCCATCATACTCAACCAGGGGTCCCTCACTGAGGTGATGCAAGTCCAGGTGTCGTGACTGTCAGCAGAGCACCTTAGGAGGTCAGAATGTAGTGCTGGAATGATAAGCATGTGGCCCTGAGGTTTACAGAAGAGATGGGACCAAGGGTCACGGTAAACCCCACTCACTTTCCTCTCCATGTCTGACTTCCCCTGCTCAGCCTGCAGTGCCTTCCTCATGCCAAACGCCACGCTGCTCTCGTACAGGGTCTGGTAGGCAGCGATGGTCATGCGGATCTCGTCCCGGACTCGCAGCAGCAGCAGCCCCCTCTCCGCACAGTTGATGGTGACCTCCCGGATCAACTCATCTTCCAATGCACACACACCATGAGATCAGACAGGGCGTGGGGAGGGGGCTTGCAGTATGTCTACTGCAAACACCCTTCCTCTTGGGAAGGACATTAGGGTGTTCTCGCTTGGAGACAAAGTGCAAGGCCTCAGAGAAGGGCCTCAGGGAGGGTGCCTTCAGTGGCCCAAAGAGCCTTGCCATGCAGTCACTCCTCTGAACTTGGCACTTGTGAGTAGCACAGTCAGCAAGACTGGGTTGGCCAGAGCAAAGGAGACAAGAGGCTCTGGTTTGTTTACAGCACTGGGTCCCCTCCCTTCCTGCCTTAGGTAAAAACTGGTTACTACTCGAAAAAACCTGACTTTTTCTGTTTAAAGATGGCAGCTGTTTTAAAGCAGCTGGGACATCCTGTGTGCCCCCTTGGCTGCACTGGTTTGAGGGAAATGGCAGGGTCTAGAGCTTGCCCATCTATCTCCCCATAAATGCTGACCTGGAGGGCAAACCATAATAACACACGGATAGGGAAGCCTGCTAGACCCTGCAGCTGCCTGAGGGTTTGGAGGTGGTTTGCAGATCGGCGTCCATAAGAGCCAATGAGACTGGGCTGGGAGACAGCCATTTGACACCAGCACTCAAGGAGGTGCATCTTAAATCTCTCGTGTCTGTGGGTTAACAACAAATCACAATATTTTTCTGGACCAAGGGCCAAATATTGATGGATGGATGGATGGATGTAAATACTGAACATTAATCTTTCTGACTAAAAAATTAGCACATGCTTATTATAGAAAATCTTTGAAAAAACAGATGGAAGTTATCGTTTTACTCCAAACATCTGCTAAGGGGTGAGGAACTCAAGTTGCCAAGAATATAGTGGTTGGCAGCTGGAGGACTTGTAGAAGAGGCGGGGCTGGTGTAGGGAAAAGAAGGAGAGATCAGACTGTTACTGTGTCTACGTTGAAAAGAAAGACACAAGAAACTCCATTTTGACCTGTACCCTGAACAATTGCTTTGCCCTAAGATGCCGTTAATCTGTAACTTTGCCCCAACCTTGAGCTCACAGAAACATGTGATGTATGGAATCAAGGTTTAAGGGATCTACGGCTGTGCAGGATGTGCCTTGTTAACAAAATGTTTACAGGCAGCATGCTTGGTAAAAGTCATCGCCATTCTCCATTCTCGATAAACCAGGGGCACAATGCACTGCAGAAAGCCGCAGGGATCTCTGCCCTGGAAAGCCAGGTATTGTCCAAGGTTTCTCCCCACGTGATAGCCTGAAATATGGCCTGGTGGGATGGGAAAGACCTGACCGTCCCTCAGCCTGACACCCGTGAAGGGTCTGTGCTGAGGAGGATTAGTAAAAGAGGAAGGCCCCTTGCCGTTGAGATAAGAGAAAGGCCTCTGTCTTCTGCCTGCCCCTGGGAACTGAATGTCTCAGTATAAAACCTGATTGTACGTTTGTTCTGAGATAGGAGAAAAAACGCCCTGTGGCGGGAGGCGAGACATGTTGGCAGCAATGCTGCTCTGTTACTCTTTACTCCACTGAGATGTCTGGGTAGAGAGAAGCATAAATCCGGCCTACGTGCACATCCAGGCATAGTACCTTCCCTTGAACTTATTCGTGACACAGATTCCTTTGCTCACGTGTTTTCTTGCTGATCTTCTCCCCACTATCACCCTGCTCTCCTGCCACATTCCTCTTGCTGAGATAGTGAAAATAGTAATCAATAAATACTGAGGAAACTCAGAGACCAGTGCCGGTGCGGGTCCTCCGTATGCTGAGTGCCGGTCCCCTGGGCCCACCTTTCTTTCTCTATACTTTGTCTGTGTCTTATTTCTTTTCTTAGTCTCTCCTCCTGCCTGAGGAGAAATACCCACAGGTGTGGAGGGGCTGGCCCCCTTCAGCTGGGAAGGGGAAGGGGGCAGTTAGCTGTTGCTGGGTGGGTCAGGCAGGGGGAGAAGAGGGGATTCCAGCATGAGATGGGCTCCAGCTCCAAGGTGCTCAGGCTTGGATCTGTGCTGAAGGTGAAGGGAAGGGAGCAGTAGGGTGTGTAGTGCCCACCCCTCACCTGGCTCACTCACCAAAACACTGTGAGTAGAGTTCCCTGCGGACAGGGCAGATGCCTGTTTCCCTGGCCTGCCGCTGCTGCAGCTTTAAGTCTAACTGCTCCTGGAGGTGCACCACGTCCATCCTGGTGCTAGGGGTGCTGGACACCTGCTGGATCCATAGCTGCGTGTCTTCCACCCACTCCCTGTGGCAGACACAGCGAGGCTGAGCAAAACCCGTTGACTTGAAGGTCCCTAGCACATGAGCAGAGGGCCCTTTGAGCCCTCTGCCTGAGTAGTGGTGAGGGGCAGCTTTGCCACCAACCCACCAGAATCCTCCATCCCTTGGGGTGTGAGGCTCCAAAGCCACACCCACTATGCTGCCTCCACAGGGATCTTGGGAATGGGTAGGTGGTAGACAATTTCCACCTTGGCAACGGGCCTCTGTGAAATCATTCCCCACTGTTCCAGATCTTACCCTCCTAACATGCTGAAGACCGATTTATGGTTGTTGCTTGATGTGAACAGTAGGAACTACCCACCAACTTACGGGGTGGGAAACACAGGACATCATGAACCTTGTGCGAGCCAGAAAGAGGCAGATGTGTGTATCGGGGTGGAGAGGTTCATGAAGGTGTGTGCCTGCGTAGGCCCCCATTTCCCTTTTCCTCATAGCCTTACCAACTGTGCTGTCAACTTATTACATAAAAATAGATGAAAAGGCATGTCCTTTTATCAATGTGGCTGCAGAAGAAAAAAGCAAGAAAAGGAGATCATGTTGGGCAGGGGTGCTCTGCTATAGCAAATTCTCAAGGAAGGCCTGGAAGAAATGAAAGGAACCAGGAGAATATCAAGGGGAGAACATCTTTGGCAGTGAAAACACCAGCTGTCAGGGCCCTGTGGTAGGAGAGTGAATGAGGCATTTCAGAAATAGCAAGTGAGGTCCCTGTGGATTCAGCACAGTGAACAAGAAACAGAATAACAGGAGATAAGGTCAGGGATACATCGTAGGCCAGATCATGCCACATCTTCCAGGCCATTGTAAGGATTTTTGATTTTAGTCTGAGATGGGAAGCCACAAAAGAGTTTCTGGCAGAGACTGGCATGATCTGACTTATGACTTAGGGGCTGTATGGAGGATAGATTCTAGGAGCAGAGTGGAAGCAGTGTTTTCAGATAGGAGGCCACTGCAGCAGTGCGAGTGGCCACCAGTGACTAGGAGCAAGATGGTGGAAGCAGAGGTGGTGAAAAGTGGTTGGATTTGGGAAAGAATTTGAAGGTGGAGCCAAAAGAATGTGACGAAGGATAGGACACATGCTGTGAGAGTGATCAAAAGGAATGAAAGGTGGTTTGAGTCCCTAGTAAAAAGGAGAATACGGGGGATGAGCAGATTGGGGAAGGAAGAAATTGTGATTTAGTTTGAATATATTGAGTTTGAGATGTCTATTAGATATCTTCATGAAGATAATGAGGAAGCAGAAGACTATATGGTCCTGGAGTTTAGTGGAGAAGACAGGGCTGGAAATACACATTTGGGAGCCATCAGCACATAGGTGGTATCTAAAGCCATGAGATTGGGTGACAGCATGCAGGAAATGAGGGTAGATTGAGAAGAGGTCTCCCACCACCCTGCCAGGATCCAGCCATATGTAAGTTCTAGGAGCTCTGTGATACTGGGAGGAAACCCCAGCCAGGAACAGAGGCAGAGTGCCTCCCCCCACACTCCCAAAATCCACGATGTAAAAGCTTAGGCCTTCTCCCAGCCACTGCTCCTACTTTCTTACCTTGGGGGTAGTATGGCATTCAAGATTTCTTCTGCCTGCTTTGTAGGATCTGGGACACAGGGAGTTGAGGGGAGCTTGGTCTTGGGTGGCTGTGGGGCTGAACCTGAAGGTCCAGGCTGCTGGGGGCTGACTTTCAGTAGCCGAGCCTGAGATGAAGGCACAGGTGAGGGCAGGAAATTGTTCAGGAGCTCAGCTCCACACATCCCCAACCTGTATATTGCTCCAGGTCTTCTGCACAGCCCTCCCCTCTTCCTAGCCTACTTTGGGTCGGTCTTCTCAGCAGAAATTATGTCACAGAGCTGAAGGAGGCCATGAAGTCTGGCCCCAACTCAATGCTTGAACAGGTGTTTCTGGCGCATGTGCTTTCACACCTCTGGTGATGGGGAAATCACTACCTAGTCATCTGTTCTTGGACCCGCGTACCATTAAGAAGAGTGAGCCCCATCCATCTCCCTGTGACCTCCTTCCCCATCCTAAATCTGCCCTCTGGGGTCACACCCAACATCTGGGCTTCCTATACAATCCTCTCACCCTCCTTCTCTGACTTCCCAATTCCCTTTACTCCCAGTCGCTGCAATCCCCGTCCCTTGAGATTCCTGACCCTCCATGCGGGAATGTGTCTTTCCCTATCGGAGTTTCGAGGCTCCTTTGTCTCCCGAGCCCCCGTCTTTACCTTGGGGCTCCGTTTCTCCGTGTTCCGGCTCACCAGCACTGGGGTGTCGTACTTGAGCAAAGAGTCTGCGGGCGGAATCATGGCGGAGGCGAGAGTAGCAACCCAGCAGCTGCCCTGTCCAGTGTGGGCCTTGTTTGCCGTCACCATGGAAACCGCCCCCTCACTCCCGCCCCCGCGCTTCTTGGCCTGGGCGGAGCTTCGAAGTGGGGCGGGGCCAACAGCCGGCAAGTTTCATTCTGTGCCTCCTGGGCAGAAACCTCTTGTGCCTGACTTCTTAGGCCTTCTGCTCACCGGTTCGTCCCTGTACTCTTGGAGGCGAGGAAAACGGCAGTTCGAGTCCCTATGCTCCGTCTAGCTAGCGATTTGAAGTGGGCAGATCACCTTTGCCATGCTCCAATTTTGTCACCTGAAAAACAGGAGTCATCTCCTGACTTCTCATGAAGGGTTAAGGGACAATTCCCAAAGGAAGTCATCTGGAGTTCCTAGGTTTTTTGAAGGTTTTTTTTGTTGTTGTAGTTGTTCCCAAAATGTGTTCATTGAGATTGTTTCCCACTCATCTTGATTCAGAGTGCTTTTAGTGCTGCTTCCTCCTGAAGGAACATCCTTCTGTAAGCCTTACTTTTCCTCCTGTAGGCTGGCAGAGGACAGTGGAGCAGCCAACACACAAAACTGCCGTTTGTGCATGGCTAAAGACTGTGGTGATTTTATAGCATCCTGGGCATTTCACATCCATGAAGTAGGAATTGGGGCTCTGCACCAGGCGTTTCTTCTTGTGTTTCCTCTTCTCCTCTTCTGGGGAGGGATGAAGGAGATCCTTTGCGAGAGGCATGTTCTCGTGGGTAGGTCGTCACCGCAAGAAAGGGCTTGTTTTGATTTTTAAATTGAGACGGAGTCTCTCTCTGTTGCCCAGGCTGAAGTGCAGTGGCGTGATCTCGGCTCACTGCAACCTCCGCCTCCCGGGTTCAAACGATTCTCCTGCTTCAGCCTTCTGAGTAGCTGGGACTACAGGCGCGTGCCCCCATGCCCGGCTAAATTTTGTATTTTTAGTAGAGACGGGGTTTCACCACGTTGGCCAGGCTGGTCTCGAACTCCTGACCTCGTGGTCCGCCTGCCTCGGCCTCCCAAAGTGCTGGGATTACAGGCGTGAGCCACCGCGCCCAGCCTGAAGTATTTTTCTAATTAAATGGAGAAATGACAAAGTAGGAGCCAATGGGAAACCTCCCCTTTGCCCCCTGAAGATTCGCTCAAAAATCAATTCACAAAAGGCAGATTAATTGGAGAAAAGGCATACAAATGTATTTAAAATGTATACACGGGGAGAATCACAGTATGATTACCCACCCCGAAAAGGGTTCAGAAGCTTATATACCCTCCTGGTAAAACAGGTTTGTGAGGGTGGGAGAAGGAGGAATTCTGTTCAGGGATTACTAGGCAGAATGAATGAATAAGGGAACAGAGATAAATTTGTAAATAGTTTTTTGTGTTTTTTTTTTTGTTTTGGTTTGGTTTTTTTGAAGACAGGGTCTCACTCTGTAGCCCTGGCTGGAGTGCAGTGGTGCCATCACGGCTCACTGCAGCCTCCAACTCCTGGGCTCAAGCGATCCTCCTGTCTCTGCTGGGACCACAGGCACGAGCCACTAGCCCCTGCCAAATTTAATTTTTTTGTAGAGACAGTCTTGCTATGTTAGGCAGTTTGGTCTCAAACTCCTGGCTTCAAGCGATTTTCCTGCCTTGGCCTCCCAAAGCGCCGGAATTACAGGCTGCAGCCACCGTGCTCGGCTGTAAATAGCTACTTTTGACAGTATAAGGGTCTCTGGTCAGGTGTGATTACATTCTTGGGTGGAGAAGAAAGAAACAATTATTCCTTTTGGTAGTCTGGATCTTAGGCAGATAAAGACCTGTGCTTTGGGAGAGATGATGGGCACTGGAAAGGAACATTGAGGCTTCTTCAGTTCAGCTTGTCAGTGAGCCGTATTTTGGGGTTTTGGTTTCTGAGCCCCAACAGCATTGCAGAAAGTTCAGGAAATAGAAGAGGAAAAGCTAATGATTTGAAAAGCTAATGATTTGCCCATGGGTTATCATCTCTGATTGCATTTCCATTTCTTCCTCCCTTCTATTTCCAAATGTAAATGTAATTATAGTTTGCACACAATTTTGTATCCTGCTTTATCGTTAACAAGTCAGGGTTTTTAAAGTTTGTAAATGGTTTACTAATGGCCACATAACACCCATTAATTTGGCTAACTTCCCTACTGCTGGTATTTACATTGTTTCCACGTTTTGTAATTACTAATAATGTGGCAACAAACAGCCTTGAGAGGTTTGCTTTTTCCCAGTTTTTGTTGTTGTTTGTTTTTGAGACATCTCGCTCTGTTGCCCAGGCTGGAGTGCAGTGGTGAGATCCCTGCTCACTGCAACCTGCGCCTCCAGTTCAAGTGATTCATTTGCCTCAGCCTCCCGAGTAACTGGGATTGCAGGTGCGCGCCACCACACCCGGCTAATTTTTGTATTTTTAGTAGAGACGGGGTTTTGCCATGTTGGCCAGGCTGTTCTCTAACTCCTGACCTCAGTGATCCGTCAGCCTCGGCCTCCCAAAGTTCTGGGATTACAGGCGTGAGCCACCACTCCCAGCCAGAAGTTTGTTTTTGAAACTTGAAACTCCCGCCACCCAAGCCTGTCGCTGCGGCCACACCCACTAGGGAGTAGTCACGTGTTTAACCTTTGCCGCGAGGATTTCTGGGAGCCTGGGCACCCCGGAAGCGGAAGTCCAGGAGTTAAACTCGTCATTTCCTCCAGCTAGAGGAGCTCAACTGATCTGTTTTCTTTCGCCCAGCCAAAATCACAGAATGAAGGCGGTGAAGAGCGAACGGGAGCGAGGGAGCCGGCGAAGACACCGGGACGGGGACGTGGTGCTGCCGGCGGGGGTGGTGGTGAAGCAGGAGCGTCTCAGCCCAGAAGTCGCACCTCCCGCCCACCGCCGTCCGGACCACTCCGGTGGTAGCCCGTCTCCGCCGACCAGCGAGCCGGCCCGCTCGGGCCACCGCGGGAACCGAGCCCGAGGAGTTAGCCGGTAAGTGGGGGAGCAGTCCAGGATGGACATTGGGTTGGGCTCATTCAGAAAGGCGGGCAGGGCTAGCGTCCGAAACAGGTTTTGAATGGTGGGCGCAGCAGCCCGGACTTAATCCTGAGGGGCTGTTGAGAGTGATCCAGTCGTGCTTGTGTTATGCTTGCTCTGTCACTTGCATTATAGCTCGGTGTTCAACGCCTAATGACTAACCGGCAGGATCCCACTCCTTCATTCTTGTGTTCCTAGCACTTCGAAGAGTGTGGCCCAACAGATAGCACTGATAATCTGTTAAATTGGATTGAGATTTTCCCCATCCCTCCCACAAATGGAGTGTGGGCGTTGTCTTTCCGGTTACCTGCCAGAAAGGTTTTCACATCGAGGTCTAAGCGAGCTACCTAACAGAAACTGGGGAAAAAAAAAAAGTTACTTCTTGCTAGACTCATTTATTTATGCATTCATTCACCATAGTTTTACTGAGTGCCTATTAAGTGTTAAAGACTGCCCTAGGTATTGGGGCTGCAAGGGTGATTCAGTTAGATGATCTTCACCGATGCCAAATTGGCTATGCTCTAACCCTGAGACATGATAAAAAAATAAACAAAATAGTTTCAGTTAGTAACAAGTATTATTGATAGATTAAAACAGTAATGTGATAGTGAGAGATTGGAGAGAAGAGGGAGGAGGACTCTCTAAAGAGGTGCCATTTGAGCCCAGACCTGACTGATAAGAATGATCCAACCTCTTAAAGATCCAGGCAGAGGAAACAACATCTGCAAAGAACCTGAAGTAGAATGAATTATGATTGAAATGGGAAAAAGCCAGTGTCGGTGGATTATAGTGGTCAAGAAGGTGGGTGGTAGGAATGAGATGGCACAGGGAGGAAGTAGAACCACAGGATGGAGGGATTGTTATTGATGGTAGGGGTGTTGGTAGTGAAGGATAAAGAGTCAAGGGTGACTTACGGATGGTGATGCCAATCAGCGAGATGGCAAGGAGTAGGAGAGGAAAGGTTTTTGAAGGGTTGGGAATTAAGAGTTATGTTACCTAAGTGAGAAGGTTCAGTAGACAGTTGTCTATGTGAGTATGGAATGCAAGGGAGATGTTAGGGCTAGGAAAGTGAACCTCGTGACTCCTTTAATGTGACCGGCAGAGACCTTCACAAATGCGGTGTTTGTGTTAGTAGGTAAGCCTGATACTGGAAGCTAATTTTTATGGGGGAAGGGAAATTGCGATAAAATCCTGTGTACCATGCTCTGAATAGGTCCCCACCCAAAAAGAAAAACAAGGCCTCAGGGAGAAGAAGCAAGTCTCCTCGCAGTAAGAGAAACCGAAGTCCTCACCACTCAACAGTCAAAGTGAAGCAGGTAAGTGGATTGGGGTGTTTTGATGGGTCCAAATTGAGAGCCTTTTCCTATCACAGCTAAAGAGGAATGTGTGTGTGTGTTGTGTGTGTGCACACATGTGCACGTACGCTCGCCTACATCTCTACTTGTACCTCCGATGGGCTTTTCTGAAAACTGGCTGTATTTATTTTTTCTGCTTGTTTGCTTAAATTAAACTTTTTATTTTGAGATTATTATTGGTTCACATGCAGTTGTCAGAAATAATTCAGGGAGATATACTCTTCCTGGTTTCTCCCAGTGGTAACATCTATTCATAACAGAACTGTGGTACAATATCATCATCAGAATATTGACATCGATATAGTCAAGATAACATTTCCTTCACCGCAAGGAATACCTCGTGTTGTCCTTTTGTAGCCAAACCCACTTATCTCCCACTTTTATCCTTCCTTAACTTCTGTCAACTTCTAATCTGTTCTTCATTTCTATAATTTTGTCATTTCAAGAATGTTATGTAAATGGAATCATACAGTATGTAACCTTTAGGATTGTCTTTTCTCACTCAGCAGAATCCTTTGGAGATTGATTCAGGTTGCATCTCTCAGTAGTTTGTTCCATTTCATTGCTGAGTGGTATCCAAATGGCATGGATTTAGCCACTTACTCATTAAAGAACATCTGGGTTGTTTCCATTTTTTGGCTATTACACATAAAGCTGCTATATAGACATTTGTGTACAGGTTTTTATGTGAACGTTAAGAGTTCATTTCTCTGGGATAAATGCTCAGGAGTACAATTGCTGGATTGTACGGTAGTTGCAGGTTTAATTCTTTTAAGAAATTGCCAGACTGTTTTCCAGAGTGGCTGTATTAGTTTACCTAGGGCCACCATAATGAAATACCATAGAGTAGGTGGCTTAAACAACAGAAATTCATTTTCTTGTAGTTATGGGGCTAAAAGTCAAAAATTAGGGTGTTAGCAGGTTTGGAATCTCCTGAAAAAAAATCCTCTGTCCTTGGATTGCAGATGGCTACCTCTTTGCTATATCCTCAAATGATCTTTCTTCTGTCCTGTTGTCTTTTCTCAGCCATATTGGATTAGGGCCCTACCCTCATTTTAACTTAACCAGCTCTTTAAAGACCTCATCTCCAAAAAGTTATTAATACATTCTGAGGTACTTGGGTTTGGTACTTTAACATGCTAATTTTGGAGGGTACAATTTAGTCCGTAATAGTGGCTGTATCATTTTATATTCCCACCAGCAATGTATGAATGATCCGGTTTCCCTGTATCTTTATCAGCATTTCAAGTTATCACTTTATTTTAGCCATTCTGATAGGCGTGTAGTGGTATTTCATTGTGATTTTAATTTGCGTTTTCCTTTTTTTTTTTTTTTTGAGACAGAGTCTGGCTCTGTCACCCAGGCTGGAGTGCAGTGGCACGATCTCGGCTCACTGCGACCTCCGCCTTCTGAGTTCAAACGATTCTCCTGCCTCAGCTTCCCGTAATTTGCATTTTCCTAATGGCTTATGATATTGGACATCTTTTCTTTGTGTGTCAGTGTGTGTGTGTGTGTGTGTGTGTGTGTGTGTCACCCAGGCTGGAGTGCAATGGCGTGATCTTGGCTCACTGCAATCTCCCCTTCCCAGGTTCAAGTGATTCTCCTGCCTCAGCCTCCTGAGTAGCTGGGATTACAGATGCCCACCACCACGCCCAGCTAATTTTTTGTATTTTTAGTACAGAAAGGGTTTCACTATGTTGGCCAGGCTGGTCTCAAACTTCTGACCTCGTGATCTGCCTGCCTCGGCCTCCCGAAGTGCTGGGATTACAAGCGTGAGCCACTGCACCTGGCCTTGGACGTCTTTTCATGTGCTTATTTGCCATCTATATGTATCTTCTCAGGTGCAATGTCTCATGTCTTTTGCCTGTTTATTTTTTATTTTTTATTTTTTATTTTTTGAGACGGAGTTTCACTCTTGTTGCCCAGGCTGGAGTGTAATGGCGCGATCTCAGCTCATTGCAACCTCAGCCTCCCAGGTTCAAGGGATTCTCCTGCCTCAGCCTCCCAAGTAGCTGAGATTACAGGCTCGTGCCACCATGCCCAGCTAATTTTTGTATTTTTAGTAGAGATGGGGTTTCGTCATTTTGACCAGGCTGGTCCTGAACTCCTGACCTCTGGTGATTCACCTGCCTCAGCCTCCCAAAGTGCTGGGATTACAGCAAAGTGAGCCACCATGCCCAGCTATCTTTTGCCTGTTTTCTAATACTATTATTTGCTTTTTTACTGTTTAGTGTTTAAGAATTCTTTTTATATTGTGGATACTAGCCCTTTGGGGATAAATGGTTTACAAATATTTTTTCCCAGTCTGTAGCTGTCTTCATTTTCTTAACAGGGTTTATCTCAGAGCAAAAGTTTTTAATTTCAATGAAGTCCAGCTTATCTGTTTTTCCTTTTATGGATTGTGCTTTTGATGTCATGGCTAAGAACTTTTTGCCTAGCCCTAGATCTCTGAAATTTTCTCCTAAATTTTTTTTCTTAAAAGTCCATGATCTGCTTTCAGTTTCTTTTCAGGGTTTCAGGGTTTTTGTTTTGTTTTGTTTTGTTTTGTTTTGTTTTTGTTTTTTTTGCCTATGAATGTCCACTTGCATCAACACCATTTGTTGAAAAGACCATCTTTCCTCCAATGAATTACTTTTGCTCTTTTGTCAAAAATCAGTTGGGCATATTTGTGTGGGTCTATTTCTGGAATCTCTGTTCTGTTTCATTTGTCAGTGTCTGTCACTCTGCCAATACCACACAGTCTTGATTACTATAGCTATATAATAAGTCTTGAAATTGTATGGACTGATTTTTCCCATTGTAGTCTTCTTTATAAAAATTGCTTTAGCTATTCAGCTTCTTTTTTCATCCATGTAAGTTTTAGAACAATCTTGCCTCTATTTTTAAAAAGTCTGGGCCGGTCACAGCGACTCATGCCTGTAATCCCAACACTTTGGGAGGCTGAGGTGGGCAGATCACTTGAGCTCAGGAGCTCCAGACCAGCCTGGGCAACATGGTGAAACCCATCTGTACAAAAAATACAAAAATTAGTTGGGCGTGGTGGCATGCCTGTGGTCCCAGCTACTCAGGAGGCTGAGTAGCTCCTGAGTGGGAGGATTACTTGAGCCTAGGAGGTTGAGGCTGCGGTGAACAGTGATCATACCACTGCACTCCAGCCTGGGCGACAGAGTGAGATCTGAAAGAAAAGTCTTGCTAGGATTTTGATAGGATTTGTGTTAAACTGGCGTTTGGGGGCAATAATTGACTTTTTACTATGTTAAATCTTCTAATCCATGAACATTGTGTATCTCCCCTTTTATTTAGATCATCTTTGATATCTTTTATCAGTGGTTGTAGTTTTCAGCTTATAAATCCTATACATATTTCTTTGTGGAATGATTATAAAGGGTATTTTAAATGAGTGTCCAAATGTTCATTGTTACTATATAGAAATATAATTCATTTTTGTGTGTTTATCTTCATCCTATATCCTTGCTGAACTAATGTATTCTAGTTTTTTTTTTTTTTTAAGATTACTTGGGATTTTCTACGTAGACAATCATATCTACAAATAGGGACAGTTTTATTTCTTCCTTTACAATCTGAATGCATTTTATTTCCTTTTGTTGTTTGCATTAGTCCGTTTTCATGCTGTTGATAAAGACATACCCGAGACCCGGCGATTTACAAAAGAAAGAGGTTTAATGGACTTACAGTTCCACATGGCTGGAGAGGCCTCACAATCATGGTGGGAAGCAAGGAGGAGCAAATCACACGGATGGCGTCAGGCAAGGAGAGATAAAAGAGTAATGAGAGCAGACACTCTTGCCTTATTCTCAATTTTGAGGGATGAGAATTCAGTCGTCTTTTTTTTTTTTTTTTCTTTTTTTTTTGAGACGGAGTCTCGTTCTGTTGCCCAGGCTGGAGTGGCGCAATCTCTGCTCACTGCAGCCTCCGCCTCCTGGGTTCAAGGGATTCTCCTGCCTCAGCCTCCCAAGTAACTGGGATTAGAGTCTGGGCCGATCACAGTGGCTCATGCCTGTAATCCCAGCACTTTGGGAGGCCGAGGCGGGTGGATCACCTGAGGTCAGGAGACCAGCCTGGCCAACATGGTGAAACTTCGTCTCTACTAAAAATACAAAAATTAGCTGGGTGTGGTGGTGGGCGCGTGTAATCCCAGCTACTTGGGAGGCTGAGGCAGGAGAATCACTTGAACCTGGGAGGCGGGGATTACAGTGAGCCAAGATCGCACCACTGCACTCCAGCCTGGGTGACAGAGCAAGACTGTTTTAAAAAAAAAAGCAAATTTTAAAAGACAAATAACAGTATAACAACTATTTATATAGCATTTACGTTGTATTAGGTATTATAAATAACCTAGTGATGATTTAAAGTATACAGAAGGATATTCACAGATTTTTATATAAGGAACTTGAGCATCCTAAGATATCTTTTTTTTTTTTTTTTTTTTTTTGATATGGAGTCTCGCTGCGTTGCCCAGGCTGGAGTGCAGTGGTGCGATCTCGGCTTACTGCAAGCTCCGCCTCCCGGGGTTCACGCCATTCTCCTGCCTCAGCCTCCTGAGTAGCTGGGACTACAGGCGCCCGCCACCATGCCTGGCTAATTTTTTTGTATTTTTTTTTTAGTAGAGACAGGGTTTCACTATGTTAGCCAGGATGGTCTCCATCTCCTGACCTCGTAATCCACCTGCCTTGGCCTCCCAAAGTGCTGGGATTACAGGCATGAGTCACTGCACCTGGCCCTGAGATAATCTTTTTTATCCACTGGGGATCCTGGAACCAATCTCCTGAGGATACCAAATGATTACTTTATTCTTTTCTCAACCTCTGAACCACCATTTTGTGTTTTTTTTTGGTTGTTGTTGTTGTTTGTTTGGTGAAGTGTTGCTCTGTTGCCCAGGCTAGAGTGCAGTAGTGTGATCTTGGCTCACTGCAATCTTTGCCTCCTGGGTTCAAGCGATTCTCGTGCCTCAACCTCCCCAGTAGCTAGGATTACAGGCACGTGCCACCATGCCCGGCTAATTTTTGTATTTTTAGTAGAGACGGGGTTTCACCATGTTGGCCAGGCTGGTCTCAAACTCCTGACCTCAAGTGATCCACCTGCCTCAGCCTCCCAAAGTGCTGGGATTACAGATATGAACCACCGTACCCAACTGAACCACCATTTTCGAAACAAATGTATTGATTACATGCTCATTGTAATAATACAGAGGTATGTAAAATATAAAATGAGAGTATGGTTTACTTCTCTCGTCCCCAAAATTGCACCACCTCCTCAACCAAAAAACCTCCACCTCACTTGCCAGAGGTAATCACTATGATATAGACTCTCTGTCCATCATCACATGGCCTTCTCCCATGAATCTCTCTATCTCTTCTCTTCCAAGGTCACCAGTCACGTGGGATTAATGACCTATATTACTTCAGTATGACCTTAATTTATTACATCTGCAGTGACCCTCTTTCTAAATAACGGAGAGATAAACATTTGAGACTCACCTGCATATAGGTGTATGTAAAGTATTAGGATTAGATGAAAATTACTAAGGAAATGACTGTAGATAGAAGAACAACCAACAAAGGACTGAATCCAGGGGCGATCCAGTGTGAAGAAATTGCAGTGACATCAGCAAAGAAGACTGGAAAGAAAGAGAAGCAAGAGAATCTGGTAACTTGAAGCCATTAGAAGGAAGTGTGTTGAGGATAGAGTGATTAACTCTGTTAGATGCTGCTGATAGTTAAGTGAAATGAAGACTGAGAATTGGCCACTGGATTTAGCAACATGGAGGTCACTGGTGATCTTGACCAGCAATTTTAGTGGAGTAATAAGGGTGAGACCTGATTGGAGGGGTTCAAGGGAAGACAGAGGAGAGGAATTGGGAACTGAATTTTTAAAAACAATACTTTTTCTTTCTTTCTTTCTCTTTTTTTTTGAAACAGAGTCTCACTCCGTCACCCAGGCTGGAGTGCAGTGGTGCAATCTTGGCTCACTGCAACCTCCACTTCTGGCGTTCAAGTGATTCTTCTGCCCCAGCCTCCCAAGTAGCTGGGACTGTAGGCACGTGCCACCACATCCAGCTAATTTTTGTATTTTTAGTAGAGATGGGATTTCACCATGTTGGCCAGGCTGGTCTTGAATCCCTGACCTCAAGTGATCCACCCACCTCAGCCTCCCAAAGTGCTAGAATTACAGACATAAGCCACCACACCCGGCCGTTATGGCTTATTATAATGACTCTTAATAAGGGATAAAGGACATGATGAGATTAGTCCTGGTGAACTCAAGGCAGATAGCAGTGGCAAGCTTGTAAATGTTTTGGAGTAGGAAGGGTGGTTGTCTGAGGCTCTCTCTTGATGCATGTCTGTGCTAGGCTAGGAAGTCTAGAAAAACTGAGTCCCACTCTAAGCAAGCAGCCCCTCACTTGAGCCCTGTGTATGGCAGGGAGCGGGGGGGGGGGGGGTCTTAGTCCCAGTGCTTCCACTTTTAGGGTATTGCGAATAATGCTGCAATGAACATGGATGCTCAAGTATCTATTTGAGACCCTGCTTTCATTTGTTTGGGATATCCAGAAATGGGATTGCTGGATCATATGGCGATTCTATTTTTAAATTTTTTATGGAACCACTGTACTGTTTTCCGCACTAACTATACCATTTTACATTCCCACCAGCAGTGTACAAGGGTTCTGATTTTTCCACATCTTTGCCAATACTTGTTATTTTCAGTTTTTTGATAGTAGCCATCCTAATGGGTGTGGAGTCACCTAAATTTTTAGTTTTTAATTTTATTTTTATTATTATTTTTAGAGAGGGCGGCGGGTGGGTCTCACTATGTTACCCAGGCTGGTCTCGAACTCCTGGACGCAAGTGATCCACCCGCCTCGGCCTTCCAAAGTGCTGGGATTACAGGTGGGAGCCACTGCGTCCTGCCTGCCTAATCATTTTTATTATTATTATGTATTTTTTAAATTAGGGGCCATGCTAATTTTTGTGTCATTCTAATTTTCTCCCTAATCATTTTGAAAGTCTCTTACTGCTCTCTGCTTTAAAATTTTTAACCTTAATTATCTGTAAACATTTTTGTACCTTACCTAGTCCATAACAAGAAGTTTTTTCTTTGTTTTTTTTTTTTTTTTGGTGGGGGCGGGGGGTACCAAATTTCTTTATTTGAAGGAATGGTACAAATCAGCTTAAGTGGATGTTTTGGTACAACTTATAGAAAAGGTAAAGGAGACCCCAACATGCATGCACTGCCTTGGTGACCAGGGAAGTCACCCCATGGCTATGGGGAAATTAGCCTAAGGCTTAGCTTTCATTATCACTGTCTCCCCGGGGTGTGCTTGTCAGAGAAATATTCTGCCAAGCCAGATTCGGGTGCCCTCATCTTGCGCAAGTTGGTCACATGGTCACCCAATTCTTGATGGATTTCCCCTGCTCATTCAGGTAATGTGTTTCAGTGAAGTCACACAAATGGGGGTAATTTTGTCGGTGGCCAGTTTGTGCAGTTCCAGTAGTGACTGATTCCCAAGTTTTTCCAAATGTAATGCATGCTCCATCGCATTCAGCCTGCTCTCCCAGTCATCATGGTCTGGTTTCTTGAAGTCCCGAAGGAAGAAGATTCAGCCACCTCATTGGTTCTGCAGCTTCATCAGTTTCTTGGCATGTTCCCTCTCCTCATGAGATTGGTGAAGAAAGTATTTGGCAAAGTTCTTCAAAGCCACATCATTGTGGTCAAAGTAGTAAGACATGGACAGGTAGATGTAGGAGGCATAGAGCTCCACGTTGATCTGGCGGTTGATGGCGGTAGTTCTGGCGCACCTGCGAGGGGGACGCGCAGTCGTCATGGTGGTGGCCACGGTGGCTGTGCGGCGGTGGCTGCACGGCGCTGGAGTGGCGGCGGGGGCCTTGGGACAGTCAGAGGGCCCAGTGAAGAGGTAACAGAGGGCTAGCTATGGGCGGCCAGCCGGAGTGGGGTACGAGTGCCTGGTTCCGTCCAAGCACTGTTGAACCAGGAAACTCCAGGGACTTTCCGCAAAGAACGTCTCATTTTTTTCTTTTTGAAACAAGAATACACAACAACATTTTTGTACATGAATGAAGTCCTTGGGGATCTACATCTATAAGACTTGTTTCTTTCTTTCTTTTTTTTTTTTTTTTTTTGAGACAGAGTCTCATTCTGTCCACCCAGGCTGGAGTGCAGTGGCGTGATCTCGGCTCACTGCAACCTCCGCCCTCCGAGTTCAAGTGATTCTCCTGCCTCAGCCTCCCAAGTAGCTGGGATTACAGGCGCCTGCCACCGCGCCCTTCTAATTTTTTGTATTTTTAGTACAGACAGGGTTTCACCATCTTGGCCAGGCTGGTCTTGAACTCCTGACCTTGTGATCCACCCACCTCAGCCTCCCAAAGTGCTAGGATTGCAGGCGTGAGCCACTTCGCCCGGCCTCTTGTTTCTTTTTTTTTTTTGAGACGGAGTCTCTCTTTGTCGTTCAGGCTACAATGCAGTGGCTCCATCTCTGTTCACTGCAACCTCCACTTCTGGGTTCAAGTGATTCTCCTGCCTCAGCCTCCCGAGTAGCTGGATTACAGGCATGCGCTACCACACCTGGCTAATTTTTGCATTTTTAGTAGAGACGGTTTCACCATGTTGACCAGGCTGGTCTTGAACTCCTGACCGACCTCAAGTGACCTGCCCCCCCCCTTGCCCTCCCAAAGTGCTGGGATTACAGGCGTGAGCCACCATGCCCAGCCTATAAGACTTGTTTCTGCTGCCTCTCATGCTCAGTGGCTTGTTTCCATTTCCTTGTGTGTGTCTAGTATTCTTTAGTATTTGAGCTTATGCTTAGGGCTCAAATCTTTTTTTTTTTTTTACCCCCCTTTGGAGATTTTTTTTCTCATTGGAGATTTTGCCTTGCTTATTGAAAGCCCAACAGTGCATTAAAAATTTAATAAGTATCTAGTTAAATTATAGTGGGAACATCTCTCCAAGTAGCTCATCTGCCAAGTCTATATATAGAAATATGTGGTCTTATTGTGAAACTTGCCCCTTCTCTTTTTTCCCCTCCCATTTAACAATATATTAGATATCTTTCTATGTCATTATCTCATTCTTTTTCATGGCTGTGAAGTATTCCTTTGTATGAATAGATAATAATTTAACCATTCTACCATTGCAGGACATTAGGTTGTTTCCAGTTTTTTTTTTAAATTACGAAATTACAGTAAACACATTCATATGTATGTCTTTGTGCGTTTCTGCTAGTATTTCTGTAGGATTGATTTCTATAAGTGGCATTAGTGGTTGATGAGATTTTGATTAAATAATGTCAAATTGACCTAAATAGGCTATGCTAGTTTATACCTGTACCAGCAGTGGCTGAAAATACCCATTTTTCCTGTACCTTCTTTTTTGACTCTAGATATTATTGATCTTTTTAATTTTACTAATTAAGGAGAGAAAATTCATATTTCTTTTAGAATTTGATGCTTTGGTTATTAGGGTAAGCATATCTTCATGTATTTATTGGACATGTAATTCTTTTTTTTTTTTTTTCAAGACAGGGTCTCTGTTGCCAAGGCTGGACTGCAGTGGTATGATCATAGCTCACTTCAGCCTCGACCTCCTGGGCTCAAGTGATCATCCCACCTCAAATTCCGAAATAGCTGAGATTACAGGTGCATGCTGTCGTGCCTGGCTAATTTTTGTATTTTTTGTAGAAATGGGGTTTTGCCATGTTGCCCTGAGCTTAAGCAGTTCTCCTGCCTTGGCTTCCCAAAGTGCTGGGATTACAGGCGTGACCCACTGTGCCCGGCCCTTGGACATTTATTTCTTCTGAAAATTGTTCATTTTTCTGTTCTTTTTTTATTTTTGAGACAGAGTCTTGCTCTGTCATCCAGGCTGTAGTGCAGTGGTGGAATCTTGGCTTACTGCAATCTCTGCCTCCCAGGCTCAAGCGATCCTCCCACCTCAGCTTTCCGAGTAGCTGGGACTACAGGCATGCACCACTGTGCCCAGCTAATTTTTGTATTTTTAGTAGAGACAGAGTTTCGCCATGTTGCCCAGGCTGGTCTCAAATTCCTGGGCTCAAGCGATCCATCGCCTTGGCCTCCCAAAGTGCTGGGATTACAAGTGTGAGCCACTGGCACCTGACCATTTATCAGTTTCTCTGTTGAATTATTTCTTATTGATATATTAATATGCAGTAGTCTCCCCTTATCTGTGGTTTCACTTTCTGCATCTGAAAATATTAAATGGAAAACTCCAGAAAAAAACAACTCATAAAATTTAAATTGGTCACTATCCTGAGTCACTTGGTATAAACTTCTGCTGTCCCACCAGGAACGTGAATCCTTCCTTTGTCTGGTGTATCTGTGCTGTATGCGCTACCTGCCTGTCCATCACTTAGTAGCCATCCTGATTTTCAGAAAACTGTTGCAGTTTGCAGTGCTTGGATTCAAGTAACCTTTATTTTATTTAGTAGTGGCCCCAAAATGCAATAGTAGTGATTTTGGCAATTAGGAATGCTAAAGAGAAGCTGTAAAGTGCTTCCTTTAAACGAAAAGTTGAAAGTTCTCAACTTAAAGAAATTAAAACAAAAAAAAACTTTTCAAATCATATATTGAAGTTGCTAAGATCGATAGTAAGAATGAATCTTCTATTGTGAAATTGTGGAGAAGGAAAAAGAAATTCATGCTAGTTTTGCTGTTGTACCTCATACTGTAAAAGTTATAGCCACAGTTCACAAGTGCTTAGTTAAGATGGAAAAGGCATTACATTTATGGGTGGAAGACATGAACAGAAATGTGTTGCATTTGATGGCAGTCAGGTTCGGTACTATCCGTGGTTTCAGCCATCCACCATACTTAAAATGTATCCCCCTGGGACTACTGTATGGTTTGTGTTGCAAACATTTTCTACCAGGCTGAATTTTTTTTTTTTTTTTTTTTGAGAAGGAGTTTCACTCTTGTTGCCCAGGCTGGAGTGTAATGGCGTGATCTCGGCTCACTGCAACCTCTGCCTCCCAGGTTCAAGCGATTCTCCTGCCTTAGCCTCCTGAGTAGCTAGGATTACAGGCATGTGCCACCACACCTGGCTAATTTTGTATTTTTAGTAGAGACAGGGTTTCATCATGTTGGTCAGGCTGGTCTGGAACTCCTGACCTCAGGTGATCCACCCGCCTCGGTCTCCCAAAGTGCTGGGATTACAGGCTTGAGCCACCATGCCTGGCCTAGGCTGATTTTCATTGCTATCTTTTTCAAGAAATCATGGTATGTTTCTCCATTTCTTCACATCTTTAAAAAACATTTATTTTAATGAATTTTTACAGATTTCTTCTTATATGTCTTTCATGTTTCTTAAGTTTATTTCTAGGTATTGAATTTTTTTTTTAACTATGGAAGTAGGATTTAAAAACTTACTATTATATTTTCACTTTTGGCATGAGAGAAAGCTAGTTTCTTTCTTTACATATCTTGTACCTGACTACTTAACTCTTAGTTCTATTTTCTGTATATTCTTCCCTGTAAGTTTGCCCATAGTTACCTTTGTTCTGAAAAGGAGGGAATTATTTTTCCTTCTCCTTTCTGGACTAAATAGTCTCTTGTTTTTAGGGCTGTGGACCTGGACTTGTGCTATTAGGGCTATAGTTGAATAGCAGCATGGGATATCATCTTTGTGGCCTTGCGAGGGAACATAACCACCAGACATAATCTTATTTCTGTGGGAAATGTTGTTCTAAATGCCAAAGTCCAAATTACAAGACTTTTTGCATGCACTTCGTTCAAAAAGAACAAGATTTGGGCTGCCTTTAGATTGTGCACTGCGTTTAAATTACAGAATCTGTTTGAATTTTAGGAGCGTGAGGATCATCCCCGGAGAGGACGGGAGGATCGGCAGCACAGGGAACCATCAGAACAGGAACACAGGAGAGCTAGGAACAGTGACCGGGACAGACACCGGGGCCATTCCCACCAAAGGAGAACGTCTAACGAGAGGCCTGGGAGTGGGCAGGGTCAGGGACGGGATCGAGACACTCAGAACCTGCAGGCTCAGGAAGAAGAGCGGGAGTTTTATAATGCCAGGCGACGGGAGCATCGCCAGAGGAATGACGTTGGTGGTGGCGGCAGTGAGTCTCAGGAGTTGGTTCCTCGGCCTGGTGGCAACAACAAAGAAAAAGAGGTGCCCGCTAAAGAAAAACCAAGCTTTGAACTTTCTGGGGCACTTCTTGAGGACACCAACACTTTCCGGGGTGTAGTCATTAAATATAGTGAGCCCCCAGAAGCACGTATCCCCAAAAAACGGTGGCGTCTCTACCCATTTAAAAATGATGAGGTGCTTCCAGTCATGTACATACATCGACAGAGTGCGTACCTACTGGGTCGACACCGCCGCATTGCAGACATTCCAATTGATCACCCGTCTTGTTCAAAGCAGCATGCGGTCTTTCAATATCGGTAAGTAACATGGAGGAAGAAACTGTAATGTGAGCAGAAACAATCACTCAGTTAGGATTACTAAGATTTTTGTTCATGTTTATGCAGAAGAATCCCATACCCCTCATATGTTATCTAAAGAGTATTGTTAATCTAACTGCCCTTTAAATAATTGCTTACATATTTATAAGAACATTAAACTTTTAATCTATTTTTTATTTTTTTGTGACAAGGTCTCACTCTGTCACCCAGTCTAGAGTGCAGTGGAGCAAACACAGCTCACTCCAGCGGCAACCTCCTGGGCTCAAATGATTGTCTCCTGCCTCGGCCTCCTGAGTAACTGGGACCACAGGCGTGTGCCTCTGTGCCCAGCTAATTTTGAAACTGGATCTTGATAGCTTGCATGGGACATCTGTGATGATTCTCACAACAATCCTGTGAGAAGGATAGGATAGATTTTTTGTTTTTTGAGACGGAGTCTCGTTCTGTGCCCAGGCTGGAGTGCAGTGGCGCGATCTCAACTCACTGCAACCTCTGCATCCCGGGTTCAAGTGATTCCCCTGCCTCAGCCTCCCGAGCAGCTGAGAGTACAGGCACACACCAGCACACCCAGCTAATTTTTGTATTTTTAGTAGAGACGGGGTTTCATTGTATTGGCCAGGCTGGTCTCGAACTCCTGACCTCGTGATCCGCCTGCCTTGGCCTTCCAAAGTGCTGAGATTACAGGTGTGAGCCACTGCGGCTGGCCCGTTTTGTTTGTTTGTTTTTTAACATGGTCTCCTGACTTCGAATGGACACGTATTTGTATCCCCATTTGACAGATGAGAAGACTGAAGCCCAGCAAAACCAAGTGACTTGCCTAACAAATGATCACTATAGTACAGTGGTCCCCAACCTTTTTGGCACCAAGGACCAGTTTCATGGAAGACAGTTTTTCCATGGAACCGGGGGAATTCGGGATAATTCAAGTGCATTACATTTATTGTGCACTTTATTTTCTAATACTATCACATTGTAATATATAATGTAATAATTATACAACTCACCATAATCTAGAATCAGTGGAAGCCCTGAGCTTGTTTTCCTCCAGCTTGATGGTCCCATCTGGGGGTGATGGGTGACAGTGACAGATCAGGCATTAGATTCTCGTAAGGAGCGCGCAACCTAGATCCCACCTGTGCACAGTTCACAATAGGGTTCATGCTCCTACGAGACTCTAATGCCACTGCTGATCTGACAGGAGGCGGAGCTCAGGCAATGATAATTCAAGTGATGGGGAGCAGCTGAAAATATAGATGAAGTTTGGCTCGCTTGCCTGCTTGCCCGCTGCTCACCTCTTGCTGTGTGGTCCGGTTCCTAACAGGCCACGGACTGGTACCAGTCCATGGCCCAGGAGCTGGGGACCCCTGCCATAGTAGAACTCTGGCTCAAATATAGCTCCCTTGACTCTGAAGTCCAAGTGCACTGTTTTTTCCCATTTGGACAGGAACTAAAATATATTGAAATATAGGTTAAAGAAACATTATGTTGATTATAAACAACAGAAAAAAATGTATTTTCTTAACCACAGCAAGAGACATTGGATTCTGCATTTCCACCTTTTGATCTACCATGGATTCTCCCCACCTTCCAGCAACTCATTCTCACCTTTTTTTTTTTTTTTTTTTTTGAGACAGAGTCTCGCTCTGTTGCCCAGGCTGGAGTGCAGTGGCGTGATCTCGGCTCACTGCAACCTCTGCCTCCTGGGTTCACGCCATTCTCGTGCCTCAACCTCCCAAGTAGCTGGCTCCACAGGCGCCCGCCACCATACCTGCCTAATTTTTTTGTATTTTTAGTAGAGACGGGGTTTCACCATGTTAGCCAGGATGGTCTCCATCTCCTGACCTCGTGATCCGCCCGTCTCGGCCTCCCAAAGTGCTGGGATTACAGGCGTGAGCCACCGCGCCCGGTCCATTCTCACCTTTTCTAAGTATATTTAAACTTCCAATTTTCCTTCCCAGGGCCATGCTTTCCCCTTGATTTCTTTGATTCCCTAGAATTTTAACTTGAATTGTGCTCAAGCCAGGTTATTTACGTCATCTAGGCTATCTTAGCAAAGAGCTTTAGAGAAGCTGGATGATCTGAGGCAGAAGTTTGCTCACAGGTTTCTCCTTTTTTTCTGCTAGGCTTGTGGAATATACCCGTGCTGATGGCACAGTTGGCCGAAGAGTGAAGCCCTACATCATTGACCTTGGCTCAGGCAATGGAACCTTCTTAAACAACAAACGTATTGAGCCACAGAGATACTATGAACTAAAAGAAAAGGATGTACTCAAATTTGGATTCAGTAGCAGAGAATACGTCTTGCTCCATGAGTCGTCGGACACTTCTGAAATAGACAGGAAAGATGACGAGGATGAGGAGGAGGAGGAAGAAGTGTCTGACAGCTAGCAAACTAAGAACCCAAACTATTGATACACGGTTTCCTTCTTGGAAGTCTTTGATTGACTCAGAGAGCACTATGGTGGTGGGTCCAGCACTATGGTGCTCTCTGTAATGCCTCTTACTGCCTTAAGTCTTTCCTCTGTTGCTGACCAGATTGTGTTACCATTTGAATACACTGACTAATGTTTGTTAAACTTTTTCTGTGGCACCTTGGCCACATGCCTGCAGGCATTTGTTTTCAGAACAGTCTCACCAATTACAACACACCGTGTTTTAGTAGAAGTGTTGTGGTTTTAGTTGGTGCTTTCAGAACTGCTGCCTAGGAAACTATAAACCCTTGGTTAAGGGGAAATCATGGCTTGTTCTCTTTGTACAGTTACTTTATTTATATAGGTGTTAAGCTTTGTGGACCAGGTGTTTTTCTTTTGGGGCGAACCCCTGAGCAGAGAATCTTACTAGGCTTTGGTTATCACCAAAACAACCTCCAGTATATACCAAAGCTTTGACTTGTTTGAGCTCTTGAGCTTAGAAGTTGATTTTGCACTTATTTTTTTGGGGGGTGGGAATGTACTGCAGTCAGTAAACATTATTGACTGTTTAACTTAAACAGATGCTTTATGGCACCTGCTCAAGCCCGTGACTGTACAGAAGGATCCTGGTTGCTACCAGTGGGTGCTGATTCAGCATCACAAGTGACTGAAATTGGCTGTGGATCTGTTCTTTGTGAAAGAATTCCTGATTTCTCCATGGAGCATGTACACAACAATTTTGATCATATTAACTGTACTTCAGTTTTGCATTTTTATTCAAATGTTATCTCTTTTTTTCTTTGAGAAATAAACTGTCACTGATGTGACAGCGTTCTTTCTTTATTCTAATAACATGTATAGATCTAAAGCAGGTTGTGTTGTTTACATGTTTCTACACATTTCATCCTTTAAAAAGTTGTTGAGAGAGGTTGTATTTACCTTCCCAAGGTTGGAAAGCAGGGGAATTTCCCAGTGTCCTAGTTTTCCACCAGAGGAATATGTGTAAGTAGCAAAGTATTTGCTGCTTACATATAGTGTGTATGTATGTATATATGTAAATTGTGTGTTAAAGAGCTGATACTGATTTTCATATGACAATGTTAGGCAAAGGCCTCCCTGCATTTGAAGAGCAGGTTTTCATTTATATGTATTTTTGGGATAAAAAAATAAAATTTGTAAATATAGCCCCATTTCAAAGAGTAATGCTTTCCTAGCGTAGAGGACCTTGTGTTCATAGGTCTGTTTGCTGCTAATGGAGCCTTCTGTCAGTACTTTTGAGATAAAAGTAGGTAGCTGTTTTAGAGTGTTGTGGGGCAGGTTATATCGTTGGCCTCCAAGTCAGTGGAATAGCAGATGGTGACATGGAGGTGGGTTGTGGGGAAAGGTGGTGAAGCAGCTCAATCAGTGTTACTACTAATTGTTCCTCTTGGGTTGAGACTTAGGATACTATTAAATTTGATTGTTTTCCATTGTTTTTATACCCATGTGTGCTCAGGGCTAAAGATTGGCTAGTGGGAGGGGCAGCTGACTAATGTTCATTCAGAAGAAGTTAAAAGATCCTTTGAAAAGTGAACACTTAATAAGGTCATTAGATGAAACGTAAGTTGGGCCGGGCATGGGCACAGTGGCTCATGCCTGTAATCCCAACACTTTCGGAGGCTGAGGTGGGCAGATCATCTGAGGTCAGGAGTTCAAGACCAACCTGGCCAACATGGTGAAACCCCATCTCTACTAAAAATACAAAAATTAGCTGGGCGTGGTGGCACATGCCTGTTTTAATCCCAGCTACTCGGGAGGCTGAGGCAGGAGAATCGCTTGAACCCGGGAGGTGGAGGTTGCAGCGAGCTGAGATTGTGCCACTGCACTCCAGCCTGGGTGACAGCGAGACTCTGTCTCAGAAAAAAAAAAAAAAGGTAAGTTGAAGAATGTGTTCTACATTGGCCACTGTAACTGCTATTTTCTTCATTTTGGTATGTGCCATAGATCATATATATGTGCTTGTCTGAAAAGTAGGTTTGTTTGGATGAACTTTTCTCTTGATCCAGACTGACGGTTTTCTCTTGAGGGTTTAAGCACTAATCTGGTATCTTACTCTAGGATCTCCTTGTTCAGTCTGTGCTGCAGTAGCACTACTTTGTGGTAGCCTTGAGTTTTGCTACAAACTTCATCCTGGTGGGCACTGTGATAGATGACCACTTTGCCTACATTTTTCAGTAAGAAGTCCTAATTGTTTAGTCAGTTTTTATTTTAGTAGAGGAATAACGTCCTGGATTAAGAAATTCTTTATGCCACATATCTGAGAAGGTGGGTTTTTTTGTTGGTTTGTTTGTTTTGAGATGGCGTCTCACTCTGTCGCCCAGGCTGGAGTGCAGTGGCACCATCTTGGCTCACTGCAACCTCCGCCTCCCAGTTTCAAGCGATTCTCCTGCCTCAGCCTCCCAAGTAGCTGGGACTACAGGCACCTGTCACCAAGCCTGGCTAATTTATATATATAATTTTTATTTTTTATTTTTTTTTAGTAGAGATGGGGTTTCACCATATTGGCCAGGCTGGTCTCGAACTCCTGACCTTGTGATCCGCCCCTCTCAGCCTCCCAAAGTGCTGGGATTACAGGTGTTAGCCACCAGGCCTGGCCTGAGAAGGTGTTTTTTTTTTTTTTTGGTCTTGTTTTCCCTTACCCCTTTCTTTGAAGAAAGGGTGTCAAAAGACATTACCTGCCTCTAAAGCCAGATATCACCAGCAGACTTCTTAAAGTGGACATAATCCTAGAGCTTTCATTCTGTTTAGAAGTTCATGTTCATCTTAGCCATTTGGAACTTCTTCATTCTCTATCTTTTCTCCACGGTGGCTGGGCTTGTCTGCAAATCATTGTGTCAAAATCAAACTATTTTCAAAACAGCCCTTTGCTTCTGAGCCCCTCCCCTAAGTCCTCTGTGGGGGTCCATGATTCTGCAGAGGTATGGGACAGAATCTTCAGATTTTACCCCTTGAGTCTCTTCCTAGTCATATCCTGGTTCCCTCATTCTAATATTGACAAAGGATGACTCATTAAGTGCAACTGGTTATGTAACTTTCAAATACTTTCATTGTGTATGTCAGGATCTGAGGAACAAAATGATGTCATTTAATCGGAATCTAAACGTGACACAAACAACGTGCCAGCAATACCTGCTTGTGAAATAATGTTCTGAGCCCACAGTGTTCCTGGGTATGTGAGTTTATATCAAGTGAAAAGGCTGCTTAATTGACATTAAAGTTTTGGAATGTAAAGCTTCATTTGGTCTCTTGGGTAAAATTTCCAGTGTATTTATCAAATGGGAAACAATTCTAAAAACAGTTGTTCACATTTACTCTAAAGTGAATTAATCCAGTCAGCAATAGTTGCATAAGTTTATGCAGTTGGTTTACAGCTAAGTTAGAAAGGGAGCAATAGCCAGGTGTGGTGGTATGTGCCTGTAGTCCCAGCTACTTGGGAGGCTGAGGCAGGAGGATCACTTGAGCCCAGGAGTTCAAGACCAGCCTGGGTGATATAGTGACACCTCATCTTTTAAAAAAAAAGAAAAACAAATAATTTGGAGATGGGCCGCACCTTGTGGAAGAGATGACAGTTGAGGTATACCTTAGAAAATAGTTTGATTTGGAGTCAGTAGTAAAGGAGGACATCATGCCAGACTGAGCAGTCCAGGGACTAGCAGGACTGCAGTGGACTGTGGATAAGACCCTATAAATTAAGTTGTTTACCTCAAGACCCATGACACGTCAGTGGTAAACCTGGGATGAGAAATCACCTCAGTCCTGGCTCAGTGATCTTCCTGCTGGATTGTTCCTGCCTGCAGAGCTTAGCAGAGAGTTAAGGAAGGAAAAGACAACTGATTCATTAGGCTGCCCAATTCATAACTAGGGGGTTCAAGGAAATCACAGGAGGTGGGACTTTCTGCAGTAGAGGGTGGCTTAGGGAAATCCTCACCTCACCAAGTCACAGCTAGAGCTACTTGGAAATCATCATCTTGGTTCATAAAAATAGAAAAATATTCAGTAACGGGATGCCAAAGAACATGTAAACTGAGACTTCAATAATAAAACTGGCCAATATTGAGCACTTTCTATGTACCAGGCACAGTCCTAAGCATTTTACTTGTCCTACTTCATTCATGAACTCATTGAATCCTCACAACCCAACAAGACAGGCTTCAACGGTTGTTCCATTTTGCAGATGAGAAAACTGAGGCACAGGGACATTATGGTCACAGTGGTAGGTAGGACTGGAATTTAGACCCAGTCACTCTGATTCTAGATGCCACATTCTTTTTTTTTTTTTTTTTGCTTTGTCACCCAGGCTGGAGTGCAGTGGTGCAATCCCCACTCACTGCAACCTCTGCCTCCTGGGTTCAAGTGATTCTCGTGCCTCAGCCTCCTGAGTGGCTGGGATTACAGGTGCACACCACCACGCCCAGCTAATTTTTTGTATTTTTAGTACAGACAGGGTTTCACCATGTTGGCTAGGCTGGTCTCGAACTCCTGACCTCGTGATCCGCCTGCCTCGGCCTCCCAAAGTGCTGGGATTACAAGTGTGAGCCACCACACCCAGCCAATTTATTATGTTTTTGAGACAGGGTCTCTCTTTGTCACCCAGGCTGGAGTGCAGTGGCACAGCACCACTCACTGCAGCCTCGATCTCCTGAGCTTGTCATCTGTGCACCTCAGCCTCCCAAGTAGCTGGGACAACAGGCACACACCACTACGCCTGGCTAATTTTGTAAGTTTTTGTAGAGACGGGGTCTCCCTGTGTTGACAGGGCTGGTCTTGAACTCCTAGGCTTAAGTGATCTCCTGCCTCAGCCTCCCAAAGTGCTGGGATTACAAGTGGGTCACACACCCCTCCTTTTTTTTTTTTTGTTTTTAGACATGGTCTTGCTCTGTCACCCAGGCTGGAGTGCAGTGGTGTGATCTCAGCTCATTGCAGCCTTGACCTCTTGGGCTCAAACAATCCTCCCACCTCAGCTGCAACTGTCAGCCTGGCTTTTTTTTTTTTTTTTTTTCTGTAGAGACAAGGTCTCTCACTATGTTGCCCAGGCTGGTCTTGAACTTCTAAGCTCAAGTGATCCTCCTGCCTCAGCCTCCCAAAGTGCTGGGATTATAGGCATGAACCACTGTGCCAAACCTTAAACAATTTTTTTTAGAGATTGGGTCTCACTGTGTTGCCCATGCTAGAGTACAGTGGCACTATTATAGTTCACTGCAGCCTCACACTCTTGGGCTCAAGTGATCCTCCTGCCTCAGCCTCCTGTGTAGCTGCGACTATAAGCACACTACCATCCCTGGAATTTTTTTTTTTTTTTTGAGATGGAGTCTCGCTCTGTCGCCCAGGCTGGAGTGCAGTGGCGTGATCTCGGCTCACTGCAAGCTCCGCCTCCTGGGTTCACGCCATTCTCCTGCCTCAGCCTCCTGAGTAGCTGGGACTACAGGCGCCCGCCACCATGCCTGGCTGATTTTTTGAATTTTTAGTAGAGACGGGGTTCCACCGTGTTAGCCAGGATGGTCTCGATCTCCTGACCTTGTTATCCGCCCACCGCAGCCTCCCAAAGTGCTAAGATGACAGGTGTGAGCCACTGCACCTGGCCTAATTTTTAAAATTATTTGTAAAGACAAGGTTCTGCTATGTTGCCCAGGCTGGTCTCAAACTCCTAGTCTTCTTCCTACCTCAGCCTCCCAAAAGGCTGGGATTACAGGCGTGAGTCACCACACGTCATAGATTTTCTTTTGAAGACAACTTTTGGCTAGGTGCAGTGGCTCATGCCTGTAATCCCAGCCCTTAGGGAGGCCAAGGCAGGCAAATCACTTGAGCCCGGGAGCTTAAGACCAGCCTGGGCAACATGGCAAAACCCCGTCTCTGCTAAAAATACAAAAAATTAGCTGGGCATGGTGGCGTGCACCTGTAGTCCCAGCTACTTAGGAAGCTAAGGTAGGAGGAGCGCCCTGAGACTAGGAAGTCCTGGCTGCAGTGAGCAGTGATAGCACAACCGTAGTCCAGCCTAGGCGACAGAGTGAGACTCTGTCTCAAAAAAAAAAAATCCCAAAACAAAAACATTTTCTCTCTACATTGATTACATACAAATCTCAGATTTAAGATGCTCTTGAGCCTAGGAAGCCAAACCAAGGCAAACTTTAGACTATACTTACAGTTTAAAGGTTCTTGGATCTGCCAGATCTTGATCAAAAGGGACAAATGTGAAAGATGTCCTTTTTGTTGTTGTTGTTGTTGTTTGTTTTTTTGTTTTTTTTGAGACAGAGTCTCACTCTGTCCCCCAGACTGGAGTGCAGTGGCTCAGTCTCGGCTCACTGCAGCCTCCGCCTCCCAGGTTCCAGTGATTCTTCTGCTTCAGCCTCCCGAGTAGCTAGGATTACAGGCACGCACCACCTCACCTGGCTACTTTTTGTATTTTTAGTAGAGATGGGGTTTCACCATGTTGGCCAGGCTGGTCTCGAACTCCCGACCTCAGGTGATCCGCCCGCCTCGGCCTCCCAAAGTGCTGGGATTACAGGCATGAGCCACCACACCTGGCTGAAAGATGTCAAGTTTGACTCACTTAGTGTAGGGCCAGGAACTCTTGAAGCTAGGCATTGTATGCATATTCTTAAATATAACATTTCAGTCAAAGCCTTAGTAATATAACCAATGTTTCCAACTGTATCCTGCCTGTAAAAAGAGAGTAGATTTTATTATTTTTTTTTCTTCTGTCATCCAGGGAGTACAGATTTTTATTGAACTGGTGTAAATAAAAATAAGAACACTCATGACTAGTTTCCAAAATTTGGGGAAATCAAGTAGGAAGGAAAAGCAAATGCAAACTATAGATAGCTTACAGAAAAATTCCTTAAATTTGGAAAACACTTAAAGAACCTATAATGTTTTAAATAAAAGCCATAAAAACACTATCTTCATTCATAACTTTATTTCCTGTAATTAATTTTTTGTTTTGCTTGAATCTTGATAATCAATTACATGAACCCATCAATTTCCTTATTAGTGTTCTGGAAATTTTTGTTTAGTCCATTGTTTTTCTTTTTCTTTTTTTTTTTGAGACGGAATCTTGCTCTGTCGCTCAGGCTAGAGTGCAGTGATGTGATCTTGGCTCAATGCAACCTCCGCCTCCCGGGTTCAAGTGATTCTCCTGCCTCAGCCTCCTAAGTAACTGGGATTACAGGTGTGCTCCAACACGCCCGGCTAATTTTTTTGTATTTTTAGTAGAGATGGAGTTTCACCATGTTGGTCAGGCTGGTCTTGAACTCCTGACCTTGTGATCTGCTCACCTCGGCCTCCCAAAGTGCTGGGATTACAGGCGTGAGCCACCGCGCCCGGCCTAGTCCATTGATCTTAAAGTTATCAGAACTCTGTGTTCAAGAGTACTTGTAGGCTGAGTGTGGTGGCTCATGCCTATAATCTCACCTTTGGGATGCTGAGGTGAGAGGATCACTTGAGGCCAGGAGTTCAAAACAAGCCTGGGCAACAAAGTGAGACTCCATCTCTACAAAAAAATTTAAAAATTAGCCGGGCATGGTGGCCCTTATCTGTGGTTCCAGCTATTTGGGATGCTGAGGCAGGAGGATTGCCTGAACCCAGGAGGTCAAGGCTGCAGTGAATCATGATAATGTCATTGCACTGTGGCCTGGGTGACAAAGCAAGAGCCTGTCTCAAAAGAAAAGAAAAAAAAAAAGAGGCCAGGTGCTGTGGCTCCTATGGCTCACACCTGTAATCTCAGCACTTTGGGAGGCTGAAGTGGGTGGATCACCTGAGGTTAGGAGTTTGAGACCAGCCTGGCCAATTTGGTGAAACCCTATGTCTACTAAAAATACAAAAATTAGCTGGTCATGGTGGCGGGTGCCTGTAATCTCAGCTACTTGGGAGGCTGAGGCAGGAGAATCGCTTGAACCTGGGAGGCGTAGGTTGCAGTGAGCTGAGATCATGCCACTGCACTCCAGCCTGGGCAAGAAGAGTGAAACTCCGTCTCAAAAAAACAAACAAACAAAAAACAAAGGCTAGGCGCGGTGGCCCACGCATGTAATCCCAGCAGTTTGAGAGGCCTAGGTGGGCGGATCACCTGAGGTTGGGAGTTCGAGACCAGCCTAACCAACATGGAGAAACCCTGTCTCTACTAAAAATACAAAATTAGCGGGGTGTGGTGGCACATGCCTGTAATCCCAGCCACTCGGGAGGCTGAGGCAGGAGAATCACTTGAACCCAGGAGGCAGAGGTTGCGGTGAGCCAAGATCACGCCATTGCACTCCAGCCTGGGCAACAAGAGCGAAACTCCATCTCAAAAAATAAAGACTTGTTAGAGTCTCTTCCATGAAAAGCAATCTTGGTCTTGGTCTATAGTTGATTACAAATGCTTTTGGAGAAGAATTCAAAACAATAGCTGTGAATAACAACAACTTAGAGTAGTCTTGGTTAAAATCTGATGAAAGTTCCCAGTTGGCAGGAAAATGTAGTTATGTTTATTACAAGCAGTATTTAAGAGAACAGCCAGAGCCATGAATGACAGCATCACATGAGGATCATCAGACTTTTATAAATGTTATATAATCTTTAGAATACTCACATTAATAACATACCCATACAGATATAACTTTAGATAAGGTTTAACATGACAAAATAATACCTGATGGCATTAGATTTATATGCATTTACATAATTTTGAAACACTAATATCAATAACATACTTATAAATTTAACTTAAAGATGATCCAGGTTGCTCTGCCTATGTAGTAGCCATTCTTTTATTCCATAAAAAAAAAAAAAAGATCCAGCATCACTTATTTGACAATTCCTCCCATGCAATTAACCAAATAAATCTAATCACTTATTATCTATACAAGTTGAGTGTTACATTCTTTGAGGTTCTCCAGGGGTCCAACTAGAAAAATCCCAAAGTTAATTCGACATCAAAAAAACTTAATCTGACCCTGAAAAAGCCTGCCAAAGATGTCAAAAGGTTAAAAATACTTAATCAAAACAGAATCACAGGTCACTGTAAAATAATACTCATTTAACCAGAATGGAAATCAAAATACTTCAAAAGCAATACAGAAGTTACATGGTAAAAAACCTTAACCCTTTTAAAGCTCAGTTTTCTAAAGTAATCAAAAACTTAATAAAGACAATGCAGAGGCTGGGTGCGGTGGCTCAACGCCTGTAATCCCAGCACTTTTGGAGGCCAAGATGGGTGGATCACTTGAGGTCAGGAGTTTGAGACCAGCCTGGCCAACATGGCAAAAACCCATCTCTACTAAAAAAAAATACAAAAATTACCCCGGCTACTCGGGAGGCTGCGGCAGGAGAATTGCTTGAACCCTGGAGGCGGAGGTCGCGGTGAGCCAAGATTGCACCACTGAACTCCAGTCTGGGTGACAGAGCGAGACTCCATCTCAAAAGAAGAAAAAAGGCAATGCAGGAATTATCTTGATAAAATGTAATGTCATTTTTTTTTTAGGCCAGTTACCAGAAAGGTAAAGAAAAACTTCCTGTAGTGGAAATGCTTTTCCATATGTCCATATGGGAAGCCCATTTAGATGCCCTGAAAGTCAAACCTGATGGAAGAGGCACTTTAATTTAATTAGACACAGGAAGACTGAGTCCAGTGTTATAAGTGTACATTATATTATTAGAGGAATGTATATGAGAGGAAGGTAAGCTAGAAAAGTAATACCACAAGCAGGAGAGTACAGGGCTCTTAGTATCAGCATGGGACATTTCCTAGTTACATGGAACAATTCAGACACATCAAGAAAACCCAAGAGTACAGAATCCAGTTAAACCGTAAGAAAACCCTGCTTTTCTAGACCTTCAAGAGAAACATTTCAACATCAGACCATAACAGCAGACTTAGGAGAAAAAAAAAATTACAGGAATTGACAGGTTGATGTTAGCACCTCAGCCAAACATAAAGCTATACCTTTGCAAGTTGAGAAAAAACAGAAGGCAGTGATATATGACCTGAAAAGCATATGCAGTACGGTACAGCAAACGTTGAGCTTCTGAAATATAAATCTGAGAAGTCTCAAAAGGAACAATTTTACCTAAGACAGCTGGGTGTGGTAGCTCATGCCTGTACTCCTAGCTACTTAGGAGACTGACGTGGGAGGATTGCTTGAGCCTAGGAGTTCAAGGCTGCAGTGAGCTATGATTGTGCCACTGCATTTCGGCCTGGGCAACAGAACAAGACCAATCTCTAAATAAATAAATAAATAAATAAATAAATAATAAATAAAATACATATATATGTATAAAGAAATAAAATTACCAATCAGAATGAAAAAGACAGCATTTTCTTTTTCTTTTTTTTTGGTTCTTTTTATCAGTAGAGACAGGATCTTGCTATGTCACCCAGGCTGGTCATAAGCAAAGACAGCATTTTCAATCTGAAACTAGGGAAATTAATTTTTAAATTAGTTTAATTAATTATTTAAAAAAAATTTTTGAGATGGAGTTTTAGTCTTGTCGCCCAGGCTGGACTGCAGCTGTGTGATCTCAGCTCACTGCAACCTCCACCTCCCATGTTCAAGCGATTCTCCTGCCTCAGCCTCCCAAGTAGCTGGGAATCCAAGCGCCCACCACCATGCCTGGCTAATTTTTTTTGTATTTTTAGTAGAGACGGGGTTTCATCATGTTGGCCAGGCTGGTCTCCAACTCCTGACCTCAAGGGATCCACCTGCCTTGGCCTCTCAAAATGCTAGGATCACAGGCATGAGCCACTGCCCCCAGCCTATTTATTTATTTTTTTGAGATGGAGTCTCGCCCTGTCACCCAGGCTGGAGTGCAGTGGCGTGATCTCGGCTCACTGCAATCTCTGCCTCCCAGGTTCAAGCATCTCCTGTCTCAGCCTCCCAAGTAGCTGGGAATCCAGGTGCCCACCACCACACCCAGCCACTTTTTGTATTGTTAATAGAGAGGGGGTTTCACCCATATTGGTGAGGCTTGTCTCTAATTTCTGACCTCAGGTGATCCACCCGCCTCGGCCTCCCAAAGTGCTGGGATTACAGGCATGAGCCACTGTGCCCGGCCTATTTATTTTTTTGAGATAGGGTCTTGCTCTGTCACACAGGCTGGAGTGCAGTGGTGCAGCCATGATTCATGGCAACCCCCACCTCCCAGGCTCAAGTTATCCTCCTACCTGAGCCTCCCAAGTTGCTGGTACGACAGGCGTGCACCACCACACTCAGCTAATTTATTTATGTTTTGTAAAGACAGATTCTCCCTATGTTCCCAGGGCTGGCCTTGAACTACTGGGCTCAAGTGATCCTCTCAAAGTGCTGGGATTACAGGTGTGAGCCACCACAGCTGGCCTGGGAAATTAATTAGATGTAAGGAAGAAATAGAAACTCTGTAGTTTAGAAGATGGCTGTTGTAGAACCAGATTTCAGAGTTAAAAATCAAAAGCTCTTGCTATTTTACCAAGAGTAAATTAAATCAGTACTTTAAGAAAACCTTGTTGTTTCAACATAGGGAACCAAAAATTTTTTTTTAGTTTTGCATTAATATATTTTCAATATGAAAGCTCGATCTGGGCTGGGTGCAGTGGCTCACACCTGTAATCCCAACACTTCGGGAGGCTGAGGCGGGTGGATTACTTGAGGTCAGGAGTTTGAGACCAGCCAGGCCAACATGGTGAAACCTCGTCTCTACTAAAAATACAAAAATTAGCCGGGTGTGGTGGCACATGCCTATAATCCTAGCTACTGAGGAGGCTGAGGTGAGAGAATCACTTGAACCTGTGAGGCGGAAGTTGCAGTGAGCCAAGATGGCGCCACTGCACTCCAGCCTGGGCGACAGAGCAAGACTCTGTCTCAAAAAAAAATTGCTGGAATGCCGTAAGCAGTGAATTTTCTCTCAACACTAGTAGAAGTCAGCAGATTAAAACTAGGCAGAAAAGCCTGGGCATGGTGGCTCACGCCTGTAATCCCAGCACTTTGGGAGGCTGAGGCAGTGGATCACCTGAGGTCGGGAGTTTGAGACCAGCCTGACCAACATGGAGAAACCCCGCCTCTACTAAAAATTCAAACTGAGCCAGGTGTGGTGGTACATTCTTGTAATCCCAGCACTTTGGGAGGCCGAGGCAGGCGGATCACCTGAGGTTGGGAGTTCGAGACCAGCCTGACCAACATGGAGAAACCCTGCCTCTACTAAAAATTCAAACTTAGCCAGGCGTGGTGGTAAATTCCTGTAATCCCAGCTACTCGGGAGGCTGAGGCATGAGAATCGCTTGAACCTGTTAGGCAGAGGTTGTGAAGAGCCGAGATCGTGCCATTGCACCTCAGCCTGGGCAACAAGAGCGAAACTCTGTCTCAAAAAAAAAAAAAAAAATTAGCTGGGCATGGTGGTGGGCACCTGTAGTTCCAGCTACTAGGGAGGCTGAGGCAGGAGAATCACTTGAACCCAGGAGGCAGAGGTTGCAGTGAGCCGAGATCGCACCACTGCACTCCGGCCTGGCGACAGAGCGAGACTCCATCTCAAAAAGAAAAAAAAAAAAAGTAGGCAGAAAAAAATAGAGAAAACTTAGAAGATTCTCTATGTTATCTCTATAGTTCTAGGTTTTTCAAATAATGACCATTTGAGCTTTGAATTTTCCTTCCTGTAATTGCCCATTCATTTAAAAATATGCGTAAGAACAGGCCATAATATATAGCCAGCTGGAGTCCCTGAAAACCTAGCTTGCTTTAATATTTTAGAATCTCATTTCATCTCTTATTAATCTCTGGAGAGCAAAGAAAATCCTGTAAATCCTGTCAGGGATTATCAGAAGTTTAGACCAGTGTTTTACATGGTGGCAACTGCCCTAGTGGCTTTTTCTTTCTTTTCTTTTTTCTTTTCCTTTCCTTTTTTTTTTTTTTTTTTTACAGAAGGTCTCAGTTGCCTAGGATGGATTGCAGGGGTGTAATTATAGCTCATTGCAGCTTCTAACTTCTAGGCTCAAGCAATCCTCCTGCCTCAGCCTCCTAAGTAGCTAGGACTACAAGTGTGTGGCACCATTCCCAGCTAATTTTTAAAAAATTTTGGCCGGGTACAGTGGCTCATGACTGTAATCCCAGCACTTTGGAAGGCCGAGGTGGGCGGATTACTTGAGGTCAGGAGTTCGAGACTAGCCTGGTCAACATGGTGAAACCCTGTCTCTACAAAATACAAAAATTAGCCGGGCAAGGCCGGGCGTGGTAGCTCTCGCCTGTAATCCTAGCACTTTGGGAGGCCGAGGCGGGCAGATCACGAGGTCAGGAGATCGAGACCATCCTGGCTAACATGGTGAAACCCCATCGCTAGTAAAAATACAAAAAATTAGCCGGGCGTGGTGGTGGGTGCCTGTAGTCCCAACCACGTGGGAGGCTGAGGCAGGAGAATGGCGTGAACCCAGGAGGCGGAGCCTGCAGTGAGCTGAGATCGCACCACTGCACTCCAGCCTGGGTGACAGCGAGACTCCGTCTCAAAAAAAAAACCAACCAACAAACAAAAAAATTAGCTGGGCGTGGTGGTGTGTGCCTGTAATAGCTGCTTGGGAGACTGAGGCAGAATTGCTTGAACCTGGGAGGCAGAGGTTGCAGTGAGCTGAGGTCACACCACTGCACTCCAGCATTTGAAAAAAATGGGAGATGGGATCTTGCTATGTTGCCCAGGTTTGTCTTGAGCTTCTGGCCTCAAGCTATCCTCCTGTCTTAGCCTCTGAAAGTGCTGGGATTACAGGCATCAGCTGTCATGCCTGGCCCAAAGTGGGTTTTTGTTTTATTTCATTTATTTATTTATTTATTTATTTCAGACTGAGTTTCACTCTTATTGCCCAGGCTGGAGTACAATGGCACGATCTTGGCTCACTGCAACCTCTATCTCCCAGGTTCAAGTGATTCTCCTGCCTCAGCCTCCCGAGTAGCTGGGATTACAGGTGTGCGCCACCAGGCCCAGCTAATTTCTGTATTTTGTAGAGACAGGGTTTTACCATAGTGGTCAGGCTGGTCTCAAACTCCTGACCTCAAGTCATCCACCTGCCTTGGCCTCCCAAAGTGCTGGGATTACAGGAGTGAGCCACTGCGCCTAGCCTATTTTTTTTTTTAAAGTAAAAAAATAAAAGAATGGCTACTCCATAGGCAGGGCATCCCCTTTTTAATTAGCCATCCTGTAACCACCATCCAGAATGTTTATTTTTGCCACCAGAAGATTTTCAGAAGCAAGCAAGGGAAAAGAGTCAAGCCAAATCAAAAGAAACCAAGATAAGTGTATTCACAAAAATTTTAACCTAGGCTGGAAGATCAAACAAAATATCAGATTAGGTGCACAAACCAGAAAAGATATGCCTCACAGACAGAAGGTAAATTTCTGTAGAAACCAAGATTAATCAATTCAGAAAGACACTTGTCTTTATATCAGAAAGGACTTACCAAAAAAGACAAAAAGGTCTTTTATCATCCCAGGAGGAACCTATGGTCCTTTATTAAGGTGGCCCTATCCAAAACAGATCCTAAACCATGTCAAAAGTCTGTGCCACAGTAAAAAGACTCAGCCTGAGAGAAGACTCACCAGGGTAGAAAAGGTGAGCTATTGAAGCAGAGATCTCAAAGAGTTCAAATATATACTGCACACCAGTTCCAAAGATTGCTGATTCCTTCCTGTAGTGATACTGTTCAGATCTCACTTCCGACACCATATATGTCAACTTAAATAAAAAACAGAAACATGCTTTCTAAAGGAAAAGACGTTTATTTGTGAATAGAGCATTGAAATGGGAATATGCATGCTACAAGTAACTGATGTGTGTATTTAGGGACATAATGAAAGACAAATCTTTTTTGAGGTTAACAGTGAGGTTTTCTTTTCTTTTTCTTTATTTTTTTTCTGTGACGGAGTCTTGCTCTGTCTCCCAGGCTGGAGTCCAGAGGCGTGATCGGCTCACTGCAACCTCCACCTCCCGGGTTCAAGCGATTCCCCTGCCTCAGCTTCCCAAGTAGCTGGGACTACAGGCGCACGCCACTACGCTCAGCTAATTTTTGTATTTTTAGTAGAGGTGGTGTTGCATCATGTTGGCCAGGCTGGTCTTGAACTCCTGACCTCAGGTGATCCACCCAACTCAGCCTCCCAAAGTGCTGGGATTACAGGCGTGAGCCACTGCGCTTGGCCTTTTTTTTCTTTTTGACAGAGTCTTGCTCTGTCACCCGGGCTGGAGTGCAGTGGCACGATCTTGGCTCACTGCAACCTCTGCCTCCCAGGTTCCAGTGATTCTCCTGCCTCAGGCTCCCGAGTAGCTGGGATTACAGGCGCACACCCCCACGCCAGGGTAAGTTTTGTTTTTTTAGTAGAGACAGGGTCTCACCATATTGGCCAACCTGGTCTCGAACTCCTAACCTCATGATCTGCCCTCCTTGGCCTCCCAAAGTGCTGGGATTACAGGCATGAGCCACTGTGCCTGGCCAAGAGCGGAGGTTTAATAGGCGAAAGAAAGAGAAAAGCTCTCTGCTGCAGAGAGGGGTCCCAAGCAGGTCTTCCTGACAAACCTTTTTAAAGGAAAAAATAAGAATTACATAATGGTTTTGAAACAGTTATCCTGGTTACAAATATCAGTAACAAAGGTGACACCAGTCTGAGGTTAGACAGGAAATTAGTTGCTGGGCAGATTTTTTTGCAGAAATATGTTTATGTGTGGAAGACTACAATGCCCATTGTGGCTACACTGTAGTTTTTGTAGAGTCTTTTTTATTATCAGGCATACAAGTGTGAAACTCTCTTCATAGTCATCCCTGGCTCTACTCATCAGGGTTTTCTTAACATTTGTGACTCCATTTTGATTCTGACAACTTTCACAAAATTAATACAATTACTTTCTTGAGGATGACATATATATATGTATATCCTTCTGGCCAGGCGTGGTGGCTCACGTCTGTAATCCCAGCACTTTGGGAGGCCAAGGTGGGCAGATCGCCTGAGGTCGGGAGTTCAAGACCAGCCTGACCAACATGGAGAAACCCCGTCTCTACTAAAAATACAAAATTAGCTGGGTGTGGTGGCGGGTATACCTGTAATCCCAGCTACTTGGGAGGCTGAGGCAGGAGAATCACTTGAACCCAGGAGGCGGAGGTTGCGGTGAGCCGAGATCAAGCCATTTCACTCCAGCCTGGGCAACGAGAACAAAACTCTGTCTCCAAAAAAAAAAAAAAAAAAAAAAAAAAAAAAAAAAAAAAATCCTTTCTAATTATTTCTACATTTTTCCTCTGAAGATAGTTATATTTTTTAAGCACATAAGAAAACAAGTCACCATAGGTAAGAAGCAGCAGAAATCACACAGGCTTCAGATACACACAGACTTCAGATTCTTGAATTATATAAGACAGTATAAAATGTTCATGATTACTATTTTTCTAATTTAAAAAAAGTTTAGAGGTGAGGTTTTGCTATGTTGCCCAGGCTAGATTTGAACCCCTGGGCTCAATGATCCTCCTGCTGCAGCCTCCTGGGTAGCTAGGATTACAGGTGTGCACCACCAGCAGTTGGCCATATTACTATTGTCAAAGAAATAAATGAACTTGAAAATATCCACAGGTAACAGTTACGGGAATAAGTGAAATGGGAGTTATTTAGAAGACCAAGTAGAAGTTTCAGAAATGAAAAGTATAATAACTAAACCCATCAATCGGTGGCTTTAACAGCAGATTAGTGCAGCTTCAGGGAGAATTAGTGAACTAATAGAACTAATGGATGAGAATAAATTATCTATCCACATTATTATTTTTTTTTTTGAGGCAGAATTTCTCTCTTGTTGCCCAGGCTGGAGTGCAATGGCATGATCTCGACTCACCGCAACCTCTGCCTCCCAGGATCTCTCTCTGTTGCCCAGGCTGGAGTGCAATGGCGTGATCTTGGCTCACTGCATCCTCCGCCCCCGGGGTTCAAGCAATTCTCCTGCCTCAGCCTCCTGAGTAGCTGGGACTACAGGCGCCCACCACCACGCCCGGCTAATTTTTGTATTTTTAGTAGAGACGGGGTTTCTCCATGTTGGCCAGGCTGGTCTTGAACTTCCGACCTCAGGTGATCCGCCCGCCTCAGCCTCCCAAAGTGCTGGGATTACAGGCGTGAGCTACTGCACTTGGCCTCATTTTTTTTTTTGAAACGGAGTTTCGCTCTTTTTGCCCAGGCTGAAGTGCAATGATGCAATCTTGGCTCACTACATAACCTCCGCCTCCCAGGTTCAAGTGATTCTCCCACCTTAGCGTCCCGTGTAGCTGGGATTACAGGCACACGCCACCACGACCGGCTAATTTTTGTATTTTTAGTAGAGATGGAGTTTCATCATGTTGCCCAGGCTGGTCTTGAACTGACATCAGGTGATCTGCTTACCTCGGTCTCCCAAAGTGTTGGGATTACAGGCGCTACAGGCACGAACCACCGCGCCTAGCCTCTTTTTTTTTTCTCTGTCGCCCAGGCTGGAGTGCAGTGATGCAATCTCAGCTCACTGCAACCTTTACCTCCTGGGTTCAAGCGATTCTCCTGCCTCAGCCTCCCAAGTAGCTGGGATTACAGGTGCCCACGACCCTGCCCTACTAATTTTCGTATTTTTAGTAGAGAGAGGGTTTCACCCTGGTGACGGGTCTGATCTCAAACTCCTGATCTCAGGTAATCCACTCACCTCAGCCTCCCAAAGTACTGGGATTACAGGTGTGGACCACCGTGCCCAGCCTATGCACATTAATTTAACTTAGATGAATGGACCAATTCTTTGAAAACTATAAACTACCTTGTTATGGCTTGGATGTTTTGTCTCCAAATCTCATGTTGAAAGTGATCCCCAGTGTTGGAGGTGGGGCCTGGTGGGAGGGATTTAGGTTATGGGGGTGGATTCCTCATGAGGGGCTTGGTGCTTTCCCCACAGTAATGAGTTCCTGCAAGAGCTGGTTGTTAAAAAGAGCCTGGAACTTTCTCTTCTCTCTCTTGCCATGTGACACACTGGCTCCCCTTCACCATTGGCCATGGTTGTAAACTTCCTGAGGCCCTCACCTAGAAGCCTGCACAACTATGAGCCAAATACATCTCTTTATAACAGTCTCAGGTATTCCTTTATAGCAATGCAGAACAAACTAATACAGGAAGTTGGGATGGAGGAGTGGGGGATTGCTATAAAGATACCTGAAGATGTGGAAGTGTGTCCGGAATTGGTGGGTTCTTGCTCTCACTGACTTCAAGAATGAAGCCACGGACCCTCGCGGTGAGTGTTACAGCTCTTAAGGTGGCGCGTCTGGAGTCTGCCCCTTCTGATGTTCAGATGTGTTTGGAGTTTCTTCCTTCTGGTGGGTTCGTGGTCTCGCTGGCTGAGGAGTGAAGCTACAGACCTTCACGGTTAGTGTTACAGCCCTTAAGGCAGCGCGTCTGGAGTCTTTCGTTCCTCCCGGTGGGCTCGTGGGCTCACTGGCTCCAGGAGTGAAGCTGCAGACCTTCACGGTGAGTGTTACAGCTCTTAAGGTAGCACGTCTGGAGTTGTTTGTTTCTCCCGGTGGGCTCGTGGTCTTGCTGGGTTCAGGAGTGAAACTGCAGATCTTCGCGGTGAGTGTTACAGCTCATAAAAGCAGCGTGGACCCAAAGACTGAGCAGTAGCAAGATTTACTGCAAAGAGCGAAAGAACAAAGCAGCCACAATGCGGAAGGAGACCCCAGCAGGTTGCCAATGCGCCTTCTGGCAGGCTGCTTTTATTCTCTTATCTGGCCCCACCCACATCCTGCTGATTGGTAGAGCCCAGTGGCCTGTTTTGTCAGGGCGCTGATTGGTGCGTTTACAATCCCTGAGCTAGATAGAAAGGTTCTCCACGTCCCCATCAGATTAGTTAGATACAGAGTTTGGACACACAGGTTCTCCAAGGCCCCACCAGAGCAGCTAGATACAGAGTGTCGATTGGTGCACTCACAAACCTTGAGCTCAACACAGGGTGCTGATTGGTGTATTTACAATCCCTGAGCTAGATATAAAGACTCTCCACGTCCCCACCAGACTCAGGAGCCCAGCTGGCTTCACCTAGTGGATCCCGCACCGGGGCTGCAGGTGGAGCTGCCTGCCAGTCCTGCGCCATGCGCTCGCATTCCTCAGCCCTTGGGTGGTCGATGGGACTGGGCACCGTGGAGTAGGGGGTGGTGCTCGTCAGGGAGGCTCGGGCCGCACAGGAGCCTATGGAGTGGGTGGGAAGCTCAGGCATGGCGGGCTGCAGGTCCCGAGCCCTGCCCCGTGGGAAGGCAGCTAAGGCCCGGCGAGAAATCGAGCGCGGCGCCGGTGGGCCAGCACTGCTGGGGGACTCAGTACACCCTCTGCAGCCACTGGCCCGGGTGCTAAGTCCCCCATTGCCCGGGGCCAGCAGGGCTGGCTGGCTGCGCCGAGTGCGGGGCCCACCAAGCCCACGCCCACCCGGAACTCCAGCTGGCCCGCAAGCGCCGCACGCAGCCCGGGTTCCCGCTCGTGCCTCTTCCTCCACACCTCCCTGCAAGCTGAGGGAGTGGGCTCCGGCCTTGGCCAGCCCAGAAAGGGGCTCCCACAGTGCAGTGGGGGGCTGAAGGGCTCCTCAAATGCCACCAAAGTGGGAGCCCAGGCGGGGGAGGTGCCGAGAGCAAGCGAGGGCTCTGAGGACTGCCAGCACGCTGTCACCTCTCAGAAGCGGCTTTGGAACTGGGTAACAGAGAGAGTTTGGAAGAGTTTGAAGGGCTCAGAAGACAGGAACACAAAGAAAAGTTGGGAACTTTGAATGGTGGGTACTGGTTGCAGTGAGCTGAGATTGTGCCATTGTACTCCGTGACAAGAGAGAAATTCTGTCTCAAAAAAAAAAAAAAAGAAAAATAAATATTGTAAAGAAATGAATAGGCAGTTTGGCAATTCTTTTTTAATATAGTTAAGCACAAAGCTGGATTTAGTGTGGAGCCAAATTTCACATCCATGCTTGTATTGCTTCACACTATGTTTACTGTTTTGCATGGATAGTGCTGGCACTGGAGTACTTATTGGTCATGTGCCTAGAGTGAATTTCTTGATTTTGCAGGATGTATGGTGATATTGGTGGACTTAAGGATATTGAATTGTGTATTAGGAATAAAATATTATGTGGAGTTTTGGGGGCTCTGGGTAACACTGTAGCCTCCAGGGTAGATTGAGTAGGAAAAATTTAGAGTTGGTTTCCTGTTTATTTGTTTTTGTTTCTAATTTTCATTCGTTTGCTGTTTATTCTCCTCTGGGCCTTGCTTGTGTATGCATATATATATCGCTTCTTGGCCTTTTGGCTAAGATCAAGTGTGTATTCATATATATAAAACCATGATTTTTTTTTTTTTTAGTTTCTATTGGAAGGCTTTTATGTGGTTCTGTGAATAGTTATTTTGTTTCCCATGCGTTTCTAGCAGGTCATCATTTGTTCCATTTATCTGGAATTCCCAGGCTACCTTTGTCGGGCCTCCGGGAATTGATGGAGCACACCAACTTTTTTTTTTTTAAGATGGAGTTTCACTCTTGTTGCCCAGGCTGGAGTGCAATGGCGCAATCTCGGCTCACTGCAACCTCCACTTCCCGGGTTCAAGCTATTTTCATGCCTCAGCCTCCTGAGTACAGGGATTACAGGTGCCTGTCACCACGCCCGGCTAATTTTTTATATTGTTAGTAGAGACGGGGTTTCACCATGTTAGTCAGGCTGGTCTCCAACTCCTGACCTCAGGTGATCCACCTGTCTTGGCCTCCCAAAATGCTGGGATTATAGGCGTGAGCCACCTCGCCCAGCCAGCTTTTTGTTTTGTTTTGTTTTGTTTTTGAGACAGAGTCTCACTCTCTCACCCAGGCTGGAGTGCAGTGGCGATCTCGGCTCACTGTATCCTCTGCCTCCCCGGTTCAAGCGATTCTCCTGCCTCAGCCTCCTGAGTAGACGGGATTATAGGCGCACACCACCACACCTGGCTAATTTTTTGTATTTTTAGTAGAGATGGGGTTTCACCATGTTGGTCAGGCTGGTCTTGAACTCCTGACCTCGTGATCCGCCCGCCTCGGCCTCCCAAAGTGGTGGGATTTAGCCACCGCACCCAGTGGCTTAAAAGTTTTTTTACTTGTTTGTTTTTTGGTTTACACTAGGAATATAGAGGTACTTCCTCACCTTGAAAAACAGCATCTACAAAACTCCCACAACTAATGTCATACTTAATGGTGAGAGACTGAATGCATTCGCCACCCCCCCTTTTTTTTTTTGAGACGGAGTCTCGCTCTTGCCCAGGCTGGAGTGCAGTGGCGGGATCTTGGCTCACTGCAAGCTCCGCCTCCCGGGTTCACGCCATTCTCCTGCCTCAGCCTTCCGAGTAGCTGCGACTACAGGCGCCCACCACCACGCCCGGCTAATTTTTTTTGTATTTTTTAATAAAGACGAGGTTTCACTGTGTTAGCCAGGATGGTCTTGATCTCCCGACCTTGTGATTCACCCGCCTCGGCCTCCCAAAGTGCTGGGATTACAGGCGTGAGCCACCGCGCCCGGCCTGCATTCCCCTTAAAACAGGGAACAAGGCAAGGATGTCTAATGTTATCACTTTTATTTAACAGACTACTGGAAATCTGCACAATAAGGAAGAAAAAGAAAAAGCACTCAGCTTAGAAAAAAAAAAACTCCCTATTTATTTGCAGATGAAATTATTATCTATGTAAAAATTCCAAGGAATCTATACAACCCCCCCTAAAATTAGTAAGGGAGTTCAGCAAGATGGCAGGTTACAAGATCCGCACACGAAACCAGTTATTCAGAATGCAGCACAGAGGGACAAAAAGATGGAAAATATAGACGGTAGGTTAAAAAGCTTCTTATGTTCGAGTTCCAGAAGGAGAGAGAAATGAGACAGGCATCTGAAGAAAAATGACTGCGATTTCCCAAAACTGGTGGAAGATACCAACCCACATATTATAGAAATCCAAAGACTTCCAAGCAAGAAACAAAACAAAAGGAAGAAAAAATATCCCACTTAGACTTATGATAGCGAAACTGCAGAACAGTGAAAGATGGAGAGCTGAGGACGGAGAAATCCACAGGGGCCAAGTGAAAACAACGTTTACACCTTGGACTTAACGATAAAAGCGAACTCGTACTTGCACAGTCATTGGCGCCTGCCAAACCCCTTACACATATTAGGTGATTTACTCCTCACAGCAAATGTATTAGGTAGATTCTATTACTGCTTGTATTTTACAGATGAGGGAGTTGAGATTTGGTTATTTGCCCAAAGGAGCACACTTTATCGATGTAGCGATAGGATTTTGAACAAGGTAGTTCTCGCTCCAGTTTTGTGCCCTTAACCACTACACATACTTGTTTCTCCAAAGGGCACTGGGAAAATGGGAAGCCACTGAAAGACTTTAAACCGGGGAGTGATAACATTTGTTTCTGGAAGATCCTGGCACCACTGTGGATAGTGGATTAAGTGGGGCTAAAGGTGGAAATAAGCCGCTGGAATAATGTAGCCCCAAACAGGGAGGGCCTGAATGAACTAGTGAGGTGGCAGAAGGCGCAGGCACAAGCAAATGGATTCGCGAGCTCTTCCGGAGTCGAGTCCATAGAGCTTGACCTGGGATCGCGTTTTACTCCAGGTGCAGAGTGAGGAAAACCGCGTTTCTGACGCAGGCAATTCGGTGGATAGTGAAAGTCATTCACTGAAGTGGACTGAAGCGGGGCGCACAGGAGACTCGGAGGCCTGAGGACGAGCTAGGCTTTGGACGCGGTGGATTTGTGGCGTCTGTAAAGCCGGCGGCCAGCCGAGGGGCAGGAAACGGCAGAAAGCAGAAGCCGCATCTCTAGAGCTCTCCGAGAAGGACCTTCGAGAGCCCCGGCCTTAGCGAAGCTCGGCACGGCGCTGCACGCGTCTCCGGAAGCCGCGCGCGCAGGCGCAGAGCGGGGGGGCGCCCCCTGGCGGCGCAGGGACCGCCCCCAACCTCGCGCCGCCGCCGCCCGCCTCAGCCCAACATGGCGATGCACAACAAGGCGGCGCCGCCGCAGATCCCGGACACCCGGCGGGAGCTGGCGGAGCTCGTGAAGCGGAAGCAGGAGCTGGCGGTGAGGGGCTAGGACAGGGGTTGCACGGCATGGGGCTCCGCGCCCGCCCCGCCTCCAGGCCCCAAGCCCGGCCGCGCTAGGCCGTTTGTTACTCCGGGGGCGCGGCGCGGCGGGCCGGGTGCTCGGCGGCCTGAGGCCGGGTGCGCATTCTGCGGCCCGCCGGCGGTTCAGCTTCCCGGCTGTGCGAATCCGGAGCCGGGAGAGAGCCGGGAGCGCGGGAGGGGGAGGGGAAGCGGCAGCCGCAGGAGGGGGCGTGGAGGGAGGACGGTGCCGGGGCCCGGGGAGAGGGCGCTAGGAAGGGCGAGCGTCAGTGAGCCGCGGGGGTGGGCGAGGCGGGCTAGTCCGTGATCTTTGCGGGGAGGGGGTGGGGAAGGAGGCTAGTGTGGGAGGGGGACCCAGTCACCCCGTCTGGACTTTGGAGGCTGGTGGGGAGCGTGTTCTTTTTGGTACTGGGAGTAGATCCGTTGAATGGAGGTTTTTGATAGACAGGGTTGTGATGTGTTTGGGAACATCTAGAAGGTGACAGGCGAGGGAGAAGAACACATTCCGGAGAATTCAGAATTGTGACAGGCACCCAAGGCCCAATGCACTCTGGTGGCTAAGCTCTTCCTGCCCCCGCGTCTCGGCTTGGGCACCCGGGAGGCCCCTCTCACCTGAAGCTGCCCTTCTAGGTTTCCATAGCAACTGGCAGCCCGGTGTCGGCGGCCTCTCTTGAGCCTGCGGGGAGGGGAGCGAGTTGACGCTGAAAGGCTGCTCACCTTTCCCTCTCCTGGTAGCGATACCTTTTGTGCGTGGGAGTGGACATCGCCCAAGTTCTGCGTTAGCCTGGGCTCTTGACTCATGGTTTCCGTGAATCCTCTAAAGTATATGCAAAATTTCGCGTGTGTGTGTATTTTTCTGGAGACATGCTTTATACATTCAGGGGTCCATCACCCCCAAAGGTCTAGACTGTCTTAGTCCTAAACGGCTCCTCCTCCCCGTATCTTCCATCTCTCCACAGGGTGGTTTAGTGTGGGCAAGCTTGCGTTTACGAGTCTAATATCAGGATTTCATTTTGGCCAGACTTAAGTGTTTGCATTTAAAAGGTATCATTCATGTCCTTGTTTTTCATCTCTCAGGAAACATTGGCAAATTTGGAGCGACAGATCTATGCTTTTGAGGGAAGCTACCTGGAAGACACTCAGATGTATGGCAATATTATTCGTGGCTGGGATCGGTATCTGACCAACCAAAAGTGAGTGTCGAAAGCCTGTAGTGTTCCTATTGTGCCCTAGTAACGTTTGTTTTTAGGACTGTATGCTCTTAGTGGCAACTTTGCTGGAGGCAGTAGTAAAGTAGTGGTGTGATCTGGACTTGAACTCTTGGACTCTGGCTCAGGCACTGCCTCACCGAATAATCTTAGACAAGGCTCACATCTGTAAAATAGCGAAAGTTGGGCCTATGGCACAGGGTTGTGTGAGGCTTAAATACAGTATCTTTATACAATAGCATTCTATTAAATTTTTTACACATTTTAATCAGTCATGAGTTCTACCCTCACAGTATTTTTCTTTTCTTTTTTTCTTTTTCCTCCTGAGTAGCTGGGATTACAGGTGCGTGCCACCATGCCTGGCTAATTTTTTTATTTTTAGTAGAGACGAGGTTTCTCCATGTTGGCCTGGCTGGTCTCGAACTCCTGACCTCAGGTGATCTGCTGCCTTGGCCTCCCAAAGTGTTGGGATTACAGGTGTGAGCCACCACGCCTGGCCACTTTTCTTTTTTCTAAGAGACAGGGTCTCACGCTGTTGTCCAGGCTGGAGTGCAGTAGCACGAACTTAGCTCACTGCAGCCTCAGACTCCTGGGCTGAAGTGATCCTCCCACCTCAGCCTCCCAATTAGCTGGGACTACAGGCACACCATACTGTACCTGACTAATTAAAAACTTTTTTTTGTAGAAGTGGGATCTCACTTTGTTGCTCAGGCAGGCCTGGAACTCCTGGTTTCAAGCAGTCCTCCTGCCTCAGCTTCTCAAAGTGTTGGAATTAAAGGGGTGAGCCACCACGCCCAACTGACCCTCACAATTTTTGCCATACCTGTGTGCCAGCTGTACCACTGCTTACTTAGTAATATTATTTTTAAAAAATTTCTAAACTTTTAGAAAATCTTCAAATTATAGGAAAATGGGAAGAATAGTATATGAACACTTGATACCCTCCTACCTATATTCACAAATTGTTAATGTGTTGTGACATTTGCTTTCTCTTACTTTCTATAATATATATTAATATAAGCACACATCTATATTTACATTTCACATTTTTAAATTGTGAAATAATTATAGATTCATAGGGAGTTGGCAGAATGGTCTCTTGTACCCTTCATCTGGTTTTCCCCAATGGTTGTGTTTTATGTAGCTATAATACAGTATCAAAGCCAGAAAATTGACATTGGTACAATGTATATATATAGTTCTGTGTCACTTTATCTTGTGTGTAGATTCATGTAACCACAATGAAGTTACTGAACTATTCCATTACCACAAAGATCTTCCTCATGCCACTCCTTTGTAGTTATATCTCCCAGTCCCCCTACCTTTTTTTCCCACTTAACGGTTTGAAAGTTAGATGCAGGTAAATGACACTTTGCACCTAAATGTGTCAGTAATTACCTCCTGAGTATAGGGCCATTTCTTCTACCTAACCAGTTATTATACCTAGAAAATCAATACTGCATTAATAGTATCTAATACATAGTCTTTATTAAAATTTCCTCAATTGTCCCCAAAAATTCTTTGCTAATTTGTTTTGATCCAGGATTCAGTAAGCATTCATGCATGCATTTGGCTATTATGTCTTAAGATTGAGGAGAGTCACCCTTTTGGTGGTGGTTGTGGTGGTATTCATGACATTGCCTTGTAGAATGTTGCAGTTTCCTGAGATTTTCTGAGGGCAAAACTCATGACTGATTAAAAGGGTCCTGAAAGATCCTTTAAACATTTTTGCAAAAATCTTACATAGGCAATTGGTGTATCCTTTGTTATCTATCTCTAGTTTATCAGGAGGCACATAATGTCACATTGTCCTATTATTTGTTGCTGCTAAGTTTGATCATATGATTTATCTGCTATAAAAGTTCATTTTTTCCCATTGTGATTAACAAGTAATTTTGGATGTTATGCTTTGAGACATTATGAATATACTGCTCCCTCTAAATTTGTATTCAGTTGTTTAGTATACACCGTTGATTCTTATCTGAATCCGTTAGTACACTGGAAGTTGTAAAATAGTGATTCTCTAATTGTATTATTCCCTTTATATTTATTACTGGCATTCTGAAAAAGAGTCTTCCTTTTTTGACTTCTGTTTCTTTCATTCTCCCACATTTGTCCCAGCTGTGGTCAGAGGGAGCCTCCTCAAGCTGGCTTGTTTGTCGTTTCAACATGACCCTATTACTTTTGGAGTACTCCATTGCTTTCTGGCCTAAGAGATGTCCCATACTTACCTTTTGCATTTTTTGTCCCAGACCTGGTATCAGCCATTCCTCTAAGGAACCCTGGTTCTTTCTTTAAATTTGAGAATTAAGTTTATTTAAGAGACACTTCATATCACTAATCTGTTCTCCACTTTTTAAATAATAAGCATTAAAATAAATATATATTGGCCGGGCATAGTGGCTCACGCCTGTAATCTCAGCACTTTGGGAGGCCGAGGCGAGTGGATCACCTGAGGTTGGGAGTTCAAGACTAGCCTGACCAACATGGAGAAACTGTCTCTACTAAAAGTACAAAATTAGCCGGACGTGGTGGCACATGCCTGTAATCCCAGCTACTTGGGAGGCTGAGGCAGGAGAATCGCTTGAACTCGGGAGGCAGAGGTTGCAGTGAGCCGAGCTCGCGCCATTGCAGTCCAGCCTGGGCAACAAGAGTGAAACTCCGTCTCAAAAAAATATATAAATAAGTAAATAAGGTAAAATAGATACGTATTAAAATGAAAGTGTGGCCAGGCACAGTGGCTCACACCTGTAATCCCAGCACTTTGGAAGGCCAAGGTGAGTGTATCACTTGAGGTCTGGAGTTTGAGACCAGCCTGGCCAATATGGTGAAACCCTGTCTCTACTAAAAATACAAAAATTAGCCGGGCATGGTGGGGTGCGCCTGTAGTCCCAGCTACTTCAGAGGCTGAGGCAGGATAATCACTTGAACGCAGAAGGTGGAGATTGCAGTGACCCTGGATCGCACCACTGCACTCCAGTCTGGGAGACAGAGTGAGACTCTCAAAAAAAAAAAAAAAAAAAAAATGGCTAGGTGCAGTGGCTCATGCCTGTAATCCCAGCACTTTGGTAGGCTGAGGTGGGCAGATCATGAGGTCAGGAGTTCGAGACCAGCCAGGCCAATTTGGTGAAATCCCGTCTCTACTAAAGATACAAAAAAAGAATTAGCTGGGTGTGGTGGCACGTGCCTGTAATCCCAGGCTACTCTGGAGGCTGAGGCAGGAGAATCGTCTGAACCTGGGAGGTAGAGGTTGCAGCGAGCTGAGATTTCCCATTGTACTGCAGCCTGGGTGACAGGGCGAGACTGCGTCTCAAAAAAAAAAAAAAAAAATGTCTGGGCGCGGTGGCTCATGCCTGTAATCCCAGCATTTTAGGAGGCTGATGTGGGTAGATCACCTGAGGTCAGGAGTTCAAGACCAGCCTGACCAACATGGCAAAACCCCGTCTCTACTAAAAATACAAAAATTTGCCAGGTATGGTGGTGGGCACCTGTAATCCTGGCTACTTGGGAGGCTGAGGCAGGAGAATCGCTTCAACCCAAGGGGCAGAGGTTGCAATGAGCTGAGATTCTGCCATTGCACTCCAGCGTAGGCGACAGAGCAAGACTCCGTCTCAATAAATAAATAAATAAGTAAATAAATAAATAAATTTAAAAAATGAACATGTGAAGCAACTAAATCTCATGTCTCACAGTGGGACATGTACCATATATTGGAAAACGTTGCTTTCTGTGTTCAGCATAAAGGTCGTTTGGGCCAGTCTGAGTGACATGGAAGCTTCCTGCATGGAACATGAGTCCTGGGGCATCCCCAGCTTGAGCCATAGACATAGCTTGGTGCTCATAATGAGTTTCTTCTGTGTTTTAGAAACTCCAATAGCAAAAATGATCGAAGGAACCGGAAGTTTAAGGAAGCTGAGCGGCTCTTCAGTAAATCCTCGGTTACCTCAGCAGCTGTAAGTAGTGGTGGTGGGGGAATCTTTCTTTGGCCTGTTGTTGGGGAATGTGTTTTTTCTTTACCTTCCTCTGGGAGTGCTCTTCTGAGGTCTGTGGTCACTTTTCTAGTAACTGGTGGCTTTTCTTTTAGGCAGTAAGTGCATTGGCAGGAGTTCAGGACCAGCTCATTGAAAAGAGTAAGTTGATGTTTTTATGTTTCTCATCAGTTTATTTTTAAGCTACCATCACCCTTACACTTAATTCATCCAATTGTGTATCTGAGGACTGCATTTCTTATGCTCTTCCCTTTTCCCTCTTCTTCCTGGAAGTTTTGAAACTTTTAGGGTATCCTTAATCATGTTTTTCTCCACTCCCCGACCCAGACAAGGTCTCACTATAGCCCAAGCTGGAGTACAGTGGCATGATCATAGTTCGCTGCAGCCTCAAACTCCTAGGCTCAAGCAGTCCTCCTGCCTCGGCCTCCCAAGTAGCTAGGACCACAGGCATCTGTCACCACACCTGGCTAATTTTTAAATTTTTTAAAGAGACAGAGTCTCACTATGTTGCCCAGGCTAGTCCATAATTCCTGGCATCAAATAATCCTCCCACTTGAGCCTCCCAAAGTGTTGGGAGTAGAGGTGTGAGCCACCATTTGTGAACAATCGTATTTTTTCCTTTTGAGGAAGAAATTACTGTACTCTTCTTGCCTCTTCTGTCACATGAAGATTGGCTTTAGCATCTCAAAGAGACAAAGATATATTTCATTACTGATAAATCTTATAAATTCTTAGGGAATTAAAGTTAAAACAATAACTTTTATGGAAAATTTCAAATATATCTTATAAATCCCCATGTACCCAATTTAATAATTCTTAGAAAATGTTCATCTTGGCCCAGTGCAGTGGCTCACACCTGTAATCCCTGCACTTTGGAATGGAGAGGTGGGAGGATTGCTTGAGCCCACAAGTTCAAGTTCAAGACCAGCCTAGTCAACAAAGCAAGACTCTGTCTCTACAAAAAATTAAAAAATTAGCCAGGCTTGGTGGCATATGCCTGTAGTCCCAGCTATTAGAGAGGCTGAGGTGAGAGGATCACTTTAGCCCAGGAAGTTGAGGCTGCAATGAGCCATGATCGTGTCACTGCTCCAGCCTGGGTGACAAAGTGAGACCATGCCAAAAAAAAAAAAAAAAAAAAAAAAAAGAAATGCTCATCCTGTAAATAGGATGTACCTGTATGTTCTTAAGTATAAAATGGAAAATAGTGCTATTTACTCTGTAAACGAATTATATCTTATTTTTTATACATAAGCCATACAGTCTAATTTCCAGGGATGGGTTATAGATTTGTGCATTTATCTTTCTGAGTCAGACTCAGTGTAACCATATTGGATGTTCTCTCTGTGTATTTCATCACCTTGAAATACGACCTGTTCTCGGTATTACTGTGTACTTCTTTCAGAAGGTATATCTTGTTGTTGGATCTAGTTCTTTTGTTGGCATTGGTACAATGATATGAGGAAAAGGGATTTTAGTAGTTTGGGAATTAGAAGTATTTAATTATTATCTCTATGTACAGATTTCTAAATTTGTTTCTCTGCCCTTAACCTCTTTCCTGGCTTTACTTCTGCATTTCGTCTTTTTTTTTTTTTTTAAGACGGAGTCTCGCTCTGTTGCCTAGGCTGGAGTGCAGTGGCACGATTTTGACTCACTGCAACCTCCGCTTTCTAGGGGCCTCCCAAAGTGCTGGGATTACAGGCATGAGCCACTGCGCCCGGCCTGAATCCTGCATTTCCTTCTAGACATTTCCACTCATAATCACTCAAATATTTGATCTAAAACAGAATTGTTCTGTTTCCTTCAGAATTTGTCTTCACAGATTTTTTGTGATGGTACTTCACTTCTCCCTTATTCAGAACTCTGTAGACGTCTTTGACTCCTTTCTGCCAGCCTCATCAATTATACCAAGTCCTTTTGATTTTTCTTTTACTATGACTCTCCACTAAATCTTTTTTTTTTTTTTTTAAATCTTACTTCTTTTTAATTAATGCCACTCTAGAATGTAGAGCTAAACTGGTTAAGGAACACCCTGGACCTCACTCCTGTGAGTTGAGATGGAATGATATCTGACTTAGTTTTCTTTCTTTTTTTTTTTTTTGAGGCAGAGTTTTGCTTTTGTTACCCAGGCTGGAGTGCAATGGCGTGATCTCGGCTCACTGCCACCTCCGCCTCCCAAGTTCAAGCAATTCTCCTGCCTCAGCCTCCCAAGTAGCTGGGATTACAGGTGTGCATCACCATGCCCAGCTAATTTTTGTATTATTGGCAGAGATGGGGTCTCACAATGTTGGCCAGGCTGATCTTGAACTCCTGACCTCAGGTGATCCATCTGCCTTTGCCTCCCAAATTGCTGGGATTACAGGCGTGAGCCACAGGGCCCGGCCCTGACTTAGTTTTCACATGAGCCTGTAATCTTGCCCTGGCTTAGCTGATCATTCAGTATATGGCTGTTTACCTGTCTACCTGCAAGAATAAGCTGCACCCAGGTACTTGTCAGGGAAAGACTCAAGTTACTGCTTTCAGAAGCTTGGCTAAGACAAACACTTATGTATTAAAGATTTTTGGCTGAGTGCAGTGGCTGGCTCATACTTTTGGGAAGCCAATAGTCCCAGCTACTCAGGAGGCTGAGATGGGAGGATTGCTTGAGCCCAGGAGTTCAAGGCTGTAGTGAGCCATGACACTCCAGCCTGAGTGACAGAGTGAGACCTTGTCAAAACAAAACAAAACAAAAACCTGAAAAGGCTGGCGAGATGGCTCACACTTAAAATTCCAGCACTTTGGGAGGCCGAGGTGAGAGGATCTCTTGAGCCCTGGAGTTCAAGACCAGACTAGGGAACATAGTGGACCCTATCTCTACCAAAAACAAAACAAAACAAAACAAAAGTAGCTGGACGTGGTGGCACACACCTGTAGCCCCAGTGATTCAGGAGGCTGAGGGAGAAGGATCACTTGAACCCAGGAGGTCAAGGCTGCAGTGATTGTGCCACTGCTCTGTACTCTAGCCTGGGCGACAGTAAGACCCTATCTCAAAAAAATAAAAATTAAAAAAATTATAGTCCAATTTATATATTTGTTTTTGTTAGATTTTCTTTTTTGGTCATATCTGAGAAACCATTGCCTAACCTAGTGGCATCTAAGTTTTTTTTTTTTTGAGACGGAGTCTCGCTTTATTGCCCAGGCTGGAGTGCAGTGGCACTATCTTGGCTCACCACAACCTCCACCTCCTGGGTTCAAGAGATTCTCTTGCCTCAGCCTCTCGAGTAGCTGGGACGACAGGCACGCGCCACCATGCCCAGCTAATTTTTGTATTTTTAGTAGAGAATGGGTTTCACTCTGTTAGCCAGGCTGGTCTTGAACTCCTGACCTCGTGATCCGCCCACCTTGGCCTCCCAAAGTGCTGGGATTACAGGCTTGAGCCACTGCGCCCGGCCAGGCATCTAAGATTTTTAGTTTTAGCTCTTACATTTATGTCTGTGATCCATTTTGAGTTAATTTTTGTGTATGTTGTGAGATGGGGGTACAGCTTCATTGTTTTGCATGTGAATATCTAGTTGTTCCAGCACCATTTGTTGAAAAGACTTTCTTTCTTCATTGAATTGTCTTGTCACCCTTGTTGAAAATCAGTTGACTGTAAATATAAGGGTTCATCCTGGGACTCTGAATTCTAGTCCCCTGATTTATACGTTGATACCAGTACCACACAGTGTTGATTACTGCAGCTTTGTGTAGCATGTTGTTTTTTTAGTGTGAAATCAGTTTTCTTGAACATCAGAAGGGCAGTATTGGCCAGTATACTTTTTGTATAATAGCTTCATAGCTCTAGGCAGGGAGTCCAATCTTTTGGTTTCTCTGGGCCACATTGGAAGAAGAATTTTCTAGGGCCACACATAAAATATACTAACACTATAGCTGATGAGCTAAGAACAAAAAATCACAAAAAAATCTCACAGTGTTTTAAGAAAGTTTACAAATTTGTGTTGGGCCATATTCAAAGCCGTCCTGGGCTGCTTGCGGCCCATGGGCCTTGGGTGGGACATGCTTGCTCTAGAGTTTCCTTTTCTGTTGCTTTCCTAAAATGTGTTCAAATTAGGGTTTCATGTTTTCTGAGATTTGGCTATTTCTCTCTTCTGCTTTTTTGGAACTGTCTCTTTCCTTTACTTCTTGTACCCGTATGCTACTCAATTTAAATTCTCTTCCTAGCAGATTATAATATGAAGACCATAGAAAGAAGAAAACTGGGCCAGATACGGTGGCTCATGCCTATAATCCCAGAACTTTGGGAGCCCAAGGTGGGTGGATCACCTGAGGTCAGGAGTTTGAGACTAGCCTGGCCAACATGGCAAAACCCCGTCTTTACTAAAAATACAAAAATGAGCCGGGCATGGTGGTGGGTGCCTGTAATCCCAGTTACTTGGGAGGCTGAGGCAGGGGAACCGTTTGAACCAGGGAGGTGGAGATGGCAGTGAGCCAAGATCGCGCCACTGTACTCCAGCCTGGGCGTGACACAGCAAGACTCTGTCTCAAAAAAGAAGAAAACTGGTCCCTTGGTTCTGCTACCACATGACCTTTTTTGACAAGTTTTAGAAATAGATAATGTGTGTGTGTGTGTGTGTGTGTGTGTATATAAATTTTTTTTTTTTTTTTTTTTTGAGATGGAGTCTTGCTCTTGTTGCCCAGGCTGGAGTGCAGTGGCGCCATCTTGGCTCACTGCAACCTCCACCTCCCGGGTTCAAGTGATTCTTCTGTCTCAGCCTCCCAAGTAGCTGGGATTACAAGTGCTCACCACCATGCCCGGCTAATTTTTTGTATTTTTAGTAGAGGTGGGGTCTTACCATGTTGGCCAGGCTGGTCTCCGACTCCTGACCTCAGATGATCCACTTGTGTCGGCTTTCCAGAGTGCTGGGATTACAGACATGAGCCACTGTGCTCGGCCAGATAATGTATATATTTAGGATCCTTCAACAGTTGAGTAAAGTGAAAGTCTTCCCTCACTCATCCTTACCTATTAAAAGTTTAAAGAAATTCCTTTCAGGAAAAATAAGTATATATATAAAGGAAATACAAATATACCTGTATTAATCTGTTTTCACACTGCTATAAAGAAATATCTGAGACTGGGTAATTTATAAAGGAAAGATGTTTAATTGACTCACAGTTCTACATGGCTGGGGAGGCCTCAGGAAACTTACAATCATGGAGGAAGGTGAAGGGGAAGCAAGCACCTTCTTCACAAGGCAGTAGGAGAGAGAACACGCATGAAGGAAGAACTTCTAAACACTTCTAAAACCATCAGTTCTTGTGAGAACTCCCTCACTATCACAGGAATAGCATGGGGAAAACCACCCCCATGATCCAGTCACCTCCCACCAGCTCTCTCCCTCAACATGTGAGGATTACAATTCGAGTTGAGATTTAGGTAGGGACACAGAGCCAAACCATACCAATAACTATATTCTTTTTTTTGAGATGGAGTCTCGTTCTGTCACCCAGAGCGATCTCGGCTTATGCAATCTTGGCTCATGCAATCTCCACTTCCTGGGTTCAAGCAATTCTCCCTGCCTCAGCCTTGAATAGCTGGGATTACAGGCGCCTGCCGCCACACCTGGTTAATTTTTGTGTTAGTAGAGATGAGGTTTTGCCGTGCTGACCAGGCTGGTCTTGAACTCCTGACCTCAGGTGATCCACCCACCTCGGCCTCCCAAAGTGCTGGGATTACAGGCATGAGCCACTGTGTGCAGCCTTTTTTTTTTTTTTTTTTTTTTTGAGACAGTCTTGCTCTGTTGCCCAGGCTAGAGTGCATTGCAGTGGTAAGATCATAGCTCACTGCAGCCTCAAACTTATGGGCTGAAGTGATCCTCCCACCTCAGCTTCCTGAACAGCTGAGACTCCAGGCATGTGCCACCATGTCTGGCTAATTTTTAATTTTTGTTTTTATAGAGATGAGGGTCTGGCTGTGTTGTCCAAGCTGGTCTTGAACATTTGGCCTCAAGCCATCCTCCTGCCTCAGCCTCCCAGAGCACTGGGATTGCAGGCATGAGATACTGTGCCTAATCTATAGTCTTAAAAATATATATGTTTATACAAGTTGTTATTGAGCTTGCTTTTATTAAGGTAATCTACAGTGATGTTTTAAAATTGAGAATATGTGTCAGCTGAAGATTATTACTGCATTTTAAAAGTATTCTTAGCAGAATGCGTGGCTCATGCCTGTAATCTCAGCAGTTTGGGAGGTTGAAGCAGGAGGACTGCTTAAGCCCAGGAGTTTGAGACCAGCCTGGGCAACATAGTAAGACCCCATCTTTAAAAAAAAAAGTATCCAAGTGTGGTGGCATGTGCCGGTAGTTCCAGCTACTGGGGAGGCTGAGATGGGAGGATAATTTGAACCCAGGAGTTTGAGGCTGCCATGAGCTATGATCACACCAGTTCACACCAGTGCACTCTAGCCTGGGTGACAGAGTGAGATCTTGTCTCGAAATAAAATGAAATAAAATAAAACTTACCAGGCTGGGTGTGGTGGCTCATGCCTGTAATCTCAGCACTTTGGAAGGCTGAGGCAGGTGGATCTCTTGAGCCTAGGAGTTCAAGACCAGCCTGGGCAACATGGCAAAACCACATCTCTACAAAAAATAGAAAAATTAGCAGGGCTTATGCTTATGGGCACCTGCAGTCCCAGCTACTTGGGAGGCTGAGGTGTAAGGATCATCTGAGCCCAGGAACTGAAGGCTGCTGTGAACAGAGATTCCACCACTGCACTCCAGCCTAGGTGACAGAGTGAGACCCTGTCTTAAAAAAAAAAAAAAAAAAAAGACTTACGAGGTTCAAGTTCAACAGAGCTTAAAGGTTAAACAAACAAACAAAAAAAAAACAAGAAAAAACAATGGAAAACTTATCAGAGTAATTCAGGAATGGGCTGTCTTCTCCCTCTTTGGCCCCCCCTTTTTTTTTGTACAGTCACTGTAGTTTTTTTTGTACATCACTGTAGATTACATTTAATAAAAGCAAACTCAATAACAACTTGTGTAAACATATATATTTTTAAGACTATAGATCAGGCACAGTATCTCATGCCTGTGATCCCAGTGCTCTGGGAGGCTGAGGCAGGAGGATGGTTTGAGGCCAAGTGTTCAAGACCAGCTTGGACAACACAGCCAGACTCTCATCTCTATAAAAACAAAAACTGCCCTTAGAGCTGTTCTCTCTGGTTACATTGTTTCAGATTACATGCTTTTTCAGGACCTTTGGTCACTTGGATCCTTTGTATGTATCTTCTCTGTCAACATGTATCTTCTCTGTCAACATGTATCTTCTCTGTCAATTAGAGGATAGGGAATGGTTTTTTTCTACCTATTAGTGTTCATGTTGATGGACAGATTGCCTGAGGAGTACTGATGATGCATTTGGAAACTTGTGTTTTATTTCCTTCAGGGGAGCCAGGAAGTGGGACGGAAAGTGACACTTCTCCAGACTTCCACAATCAGGAAAATGAGCCCAGCCAGGAGGACCCTGAGGATCTGGATGGATCTGTGCAGGGAGTGAAACCTCAGAAGGCTGCTTCTTCTACTTCCTCAGGGAGTCACCACAGCAGCCATAAAAAGCGAAAGAATAAAAACCGGCACAGGTCAGTGGCAGGGATCCCACCCCCGCAGCTCCCATGACCATTGCTGTGAAGGGAATTGCCTAGAATAAAAACTCTTTAGGATTGCTGCAGACTCTTTCTGTTGCTGATGGCAAGAAAGTCATTAGGTCCAAGTGAACGGGCTAATTTGCTCAAAGGGAGGAATTGGTGGGCATTAGAGTAACCCTCAAGGAAGACTCCAGGACATTCTTCTCACTGTTTCTAGTGTAGAATAGTTTTATTCCATAAAAACCTTGTTTCATATGGTGAATATGGAATACTTTTAGAAGAGGAAAAGGAGAAATAGAAATGGAATCTGTGTAATAGTATTTGAAAAATGCCACTGGTACTTATTGGGAAGCTGTAAAGTGGGATAAAGTCTTCTGCTGGTAATTCTGATCTTTGCCTACTCTTATTTCTTTGTGGATGGAGAGAACTGATTTGACATGCCTTTTTTTCTCTTTAAATACAAGTTTTTTTTATTGCTTGTGATTTTTCTGTTTCTGTATTTCTCAGCAATATGCTGACTTCAGATACTGGAGGAACAGTATAAAGCCTGTAAAATATGAGAGTGTCTTCATAGGTAACGTGTAACATTGGTGCACCATGTTTTTTTGCAGTACATAATGAGATAGGAATGACGTCAGTGGACAGAGAGGCCAGGTGTCACCCAGAGAGGGTTTCAGCATTCACTCTGCCTGGGGTTTGTATGATCATGCTGGGGATTGTTAACTCAGATAATTGGAAATTATGCAGCTTGACCTAAAGAGTATAATGTCCGGTTTCTAGAGTAAGGAGTTTTGCTGGCCTCAAGCCTTCCAGGAGAAATGGAGACCCTATACATACCTGTTTCCATGCCTCCTAGAAGTTCCGAAGCCAGGGTAAGAGTTCTCATTCTAGAAACTGTACATTCGTTCTACTCCTCCTGGAAGACTGCGTGCTGAGCAGGTGAAAGGGGGCAATGCAAGGGATGGGTGGCATTCCCTGTTCTCCAGTTTGCTTCTGGATTTGGTTTACAAATCTGTAGGGTATTCCTTCATGCACCCAAGGTATTAAACTTGTTAGCTTCATGGATATGACAGTGCCTGGGGGTAATGTAGGATTAACTCTACCTGATTTGAACCTCCTTGATTGGCGTCAGCTGGTTCTTCAATTATTTTAAGAGTTTTTCTTGTTGATGGTAATGGTGTTTTCTAGACTGCAGAAATAGTATTTCCTTCAAATAATGACTGAGGACTGCTGCTTAACATTTTTCTGCAAACCAGAAGTCACCATCCTAATCGCATAACTGTAGTAAGAATTAGCAAAAATTGTATATCTACCTCTTCATATATTTTTGAAAGGCTATAGGTTATTTGACCAACTGTAGTAAGACTGGTGCTAGCTTATCACGAATAACAGAGAAATATATTCTTAAAAATTTTTTTAATTGTCAAGATAATTAAATGTCATGCTCTGTATTGCTTTTATTAAATTTACTCCAGTGTCATTTTTTTTTAATTTTTTATTTTTTTCAGACAGTCTTGCTCTGTCACCCAGGCTGGAGTGCAGTGGCACGATCTCAGCCCCTGCAGCCTCTGCTTCCTGGGTTCAAACGATTCTCCTGCCTCAGCCTCCTGAGTAGCTGGGATTACAGGCGTGCACCACTGTGCCCAGCTAATTTTTGTATTTTTAGTAGAGACACGTTTCACTGTGTTGGTGTGAACTACTGGCCTCAGGTGATCCACCTGCCTCGGCCTCCCAAAGTGCTGGGATTACTGGCATGAGCCACGGTGTCTGGCCTAGTGTCATTTTAAAGTAGTGATTATTTTCTTATTTCATAGTGTCTAGAGTAGGGAGGAAACTCTTTGAAAGTTTCGGGGACTTTTTCCCATTACTGATTAATAGTCTGTAGATAGCTGTTTATTTCAGGTAGTTCTTCATTTCCACTAATGATGTTATTAGCTGGTGACTGATAAAAAGGAGTTAAAGAGGAGCTAAACTTCATTTTCTTCTTGCAAGTTTCTAGCACATTTCCATAGGAACAATACTTCTTCCTATCCTAGGAGCTATCTCCTTCCAGAAAAATAGTAGTAGTTGTAAAAATCTTCGATATTAGTTACTGCTTCGCAAATAGTGTTTTCTGTTTGGAAAGCAGAATCCTGCTTTTTATTGCTGTCCTTTTGTCTTCCCTCTGATTTAATATCTGGCTGATCTCCCTTGGCCTTAGGCACTCATCTGCCCCAAGAAAGGAGAGTGAAGCTGATTTGTTTCCTTTCTAGGGAAGCAAAATTCAGTGTGCCTGAATGGCACACGAGCGGTCAGTTAAGGCTCTTGGACTCCTGCCATCTTTAGTCAGGAATTGTGTCTGCTCCAAGTCCCTTACTACTGCTGACTGATATCTCAGTAGGGCTGGCAGATTGGGGTGGGGACAGAGCATGGTGTCTATGTACATTGTTAAGTTTGTACCCAGTATAGTACATGTTTATCCTCCAGTGTGCCATACCCCATATAGTGAGATGAGTCAATAATAAATTATTTCAGCAAATGTTTGAGTACTTACTGTGTGCCAGACACTGTTTAGTGGTGAGCAAAGGTGGAAATAAATATGGCACTTAAGCAAAAGGAAATAACTTGAATTTGCCCTCTTCAGGAATATGAAATTTTTTTTTTTCTTGAAACAAGGTCTTGCTGGATTGCCCAGGCTGGAGTGCAGTGGTGAGATCATGGGTCATTGCAGCTTTGACCTCCTGGGCTCAGGCAATCCTCCCACCTCATCCTCCTAAGTAGCTGGGAGTACAGGCATGTGCCACCATGCCTAGCTAGTTTCTGTATTGTTTTGTAGAGATGGGGTTTTGCCATGCTGCACAGGCTGGTCTTGAACTCCTAGGCTTGATCCTCCTGCCTCGGCCTCCCAAAGTGCTGGGTTTACAGGCATGAACCACACCACACCCCGCCAGAATATAAAAATTTATCAAATAATTTTTAGCATCCATAAGTGATCACATTGTTCTGAATTCTTATATTTTACATGATACCTGAACAGTATGTCATTCCTGGTATCTTTAAAGAAAAAGTTGAAATAATACCATATAGTGGCCAGGTGCTGTGGCTCATACCTGTAATTCCAGCAATTTGGGAGGCTGAGGTGGAGGGATCACTTGAGTCTAGGAGTTCGAGACCAGCCGGGGGCAACATGGCGAGACTCCCGTCTCTACAAAAAAACACAGTAATTAACTGGACGTGATGGCATGCCTGTAGTCTCAGCTACTTGGAAAGATGAGATGAGGCTGGAGGATTGCTTGAGCCCAGGAGGTTGAAGCTTCAGTGAGCTACTGCACTTCATCCTGGGTGACAGAGGAAGACCCTGTCTCAGTAATAGTAATAATAATAATAATAATAATAATAATAATAATAAAAAATAACATAGCTACTCTTATAAGTTTCTGTTACTATAAAAAATTACTTTAGATAGTCTGTAAAGTTTTGATTAACTAGATACAGTCTATTTTGATTTGTGAACAAAGTCAAGTCAGGCTGAAAGTGAAATATTTGATAATTCCTAGTTTCATACACCTACTGTATACTCTCCCAAATGTCTAAAGTGAAACTATTTTGTGAGAGATATTGACATTAAGCTTTCTTCCAGCTTTACTCTTGCAAACATTGTCTAGGAGGAAATGTAGCCATTTGCATATTGTTTTAGCACCTAAATGTAGCCATTTGCTTATTGTTTTAGTCTGGAAGGTGTTGGAGCCGGTGAAGGAGCAGGTGTCATGCTCCAGGTTAATGTTTGCTTTGGAGGCCTGCCCAGATCATGGCCTGCTAGTGGTGATGGCACAAAATGGTCTCCTTCTCTGTACTGCTCCTTCCAGATCCCTGAGACTTGGGTGCTTGTGGATGGCAGCTTTCCCTTGTTTTAATAGGGGTGCTGCAGGCTGGGTGCAGTGGCTCATGCCTGTAATCCCAGCACTTTAGGGGGCCGAGGCAGATGGATCACCTGAGGTCAGGAGTTCGAGACCAGCTTGGCCAACATGGTGAAACCCTGTCTCTACTAAAAATACAAAAATTAGCTGGACCTAGTGGCAGGCGCCTGTAATCCCAGCTGCTAGGGAGGCTGAGACAGGAGAATCGTTTGAACCCAGGAGGCGGAGGTTACAGTGAGCCAAGATTGCGCCATTGCACTCCAGCCTGGGTGACAAGAGCAAAACTCTGTCTCAAAAAATAAATAAATAAATAAATAAATAAATACGGGTGCTGCAGACTTTTGTGTTTCTTAATTATAGCCCTGATATAGACAGTTAATTGCCATCACCTACTTAGGTGGCAGAGCAATACTGTTCTTCATTTTCTGGAACAAGGTTCCACCACTGAAGTTTATTCATTCAACTTTGGGCTTTTAGGATGAATGCTGTAGAAAAGGAGCATGGTGTTCCCTGGACATGTTTAGAACATATAACTTGAGGGAGGCTGAGGCAGGAGAATGGCGTGAACCCGGGAGGCAGAGCTTGCAGTGAGCCAAGATCGCCGCCCCTGCACTCCAGCCTGGGTGCCAGAGCGAGACTCCGTTTCAAACAAACAAACAAACAAACAAACAAACCCATATAACTTGAGTAAAAATTTGTGAAATGTTTTCCTTTTTTAAAGTTTAGACTGTGTTGTAGTTTTTTATTTTAGTGAAAGTATATTATGCTGAGTTGTTAGCACTCTCTTCAAAGTGCCTTTCATTATATAACTAAACCTTTCTTTCTCTGTTTCTTCTAATGCCCTAATTATATTTTTCAATACAATTAAATATTTTAAAAGTTCTAACTCCGAATTTGGCAGCTAATAAAAGGGCTCCAGGTGTCTGAGTTTTCTAATGAAATAACTTTTTCTTTCATAGTCTAGTCTTCTGATATGAAATCCATTGAAGGAAGGGAATCTTCTGACCACAAAATCTTTGGTGCTTTGATGTTTGATACTTTGTTGCTTAAGATTCTTAAAGCTGATTTTGTTTCTACAATTCTTGCTAGGGTGGCTAATCGACTAATTTATTCAATTAGTATATTAATTTCTATTGCTTTCTTCCTTTCAAATGCTGCCCCTCAGCCCGTCTGGCATGTTTGATTATGACTTTGAGTAAGTTTGATTTGAATTAGTATTTGTGCTGTGTTTAGTGTGTAGACACCAGTATGCCTTTTTGAGACCTTTCTAACCCATAGTTTATCTGTTTAATTGTAGGTATGTATATTAGGTTAGGCTGGGAAGTTTTTTTTAAAAACAGAAAAACGTGATGGAGGTAACATTTTATTTAATAACTTAAGCAAAATTAAGTAAACTTCACTTTTATGCATTTTAATTTCTTTTAAAATAGATAACCTTTACTTTAACTCATATTTAAATTGATTTTCTGGCTTTGCTTCATAAGGAGAATAATAGCTTAAGATCTTGATATTTTGCTTTGGAAAGATTTAAAAATTGAAATTAATTTAATTTATTTTGTGTTTCGTGTTCAGAAATACAAACTCCTAGTCTCTTTCCTGTTGTTAATCACCATGTGTCTCAGTAATTTTCAGTGATATAGTTACAGAACTAACACATTAACATAGAGCATGCCCTCTTACTTCAGTCTTTTTAACATGTAGTTTTGGAATTGTTTTAAAATTATATGGCTTTTGTAGCTGCTGTATACATTTCTTTTTAGAGTCAGCTAAGTTTGCCTTAGGGCAAAAATGTGTGCTCATAATTTTTAATACTTGCTTGATAATATCTGGGTAAACAACTAAATATGACATAGTCTAATGAAGAATGTGGATTTTTCTTAACCAAATAGTCTTTGTTATAGCTTATGCCCTATGCAGTAGCTGATTGTGGGACCCATTTTCTGTAAATTAAAATGGAAATATCTTTTATCTTTTCTGTCACAGGATTGATCTGAAGTTAAACAAAAAACCACGAGCTGTAAGTATCAGCCGGACCACTTCAGAGAGGCTGGCAATTTTGTAGATGATTAGAAAAATGTATTTGTCTTCAGAGCTTGAGTGTTCCTAACCTGGAGTCATAACTCTTGATTTAAAGTCTGGGGTGTCCATCTGGATATACTTCAACTTTTAGGTGGTTTTTTTGTTTTTTTTTTTTTTTGTTTTTTGTTTTTTTTTTTTGAGAGACAGTTTCTTGCTCTTTCACCTAGGCTAGAGTGCAGTATCATCACAGTCACAGTTCACTGTGGCCTTGACCTCCTGTGCTTGGCCTCCCGAGTAGCTGGGAATACAGGTACATGCCACCTTGCCTGGCTAATTTTTGTATTTTTTGTAGATATGGGGTTTCACCATGATGTCCAGTCTGGAACTCCTGGACTTAAGCAATCCTCCTACCCCAGCCTCCCAAAGTGTTGGGATTACAGGTGTGAGCCAACGTGCCTGGCCTATGGTTTTTGTATTTTAAGGAGAGAAAGAGGTCACATACTTTATTTATTTATTTATTTATTTATTTATTTATTTATTTATTTATTTTTTGAGACGGAGTCTTGCTCTGTTGCCCAGGCTGGAGTGCAGTGGTGCAATCTTGGCTCACTGCAACCTCCGCCTCCCAGGTTCAAGTGATTCTCCTGCTTCAGCCTCCTGAGTAGCTGGGATTACAGTGCGTGCCACCATGCCCAGCTAGTTTTTGTATTTTAGTAGAGACAGGGTTTCACCATGTTGGTCATGCTGGTCTCAAACTCCTGACCTCGTGATCCACCCGCCTCAGCCTCCCAAAGTGCTGGGATTACAGGCGTGAGCCACCGCACCCGGCCGGTCACATACATTTTTAATGATGAAAAATTCCCTTTAATTAAATAATAAATTGTTAATACTAGCTCTTTTTTTTTTTGGACTGGTGAATTCAGGTGCTCTAATAAGAGCAAAATTGATGTTTCAATCCCTTTATGGACTCAGAAGGCAGACCATTTTCAGATGTGAAATATTGTACATTATATTTGGAATAGAATCTTTTTTTAAATTTTTTTTTTGTGTGTGTGACAGGGTCTGGCTCTGTCACCCAGGCTAGAGTGCAATGGTGTGATCTTGGCTCACTGCAACCTCTGCCTCCCAGGCTCAAGCCGTCCTCCCACCTCAGACTCCTGGGTAGCTGAGACCACAGGCATGAGCCACCACACCTGGCTAATTTTTGTGTTTTTTGTAGAGACATGGTCTTAATTTGTTACCCAGGCTGGTCTCGAGCTCCTGACCTCAAGTGATCTGCCCGCCTGGGCCTCCCTAAGTGCTGGGATTATAGGCCTGAGCCACCACGCCTGGCCTGAAATACAATCTTTTTTTTTTTTTTTTTTTTTGAAACAGAGTTTCACTCTTGTCACCCAGGCTGGAGTGCAATGGCGCGATCTTGGCTCACTGCAACCTCCGCCTTCCAGGTTCAAGCGATTCTCCCACCTCAGCCTCCTGAGTAGCTGGAATTACAGGTGCCCACCACCATGTCTGGCCAATGTTTTGTATTTTTAGTAGAGACGGGGTTTCACTATGCTGGCCAGGCTGGTCTCGAACTCCTGACCTCGTGATCTCCCTGCCTCGGCTTCCCAAAGTGCTGGGATTACAGGTGTGAGCCACTGTGCCTGGCCTGAAATATAATCTTTAGCTATAGAGCAGTCCCCTAGTAGAGTTGTTTATGAGATTTTTTTTTTCCTTTAGGGTCAAACAACTGTTCTGCCGAGAGTAAGTTGGGACTTTTGTTTTTCTTTCTTTAGGACTATTAGAAGACACATTAGTGCAGAAGCTTCCAGGCTGTAGAGCCCTGCTTCCCTTCTCTGACCTCACAAAGATAAACATCCTTCACCTGAGTTCGTGGCCATCCACCTCTGCTCTCCCAGACCCAGTGCCTGTGACTTTGAGTAGTTTGTTCTAAATGTGGTGACAAACAAGTCATTTCTGTAAGACATTGGGTCTTACTTTATGTCATTTTTAGTAACAGAACTGCAGGAAGATGAAGACAATGTTGTAATCCCAGCAAGTTGCTAACTGTGCGTTTCTCCCTTCTTAGAATGAATGTCTCCCCCAAAACTGGCTGGCACCAGCTTCATCTGTGATACCCTTCAAGAAATGTTCTCTGGTTTTGTTTTATGCTGAAAGTAGAACACAAGTCACATTTCAGATGGAGGCTGTAAATATCTGGCATTTTCTTATATTGTTTTATGTTTTCTTGTTTTTCTCTTGTTGTTTTTATCTTATTTTCTTTGGGGTTTTTTTGTAATGCCTTTGTACAGCTCATACTTTCCTGCTGACATATCTGATCATCTCTTTCATGCAGTTGCCAATATTCATAACTGAAAATAATCTGGTTTATCATAAGTAAAATGGGAAACTTGCCTCTGTTTTTTGCAAGGGGAGGTAAAGAGTGTTTAGTAATTACCTATCTTAAATCTTTCTGAGTTGGTAGTAGATTCATGTTCAAGGAACAGGAAAAATGGAAAAACATAAGTTTAAATCAGTTCTTTTTAAATAACTTTTTATTCTTTTGTATAAATAAAATTTCACAGGCTTCAAATTCTCATGCTTTACTTTTAAACCCGAGATTGTTTTTTCACTTATTTATTCATATCATGCCTTATGGAAATTTCTTTTTCTGTATTTTCTCTCTTTGCTGGTATTCACCTGATTAAATATTGCTCTAAAAATCACCATGGCATATGGAAAGTCTCAAAATTATACCAAAAGTGATAACTTATGTCGTTCTTAAGTGGAGTGAAAGGATAGCATCAGTGAGAGCCAGTGTTGCCCACCAGGTCTCCCTTTCTTGGAGGGCTTGTTGGGGCTGAGGAATCTGCTAGTAATCGTTACCTGCCTCTAGTGCTGTGGTGAACTTGCGACAGGGTCTGGCTGCACATTGGAATCACCTGAGAAGCTTTAAAATACTCATGCCTGGATCCCATCCCTAGAGACTGGGGTACAGCCTAGTTATTGGGAATTTCTTTAAAAGAGTTCCTGGGATTCTGATAAGAAGCCAGGTTGAGAACCACTACATTAGAAGACTGAATGGTTTAATTTACATCCTATGTTATGATTGGTCTAAGGGATAAGATTTGGGGTCTAACCTTTCCTTTCACTCTAGTTAGTCATAGTCCTTGACTTATGCCTATATCTTTGTAAGAAATAGTATGTTTCATTTGTGATAGTATTGGTAGGGCTGAATATGGATGGCATCTACTGTAAAACAAGTCTACCTTGTCAGATGTGCAAAAGCTTTCACTCTTGTTCTCAAATAAACTTTTGTGGGTTTTTTTTTTTTTTTTTTTTTGACTCTGGCTATTTAGATCTTTGACTGTGTCTTTGGTAGCAGAACTCCAGTGTCAGGATTTTTAAGGAAATAGTTTCTTATATTTAGATTATTCCTTAAAAAAAAAAATCCTAGAAGCATTCTGTATTTTTTGTCTGTTGGTCTCCTTTGCTGGGAGGGAGGAGTGGGATGCCTACAGTTTCCTTCCTTTTGGGGAAAGCACACAGCAGACCTTAAAATATTTTTGACTCTTGGGCTGGGTGCGGTGGCTCACACCTGTAATCCCAGCACTTTGGGAGGCCGAAGCGGGCGGATCACGAGGTCAGGAGATCGAGACCATCCTGGCGAACACAGTGAAACCCCATCTCTACTAAAAATGCAAAAAATTAGCTGAGCGTGGTGGCGGGTGCCGGTAGTCCCAGCTACTCGGGAGGCTGAGGCAGGAGAATGGCATGAACCTGGGAGGCGGAGCTTACAGTGAGCTGAGATAGTGCCACTGCACTCCAGCCTGGGCGACAGAGCGAGACTCCATCTCAAAAAAAAAAAATATTTTTGACTCTTAACAGTTTGAGATTGCTAGAGATGGAATAGTACTGCTCTGTTGCGCCACTGCACTCCAGCAGCCTGGGCGACAGAGCGAGACTCTGTCAAAAAAAAAAAAAAAAAGAAAGAATAGTACTGCTCTTAAAAAGATTATTTACGTATTTATGAAACTGCAGTGGGATGCCTAGTTTCCTTCCCTCTGAGGAAAGCACACAGCAGACCTTAAAATATTTTTGACTCTCATAGTTTGACATTGCTGGAGACAGAATAGTACTGCTCTTAAAAAGATTATTTAAGTATTTATATATTTTATTTATTTATTTATTTATTTATTTATTTATTGACAGGATCTTGCTCTGTCACCCAGGCTGGAGTGCAGCGGCCTGATCAAAGCTCAGTGCAGCCTCGAACTTCTGGGGTCAAGCCATCTTCCTGCTTCAGCCTTACTAGTACCTGGGACTATAGGTGCATGCCACCATTCCCAGCTAATTTAAAACATTTTTATTTTGTAATGATGGCTTCTTGCTATGTTGCCCAGGCTGGCCTCAAGCAGTCCTCCTGGCCTCAAGCAGTCCTTCTGCCTTGGCCTCCCAAAGTGCTGGGATTATAGGTATCAAGCAATTCTCCTGCCTCAGCCTCCCCAGTAGCTGGGACTACAGGCATGCACCACCATGCCCATCTAAGTTTTGTATTTTTAGTGGAGATGGGGTTTTGCCATGATGGGCAGGCTGGTCTCGAACTCCTGACCTCAGGTAATCCACCCACCTCAGCCTCCCAAAGTGCTGGGATTACAGGCATGAGCCCTGGCACCTGGCAATATAGAGTATTCTTGACATCTTGACCTGTGCAGTAAAGAAGATAATTAAAATGAGCGATAAATAGTCTAAGCTTGAAAGTTAAAGAGCCTAAGCTTGAAACACTCTGTGACTTAGTTTTTGCATTTATTCTGTCTTCTATGCCCCCCAACCTTACTCCAAATTAATGAGGCATTATTTTATTTATTTATTTTTTTGAGACAGAGTCTTGCTCTGTCGTCCAGGCTGGAGTGCAGTGGCACAATCTTGGCTCACTGCTACCTCCGCCTCCAGGGTTCAAGCAATTATTCCGCCTCAGCCTCTCGAGTAGCTGAGACTACAGGCGCGTGCTACCACACCCAGCTAGTTTTTTTTTATTTTCAATAGAGACCGGGTTTCACCATATTGGCCAGGCTGGACTCAAACTCCTGACTTCGTAATCCACCTGCCTCAGCCTCCCAAAGTGCTAGGATTACAGGCGTGAGCCACTGCACCCGGCCTAATGAGGCATTATTGCTTAAAAATTCACATCAAGCTGGGCATGGTGATATGCACCTTTAGTCCCAGCTGCTTGGGAGGCTTAGAGGCAGCAGGATCGCTTGAAGCCAGAAGTTCAAGGCTACAGTATGCTATGATCATTTCTGTGAATGGCCACTGCACTTCAGCCTGAGTAACGTAGCAAGACGCTGTCTCCAACAGAAAATTGACATCTGAAGCCTTGACTACAGGGGGACTATACTGGTTTATGTGAAGTGTGGGGAGAGAGCAGGATTGTGCTTCTTTGTACACATTTGCTTCTCCCAGGATAGTGTCATAGTGCCTAGGAAGGTGATGTGTGTGTCAGATACAATGATAGTGAAAAGAAGGGATTGGAATTTTCATACCTGTGTCAGTCTAAATGAGCATTACCTTGTCTGAATTGTCTAAGTGGTAAGCTTCGTGATTTGAAACAGTTTTCACTTTGAAAAACTGCTTCCGTGGATTAAAAGTTGTCACCACTAAAGTGGGCTGTGGTGGAGTCGATGCTGATCCTCACTTAGGGCAGTGGCCTCCAAGGGGAAGAGGGCACACAGGATGGCTGGGTGGGGGTGGGAAGAAAAGATTAGGCCTTTGATTTATATTCATTTTGAGGCTCAGCCTTATTTAGTTTCTCACTTTGGATGTATTTTATATATATACATCAAATATACATCAATATTAGTTCATTAGTACATGTAGGTCATTAATTTATAAATAAAAGGTTGAACCACAATAAACTGCTGATAATTGTTTTTGATCTGTAAAAGTGGCAGTTATCATAGTTTAACAGCATATACATGTTGGAGGTGTATATGCTTCAAGTTTTTACTGTTTGTGTACAGAAAATAAACTTTGGAGACCCCTAGCCCCCTCCTCAGCTCCCAACCCCCACCCTGATAACTTATTTCTGTATCCTGGGTGTGGGGATGGGAGGACTTTAAAATATTTAATTAATTTGAATACATGTGTCTTAGTCTGTTTGAGCTGCTATAACAAAAATATTAACTAAATGGCTTATAAACAACAAACATTTCTTATAGTTCTGGAGATTAGGAAGTCCAAGATCAAGCCACCAGCAACATCCAGTATCTGGTGAAGGTGTGCTTTCTGGTTCACAGATGGTGCCTTCTAGCTGTGTCCTCACATGGTGGAAGAACAAGCTCCCTTAGGCCTCTTTTTAAAAAATTTTTTGAGACGTGATCTCACTTTGTTGCCCAGGCTAGGGTGCAGTGGTGCAATCACAGGTCACTGCAGCCTCAACTTCCCAGGCTCAAGTGACCCTCTCACCTCAGCCTCCCAATTAGCTGGGACTACAGGTATGTGCCCTCACACCTGGCTAGTTTTTTTTTTAATGTTTTGTAGGCAGGGTCTTGGTATGTTGCCAAGTCTGGTTTTGAACTCGGCTGAAGTGACCCTCCTTGCCTTGGCCTCCCAAAGTGCTGGGATTCTGGATGTGAGCCATCATGCCAGGCCTCAGGGCTCTTTTATTTATTTTTATTTTTTTAGAGACAGGGTCTCACTTTGTTGCCCAGTCTGGTCTCAAACTCCTGGGCTCAAGCCATCCTTCTGCCTCAGCCTCCCAAAGTGCTGGGATTACAGGCGTGAGCCACCACACCTGACTCCTCAGGCCTCTTTTATAAGGACACTAATCCCATTTATGAGCATTCTGTCCTCATAATTTAAGCACCCCAAGGCCACTTCTCTTAATTCCATCACTTTGGGGGTTAGTATTTCAACCTATGAATTTTGGGGATACATAAACATTCAGACTGTAGCAACATGCAAATAGCATGTGCTCAAATGGCACTGAAGTATATTCAGGGTAAAGGAAGTGCTCCTGTCCCTCAGCTATCAGTTTCCTTTCCCAGAGGCAACCCCAGAGTTCCATTATGTCCTTCCTGAGGACCTTTGTACGTGTATGAGCAGTAGGCACACATGCATGTGTCTGTTCACAGAAATGGTAGCATACTGTGTATACTGTTCTCTCCTTGCTTTTTTCATCTAGCAGTCTAGCACAGAAAACATTCCATGTGTACAACTGCCTCGTTATTTTTATTGGCTACTTTATATTCTGTTGCGTGTGTATACCAAAGTTTACTTAATCAGTCCTCTGTTGATTGCATTAATATTGTTTCCCATCTTTTGCTGTTTCAGACACTGTCAGATTAAATAGCCCTAGATGCATAATTTTGCAAGTAAGAGTACTTGTAGGGTAAATTCTCAGCAGTGAGGCCAGGCATGCTGGCTCATGCCTGTAATCCCAGCACTTTGGGAGGCCAAGGCAGGAGGATGGTGGGAGGCCATGATGGGAGGATCGCTTGAGCCCAGGAGTTCAAGACTAGCCTGGGCAACAAAGTAAGACCCTGTTTCTACAAAAAATAAATTAGCCAGGTGTTGTGGTGTGGGAGGATCACTTAAGCCCTGGAAGTCGAGGCAGCAGTTAGCTGTGGTCATGCCACTGCACTCCAGTCTGGGTGACAGAGTGACTTTGTCTCTAAAAAAAGATTCCTTGAAAAAAACAACAAACATAAAAAAATAGCTGGGTGTGTTGGCTCATGACTATAAAATCCCAGCACCTTGGGAGGCTGTGGTGGTTGGATTTGCTTTGAACCCAGGAGTTCAAGACCAGCCTGAGTAACTTGGTGAAACCCCATCTCTACAAAAATACCAAAAAATTACCCAGGCATAGTGGCACATGCCTGTAGTGCCAGCTACTCGGGAGGCTGAGGTGGGGGAATCACCTGAGCCCGGGAAGTTGAGGCTGCAGTGAGCTGTGATTGTGCCACTGCACTCCAGCCCGGAAGACGGAGTAAGGCCCTGTCTCGAAAAAAAAAGAATGTTTATATTTTTTTCTCCTTTCCTTTTTATTCCTTCAGTTCCTGAGAGTTTTTCTTGGGATATTTGTTACCTGGAACAGTTGAAAGTTTCTAGAGCTTTAGACTTTGTAGAAGGCATGACAGTGACCTCTGGTGTTTCTTTCCAGGGCGGAGCTGCAAATGCCATTAAGAATTCCCTGTTTTTGGCTTAGCACTTTACTTCCCATGTTATTCTCCTTAAATTATTGTTTTCAGATCCTGCTGGAAGATCTTTGTGTCTAGGCCCTTCATTTCCAGGCCAGAGCTGGTGGGCAGGCCCCTGCTCCATGGGTAGCAGTACCAGGAAGCACCGGCAGGTGGCAGGCACGGCCCCACAAGCAGCCCACGAGCAGCCAGAATTAGAGCCTTTGCACCATTCCCAGTGACTTGACCTCCCAGCAATGTGCCCAACTTAGTGTGGGGTGGGGCGCCTGATCCTTTCCTCCCACCTCGTTTTGCTGACATCTCTTAAATGGATGAGCAGTTGAAGATCACGAGCAGCTGCCTTGAGAGGAGCTTAACAAGGCCACACCTCAGGATGACAGCCTAGGGCCTCTTCCCCTTCAGGAACTAGCTGGAAGGATTTACATGCCATGGCCTGGGATGGCTTGGGTTTCCTTAGTTGTAGGGCCCTACTTCCTGCCTCTTTCAGGCAAATCTCCCACACCCTTCCCATGAACTGGGAGGTCCCCAGAACAGGCCCTTGCCACCCTCTACTCCACCCACTCTGCTATGGTCCAAGAAAAAAAAAAAGCCAGAAGTTTGAGAAGCCCTGGGACAAAAGTGCTAGGGTCCTTGGGCTGCCTTCTTTTGGGGAAGCGTCCTCTAGGGACCAGCTGGGCCCAGGGCTGAGGCTGATTGCACCACTTCCTTCCCTGCAGCTCCTAGAGATATGTGCCCCCCAAGTCCCACTTTCTCTGCTGCTCACTCACTCTTGTCTTGGTAGAGGCCTGCCCAGCACCTCCCTCAGGGCTAGGGTCTTTCCCTTCTGTGTACAGAAGACAAATGCTGGCTTTTCCAGGAGGCATGGGGAAGGGAGGGCTGAGAGCTTTGCTGGGGGAAGATGAGGGAAGTGGCAGCTGCGGTGAGGAGTACTGGCCCCTTCCCAGACACCACCTGTCCCCCCCTGCAGGAGACTACAACGAGGGGGGTGTGAGCAGCACTGGCGGGGATGGGGGGATTGGAGAGCTGCTCCCCCGGACCTCTAAAGTTCTGCTCCTAGCTTAGGTCCCAGGTCTTTGGGGACTCCTGAGTTTCCCCCACTCTAGAGAAGTGGGATGGGGACTGGGCTGAGACATCCAGAGCAGGGATCTTTCATCCCATTGTGGGCTCGTTTGCTCTCTGCTAGGGAGGCTGGAGGTTTTCTGAGGACAGATTGGCCATAGTCACCCTGGCTTCACTCCAAGAGGGGTTAACCCATGTGTGCGAGACAGAACTCGCAATAAAACTCAGGGTTCGGCCCCTGCTGGTGAGAGCCCAAGGGCAAGGTTGGGGGGCCTGTGGGGGGGTGGGGGAGGGCAGGTGGGAGGCTGTCCTCTGTGAGCTCCCCAGGATCATTTCCCAATAGTGCCAGAATTTGCATACTTACTGGTTTCCTCATCAGCTTCTGGCTCCTGGAACCAGGAAAACAAGAGGAGGAAAGAGCAACTGGGGCAGCTCCCCAGAATTTGATCTTTTCCAGCATGCAGGAGTCACATTCCATCCCTGTCCCCCTCTCAGAGGGAAGCTGCCTCTGAAGAGGCAGGAAGCTGAGGCTCTGAGAGGGAAGTGGGTTGCCCAGGGCTGCATCGCTAGTGATGGGGGCTTGAATCCAGGACCCCTCCCTCTCCTCCTTTCACAGGAACTGAGTTATTCTCTCAAATCTAGAAAGAGGCAAGGACCATTGTGTCCCTTTTACAGGTGGGGAGACTGAGGCCCTGTGAGCAAATACCACCTACCTAAGCTGCTTGAATGGGCAGTGGAGCAGGAGGTGATGGGGAGAACTTTGGAGTTAAAGCCCAATTCGTGGGAAAGAAACACAGCTGGGGCACTGGGCCTGGTAGCCTCGGAGTCACTCTGCCTGGCAGACTGAGAAAGAGGCCTGAAGGGGCATCTAAGCCTGCCTGGAAAGCACAGGATGCAAGCTCAGGCCAGCGGGGCATGGAACTGACCAGTCCTCCCTAGATCCCAGCCCCTCAGGCACCTGCCACATGAGCTCTGCCACCCTTGCCGGGGCTTATCAGTGAACCAGCAGGGCCAGACTTGGCCTCCAGACACGGCACAGCCAGTCAGGACCTGCTGCCCACTGCCCATCCCTCCCCACACACAGCAGAAGCAGCAAATGGCTTAGAGTTCAGCTCTGGTCAAGAAGCAAGTAAGCAAGTATGAACTCCCAAGGCTGTGGCCAGCTGGCAGCTGGGATGGGAAGAGGGGTGAGAACATTCCCTATTTTTTCCAGGCAGCCTCAAGGCTCCACTGTGGTGTGCAGAGACAGCGGGGGCTTGGCAGGTGGGGTTGCTGGGCATCTGCTGCTGACCAGGTGGGTAGGGTGGTCCTTTCAGCTGCCATGCTGGAGGGATTCCTTTTTTTTTTTTTTGAGACAGGGTCTCACTTTGTCACCCAGGCTGGAGCACAATGGTGCAATCATGGCTCACTGCAGTCTCCACCTCCTGAGGTTCAGGTGATCCTCCTACCGTAGCCCAAGTAGCTGGGACTACAGGTACAGGTGTATGCCACCACACCCAGCCAATTTTGTATTTTTTGTAGAGATAGGCTTTCCCTATGTTGGCCAGGCTGGTCTCGAACTCCTGAGCTCAAGCAATCTGCCCACCTTGGCCTTCCAAGTGTTGGGATTACAGGCGTGAGCCAGCATGCCTGGCCTGGAAGGATTCCTATGTGGATGTTGAAACCTAGGAGAGTTGTGAGGTGTGGGGCTGAGGGTACCTTCACCTCCCCCATCCCTGCAGGGCCCTGAGTTGCTGCAAACTAGTGTCCAGGCCCACCCCTCCTGCCCCCCTGGTTTGGGGACCAGAACCAGGACTCAAGGCCCTGCCCCAGTCTGTCCTTCCTCTGCGGGACCTTGGGCAAGTCATTCAGCATTGCCAAGTGGCTGATAATGAACTGGACAGTCTGGTATTTTAGCTTCCTGTCCCACAAAAACAAACAGAAGCCCAAGTATATTGTAAGTAAGATTTCTTTTTGCAGATAAAACTGGACTCCAAATCCTTTTACACTTTTGCTGCCTAACTGCCCCCTCCAGCCCCCTGCCCGCTCGTGCGTCCATGGGCACCTCCTAACAAGGCCCAGACCAAGGCCTCGGGAAAGATGCCCCATCCCCAAGGAGCTATGCATTCCTGGTGAATGTTTGTTAGAAATCTTCCTTCCAGAGAAGGGTCAGGGAGCTGGTGTGGAGGGGCTTCCTCCTGGGGTGAAGGAGGTCGGGGTGCATACCTGCTGGCCTTTCCTCACCCAGAGGCCAGCCCAAAGCCCTGAGCATAACAAAGACAATCACCTCTTGAAAGGGCTCACAATGATTGTACTTTATTGATGTGTTACAGGAGGTAAGGACTTTCTGCTTAAAATATTTAAAATTTACATGTGCACACAAACAAACACAGGTTCCCCCACCCATGGGGAAGGGCGAGATGACTCTGAATAAAGGATGGAGGAGAAGAAGAGGGTGTAGACGGAGGGCCCTTGACCCCTACAGGGGCAGCAGGATAAGGAATAGAGTGGGGCAGAAGGTGGGTTATTAAGAAGCATCTTGCTTACTGACATGAAGCCACGTGCCCAGCGAGAGCACAGATGAGGCCTCATTGGCGTAGAGGAGGCCCTTGGAGGGCAGGCACACGGTGCCCAACTAGCCAGCCAAGGCCAACGTCCCAGGGGTAGGGCGGAAGTGGGGTGGCGTGCACAGGGCACCCAGCCCAGGCCTCTGCTGCCCCCACCTCCCTCCCCACCCTCTGAGAGAAAAGACGGTTTGGGCCTCAGCCACGGACCGACGCCGTTACCGGCAGCGTCTCCTTAAACTACAGAGATACAATGTGTATCAACAGGGTGATCGCTTCTGACCCACTGAGGCAGACAGCTAGAGGTGCTGCATGGGCCAGAACCAATCCTACAGTATCTTTGGTTTGTGGGTTTCCTTCCCGACTTGAATCCTCCCTCTGTCCAGCCTCTGGGGTGGGCCTCAGGGCTGGGAATGGGCTGCTCAATGGCCCAAAGCCCAGCCTGACGGCCCTTGGAGGCTGGGGGTGCTGCCCTTGCCAGCCACAGGCAGCTTACTCACTGGGGTGCTGGGACTTGTAGGAGAGGATCTCGGCAGCCAGCTGCTGGGGGTCCAGGAGCTGTGGGAAGCGCCCCATCACAGCCTCCACCAGGTGCGGGGGAAACACACCACACAGCTTAGTATACACGCTGGCCTGCTCCTTGGCCAGGCTGCCTGCCCTGCCCCACGGGCTCCTGCCAGCCCCTGGGCTCTGCACTGGGGGCTCCTGAAGGACTGATGTGGGTGGGGGCAGTGGGTATGGTTCAGACCAGTACTCTCGAGGTGGAAAGGCAGGGGGCGCGGGTGGGTAGTCGGCAGGGACACTGAAGTGGCCAGCACCCATGGCCCGGCCAAAGGCAGAGAAGGCTGCGGTGGCTGGGAGCTCAGATCCATAGGGACTGTAGCCCGTGTAAGGGGCTCGGGGTGGGCCCGGCTCACCAGGGCCTCCTCCTCGAACCCCCCAAAGTTCCGACATCTGGCTCTCCAGGGAGCCAATGCCCGAGTCCAGGCAATCCTGGGAGACGTACGGGAGTGAGTCCAGCGTCTGTGGGAGCCAGTCTGTGGGCCCAAAGCTGCTGCCACTGCCCCCGCTAGGTGCGAGGCTCCTGCCTGATGGGGCATAGGTCTGTGTTAGACCCTCTTGGCGGGACCCTGGGGATGCCTGGGCCCCCAGCTTCTTCCCATCCAGGCTGCACTGCTCACTCTCTGTTAGCAGAGAGCTGGACTGGGATGAAGGTGAAGGCCGCCGGCCATTTTTGTCCTTGCTTGGGGCTCTGGGGGGTGAGAGGAGAGCATTGGCACGGAGCTCATCTGCCACAGAGCGCTGGGGGCAGCTTGGCCGCTCTGGGTGGAAGAATCGGCACTTGATCCCATAGGTGCATTTCCTTCCTGGAAGAGGAATCAAGAGGGACTCTAAGCAGGGGCACTTCAGAACCAGGGATGAGAGCAGGGAAGGGGTGGCACAGGAAACGGGGTTGGGTGGTCCAATGGTGGAGGTCCCCAAGAGGAAAACAGGGCACAGGCAGACAGGTGAGAGGAAGGGCAGGAGTGAGGAGGGCCGGGGAGGGCAGGCTGGGTTCCATACCATAGGGACACGGCTGCTTCCTGTGCTCCAAAGTGAGTGGCTTCTTACGCAGGAAGTTGTCCAGGCTGGGCCCGTGCCGGCCCAGTGGGTCATCAGGGGGCATAAACCTGCAGAGGGTGCAAAGAACTCTCTGGAGGTGGGAGCCATGCAGGGACTTCTAATTGCTGAGAAGGGGCCGATGGCAAGCCTTGCTGGGAAGAATAGGAGAGTGACACCTAAAACTGGGGCCTGTCCAGGACCCCGCAAAACTGCTCTATGGGTGGGATCATACCAAGGGAGGAGAAAGGGATCCCCGGTCTAGAGGGCCACAGCCCATGGGCACCTTTAGGGGAACTCCCTCTCTGAGGTCGTCGGGGGATGGCAGCCCGCACCCACTGGCCCATGGCCTCTGCTCGAGAGATGCCATGTTGGTTCGTAGAGAGGCCACCTGGAACCATCAACCACATACATCCCCTCATAAGTGCTACGGCTCTATCTCCCAAATTAGCCACTCTCTCCACCCCACAGCCTGCCTGGTCCCGGTCTGATTTCTCCTATGTGGTGAGCTATCCGTCTCACTCTCAAAGCTGCCTGGAGCCAAGACCCGCAACCTCCCATGGCCACAGGGCCCCGCAGAGCCCAGCCCCCAGCTCCACCCTTGCCAAGGGCACCTCTGGCTTCCCCTGTGGACCCCAAGTCTGTCAGGGCCTCTGGGAGGGAACATACTTGTCATTGACGAAGGAGTACATGAGCAGCCGCTCCTCGATGAAGCGCTTCCACTCCTGCCGCTCGCCTTGGAGGTCACGGTATGTGTCGTTGGAAACCACGATCCCGTCAGACTCGTAGGCCAGCTTCACAATGAATCTGTCGTCATAGCACACCACCCGCTTGCCACCCACGCGTCGTGATGGTGTGAACACCAGGATCTTCTTCTTCTCCAGTTCCCGCAGGATGTGCTGGTCTGGGAGGTGACGGGTGCACACAGGTCAGGGCCCAGCGGGACCTAGAGCCAGGCCTACAGGGCTCCCTAACCTGCTGATGGCCACACACAGGAGTGGTTAACGCCAAGGTCACCGGGGCAAGAACTAACTCTGCTGAGGCCTCTTCCATGCCCCAGCCCCTCCCTTGGCGTGGCACAGTTTGCTGCCTGAAGACCAAGAACATCTGAACACAGGCGGCAGGGCCTGCATGGCAGAGGCTCCAAGCACAGAGCTGGCCTTGTTCCTTTTCTCCTTCTGGACATCAGGCCTGTTCAAGCCAGATGTGGTCTTGGCTTTGGCTTTCATCCAGCCTGTTCTGAGGGGTCCGTGAATGAGCCGCAGCTTGCTCTGGGGTGGGAGAAGTATCTTGGCTCTGTCCCTTGCATTGCCAGGACAAGGTCGCTAAATCCCATGGTGGGAAAAGGTCAGGCCACTCACCATGCCCCACCTGGGGAGCTGCTGGGACCACAGGGACACAGAAGTGTGCAAGTGGAAAGGGCCCCTCTTCCTGGAGCCTACAGTCCCAGACAGGCTGCCCCCAGATCTCAAGACTTCTAGAGAAACTGATTCAGTTTTTACCTCCAAAGGCTGGGGGCTCTTGCAAGAACAGTGGTAACAGCTAACATACACTGAGCATCTACCATGTGCCAGGTACTCTTCTCAGCACTTACCGTGTGTTAACTTATATGACCTCACGAGGAAGGCAATGCTGTCAACACCCCCTGCTGACACCGACCCCATGTTTCAGATGAGGAGCATGTGGCTCAGAGCAGGGCTAAGAGGGGTCCCTGTCCAGGCCAGGGCGCCAAGAGGGGACAGAGCCAGGATTCCAACTCTGGCTGTCTCGACTCAGAGCCCACAGGCTTAACCACTATGTGATACTGCGCTTCTGCCACTGGGGATGTTGAAAGAGCGACCTGCCCACCAGTAGGATGAGGGAGGGGCTCCAGATCTGAGGCAGAAGACTGGACAAGGTGACCTCCAATGACCACCATTCAGAGCAGGTTGCTAAGGACAGAAAAAACTGAGAAAAGAAATGCTGGTCCCTGCTTGAGTTCTAGAAGTTGTAGGTCACTCCCAGAGGGTCTCTCTTGGGGAGAACCAGGGCTGCTGGGGCAGTAAGACCATCCCACCTCCAGAGGCACCACTCACCTGTGATGGGCACGTCGGGCCGAGGCTGCTCCTTCCTCCAGGATGGCACAAACACTGTGATGTCTGTGTGGCCCCGCTCCAGAAACCAGTTCACTGCCAGCAGGATGCCCCGGCAGGAGAAGACCTCCTTGTTCCCATGGCTGGGAGGGAGAGGACAGGGTTAGCCCACACTGATGGCCAGCCTGCCACCCCCTAGGCCTGAGCAGGAGGAGGGAGGTGGTCACACCCCACCCCTGCCCTGGCTTTGGTGGTGGTAGTGAGCAGTCCCTTCCCCTTTGGAGTCACCAGCCCCTTCCCCTTTCCCCAGGGCTCAGGCCCTGGCCCTCTGCAGGTGGGGCCCAAGGCCAAGGCCTCCATTCCCAGTGCCAGTTCCCACAGCTCCAGGATGGCCAGGCCCCGCTGGGACTTTCCCTGAGGCTCCATCTCCTGAAAGTGAGGAAGCGCCCAGGAAGCTGGCAGCACTGCTCCCCACGGTGGGGGAGGGCCAGGCCACTTGCAACACACCTGGGGGTGGGGGAAAGGTGCCGCGAGACTTCTGGTTCCTGCCCCACCCGGCGAGCTGCCGGGACCACAGGGACAGATGTACACATGCACACTGAGTCACCACCCCTCCCTCGCCTCTTGCAGCGTGGGTGGGGGCGGGGGAAGCACCGGCTGGGCTGACCGAGGAGAAACCAGATTGTTCCGGATTAAAGTTCAGTCCTCACACACACCTCAGGGACTGGGGCCTGAGAAAGGCAAAGGGGAAGGGGCTGGCGACTCCAGCCTTCAGCATGGGACAGAAAGCGCCGGAGTGAAGCAAGTTCCCCAGGAGCCTTTCAGTCTGAAAGTGAAAGGATACTGCTTTTCCTCCCAAGATGGCAATTCCCCCAAATGCCTCTTCACCCCAAGGCAGAAAGACCATCAGGAAGATGCTAGGGGACTCTTAGCAAGGACAGCTGAGTAAGGCATGGGCCCTGCCTTGGTCTCAGACGAGGCCGCGCCCCACCCACAGGTGGCTGCACCCAGAAGGAAGCCTGGCAGGGCTCCTGGGCTGCCGCAGCTCTCCGTTCCTCTATCTGAAAATGGGCCCAGCAGTCTGCAGCTTCCTTAAGAGGGGTCAGTCAGTGGGACAGCTTTCCTGGTGGCTTCAGGCCAAAGATGGCCCTGCAAAGTAGGGGTTCCAACTGGATTTCCTGAGGGATGGGGGACTGGGGCTTGGGGCTCCCAGGTAACACTAGGTGTCATGGAAGAGCTCCTAGGACCAGCAGCCCCACGTCTCACTGCCCCCTCAGTGAACAGCTTAGACTCTCGTATTTGGCAAATAAAACAGAATAAATGTTACGCAAAAGAGGCAAGTCCAGGGCCAACCACATCCTGTGGGTGTCTTTAATGGGAGTGGGGGAGGTAAGGGGTGATAGCTGGAGCCCTAAGAGAAGCTAGGGAGGGAGGTGGGGCAGCTGGGGGCCATGGAGGCTATTTGGGGGCAAGACTGGGGCACCAGGGTCTGAAGGTCTCTAAATTGTAGGGGAGACAAAGTCCAGCCCAGGGCAGCACTCATCCTTCCCGGTCCCTCTGCCACATCTGCCAGCCTGCTTATAATAAAAGTTCCCATTTGCTGAGAGCTGTGAACCAGGCCCTGTTATAAGTGTCTAACACTGAATCATCAGCAAGCTTGTGAGGAGGGCACTATACCATCATCAACTCCTTCCCTGTTTTTCAGATGAAAACTGTGGTCCAGAGAAGGCAGCTTAGTCACCAGGGTCACACAGCAGTTAACGGTGGAAGAGAGACGCAAGCCCAGGGCCTATGCTTATCACTACCCTGTACGTCAATGCTCAGGCAGGTACGAAGGCAGGCACAGACCCTGATCGCAGGGAATGAGCAGGGATTCGCAGGCACTGAGCTCCCGCTGGTGGCCAGATATATGGCTTCATTCTTATAGGGCTTGCTACCGTGAAGGAAAGGAAGGTCACCTGGCTAGTGGTAAGAGACAGTCAGAACTCGAACCCAGGTCTGGGCCACTCGGTTGCCTTCCTGTCTCTAACAGAAGATCCAGAATTTATTTGGGAGAACAAAGCTCCCAAAATTGAGTTTGAACAAAGTGTGTTATGAGAGACAGGTGGCGAACGGGAGAAACAATGCTGCTGGCAAACTCCTGCTCTTCCTTCAGAACCCTTGTGAGATGTCACTGCCTCTGAGAAGCCTTCCCTGACCTGCCACAATAGGTCAGGTCCCTGGTCTGTGTCTTCACAATGCCCAGTGCTTCCCCCATCACATCACCCCCCTTCCTTGGGCCTTCTGGCCTGCCTCTCAAAACCATGGCAGCTGGGTCATCCCAGGCCTGGCTCCTTGTCTCAGGTATGCAGTGTGCGCATGTATCCGCCCACCTGCCTCCCTCCGGGCACATGATCCTAGGCTAGTATCTTGGAGCACTGGGAACTAATGGGATGCCAGGGCTCTCAGGGCAGTGCACTGCCTGTGGGCACTGAAAATCTTGGCTGGGACAAGTCGGTTCTCAGCAGCCCTAGCACCTGAATATTCCCTCAGCAGATGGAAAAACTGATCAGTGGGCGCTATCAGAGCCCTCCTCCTGGTAGAGCACATGAGGCCTGGAGTGCCCCCCTACAGCTAGCTTTAGTCTCTTTCACTGCACTGGAGGAAGCGCTGCTGGCACAGGAAAACCAGACATCCCTGCCCCCATTCCAGTTCTCTTTGCCTGTAAGGTCAGGGTCCCCCAGCCGGGCTAAGCAGACACTGATAGGATGTGTGTGTAGAAGACTCCAGCTAGGCTGCTCCTGCCCCAGGACAGAAGGCAGGGCTGGGCCAGCCTCCCCAGGTGAAAAGATATGCCTGGGCTGGGCCTGGCGAGTGGAAAAAAATTCCCTTAGAAGGAAACAGAGGTGAATTTCCCCATGATTTGCATATGATGGGGGGGCTAGCCCGCCTGCCCCTGGGGAGGGGGGGTGGCCGGGCAGGAACCGAGTAGCAGCTGAGACAGGAAGTTTGAGGCTGGAATTCCCCTCCTGCCACTACCCCAGCTCAGAAACCCCCGAGGTGGGTGCGTGGCTCTGCTTCTCAGGAGCAGGCTCCTCTGAGCACCCCTCATCACAGCCCCTCCTCCCATGTCCCTCCTCCTTCTGGATACAAACACATACTGCATATGGCTGCTCCCAGGGCTCAGCCGCTCCTGGCCCATACCTCCAGAGGAAGGAGTCACACAGATCCAACCTAGCTCCTAGCCCAGCTACATGAGGCTGGACACTGAGAGGGACCCCTTCTAATCTCGAAGCATGGGCTGTGACCTGCTGCCTCTTGGCATGGAAACTGGATTTTCTCAGCCTCCCATCCAGGCTCAGCCCAAGTCAGAGAGAGGAAGACTGGCCTGAAGGTGACAGAAGGAGGGAAGAGCACTCAGCTGCATGCCTGCTGAGCTGGGCCAGGGCCAGCTGGACAGTGAACTTGTCCCACAGGGGCCACAAATTAGGGAGGGCAGAGGCTGATGTCATGCCAGCCTTGGGCAGCCCACCTAGGAGCTCCCTCAGGGCAGCCAGAAAATCATCCCTTCTCAACCCTGTGTCTGGGGTCTCCCCGTCCATGCCAACAGGAACTTTTCCCTGTGAGCCATCCACCCAGCACTGACTCATCAGCCTGCCTTGGAGGGAACTGGGAAAAAAGTGGGGCCAGAGGGTGGAGCCTGGATTGACGGGAGAAGTCTGGGTTTCCCAAGGTCAGCAGCAGCCCTGGCTTCCCTCTCTGCCCCTACCTCCCCACCCCATTCCTGTGCTGGGGGATGGGGGTGGGAGTCACTGGGGGCTGAGTCCTGGCTCTGGCCCCGGGGAACCTCCAGAGACTGGTCCAGCCCAGGCTGCTTCAGCTGAGTCAGTAGGGATCCAAGTTGCAGCTCGCCTGAGGCCAGAGCATCAGGCCACCTGCCCACAACCCATGTAAAGCTGGACCCAGCCTTGAGGTCACTCTTGGACACAGTCACTGGACCTGTTTTCGTGGGAGCCCAGGTCTGAGACAAGAAGGCCTCAGAAGCCCAGCCCCTGAAATAACAACAACAACTGCTACTACCACTGCCTACTACCACTACTATGGTTCCTGAACGCTTGCTCCTCTCCGGGATCCGCACACTCCCTCCTCACAACACCCACCTGAGATCAGGTTCCGAGGGGTGAGTGAGCAGCTGCCCACGGGCTGGTCCCCTTTACAGCCCTGCCTCACATTACAGGAGAGGAGTGGAGACACAGTGCTGGCCTCAGGGAGGGACCCACAGCATAAGGTAAGCTCTGCGGACAGAGGGACCTGGGCTGGAACCCTGCCTCTGTCACTTACCAGTAGCGCGACCCTAGCCTCATAAAAGGCTTTCCCTCCCTCTAGACCAGTCCCTAAGAAGGAAGTCACTTCTTCCAGCCCACCAGAGCTGCAGAGACAGTCATCCTTCCATGTGTCCTGGCCACAGGAGAGATGCGAACCTCATGTGTCCTGGCCACAGAAGTGACACTTACCTCATGGCCACGTTGCTCCCATCGATGACCACTGGTCTCAGGTCGCTGCCCTCCTTTTCCTCTTCTGGGAGTGGAGGCTCCAGGTTGGGAGCCTTAGGGGTGCCACCACCCCGCGGGACTAGAGGGAGCTGAGGGCAGGGGTCCGGTGAGGTCTGGCGCTCCCGCTCGGTGGCTGTCCCGTGTTTCACCAGCTCACCCAGCACCGTGTTGGTGTCTGCCTGGACGCCCAGCTTCTGCAGGACGCTGTGGATCTCCGTGGATGAATAGCCCAGCTTCCGGAAGAAGTCCACCTTCATCTGCAGTTCCAGGGCCGAGGCCTCCTCAGCGGCCAGCTCTTGACCCGGCCTTGGGGTGCCCTGACGGCTGTGGCTGTCCTCAAATTCCCACAGACTCATGGTGGGGCTGGCTTCCAGGACAGGCTTCTCTCCACAGGGGCCACTCATAGCTCAGACTCCTGGAAGGCCCCGCGCCACAGCTCCTACTGAACAACCAACAGGGTTAGGGACGGTGAATAGCGCTCTCTCCTAACCTCCCTCCCAAAACCACATCCAGCAGGATGAGGGATTGGTGGCACTACACACTGCATCGTGTTATTAGTTCAGGTTGTCCTCTCAAAAGCTCTCCCAGCTAGGCATTCCCATTCCCATTCTATAAAGGGAGAAACTGAGGCACAGACATTAAAAACGTGCTCAAGGTCATCCAGCTGTTAGCTGGTGGCTCGAAGATCGGAACTTAGTCTGAACTAAGACTGGAACTACCCCAGCTGTAAAGCCTCGAACCCCCACGCCAACCCAGGGGACCCAGAAGGCAGGGACGGGGCTCTCAGATGGAATCCTGGGGCTGGAAGTGCGTTGCGGGGCCCAAGGCTTCCCCACTGAGGCCACCACTTTCGCCCACCCGTCCGGCACTCAGAGCTCAGGCCCAGGCAGCGCAAGGCCCATGGCCGGACTCCCGGAGCCGGGGAGGGCAAGTTTCTGGGGTGACCCGTGGGGAGAAAAGTTGCTGGAAAACTTTGGTTGGCTGCCGGGAGCTGGTGACGCCGAGGCTGTCCCGGCCCGAGACCCGCGCTTGCTCGGCCCGCGATCCCGATCAGGAACCTGGTGCTCTTCCCCGGCTCTCCCAACTTGGGCAAAGTTGGAGGGGTCCTGAGGCCCGGCGGGCCGGGGAACAGGACCCCGACCCTTCCGTCCCCTCCCCTCTCCACCCCTCCCGTCCCCTCCCGTCCCCTCCCCTCGGCTCGGCTCGGACCCCGCCGGAGCGCTCCCTGCCGCTTCCCCGCCGAGGCCCGCACCCTCCCCGCCGCGCCTCACCCCGCCATGCGCCAGCGGCGGCCGGCGGCGTCTCCATGGGGCCGAGTCCTGGGGGTAAGGACGGCGGCGCCTTTATATGGGGCGGCGCGCGGGCAGGTGGTGGTGAGGCACTGACGCGGAAGCGGGCAAGGGGCGGGGCCGTCCCGGGAGACCGCCCCGGGGGCGGGGCTGCCTCGCCCCTTCCTGCTCCGCTCCTCGCGTCGCGGCCCCGCCCCCGCGGCCGCTGCGCGCCGGACGGGGCCCAAGCGGGGGTCGGAGCCTCAAGGCTGCGGCGGCGACGAGCTCCGAGCGGGACACTGAACGGCCCGTATGCGCAAGATAAGCACGGACTGAATCAGGTACACGCACCTGCCGGGGACGCACTGACCGAGGTGCGGACGGCGGTACCAGGACAGGTAAAGCCGCGAACACTCGGACCTAAGAACTTGACAGGTACACCCTGCCTGATGAAGCTACGTACGGCCAGGTGCGCATCGAGTGAATCAGGTACGCGGAGGTTGGTCCACGCACCTTGGAGGCAGGTCCATGGTTATAGACAGGTACATCCAGACAGGCACTTTTCAGATGGAGTCAGGCCCCCTCAAGACACACTGTGCTTAAAGCCGTCACACAGAGGTTGGCCACCCCCGGGGCCAGGTACACTTTTCCTGAAATCTGTACTTTACTAGGACCAAAAGGCAGGTTCAGTCAGCAGATGCACAATGACCGAGGCAGAAAACCAGGCAAAAGAGGGCCATTTACCCCAATCACCACATGAATACTGTCCACACAAGAATACTGTCACCCATACCGCAGAACTCACTGAGCGCCCCCACTGGAGGAGCACCCTTGCTCCATGAAGATGCTTTTAGTTTCCCAGGTCAGACCTGATCCCTCGCATGAGCACAGCACTTTACAGGCTTACACTCACGGGCTTACAGACAGAGGTCATTATGCTGATGTTACCCTTGAGAAATTCTGCAAAGGCTAAACTGCCCCAGCTGGAAAGACTCGAACCAGGATGGAGAGCTCCTATTCTAGTGCTCCTATTATTTGCCATTTTTGTGAACCACGAGTGACTGAGGGCAGAGGGGAGCCTGGCTTCCTATGTGTGTGTGTGTGTGTGCGTGCGTGTGTGTGAGTGAGAGAGAGAGAGAGAAAACACAGAGCCCACACGCTGGAGGACAGAGCCACATGCCACCAGTGCTTACTATGTGCCAGTCCTTTGTTACATTCTCTCTACCTCATCATAGGCATGTATCCTATAAGTGCTAGTGTTATAATAAATACTTGTTTATTGTAAAAGACACCATAGACACAACTGTACATGTACAGCTTAAAGAATAATAGTAATAATAAAAAAGCCATGTATCCATCACCTAACTTAAAAAATAGACCAGTGCCAGTACCTTGAGGCCCTCTGGGTGCCCCCATCACAGCCTCCTGCCCACATCCTGAAGAACTAGTTTCCTGAACTTTAATTGTGCTAGTCATTCTCTTGCTTTTTCTTGTAGTTTTACCACCTCTGTATGCATCCCTAAGTGGGATATTGTATAGTTTTGCTATTTTTTACTTTGTGTAAACGGAGTCATTCCATAATTATGTGACTTCCTTTTTCATACAGCATTATATTTTTAAAAATCCATTTTGATTGCCTGCATACCTGTAATTTATTTTACTACTGAATAGTGTCCCATTTTATGAATATACCACTGGTTACTTATTCAGTCACCTGCTGTTGGATGTTGTTTCTAGGATTTTTTTTCTATTACAAAGACTGTGCTTTGGATATTCTTGTATGTATCTTAATGAAATTGTACAGTGGAGGAAATGGATGTTCAGAGATTCAGAAAGGTGAAGTCACCTGCTCAGGCTCTGGGGGCTGGTGGAGCTGGAACTCATGTAGCTCTCTCCAAGGCAGTCCATCTCCCCATCCACACCTGCTTGTTCGGGAGGCCACCAAAGACCCCAGGGAGGCAGGCGTGTACGTCTCTATCTGGACCCTGAGGCTGTTCCTCTGGGCTTGCTTGCTCTTACCTAGCGGTGTTCCTGCTTTGTTGCCTGGTCATCTTTGAAGACCCCAAAGTGTCCCCTTCTCTGCTCCCCAGGCACAGCAGCTCCAGGGGCTTGGCAACCCAAGGAGAGAGGAAACACAAGGCCCCCTGCTGCATGCCAGCTCACATCCCATGCTGGGCACCTCACATGCTTGCTGTCACTCCAGCTGAGTGCGGTGCCGGCGGCACCCCTAACCTCACAACAGTCCCTTTTACAGATGAGAAGAGCTCAGTTATGTTAAGCATTTATTCGCTATAGCAACTACCTTTAAGATAGTAAAAACATTAAGTGATGTGTCCAGGTTAATAATGATAATGACAATACTAATCAATCATAGAGATAATGCCTCCCATTTATAGAGTGCTCACTGGGTGGCAGGCACCAGCTAGCGCCTTGCAGACACTTTCGGGCCTCTGCTCTGCTTCTTCCTTGGCTTGGAGTGCCCTTCCCTCTCTCCCACCCAGCTGCTTCCTAGCCAGTTCCATTCATCTTTTGGATGATGTCACCTCCTCTGTGAGGCCAGCCAAGACTCCTTTGATGCTGGTTGTACCCTCCTAAGTGTCCCCACAACACCCTGCCTATGTCCCAACGTGTTAGATTGTCTTTGCCAGCCTGAGACCTCCTCTGGAGCTGCAACAAGACCAGACTCTGCTCCTGCTCCCAGACCCTCTGCTGCCCAGCCCTGTGCCAGTAGGAGCCAGCAGGACTAGGCGATGAGTCATGCTGCTCCCTGCCCTCCCAGAGAGAGCCACAGTCTCGCTGTCTTCCGGCTCATGCTACTTCCCAAGAAGCCGACTCTCCTCTACAGAACCCACGGCTTCTTTGGGGAACCCCTGCTCCGTTTACAGCTGGATTTTGCAAACTTTGGCCCTAATCCCCAGGAGTTCTCTGAAGCCGAGCCCACACAAACCCCTCTGCCTCTCGTATGCCTGTCTTGGCAGCTGGGCTGGCTAATTTCCTTCTTGGAGCCTGCCTGGCCTCCCACCATCTATCTGCCTGTGCCCAGCCAGCGTAGGTGGGGTCTGCAAAGCTTGTGGACTGGTCACTGCCTGAGGGTGGTGGGGGGTTGGGAGATGAGGTTGGAGAGGGAAAGGTCCCAGGAATGACCTTGGCTTTCAGTTGCTTCACTGGGCAGCTCAGCCTGGGGAGGACCCGGGAACTGGGCTACCTCTGTAGAAAGGCTGGGCAGGCTGCCCTCAAGCCTTAAGGGAGTGGCTGCTGAGGTGATGTTTAAATTCAACAAGGCCTCCTAGAAGTGAAGAAAGGACCAGATCCCTCCCATGTTTGAGACTCCTGGTATATTTCTTTTTATTTTTTATTTTCGAGATGGAGTCTGGCTCTGTCGCCCAGGCTGGAGTGCAGTGGCGCGATCTCAGCTCACTGCAAGCTCCGCCTCCCAGGTTCATGCCATTCTCCTGCCTCAGCCTCCCGAGTAGCTGGGACTACCAGTAGCTGGGACTACAGGTGCCTGCCAACACACCTGGATAATTTTTTTGTGTTTTTAGTAGAAACGGGGTTTCACCGTGTTAGCCAGGATGGTCTCGATCTCTTGACCTCGTGATCCGCCCGCCTTGGCCTCCCAAAGTGCTGGGATTACAGGCATGAGCCACTGCTCCCGGCCAGACTCCTGGTATATTTCAAAAAGACATGTCACAGCAGGGCTACAAAAATCAATGTATGTTTTAAACGGTAACTGAACAAATTAACTCTTTTTTTTTTAAATCATGCATTCAAATGCGGTGCAATATATTTGGACTATTGACAAGATAATTGGAGAACTTGTATTAAAAATACATTATTTCCTTGGAGAGATGGCTGATTTTAGGGCTGGGACAGGGAAAGGATGAGCCGGCAGTGTGCTGTGGTGCCAGGGATTTAGGAAGCGCTCAAAACACAAAAGGATGGGAGTGCGTCAAAGGGATCCAGGAGCCAGAAGAGCTCCCTATGGCCAAAGCTGGAGCAACTGAGCAAGGGAATAAATAATAGGATAATATTGAATTATAACCTAAAGTATAAAATAAATATTTATACTGATATAAATAATTTTTTTGTTTTCAGAGCCAGGGTCTTGCTCTGTCGCCCAGGCTTGAGTGCAGTGCCGTGATCATAGCTCACTGTAACCTTGAACTCCTGGGCTTAAACGATCCTCCTGCTTCAGCCTCCTGAGTAGCTAGGACTACAGTTGTGCACCACCACGCCTGGCAAATTAAAAAAATTTTTTTTGTAGAGATGGGGATCTCGCTATGTTGCCCAAGCTGGTCTTGAACTCCTGGCCGGAAATAGTCCTCCACCTTGGTCCCCCAAAGTGCTGGGATTAAAGGCATGAGCCACCATACCCAGCCCTGATATAAATAAATTGTTGAATCAATAACCTACTGGGGGAGAAGAGGCAAGTCTTCCTTACAGAAGAATTTCCAATAATGAATGCAGATTGTTTCTCCTCTAGGAGGTGGAGCTTAATTATTCCTTTCCCTTCCCTTTCCTGTACACTGGACTCAGGACTTGCTTCTAAATAATAGAGTAGGGAAAGAGAAGAATAGTAACTATACAATGGAGAAACCTGCAGACACCACTTTAACCAAGGGCTCAAGGTTAACATCACCAGTGATAAGTCTAGTGGCTATCATGTAGCTAACCCTGCCCCCTCCACACCATGCTATATGACCAGAAGGATACTTCACCTCTGTCATATTCTTTCTAAAACTCCATAACCCTGGAGAAAAAGGTCAGACAAACCCAAATTAAAGGTCATTCTGCAAAATACCTGACTAGGACTCCTCAAAACTGTCAAGGTTGTAAGAAGCACAGAAATAATTAAAGCATTGTGAAAAAGAAAAAATCAAAAGCATAGAAAGACAGCAACAGCCACGGACCAGAGGACACCGGACATGCTGCCTAGATGCAGGATGCCACTCTAGGTCATGTCGTGGAGCAGAGAGAGCAGGAACAGAGAGGCTGGTGAAATCCAAATAAGGTCTGCAGTTATGTTACTAATGATGGACCAATGTGGGATTTTTGAGTTTTGAGAAATGTACCAGGGTGGTGTAAGATAACATTAGGGGAAACTGAAACTGGAGGTTGGGTATTCTGGAACTGTCTGTACTATCTTTGCAACTCTTCTGTAAACCTAAAGTTAATTCCAAAATTCAGAAGTTAGGCTGAGGCAGTCACATCACCTGAGGTCAGGAGACCAGCCTGACCAACATGGTGAAACCCCGTCTCTACTAAAAATACACAAATTAGCCGGGCATGGTAGTGGACACCTGTAATCCCAACTACTTGGGAGGCTGAGGCAGGAGAATCACTTGAACCAGGGAGGCAGGGATTGTAGTGAGCTGAGATCGCACCACTGCACTCCAGCCTGGGCAACAGAGCGAGATTCCGTCTCAAGCAAAAAACAAACAAACAAAAAACAAACAAAAAAACCCCAAAAACCCCAAATTCAGAAGTTTATTTGGTAACTATATATATGTGTGTGTGTGTATATATATATATATATATATATATATATATATATATTTAGTTACCAAGAGAAATGTACCAGGGTGGTGTAAGATAACGTTAGGGGAAACTGAAACTGGAGGTCAGGTATTCGGGAACTCTCTGTACTATCTTCGCAACTCTTCTGCAAACCTAAAGTTAATTCCAAAATTCAGAAGATATATATATATATATTTACCATATATATAATTTTATGGGCCTTACAGATGGTGTGTTTTGGTGATAGGTCACCCATCTCTTTTCAGTTCTATTGGTCTGCATCCTGTGACTGAGTACAATCCTATCTGGAGATAGCATCTGAAGTCCAAACTTGCAGCCTTTTTGGCTATGGAGCCCTGGCCAGCTCCTGTCTCTCTTCTCTCTCAACCAACCCCCATGCTGCTACCCCTCCTCCCTGTTTCTGAACCCTCAAATCAGACTGCTAGAGCTAGGAGGTCTCATAGAGATTGATTAGCCTAAATCCTTTGTTTCTTTTTTTTTTTTTTTTGAGATGGAGTCTCACTCTGTTGCCCAAGCTGGAATGCAGTGGCATGATCTCAGCTCACTGCAAGCTCCGCCTCCCGGGGTCAAGCAATTCTCCTGCCTCAGCTTCCCACATAGCTGGTATTACAGATGTGTGCCACCACACCTGGCTAATTTTTGTATTTTTTTTTTAGTAGAGACGGGGTTTCACTATGTTGGTCAGGCTGGTCTCAAACTCCTGACCTCAAGTGATCCGCTGGCCTCCACCTCCCAAAGTGCTGGGATTACAAACATGAGCCACCACACCTGGCCTTGAATTTTGTTTCATAGATGAGGAGACTGGGAGAGAAAGAGGAAAGGGACTTGCCCCCGGCCACGTGCCAAGTTAATTTGGACAGAGCCAAGAATGGGACTAGCCAGGCTTTCTCTGTCCCGGGATCTCTGGCCCCATTTGCCACAGAGATGTGGGTCAGACCCACACAGCTCTGAAGTATTGTTGATTCACTTGGGGACCTGATTAGGGCAATGCTAAATTCAAAGGAAGGGCTGAATCCCAAGTATTAGTTGGAAAGAATAGTTTAGAGTGGAAATTTCTGCTTTGATCTCACTGTGCACGCCCTTACCAGGTGAATCTCACCAGTTTTGAAGGTCCAGGAAGAGGCATGGCCTGAAAGTGGATAAAAGATTGAGTCTGTCTCTGCCCCCTACTTCTGCCCCCAGAGCTATTGCAGTAAAGGGGCCAGAGAAGATTCTGCAAAGCCCTTAGCATGTGAAGAGGGGTTGGGTCCCCAGTTTTGGGGTTGAACACTCCCTAATGTGCACTGGGGACACCACTCTGGTGATAAACTCAGAGCTGCTGGAGAGCCCCCATAGCCTTTCCTGAAGCCTAGAGAGTAGGAGATGGGGCTGAGGTGGCCCTGCCGCTGAGGCTGCTACGTGGACATTCATCCCTTCTGGCCTAGGAGGGGGAAGTGCCTCCCTTGCTGTGTTTCCATAATGAACTGGGATGGTCTGTGCCACCATTGTCTCCCCACCTGACTGTGGCTCCTTGAGGACGGCCCTGAGTCTCACTGTCCTCTGCATTCCCAGCACAGGACCTGGGACGGATGTTGGTAAATGTTTGCTGAGTCAATGCACGCATGAGCTGAAGTGGTTCCAGTTATGTTTTGCTGTGTACATGTCTGTTGTACCGTCTTTACCATGTCCAGCTCGTGGACCTCCCCTTGCATCTGAAAAAAGCAGTCACGGGGAACTCGGCTGGAAGGGAGCTCAAGGCTTACCTAGGGTCTCTAGCTGAGCCATCTGTGAAGGTTCAGATGGGAGTGGGGAACTAGAAGCTGAACATAGATGAACTTGCGACCAGGGCAGATCTAACCGGAGTCAGGAGCTTGCAGTGGCTGGGCTGACGTCAGCTCATGGGGTCAGTGTGGCCACCCACAGATGGGGTGGTCATAGTGAGCACCTCACAAGATATGGGGATCACTAATGCACAGTTCACATGGTGGTCATCTGTTCTGATGGCAGTTAGAGATACCACTGGCCAATAAACATGCCGTAGGAGACTTGCTGGTGCTGGTTGTCTCTCCCGCCGCCTTTGCTGGATTCCCCATTCCTAATGGTATTGGAAATTTCTCAGCCATGTAATCTGGTCAGAAGGGACCCTATTCTAGCGGTGGGGCCTAACTGCCTTAAGCAAATCAGAATATTTCTTTCTTTTTCTTTTCTTTTTTTTTCTTTGAGTTGGAGTCTCACTCTGTTGCCCAGGCTGGAGTGCAATGACTCTATCTCGGCTTACTGCAACCTCCACCTCCCGGGTTCAAGCAATTTTCCTGCCTCAGCCTCCCGAGTAGCTGGGATTACAGGCACCTGCCACCAGGCCCAGCTAATTTTTATATTTTTAGTAGAGATGGGGTTTCACCATATTAGCCAGGCTGGTCTCCTGGCCAGATTGGTCTCGAATTCCTGATCTCATGATCCCACCTGCCTGAGCCTCCCAAAGTGCTGGGATTACAGGCGTGAGCCACTGTGCCTGGACTGCAAATCAGAATGTTTCTTAGTTTTTTTTTTTTAGTGAGATGGGATCTCACTGTGTCACCCAGGCTGGAGTGCAGTAGCATGATCTCGCCTCACTGCAGCCTCTGCCTCCCAGGCTCAAGTGATCCTCCCACCTCAGCCTCCTGAGTAGCTGGGATCACAGGTGCATGCCACCACAGCCGGCCATTTTTTGTATTTTTAGTAGAGATGGGGTTTCCCCATGTTGCCCAGGCTGGTCTTGAACTCCTGAGCTCAGGCAATCCAGCTGTCTCGGCCTCTCAAAGTGCCTGGGATTACAGGCATAAGCCGCTGCACCCAGCCAAATCAGAATATTTCATCCTTCAGGCTACAGCAATTGGTCAGAAAAAGGTATAGGTCCCAAATCAGGCCAACCAGAGTGAATGGGTCTCAATTCTGAGTCTTTTCTTTGAGCTAACTGGGAAACCAACTACTTCTTGCTAATTACAAAGGAGAAAAGCAAGTATTGCCAGGAGCTTCTGGCAGCCACCTTGTGACACATCATAGGAGACAGAGCCAAGAGACTGAAAGAAAATAGGTTCTTGGTAACAGCTGCTGGATCAAGCCTTACTTAAAGCTACCCCTGGTTCTAGGCTTGTTGGTTATCTAAGCCCACAAGTTCTGTCACAACCAAAGATATCCCTTTTAATGGTAATAATAATTACTTAATTACTAAGTATATAATAATTACCTAAATACAGCTTAGGAGATAAAATCTTAGAAAATATGAGATCTGTTTGGCAATAGTAAAACACTCATAGTGAAAAGGTCAGCAGAATGCTGAATCAGCTCAAGCTCAGCTACCTCACACATGACAAATATAAGACCTAGAGAGGTCATGAGACTTGTTCAAGGTTTTACAGCTGCTTAGCAGGGCCTCCTGATCCACAGTCCACTAATTCTTAATTGTTTTTCTTTTCTTTTTTTGAGACAGGGTCTCACTCTGTTACCCAGGCCGTAGTGCAGTGGCGTGATCTTGGCTCACTGCAACCTCCGCCTCCTGGCTCACTGCAACCTCCGCCTCCCAGGTTCAAGCGATTCTCTTGCCTCAGCCTCCTGTGTAGCTGGGATAAGAAGCGTGTGCCACCCTGCCCAGCTAAATTTTATATTTTTTTGTAGAGATGGAGTTTCACCATGTTGTCCAGGCTGGTCTCGAACTCCTGGACTCAAGTGAGCCACCTGCCTCAGCCTCCCAAAGTGCTGGGATTACAGGCGTGAGCCACCATGCCTAGCCTAATTCTTAATGTTTAATGGTAATTAGAATACTTGAATTTCTGTGCATTCCCAGTGAAATCATCACTACATGTTTTCTCTCTTGTCTTGCCTATCTTTCCAAGAGGCAGAGAAGGAATGTTAATATTTGTCTTTATTTTGTAAACAGGGAGGTAGAAACCCAGAGAGGCTTAAGGATTTGCCAAAGATTACAGCAGGGTAGTGGTGAAGCTGGTCCTAGGAGCCACATGTGCTGAATGCCATTTAGGGTTCAGCCCCTCCACCCCACCCCTTATGCCAGCCACTTCTGCTTCCATGAGAGCAGGAGTAAAGATTAGGGATAGGGTGGGGACCTTTCCTGGCCTTGCTTCTTAGTGGACAAGTGATTAAAGAGGACATTGCCTTGTACAGGCCAAAGAAGTGATTATGGGCCTTGAGAGATAAGTCCTTCCCCCCATCCTTAGGAAAACCAAGGTTATGAGGCTCAGAGAAAATAGGATATTTCTATTGCCAGAGCCTCCAAAAGGGAGGCCAACCTAGAGAGATGGGAGGCTGTATGCATGGGTTTCTGGCCTTACAATCCCTGTGACCCCAGCTCTGACACCTACCCTCTCCTGCCCCCAAAGCCTTCTATGGCTCCCTAACCTTTTCAGCAGCCACAGGGCTGATGTGTTTGGCTGCACAGGTGTTGCACTGAACAATTTTGGATTCTGATCTGTATGGCGCCTCTGGAGTTGTGCAGTTCACAGCTTGCACAACTGTACACGGCAGGCCTAGGTTGCCTTTCTCAATGTTTGGACATTCAGATCATTTTCACAGCAATCAATGAATGACCTTACAAACCCTTTTTAAAAATAAATTCATTTCATCATTTTTACAAGCTATAGAAGATATGTTGAGAAAATTTATTTTATTTTAGATCAGTCTGATCCCAAGGATTGTATTAGAAAGTGTATATGTAAAAAGATGCATTATTTTTAAAGGCTACTTTTGATGATTTTCTACTTAATAAAGGGATGCCTACTGTTTAATAGAATTTATATCTGTCAGGAGAGTTTTAGGGAAGAAAGAATTAAATTTTACGAGGAAAAGCAAGGTTTACAGACAAATAAATTAAAAATAAGTTGTCAGGCTTGATTTGGGAACTGAATGTTTACTGAAATTATTATTGTAGATCGAAATTTAACTACATGCTATGAATTACAAAAATAAATATACTTTCAGGCCAGGTGTGGTGGCTCACGCTTGTAATCCCAGCACTTTGGGAGCCTGAGGCAGGTGGATCACTTGAGGTCAGGAGTTTGAGACCAGCCTGGCCAACATGGTGAAACCCCATCTCTACTAAAAATACAAAAACTAGCTGGGCGTCGTGGCACATGCCTGTAATCCCAGCTACTCGGGAGGCTGAGGAGAATCACTTGAACCCGGGAGGCGGAGGTTGCAGTGAGCTGAGATTGTGCCACTGCACTCTAACCTGGGTAACAGAGCAAGACTCCGTCTCAAAAAACAAACAAACAAAAACAAAAATAAATATACTTGCAATTCATGGTGGTTTAGAACGTTTGCATCTTATACTTCATTCTTGTGATTTATTTAGTTGTTTTAAAAACAAACTTTGTGCTTGGTTTCTAAATGAAGAGATAAGAGAGAAGATATCACCTCCTCAAACAACCCATTTCAGCTATGAATAGCTGTTATTTCCAAAAGATGAAAAGCTAAAATGACTACATTTTCTCTTAAAATGTTCATTTTTGAAGTTCTAGATTTTTTTTTTGGTCGGGTGCGGTGGCTCATTCCTGTAATCCCAGCACTTTGGGAGGCTGAGGTGTGCAGATCACCTGAGGTCGGGAGTTCAAGACCAGCCTGACCAACATGAAGAAACCCCGTCTCTACTAAAAATACAAAATTAGCCAGGTGGCACATGCCTGTAATCCCAGCTACTTGGGAGGCTGAGGCAGGAGAATCGCTTGAACCTGGGAGGCGGAGGTTGCAGTGAGCTGAGATCGTGCCACTGCACTCCAGCCTGGGCAACAAGAGTGAAACTCCATCTCAAAAAAAAAAAAAAAAAAAAAAAAAAGTTGGTTTAAAAAAATTTTTTTGAACAGGTGATCCATTAACAAGGTAGAGGTTCAAAAGGTGCAGGGATATTTATGGTAGAAACAGGATCCCTTTCCCCTGGTCCTGGTCCTGGGAAGTGGCTCTGCTATCTAGGAACAAGCAAAGTTAGCAGTTTCTTATGTCTCTTCTCAGATGGAATCTATGCGTCCAGGAGCAAATGTTTGCACATATATATTTGGCTTTGTTTCTTTCTTTTTCTTATTTCTGAGGATATCTTGCTCCAGATTTTTTTCTCTCTTTTCCTTTTTTGTTCTTATTTCTGAGGTGTTGCTCTTTATTTTTATATAAACGAAGCTCTTTCTATAACCAGCTGCACCTTGCTTTTCTCACTTAAAAATAAACCTTTGAGATAATTCCAATCAGTACATGTTAAGCTGCCTCGTTACTGTTAATAGCTGACAAACATTCCATTGGAAGAATGTACCATAATTTATTTAGGCAGGTTTTGACTGATTAAACATTTTGTTTTATTCCACTCTTTTTTTTTTTTTTTTTTTTTTGAGATAGGGTCTTCTGTCGCCCAGGCTGGAGTGCAGTGGTGTGATCTTGGCTCACTGCAGCCTAACCTCCCAGGCTCAAGCCATTCTCCCACCTCAGCCTCCCGAGTAGCTGGGACTACAGGCATGCACCACCATGCCCAGCTAATAATTTTTTTTTTTTTTTTTAGATAGAGTCTTGCTCAGTTGCCCAGGCCGGAGTGCCATGGAACGATCTCGGCTCACTGCAACCTCCGCCTCCCTAGTTCAAGTGATTCTCCTGTCTCAGCCTCCTGAGTAGCTGGTATTACAGGTGCCCACCACCACACCCTGCTAATTTTTGTATTTTTAGTAAAGACAGGATTTCACCATATTGGCCAGGCTGGTCTTGAACTCCTGATCTCAAGTGATCCACTTGCCTCAGCCTTCCAAAGTGTTAGGATTACAGGCATAAGCCACCGCTCCCAGCCCTGGCTAATTTTTGTATTTTTTGTTGAGACAGGGTTTCGCCATGTTGCCCAGGCTGGTCTCCAACTTTTGGGCTCAAGTGATCCTCCTGCCTTGGCCTCCCAAACTGTTAGGATTACAGGCGTGAGCCACCACACCCAGCTTCTCGTTACTGTTAACAGCTGAAAAATATTCCACTGGAAGGATGTACTATAGTTTATTTAGGCAGTTTTTGGCTGATAAACATTTAGGTTTTTTCCAGTCTTTACTATCACAAACAATACTGCAATGTATGCCTCCGTCTGTGTATCACTTTGCAACTGTGCAAATACGTAGCAGGGTAAATTCCTCTTGCTGAGTTAGAGTTTGTTGATTTGGTAGGGCTGCCATCACAAAGTACAAACTGGGTGGCTTAAGCAACAAATCTATTGTCTCAGTTCTGGAGGCTGGGAACCCAAGGTCAAGATGTCAGCAGAATTGGTTCCTTCCGAGGGCTGTAAGGAAGAACCTGTTCCATGCCTCTCCCACGGCTTCTGGTGGTTTGCTGGCATTCGTTGGCATTCTTTGGCTTGGAGAAACATCACCCCAATGTTTACCTTGATGTTCACATGGTGTTTTTCCTGTGTATATGTCTATGTCCAAATTTCTTGTTCTCATAAGGACTCGTCATATTGTATGACCTCATCTGAATGAATTACATCTGCAATGACCCTATTTCTAAATAAGGTCACATTCTGAGGTACTGGGGCATAGGACCTGAACATACGAATTTTTGGGGATGCAATTCAGCCTATAACAAAGGGTATATAACCATTTACTTTTAGAAAAATATTGCTAAATACCCTCTTCATAGAAATTGTACCATCGGCTGGGTGCAGTGGCTTACGCCTGCAATCCTAGCACTTTGGGTGGCTGAGGTGTGCAGATTGCTTGAGCCTGTGAGTTCAAGACCAGCCTGGGCAACATGGTGAAACCCTGTCTCTACGAAAAAAGAAAAAAAAAAAAGCTGGGTGCGGTGATGTACATCTGTAGTCCCAGCTACTTGGGAGGCTGAGGTGGAAGGATCGATTGAGCCTGGGAGGCGGAGGCTGTAGTGAACCATGATCACACCACTGCACGGCAGGCTGAGTGACAGAGTGAGACCAAGAAGAAAGAAATTGTACTGTTACCTTCCCAACAGCCTTGCCAACACAGTGGGCCATCACACATTTTGATTTTTGCCAGGCTGGTAGGTGGAAAATGGTGTCTCATTGTATTCCAACGTGCATTCCATTTATAAGTGTGGATGAGAGTTCTCTTATATATTTAAGACCAATTTGCCTTGTTTTTGCATCCAGTTGTTTACATCATTTGCTTCTTTTTCTTTCTTTCTTTTTTCTTTTTTTTTTCGAGATGTAGTCTCGCTCTGTCGCCTAGTCTGGAGTGCAATGGCGTGATCTTGGCTCACTGCAACCTCCGCCTCCTGGGTTCAAGCAATTCTCCTGCCTCAGCCTCCCGAGTAGCTGAGATTACAGGTGCCCACTGACACTCCCAGCTAATTTTTTGTATTTTTAGTAGAGATGGCGTTTCCCTATGTTGGCCAGACTGGTCTCGAACACCTGACCTCATGATCTGCCTCCCTCCGCCTCCCAGAGTGCTGGGATAACAGGCGTGAGCCACTGTGTTTGGTCTCATTTGCTTATTTTTCCATTAAATTATTGGTCTTTTATCCTTATTGATTTGTAGAAGCTCTTTAAGTGTAAAAGAAATTAGCTGTCTGTGATATGTTTCCGATGTTTCTTTTCCTGTTAGTCAATTGTTATTTGACTTTGTATAAGAATTTCTTTTTTCTTTTTCCTTTTTTTTTGGAGACAGGGTCTTGCTCTGTTGCCCAGGCTGGAGTGCAATGGTGTGGTTCCAGCTCACTGCAGCCTCAATTTCCTGGCTCAAGCGATCCTCCCACCTCAGCCTCCCAAGTAGCTGGGACTATAGGCACACACCACTAGGCCCAGCTAATTTTTGTATTGTTTGTAGAGATGGGGTTTCATCATGTTGTCCAGGCTGGTCTCAAACTCCTGGGCTCAAGCAATCTGCCCACCTCGGCCTCCCAAAGTGCTGGAATTACAGGTGTAAACCATCATTCTCACCTTTTGTTTTTTTTTTTAACCAGGAAAAAATGTTCAATTTTTTTGTATACAAACATCATTTTCTTTTATGGTTTTGGGCTTTTCTGTGATATTTAATAAGGTCTTTTCTTGCCGGGCACGGTGGCTCACACCTGTAATCTCAACACTTTGGGAGGCCAAGGCGAGTGGATCACCTGAGGTCAGGAGTTCAAGACCAGCCTGACCAACATGGAGAAACCCCGTCTCTACTAAAATACAAAATTAGCTGTGTGTGGTGGCATATGCCTGTAATCCCTGCTACTCGGGAGGCTGAGGCAGGAGAATCACTTGAACCCGGGAGGTGGAGGTTGCGGTAAGCTGAGATCACACCATTGCACTTTAGCCTGGGCAACAAACGCAAATCTCCATCTCAAAACAAACAAACGATGAACAAAACAGAAGGTCTTCTCTATGATTATGATACATATTCTCTTATTTTGTTAAATGCACTTACGGTTTCATTTTTATGTGTAATTTTGACCCACTGAAATTTATTTTGGCATAAGGTAAAAGGTAGGAACCTGGCTGGGCGCAGGGGCTCATGCCTGTAATCCCAGCACTTTGGGAGGCCGAGGCGGGTGGATGACAAGGTCAGGAGATTGAGACCATTCTGGCTAACACGGTGAAACCTCGTCTCTACTAAAAATACAAAAATTAGCCAGGCATGGTGGTGGGCGCCTGTAGTCCCAGCTACTTGGGAGGTTGTGGCATGAGAATTGCTTGTGCCTGGGAGGCAGAGGTTGCAGTGAGCCGAGATCTGACCACTGCACCCCAGCCTGGGTGACAGAGTGAGACTCTGTCTTAAAAAAAAAAAAAGGCTGGGCATGGTGGCTCTCACCTGCTGTAATCCCAGCACTTTGGGAAGCCGAGGCGGGTGGATCATGAGGTCAGGAGATCGAGACCATCCTGGCTAACATGGTGAAACGCCATCTCTACTGAAAATACAGAAAAATTAGCCTGGCTTGGTGGTGGGTGCCTGTAGTCCCAGCTACTTGGGAGGCTGAGGCAGGAAAATGGCATGAACCCAGGAGGCAGAGGCAGAGCTTGCAGTGAGCCGAGATCGTGCCACTGCACTCCAGCCTGGGTGACAGAGCAAGACTCCATCTCAAAAAAAAAAAAAAAAAGACATGTATTCCATGGGAAAACTCTTTGAAAACGTTGGGCTTCATCTAAGGCAAGCTTGTCCAACAAGCTTGGCCCAGGACAGCTTTGAATGCAGCCCAACACAAATTTGTAAATTTTCTTAAAACATTATGAGACTTGTGTGTGTGTGTGCATGTGTGCGTGTGTTTAGCTCATCAGCTATCATTAGTGTTAATGTATTTTATGTGTGGCCCAAGACAATCCAGTTCTCCCAGTGTGGCCCAGGGAAGCCAAAAGATTGGACACCCCTGATCTAAGGGGTTGAGTCCTAACCACGCTACCTCCCAGTGCTGCCACCTTGAGTAACTTGCTTCACCTGTGTCACATTTCCCTTCAGTTTTAAAATGGGGGTAATAACGGGAAGCTTTTGTAAGGCCTCAAGCTTCTGTAGTTTGGAGGGCTCTCTTACAAATTCCAAAAGGGAAACACTTCCCCTGCAGGGTCTGGGAAGGGCCCCTGCAAGTGAGAGGACCTGAAGGTTTAAATGTCCTCAGCATCACTGAAAACCCACCTTTGATCATGGTATCTACTTAATAGGGCCCTGGGGAGTACGGAATGTGTCTTAAGTATCTGGCATCTAGTATGAGTGTGGTGAGTCCATTCCCAGACTACAAACTCAGGTGTGCAGGGAACATCACTCCCCCCAACCACATGCTTCTGTTTTTTTTTTTTTTTTTTTTTTGAGACAGAGTCTTTCTCTGTCACCCAGGCTGGAGCGTAGTGGCGCAGTCTCGGCTCACTGCAATCTCCACTTCCCAGGTTTATGTGATTCTCCTGCCACAGCCTCCCAAGTAGCTGGGATTACAGGCACCTGCCACCATACCCAGCTGATTTTTGTATTTTTAGTAGAGACGGGGTTTCACCGTGTTGGCCAGGCTGGTCTCAAACTCCTGACCTCAGGTGATCCGCCCGCCTCGGCCTCCCAAAGTGCTGGGATTACAAGCATGAGCCACTGTGCCCGACCCCATGCTTCCTTTTAATTAGGAACATCACTTCCTTTACATGCCACAACCTACCTGAAGTTTTGACGCCAAGCCCCCACTTTCACTGAGCTGGCAAACACGCTCCTTTGAGTCACTCTTGAAGTTTTAAGTGCACCTTGCTCTGAAGCAGAGTCAAGACCTGGGAGTGAGGGGAAAGATTTGTTGTCCCTTGGTTGTCTGTTCATCCCGATCATGGCTGAGGCATCTAATGTCCCTTTCTGAAGGTGGCCTCATATCTTCAGCCCTCCACTGCTTCTGAGCCGTGCATGGGACTTGGGGATCTACGAGGGGCCCAAGGAGTGCCATGTAGCACTCCTGCTTGTGAGGACAGCTCTGTTGGTGGGTCTGCCGGCTCTATTCTAGGTCACATCAGAGATCTTCCCGAGAATAACCCATGCTGGCTAAAGCATCGGATTGGGTGCAGTCAGAATTGAGGTCAAATCCTGCAAAACCTGTTTTCCTCATCTGCAGAATGGAGAAGATGCTAACAATACCTCCCTCATCGAATTGGTGTGAAGAATTCAATGTCTTGGTGTTTGTAAAGGGCTTAGGATAGTGTCTGACATGTAGTCCATGGGATGTCTTGATGCAGGTCATCATCTCACCCTTGTTCATTATTGGATGGAGAAACCAGGGTCCCAGAGACACTGGCCGGCTGGGGCAAGATCACCACTCATTCCTATCAACAGCTGGGTTAAAGGTGCAGAAGACATGCTTATTCGATTTGCAGGTGACCCAAAACTAGATGCAGTGGCTGGTATTTTAAATGACCAAACAAGAGCCCAAAATCCCCTAAAGCGGATGAGATGATGGACTAACCCCTCTACGGATGGATGTAAAATTAAAATTTTTTGCATGAAAGAGATTTTGGCTGAAGGTTCATTGCACATTGAGATGGTTGCCCCAAATGATTGTGGTCTCAGGCTGAGTCTGTAGAGGTACAGGTTGACGATGAGGGAGGTGATAGCTGGAGGGTTGTGCTCAACTCTGGTTGTCGTACATTTGAGGAGACAGGGAGAGACCAGAGTCCAGTTTGTGGAGGGTAAAGGTTAGTGAGGAACTGGGGATACTGATCTTGCAGAAGAGAAGACTCAAAAGGGCAGAGGCAGGAACAGTGGTATAACCCTGCCTGGCTCCAAGGGCAGAACTGGCACCCATGGAGATAACAGGGGCCTGAGAACCAGCTCTGTGGCTATCAGAACTTTCCCACAGTGAATCAGAGTGCCTTCAGAGGTGGTGAGCTCCCCATCACCAATGGTATGCAAGCAGAGTGAGGAAAGGATTCCTGTTTCCAGCTCTCAGATGGTTTTATCAACAGCAAAAAAACTAGACCCTACTGATAAAAATTTCTGTTGGCTATATATACACATATAGTTAACAAATATGTAATCCATATTTCCCCTATTTTAAGGTTTATTTTATTTTATTTTTGAGACAGGGTCTCACTCTGTCACGCAGGCTAAAGTGTAGTGCAGGATCTTGGCTCACAGCAGCCTCTACCTCCCGGTTTAAGCCATTCTCCCACCTCAGCCTCCTGAGTAGCTGGGACTACAGGCTCCTGCCACTACACACCTGGCTAATTTTTGTATTTTTTGTAGAGACGAAGTTTCGCCATGTTGCCCAGGCTGATCTCAAGCTCTTGGGCTCAAGCAATCCACCTGCCTTGGCCTCCCGAAGTGCTGGGATTACAGGTATGAGTCACCACGCCCAGCATACTTTAAGAAAATGAATATTATAGAAATTGGGACTAATTTACAATCAATGCGTAGGTTTACTGTATCCTTCCTTCCTGAAAAGTTGTTATTTGAATCAAAATGAAGTATATGATTGAGCAGGTTTTTCTGACACTCTGTTTTTCATCTTTCAATCTGTTTTTCACTTTTGTCATTAGAATGTATGTCTTGAATTTAAAAACAAAGTATCTAAATAAATAACAAATATTTTAAAAATCCAGCCTTCTTAGTGAAGCCACACTCAATCTATTGAATACATCTTCTGCTGACATTCCACCTTGTCGCCGCCATCTTGGCCTCTGAAATAGAATGGAGACCGGCTATTAAACCAGTTTTTAGCAAATTCGGAGCAGCAGGTTCTTGGCTGGGGGAAAAAAATTCCACTTATCAAGAGATGTTTATTCCTTCAAAGGGTGAGAACCTACTTCTTCATAAAGAGAATTTGGAGGGAGCTTTTTGTTCTGCGGGGACAACATCTGGATTTGAATACATCCATGCTCAAAAGGAGATTTCTCATAATGGACCCAACTGAAAGCACTCAGAGTACAAGGACCGGTGAGCTTTCAAAAGGAGACACTTCGGGAGACTCGCCAGGGGCCCTCGTATCCCCGGCAGCGCGAGTTTTGGAGGTCAGTGGAGGGCTCTCGCATCATGCATGTAACTTTCATACTCAAAAACTTACCTTCATCCTGCATCCCTCACCCCCCTGCAGAAACTTGGGGCTTGAATTCATTTAAAAACATTTGCGGTTTCAGAAGCCTTCTTTTTATTATGAAGCTGCCAAGGAGATCTTAGAATGAAAGGCATTTTTAGAGATGAGAAAGAAGGAAGCCAGGCCAAGGCTGGGCCGGCTCTCAGCCGTGGGTCTGTAAAGGTGACACGTGGGACATGGCCACCTGCAGACCCTGCAGGCGGCTGGGCAGAGGCACCCACAGGGACCTGGGTTTGAATCCCTGCTCTGCCAGTCATTTCCACAGCGATCTTGGGGGAAGTTGTGTAACCTCTGGGCCCTGCGACGCCCTTTCCTGGAGCCTGGAGCTGGAACGAAGCCCCTTGGAGCCCTGACATCAGAGGTGACGTTAGTCTTCGCAGGCAATGACTCGGCGGAATGTGATGCCACTCCCTAACCCGTGTCCGGACTGGCAGAGTGTGTGCCGCCTCCCACCAGGTGGTCTGGCTGCTTTGATGGATCTCCTAACTTCTCTGCACCCCAGAGCCCTCAGTGCTGGCCAGACCTTCACTCACTCCTGGGTGACAACCCCGTTCTCAGATAGTGGGTCCCACAGGCTGGCCTGTGGCGCCCCCTGCTGGTGACTGCAGGGAGAAGGATGCCCTAAGCCAAAGGAAGTCCTTCCTGGGGTCTAATCTCTACCTTTTGCATGATGAGGCAGCTGAGGTGGCTCGCTTTCTCCTCCACCCCAGAAAATAAAGTCATATGGAGTCCAAGCAGTTATTTTTCTCTGCTAGGCCAGTCCATCATAAGCCCCAAATGGAGGGGCCCCTGGAATGAGCCCTATGCAGGCCTTCTATGGACAAGGGCCCTTCAGGGAGTAGGGCTGTGGTGAGGATGGGGTGCATGTGTGTGGGCTCTCACCTGGGTGTGGGAAGATCAGAGGGACCCCACAGGTCAGTGTTTGCAGATGAAAAAATGAAGGTAGGAGCTGGGCACGGTGGCTCACGTCTGTAATCCCAGCACTTTGGGAGGCCAAGGCAGGTGGATCACGAGGTCAGGAGATCGAGACCATCCTGGCTAACATGGTGAAACCCCGTCTCTACTAAAAATACAAAAAGTTAGCCAGGTATGGTGGCGGGCTCCTGTAGTCCCAGCTACTAGGGAGGCTGAGGCAGGAGAATGGCGTGAATCTGGGAGGCGGAGCTTGCAGTGAGCCGAGATCGCGCCACCGCACTTCAGCCTGGGCTACTGAGCAAGACTCCATCTCAAAAAAAAAAAAAAAAAAAAAAAGAAGGTAGGAAGCTTCAGCCTGAAGGTAAAGTTTTGGGGCAGCTCCAACCCACTGCCCTCCTGGGACCGGTTTTATCAGCGTTTCCCTGTAATTGGTGAAAGGCCTTCAGTTAGCCATTTCTCTGAAGATTAGAGAAAGCAAGAGAGATGTGAGTTAAACACAAGGCGGGACTTCTCAATGATGGGGGATGTCAGACCTCAGAAAGGGGAGCAAAGGAACCTTCCCACTGAGGGCAGCCTCCAGTGAGGTGGGGTCCAGGCCAGGCGGGTGAGATGGCCCTCAACACTGTCCATCTGGAGGGGCCTGGGACTAGGTTGTAGTCTATGGGGGTCTCAGGATGGAAAGGCCTCTTGAGAGGCTCCTGGTGGCTGGGACTTTTGTGGATGGGATGGTGAGGACGGGCAGGGGGAGAGACTGAGGCCCAGAGGCATTGCCACCCCCATCCTCCCCCGCCTGGTAAACTCATCTTCCTGACTCATTGGCTTGCCTCCTCTGCGGACACTGCCTGGTCCCTGTGCAAGGTCACGTTGCTTGCCCTCCACGAGCTCCCGTCCTGCTGCTGAGCTCATGTTCTGTGATGGCAGCCTCTGTGTCCATCCTCCCTGCTGGACTGTGGGCTCCACACCGGCTGAGACCTGACTGTCTTGCTCCAGCCTGGCTCTAACTCCAGCACCTGGCACATCTAATCTTGCCTGGCATGTCCTGGTGCTCAGTGGCTTCAACTGAGAAGAGGCCCAGGGTCTTCCTTGGTCCAGCTAAGCCTGGCTTTAGAAAGGATTGGGGCAGACGTAGGGGAGGCAGAGCCCCAAGTCTTGATGGATGGGTGACCTGGGCACTCTGACTTTCTGCACAGGGCTACCCCTTTCCCCCATTGAGACACCCTCCTAACTCAGCTGTAGGCTCTGACACCCCACTTCTGGCTGGCTCTGGCTTCCCACACTGGAACCATCCCCTGCATGGCTGCCTTGCTTTGTCTGCCTGGGCTCTGACACCCATATCAGGCTGACCCCATAGGGGTGACAGCCCCTCACTGATTTGTACTCTGACACCCCTGGGCCAGCCTGCCTTCCCCAGTGGTCCCCCTCCTCACTCTGCTAGGAATCCTGCTGTGTTCATCCATGGTTCCCCCATTCCCTTGCTCTGCTGCACATAATAGTTTTAGGACTGAATTGTTGAGGAAGGAAAGGAGAGAGGAGGAACAGAACTCTGTTTTTGAAAAATTATTTTAACTGTGGACATTTTTGTGCGAGAAAAATTTTGGACAGAATACTAAATGGAGCTGCTCTGGTTGAAGAAAGAGTGAAAGAGAGGGAGAAAGAGAAGAGAATGGGAAAGGACAGACAGCAGAGAGGAGAGGGAGAGGGGAGAGAGAGGACAGGGGAGGGAAGAGGAGAGGGGAGGGGAGGGGAGAGATGAGGGGAGGGGAGGGGAGAGGAGAGGAGGAAGCCCTTCAATGCCCCTGGAGTCCTGCCCACTTGGTCCCACTCCCTCAGAACTCTCATCTGTCATTAAGCTCTTGGGGTTCCTAGGTGTGCAGTTTGGGGACCACCGGACAAGAATTCTGCCTCAAATAAAATGAGTGCCACTTAGCCGCTAAGATGTCTTCTCTGAGCTTTTCTGAGAAGCAGCCCTGGAGGCAGCGGGCTCACCACCTACCCTGAGTAGCTTCTGAGCCTGGCAGCAGTCACCTGGAGCTTGAGGGTAGCAGCTGCCTCTGCCTGGAGGAGGCATCTCTGAGCAGGGCCAGGGGGCCCTGGACAGGCATTGGAGGTGTCCTTCCGGGCCTGGTGGAAGTGGGCTAGGGGCTGTGAGTGAGAAGACTTCTATAGGCCGAGGCACTGGGTAGACACCTCACCCCCAGCCATCTGTGGACCCTTTGTGACCCTTTATGCTCCATCTCTGTCTCCCCCACAATCACCGGAGAAACAGGATCTGGGAATTCTGCCTTGGTGGCCGAAGCAGAAGTCACTGCCCTCCTAATGCCACTCATCGGACCACACAACACTTTCACCGCCAGTCCTTGTGTGATTTGATCTTTGCAAATCAGAGATAGTACTGTTAATAATTTCCCTGCAGGAAAGAGGAAGTTAAGGATATGAGGAATTGCCGTCAGGATCAGAGGTAAGGCCCGGAATCCCAACAGACTCCCATTCCCAGCACCTTCCGGGCACCCGCCTTCGAGGCCTTTCCCCTCCCTGCCGCTTTATAATGCTAATTGAGGGAATGAGTTTCCTTGGCCTGAGAGTGGGCTAGGGCTGGGGCTGGGACCCAGGGCTTAGGCAATCCCAAGGGTCTGGAAAGGAAAACAGGTCAGGAGTAGAACCCTTTCCCAACACCATGGGCCAGCTCCCAGGCCCCATCTTGGGCGTGGGGGATTTGGAGTAGGATGACCATATAATTAGTCATCCAGATTAGGATACGTTTGGGAATGAAAGGGAGTGTCATTAAAAGTTACCCTAGGGCGGCCGGGCGCGGAGGCTCACGCCTGTAATCCCAGCACTTTGGGAGGCTGAGGCAGGTGGATCCAGAGGTCAGCAGTTCGAGACCAGCCTGGCCAACATAGTGAAACCCCATCTCTACTAAAAATACAAAAATTAGGCTGGTGGCTCACGCCTGTAATCCCTGCACTTTGGGAGGCCGAGGCGGGTGGATCACCTGAGGTCAGGAGTTTGAGACCAGCCTGGCCAACATGATGAAACCCCATCTCTACCAAAAAATTAGCCTGATGTGGTGGCGGGTGCCTGTAATCCCAGCTACTCGGGAGGCTGAGGCAGGAGAATCGCTTAAACCCAGGAGGCAGAGGTTGCAGTGAGCCAAGATGGTGCCACTGCACTCCAGCCTGGGTGACAAGAAAAAAAGCTGGCATCGTGGTGTGCACCTGTAGTCCCAGCTACTCAGGAGGCTGAGGCAGGAGAATCGCTTGAATCCGGGAGGCAGAGGTTGTGGTGAGCCAAGATCGTGCCACTGCACTCCAGCCTGGGCAACAGAGCGAGATTCCATCTCAAAAAAAAAAAAAAAAAAAGTTACCCTAGGGCAATAGCTGAGAACCCCCACGAGGTCATTCTGTGATGGAACCCCTGCCCTGCCCTCCCCCTCCGCAGCTTCAGACCCCCACACCCTCTCCTGCTGCTGTGTCTCCAACTGATGCTGAAAGTAAAAGCCGCCACTCACTGGCCGGTTACCTGCCCAGCACTCCACAGAGCTTGTTTTTTGTGACCTTCATGACAGCTGTGAGTCTCATTTTATTGATAGAGACACTGAGGCCCAGAAGAAACTGGCCCAAGAACACACAGGTGGTGAGTGGTAGAGCTGGGATTTGAACCCAGGGAGGCTGGCTTTCCTTGGAAGGATTATACGAACATTTTAATTGGTTTGGCCCACAAGAATTGAATTGCGAAGGAATGAGGCTTCCCAAGCCTTTCATCAGACCGTCCGCAGTCTCTTGTAGCTGTCTTCAGCTCAGGGACATCATTAAAAGGAACTTTGCAGCTTGGGCAACAAGGTGAAATCCTTTCTCTACTAAAAAAAATTTTAAAAATTAGCCAGGCGTGGTGGCGCGAGCCTGTGGTCCCAGCTACTACTTTGGAGGCTAAGGTGGGAGGATCACCTGAGTCTGGGAGGCAGAGGTTGAAGTGAGCCGGAATCGTGCCACTGCACTCCAGCCTAGGCGACAGAGAAAGAACCTGTCTCCACAAAAATATTTAAAAATTACCTGGGCGTGTTGGCACGTGCCTATAGTCTCAGCTACTCAGGAGGCTGAAGTGGGAGAATTGCTTGAGCCCAGGAGTTTGAGGCTGTAGTGAGCCATGACACTCCAGCCTGAGTGATAGAGGGAGACTCCGTCAAAACCAAACAAAACACAAAACAAAACAAAAACCCAAAAAGGCCGGAGAGGTGGCTCACACCTGTAATCCCAGCACTTTGGGAGGCTGAGGTGGGAGGATTGCTTGAGCCTGGGAGTTCTAGACCAGCCTGGGCAACATAACGAGACCTTGTCTCTACAAAAAAACAAAAAAAACTAGCTGGGCATGGTGGCATATGCCTGTGATCCCAGCTACTTGGGGAGGGGTGCTGAGGTGGGAGAATCCCTTGAGGCCAGGAGGTCGAGGTTGCAGTCAGCTTTGATTGTGCCACTGCACTCCGGCCTGGGTGACAGAGCTAAACCCTGCCTCCTAAAAAAAGGAAGTGGGTGGCGGGTATGGGGGAGGGGGATGTGTGGGCAAGGGAAGGAGGGAGGTGCACTCAGCAGGGGCAATGTGTAAGGAGTATGCAATGGAAGGGAGGCAGCCGGATGTCATTAGTCAAAGTTAACATTTGTTATGGACCTACTGCATACCGGGCTCTATTTAAAGTGTTTTCAAGGTACTATTCTATTTAATCTTCATACCAACCCTATAAGCTGGGTTGTTTTACAGATCATCACTACGAAGAGCAAAACAGGCCACTTGCCCACCTTGACAGAGCTGGTAAGTGGCAGAGCCAGGACCATCCAGACGGCTCAGCTTCCAAGCCAGCAAGCCTCATCGCCATGCAGTTTGTCCCCAGGGAGGAAGGATGCTTCTGGTCCCAGGGTCCAGGATGCTCTACCCTCCTTCCTCTAGGATATCCAGGGGGCCAGCTTTAGTGAGAGGAGAGTGCATGGTCCAGCCTTCTGGGGGCACCCAGAGTGTCCCCTTCCACTCCCAGCTTCCCACTTCTGCTCCACTGTCTCCCTGCAGGAGGCTCTGGGAAGGCAGAGATGGAGCTGTGGTCCCCACCGCCTTCTGTGGCAGCTCACTTTCATTCATTTTCTTTAAATGCTTCTCACTCTCTGTTTTTAAATCTAATTTTTCAGCTTCTTTTTCATCTTCATTCAAGTTGCTTTAATGAAACGAAAATGTGTCTGTTTCCCTCTGCTGGAGCTGCCCGGGGAATTTCAATATAAAACAAACAAGTTGGCTTTTAAAATTAAAATTTTATGGGTGGCATTTCCTCATTTAATGGGTGGCACAAAAGAGTGGAGTAAAACCAATTAACATGGGGTTGAGACTCGGTGTTCAGAAAAACTAAACAACAGGAGCGCGGTGCGCCAGGAGCCAGGAGCAGTTCCAGCAGAGGCTGGGGAGGTGCGCGGGTGAGGCAGTTGTGGAGGCTCCCCCCACTCCCTGGCAGCTGTGTGCACCCAGGTCGGGCACTAGCACATACAGGGATGCCAGCCTCAGCTCCCCACCCAGCTCTACCCCCAGGACCCATGCCCAGGGGTTGGTGTGCACATCTACCTTGCACATTCAGATGGCAGGCGATAGTGGGGGCTGAGAATGTGGAGGGGCGGGGGAGGCTGCCTTGGAGCCCTGGGGTCCTGGACACTGTTGTCTGGAGAAGCATTAGGAAGTAGCTAAGGCCTCTGCCAGGGCCAGCATTCATTCGGATAGTTATCCTCTGACGCAATCTGAGTCCTACTCACGAGGGCCTCATCTTCATCATGGCTATGCCCCAGGGCCCAGACCGCACCAGGAGTGTGGCAAGTGCTGCATAGATGCTGGATACCTGGATGAATGACTTCATTCCGGCAAACAATACTAATGGAAATCCTGCTCTGCTGTGACTCCCTCAGGGTGGGTGTCACCCGGCATAGGGTGTGTTTGGGGTAGAAATGGTGAAGATACCACAGGAGATCTGAGGAGCAGGGGCATGCCTGGGTGGCGCTGCAGGGAGAGAATGGCTCTGTGGAACTGGCAAGGGCAGAGTGAACAGGGCTGGAGAAGAGGCAGTCCGGGCAAGGGCGGGGTGGGGAGGGAGCTGAGAAATTGAGGTGGCTGAATCTGGCCTGGAAGGAAGTAGGGGTAAGAAGATGAGTCTGGAGAGACCAGTCGGGGCTGGCTTGTGAAGAGTGGCAGGTTGCTTTGACTTCATCTCAGGGCAATGGGGACTTGCTGCAGGCTCAGAGCAAGGTGATGTGATTCCAGGTGGCTTCAGGGACACTGACTCTGGAGGCTGGTGGGAGGGAAAGGAGAGTCCCGCCAGGTGTGCTGGCATCCCTGCAGGCTGAGCTGAGTACTTCAGGCTGGTTGGTTAAGGTGAACTGTGGCTGCTGGGGGTGGGGAGGGAAGGCAGGGATGATGGTGGGGCCTTTCTCTGAGCTGGAGAGCCTGGAGGAGGAGCAGGTTGGGAAAGTGGAGGGGTTCAGTTGTGGCAACATCAGCAGCCCCCCAATATAGACCCAACTGTGCTAAGGATATAGGAAGGAGATTTCAGACTGGCAGTGACAACTAGATCCCATAAATATAGGGAGGGATATGGTGCCACAGCCCCCTAGGACTCCCGCCAGCCCCAGGAGCCTCCCAGGAATACAGGCCTCCCAGCTTCGGGGCAAAGGGCTCAGGCCACCTCTTTTGTTCCCTCCATCTCTTTCCTTCCCACACTGGCCCTTTCTGTCCCCCAGTGGGGCAGCGTTCTCCCCACCCTTTCTGTCCTCTGACCTTTCATTCTATGGGAAGGACCACTCTGGTTACAGGAACCCCCAGAGTGGCAAAAAGATGGAGGAGGCCAAGGGCATCACCTGCCCAATGTCAGGAGATTGAGCTGGTTGCCATGGCCACCGCCAGCATCCTTAGTCCTCCCCAGTCAGGCCTTCAGACCTGAAAATACACTCCCAGAGTCGTGCAGACTGTGGGCCCCGGGCTGACCTCCAGCAGGGGCATGGCCAGTGGGTGCCAGTACTAATGGAACTCCTGCTCTGCTTCGACTCCCTCGGGGTGTGTGTCACTCAGGAGGGTGTCTTTGAGGGAACATCTATGGTCAGAGGAAGAAGGGCTTCCTAATTCAGGTCTGTGCCGATCCATTCCTGTCAAAGTCCATCCAAGGTGTGTCAGACAACCCAGGTGATGGTCTCTCTGAGAGCAATCTGAGAACCTGTCTGAGTTCCTCTCTTTGAGGCCTGTTTGAAGGCCTACAGACTGTCTGGGTTGGCCCAAGGGCCAGTAGCACAAAACTAATATGGATGGCCGAAGGCCAAGGCTGGCACTGACCCTTCTCCCTTCATACAACAAAGAGTGAATCTGGCTAAGCTTGAAGTAGGTTCTTGTGGCCAGGGGGCTGGTGGAGTAGCTGGTGTTTTTCGTTTGATGATGGATTTTGTTTATTCCAGACCACAAAAAGTTGGCCAAAGCCCCCCTTCCCCCCCGACCATTTATCTGTACAGCTGGCTGGCTGACCTTGACATCTGGCAAAGGCAAAACACTTCTTGAAGACCTCACTGCCTGCCCACACCTCCCTGGGGAAAGAGACACAGTTGTGCCCTGTCTGAAATGGGCTTTTAAGTACGAATAGGGAATTCACCTGGTGAACAAGGTCAGGAAGAACAGTATTGACCGAGTGATACCAGTGAAGACACAGAAATTCAAAACAGTTCTCTGTGGGCCAAGAGAACAACTACATCAGTTTTTCTGGAGTCCAGAACTTGCAAGAGCTTGACATTCGAGTATCACATGAAATCACGTAAGAGAAAGGGTCTTACAAACTAGCATACTGCACAAAATGAGGGCTCACTGTTACCGCCCATCTCTCCTGTTTGTTATGGGAACCAAGTGAGTCGAGATGTGTGAAGTTGCGTTGTAAGCTGGAAGAGTGTTTATGAAAATGTTAATTAATACATTTAGAGAGTAGGTAGATTAAGTGTGAGAATGTGGAGATAGAACAGACAATTAAAATATCTGCTAATTTTTCTCTTGAATTCACATTTTAGGAAATGTTTATAAACTGAGAATTCTAATTACTTTTCTCCTTCACACCTCTTTTCAGATGAATACATTGTAAGAGAATTATAGTATCTGTTAAAAATATTGCCAATCCCAGTGTATCAGTTGGGACTCCTTACAGGGAAAGGAACAGGAGATCCACTGCAACTTGGATTAACCAGTAAAAGGAATGTGTGGTCCGTGTGATTTGGAAGTCTGGGGGTGTATTAGTCTTTTTTCACACTGCTGTAAAGATACTACCTGAGACTGGGTAATTTATAAACAAAAGAGGTTTAATTGACTTACAGTTCTGCATGGCTGGGGAGGCCTCAGGAGACTTACAATCATGGCGGAAGGTGAAGGAGAAGCAAGTACCCTTTTCACAAGATGGCAGGAGGGGGAAGGAGAGAGAGAGAGGAGAGAGGGAAGAGGGGAGGGAGAGAGAGAGGGAGAGAGACAGGGAGGTAAAGAGAAGGAGAGGCAGAGGGAGAGAGAGTGGGAGGGATCAAGGGGGAGAGAGGGAGAGAGATGGGGAGACTGGGAGAGTGGGAGAGTGGGAGACAGAGTGAGAGAGAGAATGAGCAGGGGAAACTGCCACTTTTAAACCATCAGATCTGGTGAGAACTCCCTCACTATCATGAGAACAGCATGGGGGAAACCACCCCTGTAATCCAATCACCTCCCACCAGTTCGTAATTGACACACAGGGATTACAATTAGAAACGAATTTTGGAGGCGGGGCGCGGTGGCTCACGCCTGTAATCCCAGCACTTTGGGAGGCTGAGGCGGGTGAATTACGAGGTCAGGAATTCGAGACCAGCCTGGCCAACATAGTGAAACCCCGTCTCTACTAAAAATACAAAAAAATTAGCCAGGTGTGGTGGCACATGCCTGTAGTCCCAGCTACTCGGGAGGCTGAGGCGGGATAATTGTGTGAACCTGGGAGGCAGAGGTTGCAGTGAGCTGAGATCATGCCTTTGCACTCCAGCCTGGGTGACAGAGTGACACTCTGTCTCAAAAAAAAAAAAAAAAAAGAAGAGCCGGGCGTGGTAGCTCACGCCTGTAATCCCAGCACTTTGGGAGGCTGAGGTGGGTGGATCACTTGAGGTCAGGAGTTCAAGACCAGCCTGGCCACCATGGTGAAATGCCACCTCTATTAAAAATACAAAAATTAGCCAGGTGTGGTGGCGTATGCCTGTAATCCCAGCTACTTGGGGGGCTGAGGCAGGAGAATCACCTGAACCAGGGAGGCAGAGGTTGTAGTGAGCTGAGATTATGCCATTGCACTCCAGCCTGGACAATAAGAGGGAAACTCTGTCTCAAAAAAAAAAAAAAAAAAAAAAAGTTTTGGGTGGGGACACGGCCAAACCATATCAATAGGTAAGACGAACTTCAAAGGGGATTTGATCCAGAGTTTGTTACTCAGGCTCAGGCTTGCTTCTCCTAGGCTTTTCCCTCTAAATCCTGGGAGAGAGAGAGAGGCTTCTCCTTGGCCAAAAATTCAGCACAATTCCTGAGCTGCACTTCTGATGGGTCTAACTTGGGTCAGGAGCGGGGGGAATGCCAGGCCTTAGTTCTGCATAAAGTGCCCATCACTGAAAGAATCACTGTGGTACCAGAGGCAGGTGAAATGGGTGCTGGGAGCCCACCAGGATGCCTACTATTCCTGGTTGCTCAGGTAGACCACTGGGTTTCAGATGTGCCAACCTGGAGTTGTGTTCAATTTCCTGCCCTCATTGCTGATTCATCATCTAGAATTTCTCTTCTCTGTAGTTCTTCCTTTGCAGCCATGATCCTGGGCCAGGCCTTGTCCCATCAATCCACACTCAAACTACTACCATAGTTTTTTTTTTTTTTTTAGCTACTTAGTCACTAGCCTCTTTCCTTGCCAATACATCTTCTTCCCCTATAGCCGCTCAAAAGCTTAACACATTTAATCACAGCAAAGAACACACATCACAGCTGATGTGATAAGACAAAAAACACAATTTCAAAATTTATGGGAAAACTGTCATCATGTGCCAGAGACACAATTTTATAACTAGAAAACTCAATGAAAGTAACTAAAAACAATTAATTATAGCAAATGAAAAGTTTAGGCCAGGCCTGGTGGCTCATGCCTGTAATCCCAGCACTTTGGGAGGCCCAGGTGAGAGGATCATTTGAGGCCAGGAGTTAGAGGCCAGCCTGGGCAACACGGTGAGACCCCATCTCTATAAAAATGAAAAGAAGTTAGCTGGGCATGGTGGTGCATATTATTCAGGAGGTTGAGGTGGGAGGATCACTTGAGGCCAGGAGTTGGAGACCAGCCTGGGTCACAGAGCAAGACTGTCTCTATTTTTTTTTTAATTAATTTTTTTTTTACACTGCAGGAAGAGACCCTGTCTCTTAAAAAAAAAAGTTTAGTAAGATGTCAGATACAAAATAATAAAAATTTAAAGCTTTCTTCTTCTTCTTTTTTTTTTGCAATGGCACGATCTCGGCTCACTGCAACCTCTGCCTCCTGGGTTCAAGCGATTCTCCTGCCTCAGCCTCCTGAGTAGCTGGGATTACAGGTGCGCACCACCATGCCTGGCTAATTTTTGTATTTTTAGTAGAGATGGGGTTTCACCATGCTGGTCAGGCTGGTCTCGATCTCCTGACCTCATGATCCACCCGTCTTGGCCTCCCAAAGCGCTGGGATTACAGGCGTGAGCCACTGTGCCCCAGCCAGCTTTTTTCTATAATGGCAATAATCAGTTTTAAAATATTGTAGCAGGTTATCTGAATAAGAGGGTCTTTTTTTTTTTTCCGACCTAATGAAGCTCAGTTGGGGATAGTTGTTTTCTAGAAATCATGTTAATTTTAGGGGTGTAGACACATGTGAACTTGAAGCACACCCCTTATTTTATTTCATTTTTAAGTTTTCTGTTTTTGTTTTTGTTTTGAGACAGCCTTGCTCTGTCACCCAGCATGGAATGCAGTGGTGAGATCATAGCTCTCTGCAGCCTCAAGCTTCTGGGTTCAAATGATCCTTCCACCTTGCCCTCCCAACTAGCTGGGACTACAGGCATGACCCACTACACCTGACTAATTTATTTATTTAGTTTTGTAGAGATGGTGGTCTCACCATATTGCCCAGGCTGATCTCAAACTCCTGGTCTCATGGGATCTTCCCACCTTGGCCTCCCAAGGTGCTGAAATTACAGGCATGAGCCACGGTACCCAACCTCTTCTCCTCTCATTTTAATAAAATCACTGGGACAGGTCCTTTATAGGAATAAGGCAAACACCACCTGCTTGTCTGGGAAGAGCCCTGGAAGAACTGTAAGTGGTGGAATGCAAACTGAGATGTTAAATATTCTGTTTCATAATGACTGCGTTTCAAGCAGAGTTTGCTATGGATGTGACCTGGTTTTATGGCCTGGGTGGGAGCAGAGAAGAACAGGGATTTTCAGGTGTGGGGAGGCCTGAGGAAGCTTTCATTGGTGGCTGTGCTCTCCCATACAATAGGGACCCTGAGAATGGGTGTACAGTCCAGGGTCCCAAGGGAACACTGTGTAGCTGTCAGTGTAGCCGTGTAGGAACCCTGACTGCAGCAAATGAAGACAGAAGGAGGAAAGACAGTGGTGGGGGTGGGGGAGCAGGGAGACAGAGAGAGAGACAGACAGACAGACAGACAGACACACAGAAACAGAGACAGACATACATACACACACAGAGACAGAGAAAGAGACAGAGAGAGAAAAAGAGGCAGACAGAAAGAGACAGGCAGAGAGAGACACACACACAGAGAGACAGAGAGACAGACAGACACACACACACACACAGAGACAGACAGACACACACAGAGACAGAGAGAGACAGAAAAAGACAGAGACAGACACAGAGAGACACAGAGACAGAGACACCGACAAACACAGAGAGACAGACAGACACGGAGAAAGAGAGAGAGAGACAGAGAGAGACAGAGAAAGAGACAGACAGAAATAGAAACACAGAGAGAGGGAGAGACAGAGAGAGACAGACAGAGACAGACACAGAGAAAGAGAGAGAGATAGGGAGAGAGAGAAAGACTGACAGACAGGGAGAGACACACACACACAGAGACAGAGAGAGGGAGAGTGGAGGGAGAGAGAGAGAGAGAGGGAGAGTGGAGGGAGAGAGAGAGACAGAGAGAGGGAGAGTGGAGGGAGAGAGAGAGACGGAGAGTGGAGGGAGAGAGAGAGACAGAGAGAGAGAGAGTGGAGGGAGAGAGAGAGACAGAGAGAGGGAGAGTGGAGGGAGAGAGAGAGAGAGAGACAGAGAGAGGGAGAGCGGAGGGGATGCAAGAGAAGCCGGCAGGAGAAGGAGCGGTGAGACAGTGAGTTGAGAAGTGGCCCCAGGACTGTGTGTGGAACATACAAGCACCTGTCTGGATCCCCCAGATGCCAAAGTATAATTCTCAAAATATTAAAACCATAATTCTCATGCAATACACAGTGAGCACCATCAAAATATTATTTAGCTCAATGAGAGAATCTTTAAACAAGGTGGTTCAAAGAAGAATATGAGAAACTCGCATGAAAAATGATGATGGAATAAGATACTAAATTAGATATGAAATTGGTTGATAGCCTATAGGACATTAAAACCATAACCTTTTGGGATTATTTTCTCTAGTGGATGGAAATCACTTGCCCCTTACCAGTTTTCTACAAGTAAACATCTAATTTTACAGAGCCTGGGCCCTAAGCAATAGTCAAATAGACTAGTCAAATAGAATGTCGAACATTCTCGTTACTCTAGACAGGCTTGTTGGCCAATGCTTGGGGCGTGGAGAGGAATTAAACCACATTTTTGCCAGTTTTAGAATCTCATGGAGAAATAGACCATGTTTGGTTTGGGTTTTGGGGGTTCAAAGTCATTTTAAATGGACTCTGAGAAGAAATATGAGCCACACTTGGATCCCAACATGGTGAGGTGGGGCACAGAGAAGCAGCGTCACGTGGTACCCGTGGCCTGGGGACAACTTGTGGGGGTGAGGAGATGGCCTGTACCCACCGCTATGCCGGGCTTCGAAGCACCTCTCCTTAGACTTCAGAGTCGCATCAAGCTTTTCGTTTTCTGGAGGGTTTTTTTTTCTTTTAAAACTTTTATTTGTATTTATTTATTTATCTATTTACTTTTTGAGACAGGGTCTCACCCTGTCACCCAGGCTGGAGTGCAGAGGCATGATCACGGCTCACTGCAGCCTCGATCTCCTGGGCGCAGGTGATCCTCCCACCTCAGCCCCCTCAGTAGATGGGACTATAGGAAGGCACCACCACACATTTTTCTATTTTTATTAGAGATGGGGTTTCACTATGTTGCCCAGACTAGTGCTTTTTTTTAAAATTAAAAATTTAAAATTGTGTTAAAATATACAAAACAAAATCGATCGTTTCAATATTATTTTATTTATTTATTTAGACAGAGTCTCGCTCTGTTGCCTGGGCTGCAGCAGCCTTGAACTCCTGGGCTCAAGTGATCCTCCCACCTCAGCCTCCTGAATACCTGAGACTACAGTTGTGCACCACCACACCCAGCTAATTTTTTGATTTTTTTTATTTTTGATGGAGATGGGGTTATGTTGCAGTGTTCTCAAGCTGGTCTCAAACTCCCAGGCTCAAGTGATCCTCCTGCTTTGGCCTCCCAAAGTTCTGGGATTACAGGCATAAGCCACTGCATCCAGCCTACAATGCATGTTAAAAGGTTAAGCACAGGAGGAAACAGTAAAACAGGGTGAGGGGGATTGGGAGCGTGTGACGGGGTATTGGGTCAGAGTTGCATCATTGGGAAGACATTCGATAGTCTTGAAGGAGGTGAATTGTATTGGGAGGAAGGGTTCCAGATTGGTGAGAGTACATCAGTTATGTCTGAGGTCAGAGTGAGTGAGGGGGATGGGTAGTGGGAGAAGAACATGACCTTGGAGGCCATTTTAAGAACTTAGGTTTAACTCCAAGTGAGATGGGAAACCATGGTAGGATTTTGAGCATAGAAATGACATGATCTGACTTTTGTTTTATTTTTATTTATTTATTTATTTTTTGAGACAGAGTCTCGCTCTGTCACCCAGGCTGGAGTGCAGTGGCACAATCTCGGCTCACTGCAACCTCCGCCTCCTGGGTTCAAGCAATTATCCTGCCTCAGCCTCCTGAGTAGCTGGGACTACAGGCACGCACCACCACGCCTGGCTAATTTTGTATTTTTAATAGAGACTGGGTTTCACCATCTTGGCCAGGCTGGTCTTGAATTCCTGACCTCAGGTGATCCACCCGCCTTGGCCTCCCAAGGTGTTGGAATTACAGGCATGAGCCACTGCACCCGGCCTGACTTATGTTTTAAAGGATTCACATTGGTCTGTGTGTTGAGAATAAATTGAAGAGGGGTTGGAGAGGCAGGGACAGAAACGGGGAGACCAGTTAGAAGGCTGCCACAGTAATCCTGGGTCACAGGTACTGTGGTTCCAGTGGCTGGTGGATCATTACAGCACAGAGCCTGGCCCCTACCCAGCCTCCTCAGCAAATCTTCTACCTCTACCCCAGCCGTCATCTGCTTGAGGGGAAGCTTGGAAGAGAACCACTGTTACTGAGGACCTACTATGTGCCAGGCATTGTTTTAGGTGCCTTGTGTTGATGACCTCATTTAATCTTCAAAGAGACTTGTGAAGAAGTGGTTGTTCCACAGACATTTCAAAGCCCATGCTATGGACTGAATTGTGACCTCCCTAAATTCCTAAGTTGAGGCTCTAATCCCCAGTGTATTTGGAGATGGGGCCTTTGGGGTATAATTAGGTTTAGATGAGCTCAGGAGGGGGTCCCTCGTGATGGGATTAGTGTCCTTATAAGAATAAACACCCTGGAGACTCCCATCCCCCACCATATGAGGACACAGCGAGAAGGCAGCTGTCTGCAAGTAAGGAAGAGAGCCCTCCCCAGGGACTGAATCTGCTGGCACTTTGCTCTTAGACTTCCCAGCCTCCAGAACTGTGAGCAATAAATATCTGTTGTTTAAACCCCCCAGTCTGTGGTATTAGTTATAGTAGTTGGAGCTAACTCAATAGAGCCCATTTTACAGATAAGGAAACTGAGGCTCTGAGGTGTTAGGTGATCTGACCAGTCAGTTGTGGGGTGGCAGAGCATTGGGCTGGGCTGTGATGGGAGACTTGGGAGTCAGAGAGATTAGGGCTTGAGGGAGACCTGCCTGTGGGGTTGGGGGCCCTGGCATTGAGGAGTTGCAGAGGGACAAGGCCAACTCTCAGGGGTGTCTGGGCCTGGTGGACTCCTGCCTGGGGTGGGGAATGGGAAGGAGGAAGTATCTGGGAAAGAAAGCTTCGATCTGGGTGGTTTTGGGGGGAGTTCCTGCCTCAGCCTCTCTGTGCAGTTTCCCAGGGCCTGGCTCTAGCTTTTCCAGGCATGTGGGGGGTCTGCCTGGGGCCTACTGAGGCCCTTCCTGCTGCCTCTCAGCCTTGCTGGTGGCTCGAGCTGTCCAGGCTTGTGGTCCTGGAGGTGGCAGGTGGTGGTGGTGGGGGATGGAAGGGGAGGAGGGAGGCGCTAGGGGTTCAGTCATGACTCCCTGGGGCCTGTTCATTGCTCACTCTCAGAGAAGGTGGTGAAGAGGGCAGAGTGTTAATGACAGTAATTGCTTTAATTATTTTTTTGGTTTGGAGAGTCATAAAATGCAGCAGCTCGCTTAGTGCTAATCATGGTAATTAGGAGGGGCTGGGGGCTGTGCTTGGACTGCAATTGTTAACTAGGGGGAAGTAACAGCCTGCAAAGACACAGAAGCAAATGCTCAGTCCTCCTTTCTCCTCTCCCCCTTTCCCTCCTATCCCTCTCCTTTCAGCCTTTTATCTCCCCACCTTGCTTCCCTCCTTCTCCCTCTGCCATGCCTCCTCCACCCCGCCCCTTCAGAGGGAGGCCTCTTTGATGGTGGTGGCAGTGGGCGGCTGTAGGGATCCAGGGACTGACCTCAGGTCTGGGGAGAGTAGCTGTTCTGGGGAGAGGGGGAGAATCAGTCTCAAGCAGAAGTCTGTTCTCCCCTGGGCAGCCTCCTGCAGAGCTCCTCTAGGTCTGAGGAGCCTGTGACAGACCAAGTGCCTGTGCCCTTCCAGATGAGCCAGGAGAGACAGCAGAGGTGCTCCCTTGGGCGCAACTGGGGGCAGATGCAGGGAATGGATGGACGTTGGGCTACCCTCTTGCTTCCCTTTACCCATCAACAACCAAGAAGCACACACTGAGCCACTTCCTGAATACCTACTGTGTGCCAGGGTGGAGATTCTTTGGGGGAATCGGACTCTGCCTTGTCCTCAAGGAGCTGGTATGGAAGAAGTAAGGACCATCCAGGGTGGCATCAGAGGCACAGAGCCCAGGCTGATGGTGTCAACCTTGGTAAGTCAGGGAAGGCTTCCTGGAGGAGGTGGCAGGGCCATCAGGGGAGACTTCCCAGAGGGAGCAAGGTTGTGCAAAGTGAATAGTGGTTTCCTGGATGTGAAGGGTAGGGATTCGGGTGGAGGGAACAGCATAGGCAAAGGACTGGAAGGAGGGTACAGGAGAGAGGAGAATGGGAGTTACAGCATGAGAAATGGCTTTAGGCTAGATTGTGAGGGGCCTCAAAGACCCCACCATGGGATTTGGGCTTGACATGCTAGCTTCTGAGACTCTATTTGCCTAGGGTTTGGGGAAGGGTTGGAGTCAGGAAGTTTTTTTATGAGGAGTGAATGAAAACATGTAGGCGAAGCACAAAGTGGGTGCTCTGTGGATGATGTTGACAATGATAACAAGGTGATCAGCCAAGGATAGTGTCCCAGGGATACGTAGACATGCTGCTGCAGAGACACAAGTAGACACAGACATGGGAGCTACCATTACACAAAGCACAGAGACAAACACACACCTATCCTCACCCCAAAGACATGTACAAAGTCAGGCTTGACACACCAGATCCACAACTGTGAGTTCATCTTTGAGGGGTTTGCTAAGGCCAGAGGTGTGCCCCAACTCCTTGACCTTGTAACTTTGCTCCCTGGGACCGTGGGCTGCATGGCTGGGGCCGAGTCAGGGAGAACATCCTCTGCAGGTCACCCCAGCATTCCCTCTGCTCTGTCAGAATGTGACCCTTGGCACTACAGCTAGAGAGCCTGAGGCCAGCTATCAATAAGAATTGTCTGGCTGAGAAGCCAGTGGTGGGGCAGCTTTCTGCAGTTAGGGCTGCCACTTACCACCCCAGGCCTGAGTGACTGGTGAGGCAGACACACCTGGTTTGGGGCAGGGAGCTGTTCTACCCCAGGCCAAACTCTTATCCTCTCCCAAGACCAGGGTCTCGGAGTCACCAGGGGCCCTCCCCTGGTATGCTTAGACAGCTCCCCTGGTGAGCTCAGTGTGATGCCTATTATGGGTGGTGCATGTAAATATCTGCTGTGGATGATAAGTGCCTTGCAACCGGAGGGATAGTGATTAGACCTCAGGGGCTACTTCTAGATTGTGAGGGGGTGTGAGGAACAACAGAGGAGTAAAAGGAACAGCAGCAAGGAGGATCCTGGGATTTGGTGAGGGGCTACATTCCTGGGAGATGTGGTAGAAGGAGCTTGCTGTGTGCCAGGCACGATTCCGAAGCATGTTACATGTGTTAACTCCATTAATCCTTCTAACACTCAGTGAAGCAGGTGTCTTGAGTATCCCATTTTACAGATGCAGAACTTAAATACTTTGTGCAATTCACACAGCTTGGAAGTGGCGGAAGCTGATAGGAGCCCAGACAGATGGACCTCAGAATCTGCTCCATCATAGCACTCACTGATGGTCTGGCCCTGTCTGTTTCTCCAGACTGGGAGCTCCTTGAGTACGATGCTAGTGACTCCTTCTCCCTTGTGTTCCCAGGAGCCAGCACGGGGGAGTATCTGGTAGTTGCTCACCACGTCTGGAAGGAAGAAAGGAAGGACATAAGGAAGGGAAGAAGAGAGGGAGAGACAAAGGAAGAAAGTATTGGAGGGCGGGATGTGGTGGCTCACACATGTAATCCCAGAACTTTGGGAGGCCAAGGCGGGCAGATCACTTGAGGTTGGGAGTTGGAGACCAGCCTGACCAACATGGTGAAACCCCATCTCTACGAAATATACAGAAATTAGCCGGGTGTGGTGGCGTGCATCTGTAGTCCCAGCTACTCAGGAGGCTGAGGCAGGAGAATCGCTTGAACCCAGGAGGGGGAGGTTGCAGTGAGCTGAGATTGTGCCATTGCACTCTAGACTGGGCAACAGAGTAAGACTCCATCTTAAAAAAAAAAAAAGTGTTAGAGGCAGGGGCTTGTGCAGAGGGTCTTGGGGCATTTCAGACCTACCATCCTGTCCCTGTATTGCATTCCCTGCCTGTTGGGTGCCCTCCTATGCCTGCCACCACCCCTGGATCCTCCAGGTCTCCCGAAGCTCAGCTGCCTCCTTGTCCAATTTCATTTTCTCACCAGACAAATGAGGGGCTGGATCCGCCTTTCCATTCACACAGGCAGTTGTCAGCTGCAGTGGCATCTGTTCTTGTTGGAAAAATTAAGAAGGAAGTGAAAGAAGCCACAGCCCTAGAGCGGATGGCTAGGGAATCTGGGTCTGGCCTCTCCTGCGAAGACCTTTCCTGTCTCCCGTAGGAGGTGCCTGGGAGGCAGCTCAGGGCCGCAATGGACATGGGTTCTCCACCAACATTCTCTTCCCTTGAGAGGGAAGTGTGGGCCACAGGCAGTGGCTCACATCTGTAATTCCAGCACTTTGAGAGGCCACGGCGGGTGATCGGGTGGATCATTTGATCCTAGGAGTGGGACCAGCCTGGGCGACATGGCAAAACCCCGTCTCTACAAGAAAATTAGCCGGGCGTGGTGGCACGCACCTGTAGACCCAGCTACTCAGGAAGCTGAGGTGGAGGATCTATTGAGGCCTGGGAGGTGGAGGCTGCAGTGAGCCACTGTGCCACTGCACTCCAGCCTGGGCAACAGAGCGAGACCTTGTCTCAAAAAGAAGACAACGACAACAAACAAACAAACAAACAAACAAAAAACCGGAAAATGTGGTTAACATGGTTAACAGTATGGCCTCTGGAGCCAACTCCTGGGCAGGATCCCAGCTCTAGACTGACAGCTGTATGTTTGCTTGGGCAAGTTATCTAACCTCTCCGTACCTTAGGTTTCCCATCTAGCTCATAATAATGTTGTGAGGGTTAAATGAATTGATATATGTAAAACATGTGGAATCGAATACACATCTGGTACCTAGTAAGCATGTGCTTTAGTAGTGTCATAGCTGTTATTTTTTCTCTTCCTTGCCCTAGGGATTGCTTCTCTGAGGGAGGCACTCAGCCTACTGGTGTGGTGCACCCAGAGACAGAAGAGCTTTCTATGGACTGGGCAGGTTGGAGAAGGCTTCATTAATTCTACAGACCTTTATCGATCCCAGGTCCCTGAACCTCCCCCGCCCCACCGGGAACCCCAAGTCTAGAGCGGAGGGAGGCAGACACATAAACAGAGAATCAGTATAAGAGGCAAGTATGTAATGTTCAGGGGAAAAGAGGAGGTAGTGGCTAATGGATATGAAGGCTGGTGGAGGGAGGAGGTCAGAGAAGGCTTCCTGGAGGAGGTGGCATAAGTAGAAAGTAGAACTGCGAATGACAGTTTGCCAGGCAGTCCCAGGGTGGAAGGCCTTCCGGGAGACTAAGAAGAGATGTGCTCTGGGCAGCAGGAGCCCGGCTGTGAGGAGCCTGGGCTTTATCCTAAGGGCAGGAGGGAGCACCAAGGGCTGTGGAGTAGCAAGGACATAGGCAGCTGGAGGAAGGTGGCTTGGGCAGCTGTTGGAAGATGGCTGGGCATGGGAGGACTTGTCAGTTCCCTTCCTTATTCATCTCTGCAGCCCCAGCTGCCAGGACTGGTCAGTCCAGCACAGCATTGCTGGCTACCACTGAGTAGATGAACAAAGGAAAATACCTGTGATCATCTAGGCCTGAGACAGCTGGGACCAGAGAGGTAGCTGGGGTTTTGTAGGAGGGTGCAGAGCTGACGGTTTGTGGACTCTTGCAGAAGGTGTGGGGACTTCTCTTGAGGGTCATGTGCTTCTGGCTCCCCTAACAGCTCAGCCTGGGGTTGCCCTGTGTGGGAGAGGCAGGTCATGCCAGCAGCTGGGCCTGACTGGCTCTGTCCAGCAGGGGGCAGCCGCAGTGCGCAGATGGGCGTGCCCGGCGCCTTTTCTAAGTGCCACCAGCACTTAGAAAAGGGTCTTCGTGGTGGGTGGGTCGGACCCAGTGTGGCAAGGGCTTCCTTGGCGAGCTGAAGGGCAGAGAGGGGGCACCTTCACACCCTCAGGATCTTGTTGATTGGGGCAGTCCTGCGGAGACCAGGGATGCCCGCAAGACCCTGGGAAGCCTAAGTAATTTTCAACCCTGGGAGCACATTAGAGTAGCCTGGGGAGTGTTAAAAACCCACCCAGGCCTGGTGCCCTCCCCAGATCCATGAATCAGAGTCTGAGGGTGGGGCTCAGGCACCAGTCATTAAAAAAAAAAAAAAAAAAAAAAATCTCCCCTGGCCAGGTGCGGTGTCTCACGCCCGTAATCCTAGCACTTTGGGAGGCCGAGGCGGGTGGATTACCTGAGGTCAGGAGTTCAAGACCAGCCTGGCCAACATGGTGAAACCCTGTCTCTACTAAAAATACAAAAAATTAGCCGGGTGCAGTGGCGTATGCCTCTAATCCCAGCTACTTGGGAGGCTGAGGCAGGAGAATCGCTTGAAATCGGGAGGTGGAGGTTGTGGTGAGCCGAGATCACGCCATTGCATTCCAGCCTGGGCAACAAGAGTGAGACTCTGTCTCAAAAACAAAAAAACCCAAAAACAAACAAACAAACAAAAAACTCCCCTGGCAATTCTCTTTTGTTTGTTTCTTTTTTTTCTTTTATTTTTTTAATTGAGACGGGGTCTCACTCTGTCACCCAGGCTGGAATGCAGTGGCACGATCCCTTGGCAATTCCAGTACGCACTGAATTGCCCAGTGGCAGGGGTTTGAGAGGAGTGAGCCAACAAATGTCAGGACCTTCTTTTCCCTCCTGTGGGGTAGGTCTGGGTCATTTAGATCTCATGCCCACTATAGTCACAGCAGGGGGTCCGACGGCCCTTGGCCCTTGGCCTCAAGGCTGAGAGAAGGTGGGGAGCAGGGTCGCCTGCAAGGAGACACCTGCTCCCACCTGCCAAGGATGAGGCATTCAGAGTGGCTGTGGGGTGTGCTCGGGAGTGTGTCTCAGCACCGCTGCGCGTGCGGGGGCACATCCCTGTGTGCAGGTGCTGGGTACCTACGTGCATGCAAGTGTGTCTGTCCGGCATGTGAAGGGGCTTTTGGGGCTGGTTCTGTCTGCCTGGCATGCTGGCTTTTGCCTCTGTGCTTTGTGTATGTGTTGGGACACGAGTGTTGCTCTGCGCCAGCAGCTGTGAGCTGTCTCTGTCTGCAGGTTGTCTCTGCATACACGTTGCCTCTGTGTCTTTTGTGTGTCATGGTGTGTGGCTATCTCAGGGCTGGCCTGTGCACATCTGTGTTCTTGGGTCTTTTAGAGCCAACGACGAATATGAAGCTCTGCTGTTTGAAGGTGTTTTTTCTCTTTCTTTCTCTCCTTCCAGCCTGATCAGTATGCTGCTCCCGTGCAGCCTCCCCAAAGACCACACACAGGCGAGTTCTGTGTGGACAGAGTCAAGTGTGGGCTTAGAAAGATCCACCACAGCCCCTCTAGGAGTAATACCTCCAGTCAGCCTCCCTCTAGGTGTGCAGCCGGTCTTGCTGGCCAGAGCCTCCTTGCGGCCGATGCAGCCAGCAACAGGCACCGTCGGCCCACCGAGCGTGCCAGGCCCACCGCCCCTCCCTGCCCACCATGTTGGAAAGGCCATAGGAGGGATCTCAGCTAAGCAGGGCCAGATGGAGACAGAAGGACCTCCCAAGCAGGCCAGTTTGGTGCCACTTTATGTCAATATTCTCTAAATATTTGTACAACATTTATTTAGTGGAGAAGGTAAAATGATATTCTGTTAGTTAAAAAAAACCCCAGTATATCTGCTTATAATAAAAAATGGAATTTATTGCATGCACCAAGCATCACATACATGTTAACTTAGCCTTTGATATCGGAGTTTTCCCATCATTTATAATTGGATGTACATTGTGATTCACTAAGGATGGAGGTAACTGTTACATAGCTGTGGATACGTAGTTTGTTCCCAGAGACATAACTCTTTTTTTGAGACGGAGTCTCGCACTGTTGCCCAGGCGCAGTCTCGGCTCACTGCAATCTCTGCCTCCTGGGTTCAAGTGATTCTCCTGCCTCAGCCTCCCGAGTAGCTGGGATTACAGGTGCCTACCACTAGGCCCAGTTAATTTTTGTATTTTTAGTAGAGACGGGGTTTCACCATATTGGCCAGGCTGGTCTTGAACTCCTGACCTCAGGTCATCTGCCCACCTTGGCATCCCAGTGCTGGGATTACAGGCATGAGCCAACGCGCCTGGCCCCAGAGACAGAAGTCTTTATCAGGCATTGTTTGGTTTGAAAATTTCAGCCAGCTCTGCAGGCCATGTTTACCCTAAACCAGTACTGCCTTTTTGTGAGTCAGACAAAGGTGCCTCATTCAGGCAGCTCCAGCCCCGTGGACATGGATATGCAGGTTTGGGAGTGGAGGTTGGCTGGGACCTCCCTCAGCCCTGTGTGTGGTGTGTAAGGGGCACCTGCCTGTGTGTGTGTGGTGGGCAGGCCAGCTTAGATGTGGGAGGGTGGGTGGTGTGTACTGGTTTGTGTGTTTTCATGGTGTGTCTGATGTTTGAGTACAAGGAACGTATATTGTTTTGGGTGGTGTGGGTCTGGATGGGGTGTGAGTTGCATGGAGTGTGTGATGTCTGGGTGTTTCCGGGGTAGTGAAGAATGGGTTTTGTGTGAGTGGTGATCATTTTTGGGGACATGGAGGTCAGTATGATATGAGTATCCAGCTGGTGGGATGTCAAGTGCATGCAAGGCAGGTGCCACGTGTGTGATTGTGGCATGTGCCTTCTATTGGGTCAGGTGAATTGGGTGTGCCTGTATGTGTGAGGGTGTGTGGTGTGTAATGCATGCCTGTGTGCGTGACTATGAATGGGATTCCCTGGGACAGGTTCAAGGTCTCAGCCCTCCAGTCTAGCACTTGCAAGCCTTGGCCAGGCCTCCCCAGGGCTCCTCCCAGCCTTTGGGCTGCCGCTGAGGTGGGGTGGGCTCTGAACTGCTGCTGCCCCAACCATACTGACCTTGGGAGGCCAGCAGGGTCCTGTCTGTGGGCTTGAAGGAAGCAGTCCTCTACAGTGGAGGGACAGTTGGATGGCAGTTTGCACAGGAGCTGTGCCCTGGCCCAGGAGACCACCTGGCCAGGGCACAGCTCCTGTGCCTATCTGGCGAGCCCAGTTGAGATTCTACTTCCCCACCCCTTATCCCAGACCGCTGTCTGGGTCACCACCACCTGAATGATTGCAGTCACTTTTAATTTGGCCTCCTTGCCTCTCCCCTGCACCCCTTCCCCTCCTTCTCCTATCCACTCTGCTAGCCACCCTGTGGCCAGTATGGTTTCTCAACACTCAAATCTGGGCACAGCCTCTTCACTTAAAACCCTTCTGTGGCCTCCCTACTGCCCACAGGATAAAGGCCAAGCTCCTTGGCCGGGCATTCAAGGCCCCTACAACTGGCCCTCATTTGCCTGTCCTAACTCCTCCCTCCACCCACACCATGCCCACGATGCTAAGGGCCACCTGGCACTATCTCCTTGGATGCCAGTGCAAGGTCCAGCCTCCAGCTCTTTCCTGCACTGAGCCTCCTACCCCTCTGGCTGGTGCCCTGTCCTCACCTGGCCTGGCCAAGCCCACAGCTTCCATCCCTGGAAGCCTCCCCTGCCCTTTTCAGGTGGAGCTGCTGGCTCCTTACCCAGAGTTAGCTTCAATCCTGGATGCAAGCTGCCCGCTGTGCATAGTCACAGTCAGCTGGGGTGTGTGTCCTCACTGAACGCTGCCTCCTCTGGGGCTATCTCAGGGATGTGCCTGGGTCAGCCTAGCCCCTCAGAATCTGACTCCAGATTCTCGGGGATCCACCCTGAGTGGGGCTCCAGGGCCCACTCGCCCACTGGTGAGGGCAACGCTTGGAGATGGTGGCGTTTTCTCTCGTCTCCGTTCAGGCAGGCGGCTGGCCTGAGCTGCCTTGAGACTGGAAGAGACTTTGTCTGCAAGACACTTCTCCATTCAGGTTTTATTTCCCTAAAGCTGAAGCCTCCCCTGGGAATTAAGCTGTGTGATCTGGTGGGAAAAGTGAGGGAACATTGAAAAGAGGAGGGATTCCCCTGACTGCAGGGAGGATGGTTACAAACTCTGGAGACTGGGAGGGAAGGAACATCTGGCATTGCCCAGGCAGAGGGGCTTGTGTCTGTTCCCCTGCAGGGCCTTGTAGGAGGTAGGATTTCCAAGGGGCTCTTTGGGTCCCAGCCTTGCCAATATGCTAAAGTAGCCCTGGGGTTGGGGGTCAGTGGGTGTCTGTCTCAGTCCATTTGCATTGCTATGAAGGAATACCTGAGGCAGGGTAATTTTAAAGAAAAGAGGTTTACTTGGCTCATGGTTCTTCAGGCTGTACTGGAAGCATGGTGGCGGCAAAGGTGCTGCCCCAGGTGAGGGCTGCAGGATGCTTCCACTCATGGCAGAAAGGAGAGGGGACCTGTGTGCAGAGATAACATGTGTAGACAAAGAGAGAGGGAGAGGGGGAGGGAGGGAGAGAGAGAAAGGAAGCGAGGGAGAGAGAGAGGGAGGGAGGGAAAGAAGGAGGGAGGGAGGGAGAGAGGGAGGGAGGGAGAGAAAGAGGGAGGGGGAGGGAGAGGGAGGGAGAGGGGTGAGAGAGATGGGGGAGAGACAGAGAGGGAAGGGGGAGAGAGAGGAAAGGGGGAGAGAGAGAGGAAAGGGGGAGAAAGAGAGAGGAAAGGGGGAGAAAGAGAGAGGGAAGGGGGAGAGAGAGAGGAAAGGGGGAGAAAGAGGGATGGGGGAGAGAGAGAGGGAGAAGGGGAGAGGGAGAGAAAGAGCGGGAGAGAAGAGGGAAAGGGAGGGAGAGAGGGGGACAGAAGAGGGAGAGGGAGCGAGAGGGGGAGAGAGATAGGGAGGGAGAAGAGGAGATGCTAGATTCTTTTCAACAACTAGTTCTCAGGGGAACTAAGAGTGAGAACTCACTCACTCCCACAAGAATGGCACCAAGCCTCACGACCCAAACACCTCCCACCAGGTCCCACCTCCAACACTGGGGATGAAACTTGGTGGGGCCAAACAAACCCTATTTAAGCCATAGCAGCGTCTCACAGCATCACTGTGGAGTAATGGCCACCATAAGCAAGTCCTCCCCACCCTGAGCCCTGGCACGACACTGCCAATTCTTGAAACCCAGGGTGCAGTGGTGACGGCAGCTGCGTATGGTGGGAAGTAGGCTGTGAGCAAGTCACAGTGCCCCATCTGTAAAACAGAGATAAGAATACGATCTGCCTCTTGATGTCAAGATTAATGAGATAATAATGGTCATCTCTTAAAAGATTGTATCTACCAAGGGCTGTTCACAGAATAACACATCTAATCCTCTTGACAATCCTATGTGGTAGTTGCTATCATTACCCATTTTATAGAAGAGAAAGCTGAGGTATTGACTCATTCAAGTCTTAAATGGGGGATTGGATACAGGTGGTCTGGCCCCGAGCCTGGATTCTTAACCACTGCCCCTCTGGTTGAGGGAGGCAGAATCCTTAAACATAGTAAGTGCACAAGAAGTGTTAGCACCGGGCAAGGGAGAACATCCACTTTCAGCAGCACTCGCCTATGATGGATCAAAGCCGAGGGCTGTTGTCACCATGTGACATGTGCCAGATCCTTTCTGGACTGAACTGGAGACCCTGGACCTATGAGCAATGGGATTTGCTGTGTCCAGCTGTGTATAACCACTGGACTCATCCTCCATCCCGCCCTTGGTAGAGTGCTAGTTTTCATCTATGAGTAAAAGAACCACAATAAACTGTCTTCACCCTTTCTGGCATTAAAAAACCTTCAATTTTCCCCTTCAGTGAACTACTTGGTGAATATCTTCACTGGCATATGAACTTCTGGTACATTAAAATACTCAGGGTTTTTTTTTTTTGTTGTTGTTGTTTTTTGAGATGGAGTCTTGCTTTGTCACTCAGGCTGGAGTGCAGTGGCATGATCTCAGCTCACTGCAACCTCCACCTCCTGGGTTCAGGCGATTCTCCTGCCTCAGCCTCCCGAGCAGGTGGGATTACAAGTGCACACCACCACACCCGGCTAATTTTTGTATTTTTTAGTAGAGATGGGGGGTTCATCATTGTTGGCCAGGCTGGTCTCGAACTCCTGACCTCAAGTGATCTGCTTGCCTTGGCCTCCCAAAGTGCTGGGATTATAGGTGTGAGCCACTGCGCCCGGCCTGTTTGTTTGTTTTTGTTGTTGTTGTTTGTTTTTTAAAGAAATGGGGTCTCACTGTGTTTGCCCAGGCTGATGTGCAGTGGCACAACTGTAGCTCACTGTAACCTCGAACTCCTGGGCTCCAGAGATCCTCCTGCCTCAGCCTCCCAAGTAGATGGAACTATAGGCGCATACCACCACACGCAGCTCATTTTTAAAAACACTTTTTGTAGGGACAGGATGTTGCTATGTTGTCCAGGCTGGTCTTGAACTCCTGGCCTCAAGCAGTTCTTCTGCCTTGCCCTCCCGAAGCACTGGGATTACAGGTGTGCACCACCATGCCCAGCCTTTCAGATTTTGTTTTATTTTGTTATTATTTAATTTAGTTCTGCTGGTCTTTGTTTTGCTTCTTGACGTTTCTCAATAAATGTTAGCTATGGTATAGGAATCTCAATCTGCATACTTAGGTATGTAAGAAATACCATTTTTTTTGCCTCTTTCTTTTCTTTTCTTTCTTTCTTTCTGTCTTTCTTTCTTTCTTTCTTTCTTTCTTTCTTTCTTCCTTTCTCTCTCTCCCTTCCTTCCTTCTTTCCCTCCCTCCCTCTTTCTTTCTTTCCTTCCTTCCTTCCTTCCTTCTTTCTTTCTTTCTTTCTTTCTTTCTTTCTTTCTTTCTTTTCTTTCTTTCTTTCTTCTTTCCTTCTTTCTTTCTTTCTTTCTTTCTTTCTTTCTCTCTTTCTTTCTTTCTTTCTTTCTTTCTCTCTCTCTCTCTCTCTCTTTCTCTCTCTGTCTCTCTCCCTTCCGTCCTTCCTTCCCTCCCTCCCTCTCTCTCTTTCTTTCTTTCTTTCCTTCCCTCCTCTTTCTTTTTTTTTTTTGATGGAGTCTTGCTCTGTCACCCAGGCTGGAGTGCAGTGGTACGATCTCGGCTCACTTCAACCTCCGCCTCCTGGGTTCAAGCGATTCTCCTGCCTCAGCCTCCCGAGTGGCTGGGATTACAGGCATCCGCCACCAAGCCTGGCTAATTTTTTGTATTTTTAGTGGAGATGGAGTTTCACCATGTTGGCCAGGCTGGTCTGGAACTCCTGACCTTGTGATCCGCCCGCCTTGGCCTCCCAAAGTGCTGGGATTACAGGCGTGAGCCACCGCACCTGGCCTTTTTGCTCCTTTGAAACCAATTTTACGGTCCAATATTGAACCCCCATTTCTTCCTCTAGGAATGTGTGAAATTCAGGCTCAGATGCTCTTGGGGCTAAGTTGGAGATGTGCATGCGTGTGTACGTGTGTGTGTGTGTGTGTGTGTGTGTGTGTGTGAAAGAGGTGCAGGTGGGGGTTCCTGTAATAGAAGTAGTGTGAAGCTGGGAGCAGACAGGCACCTGAGGGTAGGGATTACTGAGGGTGCCCCCTTAGGAGGGTGGAGTAGATAGACAAGAAGCAGTGAGTTGGTGTAAGGCATGCCACTGAGTGGGAGCTGCTGAGTTCGTGATCCCGAGCCTCATGAACTGTCCCACTAAGGAAGGTGTGGCTTGGTGTTTCTCCTTGGGGATGTGTCTAGGACGTTTCTGCAGACTCATCCATAGGAAGCACACTGCCCTACTCTGACCCCCTCAGAGGACTCTATTTGGGTCTCTGTGAGGGCACTGATCACAGCCTCGGTTAGTGTCTTGGGCTGTGGTGTTCATTCTATTTAATTCAATTCAATTCAGTTTGATTCAATTCAATTCAACAGTGCTAGACTCTGTGCCAGACACTGAATTAGACTTAACTCCTGCCTTATGGGGCCTGTAGTTAAGTGGGGCTCTAGGTATGTAGACACAGGATTACCATGCACAGTACTGCCATGACAGTGGGGTACCAGGGGCATCGGGCAAGGGTTCCTAACTCAGGCTGTGGGTCAATGAAGTCAGTGAAGATGCCAGATAGTTGTGGTGCCTCAGCCAAGACCCAAGGGATGAAGGGGAGAAGGCTGCGGGTGACTAAGGTGTTTCAGGTATTTCAGGCAGGGATGGTGTGTAGTGGAGACTGGAGGCCAGAGAGTGTGGGGCCTGGAGATAACTTCTCTAGGTCACAGAAGGATCTGGAAGGTCATGGGGAGATGGTAAAGGAGGAAGTCAGAGGGTTGGGCTGGGGCCTTGGCATGCAAGGCTTTGGAGGCCTTACATTTAAGAGTTTGGGCTATACCTGGGGGCGATGCAGAGCCCTTGAGGGAGAGTGATACATGTGCAGTCTTTAAAGAGCAACTTGTGACTGGGCATGGTGGCTCATGCCTGTAATCCCAGCACTTTGGGAGGCCGAGGTGGGCAGATCACCTGAGGTCAGGAGTTTGAGACCAGCTTGGCCAACATGGCGAAACCTCATCTCTACCAAAAATACAAAAATTAACCAGGCGTGGTGGTACACGCCTGTAGTCCCAGCTACTGGGGAGACTGAGGCAGGAGGATCACTTGAACCCTGGAGGTGGAGGCTACAGTGAGCTGAGATTGCATCACTGTAATCCAGCCTGGGTGACAGAGTGAGACACCGTCTCAAAAGAAAAAAAAAGCACCTTGTGTGTAGTGTGAAGGGTGGGTGTGAGGGTGTGCTGGTGAATGTCTAACAATGGTCACTTCAGAAAAAAAGCCTTTTGGCCAATTGCTGTGGTGTAAAATACTCCCACTGTGACTGTTCTCGAGGTATCAATGTGATGTTGCTGAACACAGAGTTGGGATGAGATGCTAATGGTCTGATCTCCTGAGCTGGCACAAGCTGGCTTCAGCACACCGCTGGTTGGAGTGGAGCAGGGAGGCCTTATCTATTTCCCTAGAGTGAGAGAGTGAGGGAGCTCTTCTCTCATTCCCTGTCTCCTCTCCCAGCAGCGACCATAAGCCCTGCACAGAGTTAGCACTGAGGCCAGAAATATTCTGGAAGGACAAACAGTGGAGAAGAGCCCTCAGGAACGTCCTATGCCATTTCCTGATGGGATCCCTGAGAACTGGCTCTCGGGAGGAAGTCAGAGGCAGGAAAGGGTGTCCATGTGATCAGATTTCAGGGCTGAGGACGGGAGGAGGGCATGCTGGGATGGGAAGCTGATGAGCTGATGATAATAATTATGACAATTATGCAAAATACACAAATAATAATTACAGAAAATCATGATTATTATTTGTGGGTGTGAGATGTCTCCAGCTTTTTGGAACTGCACAGAAATGTTGGATGCCTCTTTTCTTGTGGGTGTGTGAGTGTCACATTCAAGCTTGGGCTGTCTGGCAGGAGCTGGGGTTTCCATCCCTCTCCAGACAGCTGTCTCCTGCCCTGGGTCTTGGTGGGATCCAACCTTCTTCACACAGTGCCAGGCCTGAGTGAGCTAGATCAAGTTCAGGAAAGGCAGGGCCTCCTACTTCTAGTTCCCACCTCAGAACCTCACTGAGGACACAGCCATGGGAGGGCTGAACAGGGATAAGGCAATGATTAACCTAGAAGAATAATTCAGAGGCTCGGGAGCCATGTGTCTCCCTGATGAGCTGGTCTCATGATTCATGGCTGATTAGATATCTGACCCAAATAGTGTCAATTAGACTCTCTTTTCTGGAAATATAGGGCTGGGACTGGGAGAGAGCAGGGTTTGTCTGTGAGTGATTGCATCTCTCACTGGGAGGCTGGGATTGGGCAGGTTCTACCCAGCAACCAAGTGGACTGTGGAGTGGGAGAGAGAAAGGACTGACATTCCTGCTGGCCTTCTGCATTCCAGCTCCAGTCCTCTTCCACGAAGTTCCTTGTATCTTTGTTGTAAGAGCCCCAGTGATGTCAGCTTGAGGTGGTGTCTGTTACTTGCAGCTAAGATTCTAAGCAGGGATGTATTGCAAAGAGCCTTGCATGTTTTGGTTTTATGGATCAGAGGTCCTCTCAAGCTAGCTCACTCGAGACACTAGTGGCATAATAAGGGCACTCGTGGAAATCCTACAAGAGAAACTGTCAGGGCTGGGGCCCGCAGGAAACTGAGGCAGACTGGATTTAAGATGGCGCCAGGACCTCAGCATCGGGAGGGAATTTATTAACTCTATTAACACAACTTGTGGTCAATTCCTTGTGGCTGCCTTTCCTGTCCTGCTAACACTTCACCAACTCTTCTCTTTTTCCTTCCATTCAACCACCTGAGAGAAGACATTCAATTGGCTCAGCTGATGACTATTTTCTCTTTGCGGAGCCTTTTGTGTCAGGCCATGTGATAGGCTATGAGATAGCCTATAGATGGGCTGCCCTTGTTTCAGGTGCTCATTCATGGTCCAATCAGATGCCATCTCTGAGCTGGCCGTCTGGGCGGGGTAGTTTTAAACGGAAGTTGATTTTGTCAGCGTGGAGGCTGGTGAGTCCTGTGTGAATGCCAGGCTCGGTACGTAATTCAGCAGGTGATGGTGAGGCCTCTAAGGTTCTTGAGGATGTGATATGGTCAAAGCTGAGACTTGTGAATATTATCTGGTTGCAGAGAAGAGGTTGGTTGGAGGGTGAGAGGACAGGCAGGGAGGCAAGGTAGGTGGTTGCTGCCTTAGTCCAGTGAGAGGAGATGAGCTGAGCTGGCCTGATCTAGAGCGTGGGCCAGGCCAGGACCAGGGTAGGCAAGTGAGGCTCTGGGGACACCACATTTAAGTGGCCCTGCTCCCTCTCAGGGCCAGCCCTTGCAGGAGCCTCCTGAATTTTGCTTCACTCATCCCATCCTAGAACTGGCCCTGGGCAGGGTGATGGAGAAGACACCTGAATGTATGGGCTCAATAACTGGTGGGTTGCAGGTGGTGAGGAGAGGGACCCTCCTTTCTCTGGGGAATGCTGAGGCTTTTGGTGGTGTGGGCTGGAGATCAGGAAGCCAGGCCCGGAGATGGGGAAGCAGGAGGAGGGAATTTGGGTTTGTGGAGGAGGCTGGTAAGTTCACTTTGGGGTCTGAGGAGTTTGCGATGCCTGTGGGAGGTTGAGGGCAGGGTTTCTAGTAGACAGATGGGAATGTGGGTCTGAAGCTTGGAGAGAAGTCCGAGCTGTAGAGGTGGGCTTTGGCAGTGTCAGCATAGAGTTGATCCTGAGGCACCATGTGCAGAGTACTGGGCACCCTACCTGGCACAAAGCGTGTGCTCAGGAAATGTTTCATAAGTAATATGGGAAGTCATGGGAATCCACTTGATCCTTCGGGGAGTGTTGTAGGGAGGAATGGGTCTCTAATGGTGAAATGTCAGACAGCTGACAATAGCTTCTGGGTTAGGGGGCATTTGTGAGTAGGAGGGGATTCTTTTGGAGCTCCTTACATGACCCCATGCTTGTATCCACGGATGCACCCTGTTCTCAAGGATCCCTGGAGCACAAATGCCTGGCTGAAGGGCTGAGGACTGATATGGTTTGGCTCTGTGTTCCCACCCAGATCTCATGTGGAATTGTAATCCCCAGTGTTGGAGGAGGGGCCTGGTGGGAGGTGATTGGATTATAGGGTCCCCTTGCACTCGTGATAGTGAGTTCTCACGAGATCTGGTTGTTTAAAAGTGTGTAGCACCTCCCCCTTTGCTGTCTTTCTTCCTCCGGCTCCTGCCATGTAGATGTGCCTGCTTTCCCTTTGCCTTCTACCATAATTGTAATTTTCCTGAGGCCTCCTCGGCAGCGTGGAACCATGAGCCCATTAAACCCCTTTTCTCTATAAATTACCCAGTCTCAGGTAGTTTTTTTATAGCATTGCAAGAACAGACTAATACAAGGACCAAGAATCAGGGGACCTCCACCTTTGTCTCTGACTGTGACGGTTGCTGCTTCTTTAAGAAGTGGCTTCCTGGTAATTACCCAGAGGTTATGCCTGGTCATCAGTGGAACTGGTAGCATAAAACCCCCACACTTGTGTGAAGTCTTAGGTTTTTTTTTTTTCCAGGGTGGTTTCACATTCATGAATTCATTTGAGATCTATTACTCTCTTGTGAAGGAGAAAGCCCAGGGCTCATCATCCCTGTTCTACAGGTGAAGCAACTGAGGCTCCAAGAGGTTAAGTGGCTAGCTGAGAGCCACAAAGCTCTGGTCAGGAAAGGCTGGCTTGGAATCTAGGTCTGCTTAAAAAAATACAGTCTCCTGAATCTAGAAGTCATTATGTACTCTAGGCTTTCCTTAGATATATAATAATAAGATAACATTGGAGTTAAATAAATGGCTAATGTTTATTAGAGACTTAAATGATGGGTACTGTATTTTACATTTAAACCTCACAACAATTCTATGGGATAGGTACTATCATCCATCTATTGGCAAGAATGCAAAAAGAATGTCCAGTTCTGGCCATGATGTGGGAAGAGGGCTTTTGCATCCATTGCTGGGGACTGAGAATTGCCGTGAGTGCTAGGGAACAAAATCAGCAGTGGCAATTAAAATTTAAAGTACGAACACCCTTGATTCACAAATTGTTCTTTGGGGAGTCTAGCCTGCGGGAATAAAAGCATCAGAACATAAGGATAAATGCACAAAGACATTTACTACTGCACCATCTGTAGTCATGAATGAAACAGTCGAATATCTATCAGGAGGGAAATGGTTAACTGATGGCTGCGGATGGTGACCCAGCTAATGACAGGAGGGAGAACCTTCCAGATGCACTGACCTCAAGGGTGGTTCATGATGTGTTAAGTGAACAAAGCAAGTTTGGAGTAATGTGAATCCTATTTTTATTAGATACATAAATAGAAATTTATTTTTTATTTATTTTTTTGAGACAGAGTCTCCCTCTGTCGCCCAGGCTGGAGCGCAGTGGCTCGATCTCAGCTCACTGCAACCTCCACCTCCTGGGTTCAAGTGATTCTCATGCCTCAGCCTCCCGAGTAGCTGGGCTTACAGGTGTGTGCCACCACGCTCAGCTAATTTTTTGTATATTTTTTAGTAGAGATGGGGTTTCACCATGTTGTCCAGGCTGGTCTCGACAAGTGATCCACCTGCCTCGGCCTCCCAAAGTGCTGGGATTACAGGCATGAGCCTCTGTGCCCGGCCAATAAATAGAAATTTAAAAAGCCCACATTTTTTTTGTTTGTCTGTAAGGGTCTAGAAAATTACAGCCGGCCCTCTTCATCAGGGGGTTCTGTATCCATAGATTCATTCAACCAACTACAGCTCAAAAATGTAAAAAAAAAAAAAAAAAAAAAAAAAAAAGAAAAAATATTTAACAGTAAAAATGAATACAAATAAAAATACAGTATAGCTACATAGCATTTACATTGCATTAGGTATTATAAGTAATCTAGAGATGATCAAAAGTATATGGGTGGGTATGTGTAGGTTAGTTGCAAGTACAATACCATTTTATATTAGGAACTTGAACATCTGCAGATTTTGATATCTGGGGGGGGTCCTAGAACGAATCTCCCTGTGGATACTGAGGGATGATGGTATATGAAAAGATGTGTCATCTGTTGTAACCTCAGGGAGATAAGATTGAAGGCAGGGAGGAGAAGAAAATGAACTTTTCCCACATATCTGCATTACTCAACTGGTATAGCTGGAGAGTCATGGGTGGCTCCATAGAGGTGGTGACATTTGAGTTGAGTGTTGAAGAATGGTTGGGAGTTTGCCAGCCAATGAGGCTGGGAATGAGGGTAGGGAGTGGCATTTTAGGCAGAGGCACAGAGATGTGGAAGCACATGAGTGGAGAAAGGACAGCAGTGTTGTGTGGCTGCTCACTCATGAAGAATGTTGCTATGAAGATTAAAATGAGAGAATGCAGGCCAGGCGCATTGGCTCAAACCTGTAATCCCAGCACTTTGGGAGGCTGAGGTGGGTAGATCGCTTGAGCCCAGGAGTTCGAGACCAGCCTGGGAAGCGTGGTGGAACTCCATCTCTACAAAAAATGCAAAAATTAGCCAGGTGTGATGGTGTGTGCCTGTAGTCCCAGCTACTCAGGAGGTTGAGATGGGAGGATCTCTTGAGCCTGGGAGGTTGAGGCTGCAGTGAGCCCTGATCGTACCACTGCACTCCAGCCTGGGCAACAGAATGGGATCTTGTTTCAGGAAAAAAAAAAAAAAAAAGCATATGGAACCCCTCGGAAAGGCCACTGGATCTTAGTTCTTGCTCCTGTGAAGCAGTCTAATTCTTGTCATATATTGGAATATGGATTAAGGATCATGTGTGGCAAATGCACGTTAGGTATGGAGTGGGGTGGAGGGTGGTGGGGCATGTGGGCCTCCTCTTCCTTTGTCTCCTTCTTTATTCCTTTCTCCTCTCCTTTAACTCCTTTGTTTTCTCCCCCAATCCCCTCTTCCTTATTTCTCTCTCCTCCAATTCCCTTTCCCTCCCTCCCTTTTGCTATCTTTTTTTTTTTTTTTTTTGAGATGGAGTCTTGCTCTGTTGCCAGGCTGGAGTGCAGTGGTGCGATCTCAGCTTACTGAAACCTCTGCCTCCTGGGTTCAAGTGATTCTCCTGCCTCAGCCTCCCAAGTAGCTGGGACCACAGGCACTTGCCACCAAGCCAAGCTAATTTTTGTATTTTTAGTAGAGACGGGGTTTCACCATGTTGGCCAGGATGGTCTCGATCTCTTGACTTTGTGATCTGTCTGCCTTAGCCTGCCAAAGTCCTGGGATTACAGGCGTGAGCCACCGTGCCTGGCCCCTTTTGCTGTCTTAAGTCCACTCCCTTCAGGTGCCTCTGTAGGGAGAGGATCACAGTGGAGGGAATGTCTTGCTGCGGAACAGTCAGCTGGGCATGCTGTGACCCTTCTCAATCCCTCTGATCTGGCAACTCAGGCAGGACCACAGGCTGTGATGCCAGATCAACCTAGGTTTAAATCCCAGCCCTACCACTTACTAGCTGTGTGACCTCAGGCAAGTGATTCAATGTCTCTGAGCCACTGCTTCTACGTTTATAAAATGCATGTAATGATTTTCTCATAAGGTCGTTGTCAAGATTAACTGAGAAAAGGTTTACATGTAGCATTTTCAAAGATCTAGAGACAAAAATATTTTCTTATTTCTTCATCTCCTTTTAGCTAGAGATGATTCTGGCGAACTCTTTGAACCTCTGATGTTTTGTTTCAGGGACTTCCTTCCTTCCTGCCTAATACTGGACCTTGAATTGTGGATTAGCCATAGTCAGTGTTCAATTCTCTGCATGTTGCAGGCTGCTTCTGCCCTTTCTTCCACTCTAACCCAAAGAAGCAAGTGAATCAAAATAACTCCAGGCAGCAGAGCCAAGATGGAGGAGGACAGCTCTGGGATGGCTAGGGCCCGGGCCCCCTGGGGTGGATAAAGGGGGTGACTGCGGGGGCTGGGGCAGACAGCTGAGGACTTGGAGGCACCACTCTCTGATAAGGGGGTTGTTTCCCCAGCACTCATAGGGGTCCCTTCCTGGCTCTGTGTGTATGTTATGAGGGACATACACACTGGAGAAGGCCCCTTTGTGGTGATGGAAAGAGTTATGAGTTATTAATGGTGTTTGTAGTTGTAAGCGCCACTAACAACCATAATCATGTGCATTGTAATAATGTGTGTAATGAAAGCTCCAGCAATGAATTAATAGATCCATCATGACTTTGATGACCATGTGAGCGTAAGCTAGTGTACGACTTTATGTTAACAGGCCCGGTACAACCTGGCAGGGAGACGGGTGGCTGAGGGAAAGAAAGGGCCTGGGGCTAAGAGGCAGTCCTGGAATGGGCAGACCCAGGCATGCATCTCTGCTCAGTATCTTCAGAGCTGTGTGACGTGGCACTGTTCCGTTACCTCTCTGAGCCTCAGTTTTCTCATCTAAATTAGAGATGATAATATTCCATCTCCTACAGAGGTGTGATGGTTAAATGAGATAATGCAACTGAAATAGGCAACACCTCTCAGCACCTCTCTTGCTTACTCTCTCCAGCTAGGCTGGTTGCATTACTGCTCTGAGGAATGGCACCTGTGCACCTGCTGCAGGCCCTTTGCACTGGCTGTTCCCTCCACCTGGCATGCTCTCCCCATATTCATAGTCATGGGTTGCTTAGTGATGGGGATGGATTCTTTTTTTTTTCTTTTTTCTTTTCTTTTTTTTTTTTTTATGTTTTGAGACAGTGTTTCACTCTATCGCCCAGGCTGGAGTGCAGTGGTGGAATCTTGGCTCACTGCAAACCTCCGCATCCTGGTTTCAACTGATTCTCCTGCCTCAGCCTCCTGAGTAGCTGGAATTACAGGCATGCGCTACCACGCCCGGCTAACTTTTGTATTTTTAATAGAGACAGGATTTCGCCATGTTGGCCAGGCTGGTCTCAAACTCCTGACCTCAAGTGATCTGTCCCCCTCGGCCTTCCCATGTGCTGGGAATTATAGGCGTGAGACACCGCACCCGACCCACTACTGTAGACTTTATAAACCCCGTACACTTAGGCTACACTAAATTCATAAACTTTTTTCTTTTCTTCAATAATAAAAATGTAACATTTTTACTCTTATCTTTTTTTGATTTGTAAAAACTTTTGGACTGTTGTAATAACACATAGCTTAAAACATAGACATATACAGCTATATGAAATTATTTTCTTTGTTTATATCCTTATTCTATATAAGATTTTTTTCTTTTCATATATACCTTTTGTAAAAACTGTCAATTTAGGCTTTTTTCTATTATAAAATTATTTCCTTTTCTTTTTTTTTCTTTTTAGACTTTTTTGTTAAAAATGAAGACACAAACACACACATTAGCCTAGGCCTACCTAGGGTCAGGATCATCAATATCACTGTCTTCCATCTCCACATCTTGTCCCACTGGAAGGTCTTCAGGGGCAATAGCATACATAGAGCTGTCATCTCTTCTGATAACAATGCCTTCTGGAATAGCTCCTGAAGGACCTGCCTAAGGCTGTTTTACAGTTAGTTTTTTTTTTTTTTTTTTCATAAGTAGCAGGAGTACACATTGAAATAACAATAAAAAGCATAGCATAGTAAATACATAAGTCAGTAACATTGTCGTTTATTTTCAAGTATTATGTACTTGTACATAATTGTATGTGCTGGACTTTTTTATTTATTTATTTTTTTTGAGACAGAGTTTCGCTCTTGCTGCCCAGGCTGGAGTGCAGTGGTGCGATCTCGGCTCACTGCAACCTTCGCTTTTGGGGTTCAAGCGATTCTTGTGCCTCAGCCTTGCAAGTAGCTGGGATTACAGGCATGTGCCACCATGCCTGGCTAATTTTGTATTTTTAATAGAGATGGGGTTTCACCATGTTGGCCAGGCTGGTCTCGAACTCCTGACCTCAAGTGATCTGCCCTCTTTGGCCTCCCAAAGTGCTGGGATTACAGGTGTGAGCCACCGCACCCCACCCATTGTGCTAGACTTTTACACGACTGTGGCAGCGCAGTAGGTTTGCTTACACCAGTCCTACCATAAAGGCATGAGTAACCTGTTGTGCTATGACATTTCCACTGCTTGATGTTATGACAGCTACCGTGTCACTAGTGATAGGACATTTTCAGGTCCATTATAGGCTTATGGGATCACTGTTTGTGTATGTGGTCCGTGGATGACCGAAGCGCTGTTATGTGACACAGGGCTGTATTTACATGGCTTGCTTCGCCTTCTGGCAGGTCACTCCTTAAATGTCACCTTATCAGGGGGAACTTTCTGACCTCCTTGTCTAAAACAGCAACCCACGCTCTGTTCTCTCTGCTTTATTTTTATTCATAGCTCTTACATATTTATATGTAGTGGTTTACAACTTTCTGGTCGGTCTCTGCCTGTAGACTGTATCACAAGAACAGGGACTATGTTTTGCTTATGGTGGAATCTCGAGCACCCAAAACAGCACCCAGGGTATGGGAGGCACCCAGGAAATATTGAGTCAAGGAAGGGATATCTCCATGACAGGCATAGGGTAAGTGCTCAATAAATGGCAACTGGGGTAAAGCCATGTGAGCAAATGAACAGACACCATCGCAAAGGAGAAGCTATGAGGAAGCTCCTCTGCAAAGGCTGCCTCTGCACAGGAAAGCCCAAGGCATCTGGTTTTCTGCCCTTCTCTCCTCGCTTGCCTCCTTTGCAATCGTTGAGAGAACTGTAAAGCTGCCAGTGATCTTGGACAAGGCTTCCTCCTACACCACGGGGTAGGTATGCCAGTCTTGGGGGTTGTAGAGTGGTAGTGCGGAGGTTTCTGAAGAATGAGGTTCCTGGCCCTGAGCAGCGAGGAGAAGCGGTCTTAGGGTCCTCCTGCCAGGCTTCTGGATTCTGTCTAAAGTGTCTCCAAAACTGGTGTGTGCTTGTGTGTGACTGTGGGGGAGTGTGATGAGTCACCATGCGGATGCTGGGCTGTGTGTGTATAAGTCTATATCCTGCGCTTGGTTCCTTGCACAAGTGTGTGGCTGTTTAGCGTGTGCTTGCTTATATGTGTTGGGTGAACAATCGTGTGTGTAACTGTACATGTGTGCTGGGTGCAGACCTGTGTAGAAGGTATGACAGGGTGTGAGGGTGCGTGGGTGAGTATGAGTGCCTTGAGGCACAGCTTAAGGGTGAGCTGTGGGAGTGTGTGCATGAAGTTCATGGAGAGGCGTGTGTCTCCGTGTGAGCAGGTTTGAACATGTTTTATGTGTGTATTCTAGTTGTGAGAGGGTGTTGACAACCAAGTTTGCACACATGGATTGTGTGTGAACTTACCTATGAATGAAATTCTGTGACTGATGGATGAAGGGTTTCTGGGGCCAGGGGTAGTTTGTCCATAAGGACTTGGCTACTGAAGACACCAGTTGTATCATTTTGCTTGTGCTTGTGTTTCTTTTCTTTCTTTTTTCTTTTTTCTTTCTGAGACAGAGTCTAGCTCTGTCCCCCAGGCTGGAGTGCAGTGGCGCGATCTCGGCTCACTGCAACCTCCACCTCCAGGGTCAAGTGATTCTCCTGCCTCAGCTTCTCAAGTAGCTGGGATTATAGGTGCATACCACCACACCCGGGTAATTTTTGTATTTTTACTAGAGACAGGGTTTCACCATGTTGTCCAGGCTGGTCTCAAACTGCCGACCTCAAGTGATCCACCTACCTTGGCCTCCCAAAGTCCTGGGATTACAGGCGTGAGCCACTGCGCCCGGCCTGTGCTTGTGTTTCAAGCTATCCTGACACAGGGCCATAGAAATAGGAGTGGATCTCTTGGGAATATCTCTGCTGATTGCCGTCATTTCATTAGAAACACAATTATTTCGTAAGGCTGGGCTAACGGTGTTGGAAATAGCCAAGTGCAGCGCTGGAGTGACAGGGACCACATCCCATTTGATACTAATTGGTTTGATGATGGTAATTGTTGTATTGCAGACAGTTGTGACTATCTCCTAATTTAATATAATCAATAAGGTAACAACAGCTCAATGCAAATGAGATGTGGGGACCCATGGGGCCATTTGTAAGTTATGTTCTTAATGCATTTTCCTAATTAGCTGTAGCAGATTCCCCCCTCCCCCACCTTCTCTGGAGTGTGAGAGAAGTGATCATCTGAGATGCCATGCTTCGCTTTCTCCAAACTTTCACTTTCAGAGAGGCTCAGGGAGAGCTCATCCTGGAGCTCCCAGGAACCCCAAAGGCTTTCTTAGGACCAGCTGAAATGGAGTCAGGGAGTCAACAGTTCAATAGGATACTTCCCTTCAGATTCATGACACCCCCCAGCTTGAACCTATGTAGTTTCTCTGCTTCTTCCATCTGATTGGAAGGTTCTCCAAGACAGGGGTTGTACTTCTTCCCATCAGACTGGCCACTTTGTCACTCAGGGATCCATGTCTGTTTCACTGAATAAAGGCTCCAAATGCCGCTGCTGGTGTTTTATTCATGACAAGCCCTCATGGATGTGCGTGTGTGCATGTATGTGTATTGCAGTGTAGCCCAGACAGTGTGTCAGGAATGCAGCATGCCAGCAGGGATGTAACTTAGGTAGTGGTTAAAAGAGACTCTGGGCCGGGCATGGTAGCCTACACCTGTAATCCCAGTGCTTTGGGAGGCCGAAGTGGGAGGATCATTTGAGCATAGCAGTTTGAGACCAGCCTGGGAAACATAATGGGACTCCATCTCTACAAAAAATTAAAAAGTTAGCTGGGCATGGTGGCATGCACCTGTGGTCCCAGCTACTCAGGCTGAGGTGGGCCTGGGAGGTTGAGGCTGTAGTAAGCCATGATTGCACCACTACACTTTGACCTGGGCAACAGAGTGAGACCCTGTCTAAAAAAAAAAAAAAAAAAAAAAAAAAAGAGTGGTTCCAGACTGCCTGGGTTCAATTCTCAGCTCTACCTTTTACTAGCCAGAATGACCTTGGACAAGTTACTTGCCCTCTTTGTGCCTCAGCTTCCTCATTCTATAAATGGGGAAAATAATAGTACCTATTCATAGATCTCTTGTGAGATTTAAATGAGTTAATATATTAACTAATTTTAGTGTTTATTAAAGTTAAAAAAAGTTCCTTAGTCCCATTAGCTACATATAAAGTGCTCAATACCCACATGTGGGCAGTGACTAGAGTCTTAGAGCAGATAAAGAATATCTCCATCATGGCAGAAAGTTCTATTGCACAGTGCTGCTGTAGACCTTTGGTGTGGAATGGGTTGAACTCCAAGGAGGTCCCACACTTCTCTAGATTTGGGTATGGATGCACCTGTGCTTTCCCCAAATTCTTATTCAGTGTGTTGCACAAACTCCTCTCCTGTTGGCAGAAAGAGCCCAGCTCTGTGCCACCTCTTGTCACGTTTCCTGCACCTGATGCCCAGGTCTGGAGCCCCAGTTGCTGTTGTACCAGATGGCCCAGGAGTTATTAATGAGAGACTGTGTGTGTGTTCCTGTGCTGGATCTGTGTGCTGTGATCATCATTTTGGGGCTTTCCTTGGGGAAGTAACAAATGGCATCCCTGCCCAGGAGTCCTCTGGCAGGGACCATCTCATAAATCAGTGTGAAAGGCTCCTAGTCCCTGTGGAGTCATCCCACAGCCCCACAGCTAAGTGACCCAAAGACTCTGTGGCTGCCATGGCTTCACTTCCTACCACTGCCTCCCCAGATGTCTGGGCCTCTTGGGTACTGGACTGCCTTGACTGTCAGCAGCCCCAGGCCCCAGTCCTGGTTCTACCATTAACCAGTGGCCTGACCTTGGAGGAGTCTCCTTTTCTCTCTAGGCCCCAACTTTCTCATCTGTAAAGTGGAAGAAGGGAAGGACCACTACATGATCTCTGTAATGCAGAACGGTGACAGTGAGAGCTGCCTCACATGAGGGTGATACCTGCCCCTGAGAAGTGTAGTATCTGGGATCCATAATCAGTGCAAACTTCCAGCCCAGAGAAAAGACCACAGGCCTGAGAGTCCAGGGCAGCATGGACCACCTGTTTTGGAATCACTTTCTTAAAAATCCAGATTTGTGGGCCCCACTGTGGATCTGCTGACTCGGGATCTCTGTGGATGATGACTGCATTTTCATTGCATTGCCCCAGTAATTCTTGTGCATTGTAATGTTTGAGAACCTTTGGCCTAAGGGCAAGTACTGCATCTCCAGTGCCCTTGCTTCTGGGGAGGGAAGGGCTGAGCACATCACTGGGTGGAGGGTTGAGGGGAGAGACTGGATGGGGGAGGGGTGGTGAGGAAAGCTGTGTCTTCAAGGGGGGCCTAGTCCAAAGCCACATTCCAGCCAGTTTGGCAAACTGGGGTCAGGTCTGGCTCAGAACAGAGCACAAGCCGGTAGGTCTGATCTGAGGGGAAAAGTGGGAGCAGAGGCCTTCTTTTGAGGTGGGGTTGCTTCTCTGGGTTTTTGGAAACAAGATCTGGCCCTGATGGGGTGGGCTGCAGTAAGTGGGCAAGAGGGAGGTTGGTTAGTGTAATGGTCAAAATGCACAGTTTTGGGAGCTACACAGCATTTGGTTCAGGTCCGGGCTAGGTAGCATCTTAGCAGTGTGGCCTTAGGCAGGCCACTTAACCTCATCTGTGGAATGGTGACAGTGACATCCACCTCACTGGATTAAATAAGACAACATGCGGAGAAGCCCCAGGCACATTGAAATACTTACATGTTCTTCTGTTTCCCCAGCCAGCCTCCTGCATCCCCCTTGGCAAGGATCAGAGTAACATGGAGACCTGGGTAGGATTTAGATAGTAATGATAACTGCCCCTTGCACCACATTCTAGAACTTACCAAGTACTTTCCTGTCCTTTATCTCATGATAGTATGGGGCAACACTGATGGGAAAACTGAGGTTGAGAGAAATTCAGTGAGTTGCTCAAAGTCACTCACTGGGACATAGGAAAGGGGAGGGGTATACTTCTGCCCTGAGACCCACTGTGCCAACTGATTGCTGCTGGTGACAAAGCCTTCTGTGTTAGCCCATTTTGCATTACTATAAAGGAATACTGGAGACTGGGTAATTTATAAAGAAAACAGGTTTGTTTGGCTCACAGTTCTGCAAGCTGTACAAGAAGTGTAGTGCCAGCATCTGCTTTTGGTGAGGCCTCAAGAATCTTCCAATCATGGCAGAAGGCAGAGGGGGAGCTGGCATGTCACATGGCGAAAGAGGGAGCAAGTGAGGGGGGAGATGCTATCTCTTTTAAACAGCCAGCTCTCTCATGAATGAATAGACTGAGAACTTACTCATTACTATGGGGACAGCACCAAGCTATTTATTAGGGAACTGCCCCCATGACCCAAACACCTCCCACTAGGCCCACCTCCAACACTGGAGGTCATATTTCAACATGAGATTTGGAGGGGACAAAACATCCAAACCGTGTCTCCTCCCAAACCCCTTAAAGACAGAATTTGTGAGCCCACGTGTGGTGGGGTGGAGCAATAAGGAGACTCCCAGGGAATTTCTGCTTGGTCTGGGCTCCTATTTAGCTAGCTGATGTGTAGGCAAGGATTTCTGGACTGGGAAGCTGTTCTCTACCATTCTGTTTAGGGTGCACTGGTCAGGGTGGGTGTGGAGGGGTGGCTCTGTTTCTCCTGCATCTGACCTTTTGGCCTGGCCTCTTGGGTGCCCAGCCAAGGCCCAGTGCCCCTCCCTGTGGCTGATTCACCACCTCCAGCTGTGTTTTTGGGAAATGAATGGAGAATCAGGCTGCCAGGCTGGGAAGGACTGGGGCAAATAGACCACACATGTAGGTAGCAGTTAGCATAACTGGCCGCATGGTTCTGGGCAGGCAGCTGGCAGAGGTGTTAGGCCAGGGCAATCATGAATTGGGGCAGGCTGGGGGGAGTCCTGGTCAGGTAGGAAGTGAAGCTGGGCAGGCAGCTGGCTCTGCAGTTGGCTGAGGTCGGAGAGGACATAGTGTGGGCTGACAGCTGGTGTGGAGGATGGAGGCGGTCAGGAACCAGCCTCAGGGAAAGGCTCCAGCACCACGGACAGCTCTGGGGAGGCGTCCTTCTGTTGTTCAGATCCCGCCGCAGTTTGAGACCTTTACCTGAGAGTCACTTAAGCCCCTATATTTCTGTAGTTGTTCAAGAGCCTTTGCACACCTCCTTCTTAGCGTGGTCTTTAAGAAGTCACTCTAACAGCTCTCCAGCTCTGTTTCCAGAGGAATGCCCATGACTTTGACCTATTTGGGGTTTCCCTGAGGGGTTCACATCTTTCAAGAGTCCAGTTTGTTGGTGGGTGATCCTGTCATTCTCTGGGGTGCACATATTTTAGGGCCAGGGCCTAGCCAGGGACCCAATCTTGATTGTAAGTAGGCCAGCGAAGTCTGACCTGGGTTGGGGGAGGGATTCCCTGCTTCCCCTCAGCCCAGTCATGGTCCCCACCTCCATCATGTCCCCAGTGCCCTGTACACATGAATCTCTCCCAGCTCCTCTTTTTCCTCTCCTTTTGCTTGTGACTGCTTGAGTGAATCAGGGCTGAAGATCAGAAGTCCCCAGTCAAGGAGCTTTCCCCACTAATGAGCTCTCCGAGGGCCTCTGACAGCCCCTCCCTTTGCCCCGCCCCACCCTGTTCATTTATTTATAACACAGGGCACCATCCCCCACATCGCCAGAGAAGAAAGGGCCAATCAGCTTGCAGTGCTGCCAATCAACGTGAGAACGGGGGAGGGCAGAAGAGGATGACTCAGAGAACTCGCGTGGGGGCAAAGTGAGAAGTACTATAGGCTCTATAATTTATCTCAGCATATTTTCATCTAGCCCAAGCCTCTCACATTGCAGATGAGGTGTCTGAGGCCCAGAGCAGTAAAGTGACTTCTTAAATCCACACAGCCAGTGATGACCAAGCCAAGAACTGGAACCTGGGTGTGTTGATTCCCAGTCCAGCACGATTTCCACTACAGAACGTCTTTAGAATGCATTTGTCTTGAAGACTGAAGTGAGGTCTGTGTTTCAATTGACAGCTTGGTATTTTTCTGTCTGTCAACACTTTGATAAATTTAGAAGAAATGGACTTATGTTGGCACATCTGCGAACTAGCGAAAAGATCAAGATTGTCACTGTGATGGTATCTTCACTCTACCACGTTGGAACAAAATAGCAGGTGACATGAACATTTTCAAGGTGACATGGTGTCTTTAAGTTGTAACAGATTCTAACATAATTTGACTTGTGGGTAGAAGTTACGATGGGTATGCCTGTATTGAGTTGACCTGTAGATCAGAGTCACTATTCCTTACATAAGGTGCATAGCTTTTCCCACTATTGACAAGACACCTGGAGGAGGTGGAGAAGTCAGTCTGTGCTTTGAGGGGTTATCATTGTCATTTATAATGATGGATAGAGAGGCATTTGGTGGTTAGTGTTCTAGTTGGACATAGGCCAGGAGAAGCAGAATATGGCACAGTCTATATAAGCCTGACATCCTAGGCCTTCAAAATCTCCTTTTCCATCCATGGATGCATTTCTCTTTCACCATCAAACACTGGAGGACTGGAGATACCCAACTGTCCTAGGCATGAAGAGTCTACTGGGGCTATTTGAAGATGATATTGATCCAATTTCCTGTACTAATTTTTTCCCCCTACACAATCCCAAAGGCCAAAGGGTAGGAGCCTTGGGGGCTTCCTCTGGGGGTTTATCTGATGGATTAGTGCCCATGATCCTGGCAGGAATTGAGGAGGGTGCAGAAGGGGCCTGAGTTCAGCAGCCTGAGTGCTGGAGTACAGACCACTTGAGTGGAGAGGACTTAGAGGGTGGTTTTTTCTTACACTGTTTCCTTACATCTGAGAGCAGAACTGACTTTCCCCAGCAAGATTAAGCCCATTGAAATCTTCCTCCTGAACTCAGGCTTTCCTACTGGACACCCCCATGCAGACGTCCACATCATGTCTCAAAATCAGCTCATTTTCCTCTAACCTTGCTCTTACCCCCGTGAACCAAAACAAACAAACAAACAAACAAACAATAACACCAGTCAACCAAACAAACAAAAAACAATCACTCTTGTCCAGGCCTGGTTCAGTACCCCGGATGGATTTGTCTAAGGTGCCATGGGTGAGCCACTGTCACCTTAGAAGATGACATTGAAGCCCCCATTTCTCACTTTTAGCTTTCAGCCCCCTTGCTACCCTCTGTATCCCTTTGCCTTTTATCTAGATTCTCCATGTATTTTTTTAAGTTTCTTTGACTTATTGCCTAGTGCTTATGATGTGTCAGGTACTATTTAAGTGCTGTAGATGTATCAATTCATTTAATCTTCATAGTAGCTCTATGAAGCAGGAACTATTATCTCTATTTTACAGATGAGAAAACTGAGACAGAGGTTAAATATTTTGCCTAGGATCATACACTAAATAAGCAAAGTCTGCAAACTCTGTTCTCTGAGCACTATACTACATTGCCTCCCAAATGCCAAACCCATGAGGCATTTGGTTTAGTTTTTTTTTTTTTAGTTTCTGCCTTTCAGATGGATGACCTTGGCTTGCCCAGCCACCTGCCCACCCACCCATCCATCCATTCATCCATTCATCTATCCATTCAGCTACCCAGTTCTTCATTCAACAAGTATTTATTGAATATATCTACTCTGTGCCCAAGATTCTGCCAGGTGACAGTAGAAGCAAAATCAGACACAGTCCTTGCTGTCCTAGAGCTGAGAGACTTATGGGGCAGACAGATAATACATTAACACACCAATGAGTGTGTATTTATAAGTAGACATAGGTGCTCTGAAGGACAGGGTTGCAGCGCCTTTGCATCACAGCTAAGGCTGCCAACCCAGGCCATGCATCCCATTTCCCAACTTTTTTTTTTTTTTTAATGACAAGGTCTCTCTCTGTCACTGAGGCTGGGGTGCAATGGTGTGATATAGCTCACTATAACTTCAAACCCCTGGGCGCAGGCAATCCTCTGGCTTCAGCCTCCCAAGTAGCTGGTACTACACATGTGTGCCACCATGCCCAGCTCATTTTAAAACTTTTTATAGAGATGAGGTCATGCTATGTTGCTCAGGCTGGTCTCCTGGCCTCAAGTGATCCTCCCGACTTGGCCTCCCAAAGTGTTGGGATTACAGGCATGAGCCACTGCATCCAGCCCTATTTTCCAATCATGACCCACATCTCTGAACTTTCATCAGATACAATTTCCTAAGCCTAATAGTTTTCAGGAGTTTCCACCAGTCCAGGATCCCAATGTAATGTCCAAAGTGTCTTCCTTACCTGCCACAGTTTCCTTGGGATGAATAGTGTCTTCAGGTGTGGCCAATCCTAGCTCTTCTCCCAGCTCAAGGGAGGTAAAGTTTTATTGCCACAAACCTCCTTGGTTATTTGATCATAGATAGCATTGTTTTCCACTTGGAGCAGTGGTAGAAGCTTTTTTTTTTTTTTTGGCACGAATCTCTTTGAGAGATTACCAAAAACTAAGAACATTCTTTGCAGAAAAAATGCCTTCCTGGATTCCCAAGCTAGTCAAAAGTAGCCCCAAGTTTGCATCCCAGATTTTAGGACACTTTTTCTTTTTCTTTTTGGAGTCAGAGTCTCACTCTGTCACCTAGTCTGGAGTGCAGTGGTGCGATCTTTAGCTCACTGCAGCCTCAACCTCCTGGGCTCAAGCGATCTTCCTGCCTCAGCCTCCTGAATAGCTGGGACCACAGGTTTGTACTACTATGCCTGGCTAATTAAAAAAAAATTTTTTTTTATAGCGACAGGATCTTGCCATGTTGCCCAGGCTAGTCTTGAACTCCTGGACTCAAGTGGTCTGGAGGACACTTTTTAAGGCTAAGTGGATTGTGCTGGCTGCATAATCAGGTGACACCCCTGGAAGTTCACCTCCTGTTGAGATACAGGTGCTTCACCTCCCTCACCTTAGCAGAATTCACTAGTGTTACTTCATCTTGAGTGGTGATTAAAATCATTTATTGTGGGGCAGGGATCTGTTTGAGAGACTGACAAAAATGCACATACTAAGAACAACTTGTGCATGATTTTGAGGGGTTTACAGACCTCCTGTAGCTTATCCATGGATCCTAGGTAAAGAATTTCCAACCTGAGTTTTTCTGGCTTCTACCTCTTGACACAACTTCTGTACCCTTGGGCAGTATCCATGCTCAAGTAGCTGGTCAGTGTCTGGCGCATTGCGTGGGTTTCCCAGGAGGGTCTCTAAGATACCATTCAGGATGCCAGGGACCAGTCATGCAAGGGCCAGCACTGATTCTCAGAGATGGAGATGCCTACTGGTGCTCCTATAGACTAGCTGCAGGTCCACATAACATGGCTGTCAGCTTCATGTCTTCCAGCATAGCTGCTCATCTCCTGTGTGCATCTGCTGCTCTCTGTTAACTGGGCTGATTGAGAGACACCCAAGACTAATCTCACTAATTCTCAGCAGGCAGTCTGAGTATGCAGTACAGGGAAAGCAAGCATGAGATACATGTACTACCCCTCCTGACCCAGCACCCACGACACTCTGCTAATCAATCACAGCGTTCATCCCCACTGGGCCCAGATATGGTCTTATAATCCTTCTCAAATGGTAATTTAGGTAGACACCACCAATCCATCAGAGTTGGCATGTAGGATGAAATATATTTGCCATCCTAGCTGCAGGTGATATGGGTTGGGCTCTAGACTCATCCCTTGCCGGTCTCAGATCCCACATCCTAGCTGGCCTAGAATGCCAGGCCTCTCTGTTGGTCTTGGAGAATCCTCAGACACCATCCATCTGGTTAGCCAAGATGTACCCCTGAGGGTGATCCTAGGTCTCCTTCTTTATTCCCCCATACTAATTTGCCCATTCTTCAGCTAAAATGTCTGCAGCATCTTTGTTCTCATCCCAGGCTCACTTTAGGGATCCCAGATCAGACCCTCATTACCTCTAGTCTGGAACTGCCAAGAGTCTCTCTTTTTTTTTTCTATTTATTTATTTATTATTATACTTTAAGTTTTAGGGTACATGTGCACAATGTGCAAGTTAGTTACATATGTATACATGTGCCATGCTGGTGCGCTGCACCCAGTAACTCGTCATCTAGCATTAGGTATATCTCCCAATGCTATCCCTCCCCCGTCCCCCCACCCCACAACAGTCCCCAGAGTGTGATGTTCCCCTTCCTGTGTCCATGTGTTCTCATTGTTCAATTCCCACTATGAGTGAGAATATGCGGTGTTTGGTTTTTTGTTCTTGCGATAGTTTACTGAGAATGATTTCCAATTTCATCTTAACTATTTCTTGTCTCCATTCTTACAACCCTTCTAATCCATGCACTATACTTCCTCAAACATACAATGCACATATTACACCCCTTTTTGAAATCCTTCAGTCCTTTAAAAGAGGAAATCCATATATAGATGAAAACCATGGCATAGATAGCCATTTGCAGTCTGGCCCTGACTTCTTTTCCAGTTTCACTCCTTACCATTCCCCTGTGCTCTAACAAGATCTTGCAATGCACCATTTCCTGATATTCCAGACTTTCCCAGGCAATCTTGTCCTGGTGCATGCTATTTCTTCTGTCTAGAATGCCTCATCTACTTCCCTCTCCCAGCCTTTTTCTCTGCCTAGTGGACTCTTCTTTCAATACCTTTCTCAAACGTTGTCTGCTCTGTGAAGTTCTATCTGTTCCATGTTGGGTTTGGAATTTCCACTGCCCCTTCCCTCACTCCACCAGCTTCCTGTGCATGTCTGTATCCTGAAATCTTTAACTCTGTTTTGCTCTGTCTAGTAATTACCTGTTTACTTGTGCAACAGTGTTCCATGCATCCCTGCATCTTAGCACCCAACCTAAGACAAATCACAAAGCAGGGAACTTGCTGACATGCACTGTGTGTAACTTGCAGTGGGTGAAGACCTCCAGCCCCCTCTCCCTACCCTAAGGCAGCATTTGCTCTATCATCATATCTTGCCAAGTGAAAGCAGCCTTCACCTTTTAAACGATGGCTTTTCTCCTCCCCACAGAAAGGGTTCCTCATTGAAATTCACCAGGAATGGGCAGTTTCTGACAGAGTCTCTTGGCTGGCCCGTGATATAGCTGCCAACACCCAGCACTCCTGGAAGCAGAAGGGCTTTTGTTCATAAGCCGCAAGCATACATTTTACCACTTCCCGAGATCCCAGGGGAAAAATAATCCTTCCCCTTTTTCCATTGGCCTCTCCAAGGCCCCTCTGGCTTCCCTTTTCTTGGCTGGGAAAATGAAGGGTCTGGGGGGGCCCCCAGTGATGGTGGAAATGGGGGTTTGTGAGAGGCCTGTTCAAAGTTGGGGTTGGGGAAAGAGCTGGTGGACTGGGAGGGGTTGGGGACTTCAATTTAGACCAGGGGACCCCAACCTACTGGTCCATGGCCTATTAGGAACAAGGCCACACAGCAGGAGGTAAATGGTGGGCAAGTGAGCGTTACTTGCCTGAGCTCCACCTCCTGTCAGATCAGTGGTGGCAGTATGTTCTCATAGAAACACAAACCCTATTGTGAACTGTACATGTGAGGGATCTAGGTTGCACGCTCCTTATGAGAATCTAATGCCTGACAATCTGAGGTGGAACAGTTTCATCCCGAAACCATCATTCCCACCCCAAGTCCATGGAAAAATTGTCTTCCACAAAACCAGTCCCTGGTGCCAAAATGGTTGGAGACCACTGATTTAGATGGAGCTCATGCAGGGCAGGAGACTCATCTGCATTATTTGACATAGACAATGGGCTCCTGGGTGAGCCTAAGTGGTCTGCCGGATTATGGTAAGATGGTGCTTTTGGAGATAATAACAATAACATTACTAAAAATGATATATCATCCACATAACCCTGACTCTGAATGCTTTTCAGAGTGCTGCTGCTCTGAATGCTTTCAATGTATTAACTCCTTTAGGTCCTTAGTGCCAACCTTTGTAGTAGGTTTTAGTATTATCCCCCTCTTACAGATGAGAAAGTGAAGGCCACAGAGAGATTACCGTGTGCTAATCTTTCTTAGGGTAAATGGGGAAACTGAGGCTGACACCACTGGAGGGAGGTCATGGATGAGACTGTATTGTGAGCATAGGAAGAAGAGGAGTGTTGGAAACCTTGGCAGCCTGGCTGTAGCTTTGAGAAAGTCACTTCTGTAAACCTGTGTTTTCTACTATGCAGTAGGGTAATTATGCCTTCTTGGAAGACTTAACATAAGGATTGGATGAACTCATATAAGTAAAATGCCCAGCACATTAAAGATAATCAATAAACCATAGTTGCCATTATTAATCACCTAATTGCTCCCTCCTTTGTGCCCTTACTGTTTCATACACTTCTCTTCTAGAAGCTTATTAGACTATTTTAACTGTCTTGCTGGTATTCTCTGAACATGTCTGTCTTGCTGGTATTCTCTGAGCCTCTCTCAAAGGCAAGACCAGCTCTTATCTACCTCTGGGCTCTCTAGCTGGCAGATGGAGGTTTCATATGAGAAAATAGGCCTGGAAAGAAAGGCATTTGCCCAAGTGGACAAGCTGGGAAGTGTCAGGACCCAGGTCCTGCTGCAAGATGCTGCGCAGACTATTTCCTGATCCACGATCAGTGGGGCAGGAGGTGGAGGATCCCATTCCAGGGCCTGCGAATGCCTGGGTGGGAAGCCCCAGGTCCTTGGCACCTTCCAGAGGGGAAAATGGGAATGACAGTCAATGAGCCCTGTTAGGCCCAGGGAGGAGAAGGCTGATAGAGGCTGGATGAGACAGGGCTTAGTGAATGATCAGATGTGAGAGGGAGGGAGAGGGAGGAGTCGAGTTTGACTGCCAGGTTGCCTTGGAATACAGGACACAGATACAGGAGTTTGTGGAGTGGAGGAGAAGATGATGAATTAGGTTTTGAAAATGCTCGGGGGAAACAGTTCATGGAGCAGGCCCTTAAGGGTCGCTAGCAGGCATTTGACTCTGAGGGGATGTGGGCAGGGCACCGACATCTGTCCCAACCTGTGATCCTATGACGTGGTACTGCACTGAGCTGGGTGAAGTATAGCACTGAAGTTGGATTGTAGGACTTAAATCCTGGCTCTACATTAACATACTATGTATGTGACTTTGAGCATGTTACTTAACCTCTCTGAGCCTTAGTTTTATTTTTCTGTAAACGAGGTGATTAGGAATTACCTCCTAGCATGTTATTGTGAAGGCCAAATGAGATAAAATGGGTCAATGATGGTGCCACAGTAAGAGTTCAATATGTAATGTCCATTATTATTATTATTATTGACAGTGTCTTGCCCTGTTGCCCAGGCTGGAGTGCAGTGGTGTGATATCGACTCACTGCAGCTGCAACCTCCCGGGTTCAAGTGATCCTCCCACCTCCGCCTCCTGAGTAGCTGGGACTATGGGCACCTGCCACCATGCCTGGCTAATTTTTCATATTTTTTATAGAGATGGGGTTTTACTGTGTTGCCCAGGCTTGTCTTGAACTCCTGGGCTCAAGCAATCCACCTGCCTCGGCCTCTCAAAATGCTAGGATTACAGGTGTGAGCCACCATGGCTGGCCAATTTTTTTTTTGATTTTTAGTAGAGATGAGGTCTTGCTATGTTGCCCAGGCTTGTCTTGAACTCCTGAGCTCAAGCAATCCTCCTGCCTTGGCCTCCCAAAGTGCTGACATTATAGGTGTGAGCCACCACACCTGGCAGTGTTCATTACTGTTATTAGCTGCTTCTGCTGCCAGAATGCTGACTTTCTCGCCATTGGCACCCTTTTCCATTTCAATCTCTCCTATCCCACCAGCACTAGGTACCCAGAGGCCCATAATAGGTGCTCTCAACCTCTTCATCTTTCAGAGACTCTTGTCCTTAAAACGTTGCCTCTGGCCCTTTTGGGCAACTGACCAAGGAGGAGCAGAGAGTTGTTATTGTCCTCTTTCAATGAGATGTCACTTCAGTTTTAACTGTGCCTTCATGCCTTGACCCACAGGTGTGACTAATGGTGGGAATGAAGCTATTTCAGGGGCAGAGGGGTCTTTTTGGTGCTGGTCAGACAAACATATCCAGAAGTTATGTTATCTACTATGCCTTCGTGTGTGGACACTGATGATGAGTATAAAACTCAGACTAAGAGAAGATCTGGAACTTCTCACTTGGGATTAAGAGTGGGGTGCTTTATGCTCCTTTGGTTGAGAGGTCTTTTGAGGAGATCTGCAGTTCTCACAATAGGACTAGGGTACCCAGGCATTGTTCCATCTGTCCCTCTCTCCTGCCCCCAGGTTCTGAGAATGCAGGGAGACAATGGACAACTGCCTGATGCATAGCACGTGTTTAGTAAATGTGGAAGAGAGTAAGGAGAAAGCCATTACCTGAGGATCAGGAAGCCCACATTCAAGTCCTGCCCCTGCCTTTACCAGGCGTCTGCTCTTAGACAAGTGACTTCTCTTCTCTGGGCCTCAGTTATCTATAACACAGGGATGATAATACTTGACTCCTTCAGCGGACCAAACGTAGACCCATATGTTCACTTGGTTAATGCAGAAATAGAAGCCCAGACTGCAGAAGGGGCTTGCTCTGGGTCATGAAGCCAGAGTTTAGCTGCAAAGTCAGTTATGCGGAAAAGCCTAGTCAAGTGTTACAAGAGAATAGGGATCACCTATCAAGGTGCTTAGGCTTTTGGACCCAGGGAAGGGAAGGAAAATCACCCTCTGTTAGATGACTTACAGCTATACTTTCCAAGCCAGTGGGAGTTTCTGAAGGTGGCTGTAAGGCTCAGGGAACCTGATGGCGTGTATGTGTCTCAGGGGTCACAAGCCCTGGTCATATTAAAGATGTAGGCTACCTTTGAAGCTCTTCTCAGTGACTCTCTTGCAAAGTTTTAGGTCTCAACTCAGCTGCAAAATGAATGAACTGCTCATCTCGCCAGCACAGAGCACATTTGGGCCAAACTCCTTGCTCAGTTTTATGGGGCCAATACATCTGCGGAATCACTTACCCGTCACTCTGCAGACGGAATGCATGATTTCGGAAAACTTTCTTTTCCCTTTTCCCAAAAAAACTTTTATTCCCTGGCGGAAATGGTTTATCAACGTCTTTAAAAAACCGCTCAGATCTTCTTGGCAACCCCTGATACCATAAAAGAGTGGCTGTACGAATGCAAATGAATTGGAGGGCATTAAAAAAACTCTCTTGCTTCGGCAGCTGAAGTGGAGAAGGGCCGGATGATGGATAGCACGCGGCTTTCTGCTGAGCGATTTTATTCTTTTTATGCCTGCCAATGGCTGATGTATTTCATCTTTTGTTTCCTTTACTGCCGCTTAAGAAACCACCCTCAGGCTGGGGGTGTGCCCCTGCGCACCCACTTGTTTCACCCCTCGGGGAGGACTCCGGCCAGCTGCTCTGCATTCACCCCTGATTCAGGGAAGGCAGGGATGGCCCAGCTGGAGGGGGCCTTGAGGGAGCACCCCTCCTGGAACTGCTGAGCTCGGTAGAAGAGGCTGCTGAAGAGGCGGAAATCCTTTCTGCTTTCTCAAGGGACATATGCCTCATTCCACGCCACTCCACTCCTGTTTATTGAGGCCTACTTTGTGCTAGGCACTCTGCTGGGCTCTGTGAGGATACCAAGAAGTGAAGGACACAGCCCTACCCTCCATGATCTTACCATCATTTTAGGGAGGAAACTCACCCCAGTTATACACACGGACATGCATGTAGTGCAGCCTTCCCACAGGGACCCACACTTAACCCCATGTGCACAGGCACGTGCTCACACTCATCCACACACCATACAAATGCATGTGGGTACCCCACCCCACACAGGAAAATAAGTGCACACATCTGAGCATGCATAGAAACACACACACACACAACCAAGACCCAATAGCTCTCAAACCTGTGTGCATTCATACACATGCACACAAACACACACATGCTCCTGCATACTCAGAGATGAGAAGTTAAGCAATAAAACAAAATTATGTGTGATTCAAAGCTGGAATGAGTGGGCAGATGAGAAAGGATTCAGGGAGGCTTGCAGAGGAAATAATGCTGCTGTGGGAAATTTAGTCTCAGTTTAGTCTCTTAGTACCTGTGTGGCCTTGGTCAAGTCTCTTAGCCTCTCTGAGTCTCAGTTTCCTTATTTGAAACTGAGGTCCTTCCAGATGCAAGACCCCATGACTTTGTGAAGTTGGTTCAGAAGTCAGTGTGGGTTGCTGTAATAGTAGTAATAATAATGACAGCTAATCTGTATTGAGTATTCACCAAGTGCCACATCCTGTGTTAAGCACTTTATATACACTATTTTTTTAAATCCTCACAGCAATCCTAGAAGATGAGTACTTTTATTAGCTGTGTTTTACTGGTGAGAAACTGCGACTCAGAAAGGTGTAGTTACTAGCCTACGGTTACACAGCAAATAGAGGTAGAGTCTGAATTTGAACACGGACAGGTTGGCTCCAGGGCCTGAACTTTCAGCTTTGTTGAACATACACTGAGTTGAACTTGTGCTGGCACTGGGGACCAGGAGATGAACAACATACAGTCCCAGCTCATCAGAGTCCCACAGTCCAATGTGGAGGTGGCTGCCTGCCAGACTGTCAGCATGAGCTGCGTGGCTTCATGCTGGGGAAGCTTGAGCTCCTGGAGACTCATCTCTCCCTGAGCCATGTGAGAGAGGCTATTCTGCCCATCCGGGTGATAGGGCGGCTACCTCAAGGAAAGAAGGTGATGGGGAAAGGCTTTTGCCCTGGCCTCGGTCTGAGCAGCTGGGTGCTCCCTGGACAGACTCCAGAGTGCTGGGATCTGGCCCTACCTTGGGGGACCAGCCAGGTTCCTGCCTTTTCCTGGTGTTTTCAGGACAAAGTCTGCCCAGACAAGGGGATTGTGAGGAACACCCTGTGATTGCTCTTTGAGTGATAATCGCCTCCTCTGGATCAACAGGTTCTCTCTGCGCAAACTCTCCTTGACCCTCTCTGATGCTGGGGGAAGCCGACTGGTTCCCCTCCCCAGGCTCTGTTCCCCCTTGCTCGGTTTCCCAGGTGAAGATGATGTGGCTGACTCTCCTCGCTTCCCTGAACGTCATTCTACCTGCCGGTCCCCACAGCCTTCTCGCCATGTGGTCTCTTCCTTGCTGTCTCTCCATAGCCTGCTGACCAATGCTCCTGCCCAGTCCCCCTGTGTGGGTGCCTGTAGTCTCAGCTACCGGGGAGGCTGAGGCAGGGGAATCACTTGAACCTGGGAGGTGGAGGTTGCAGCGAGCCGAGATTGAGCTACTGCACTCCAGGCTGGCGACAGAGCAACACTCCTTCTTAAAAAAAAAAAAAAAAAAAAAAAGTTTATTGAGGTGGAACTCACAATATAAAATTAACCATTTTAAGGTGAATGATTCAGTGCCATTTTGTATATTCACAATGTACAATCATCACCTCTATCTACTCCAAAATGTGTTAGCCACCATCACCCCAGAAGAGAATCCCATACCCATTAAGCAGTTTCTCCACATTCTCCCCTCCTCACAGTCTCTGGCAACCACTCCTCTGCTTCCTGTCCCCATGGATTTGACTTGCCAATCCCATCCTAAACCCACCTGGCATTCCTCATTACTTCCTGGTGATGATTTTCTTTTCTTTTTGAGATGGAGTCTCACTCTGTTGCCCAGGCTGGAGTGCGGTGGCGCAATCTCAGCTCACTGCAACCTCCGATTCTCTTGCCCCAGGCTCCCGGTTAGCTGGGATCACAAGCGTGCACCCCGATGGTGGTTTTCTAACACCTAACCGAATAACTGGAAATTTAATATGTCAAATGGACAAAAGAGAAAAGAGTCAGCTCAGGTGATGCAGGAACCAGGGGCTTCAGCCCAGCTGCCCAGCATCTTCTTGCTCTGCAGAGCCACCTTGGGACCTTCGAAACCACTGGTCTAGAATGAGCCCCATGTTACATGGAAGGGGATCTGAAGCCAAGAGAGGGAAGAGACTTGGCTGTGGTCACCTAGTGACTTAGTGGCACAGCGAGGACTGGAACCAAAATATTCTGGCTCCCTGGCTCCCTATAAAGTGCTGTTTTTTTTCCCTGAGGAAAAAATTACAAAAGTGATATATTCTTGCCGTAATAAATTCAAACAGTAAAGAAATATAAAGTAAAAACTGAAAATTTCTCTATCTCTATCGCCTACCCCAGCCTCTGGAGACAATCAGTGTGAAAAGTTTGACTGTGTCCTTCAAGACTTTTTTCTCTGTGCATGCACACATACCCACCCACTCACTCACCTATACACATACACACCTACATGAGTTTTTTGTTTGCTTGTTTGTTTTGCAAAAATGCGATTGTACTAGATTTACCATTCTGTGATTTGCTTTTTATGGTAGTTCTTGAAGTTTGGAAGGACCCATTTGAGAGCTTACAACTGGAGTGATACGCCATGGAAAAATGGAAGTATCTCAATCACATTTATGTACCCAAAGAAAGGAACATGGGCCTAGAGAGCCTGAAGGCTGGGCAGGGTTTGTACAGGTGCAGGTAGCATTCCAGGTGAGCACCAGCTGAGCAAAGGCTTTGCAGTGGTGACAAGTGAGCTGAGATGGACTGAAGAGCTTGAGTCAGGGAGGCTGGGCTGAGAGAAGGGGCCAAACTATGAAGGGCCTTGAATGCCAGGGAGAGAAAACAGCAAGGTGTCAACTAAGCAGCGGGGAGCCACTGGGAGAGAAAAATGGAAGTGGTGCTTCTGGGAGAAGGAATATAGATCTCTAATGTGCATGTGTGTGCCTGTGTGTGCAAGTGTGCACATGCATTGGAGATGAGAGGGTTGTTTTTTTTTTTTTTTTTTGAGACTGAGTCTCGCGCTGTCACCCAGGTTGGAGTGCAGTGGTGCAATCTTGGCTCGCTGCAACCTCCACCTCCCGGGTTCAAACAATTCTCCTGCCTTAGCCTCCTGAGTAGCTGGGATTACAGGCATCTGCCACCATGCCTGGCTAATTTTTGTATTTTTAGTGGAGATGGGGTTTTACCATGTTGACCAGGCTGGTCTCGAACTCCTGACCTCAAGTGATCCACCTACCTCGGCCTCCCAAAGTGCTGGAATTACAGGTGTGAGCCACTGCGCCCAGCAGATGGCAGGGTTTTGGGTGGAGTTTAGATAGCACTGGCAGGAAGGAGCCAGGCAGGAGGCTGTGGCCCAGTCATGGGTGGTCTAGGCAGAGGCTATGAGAATGGATTCAGAGACGACCTGGAGGAACCCTCTGGACTGGTGGCCAGTTGGCTGCAGAGAAAGAGAACCAGACTGATGTTAGGACCGGATCTTGTATAAATGGCAGTAGGGGTGGCGTCACTGGGCCATTGGAAGTCAGGACTGGGTAGCGTCTTGGGGATGTGGCGTGGAGAGGGGAGCTGGGGGTTTTGGATCTGTTTGCCCCAGGTGGAGGTGAAGGGAAGCCAGGGTCAGCTGCCCCTGGGGCACAGAATCACACTTCCATGACTGAAAGGGGCAGGGTCAAGATGGGCTGACTTGAGAGGCTCTCAGCCTGCCCACTCTCTCCCTCTGCCCCCAGTTTTGAGAGGGATTTTTCTTCTCACTCTCCTTCCCCTCCTGTACTCTCTAAGGACTTACTCTGGCCTTGCCAGCCTAGTTTTCAGGACTCTGAGCCAGAATGGGAAACCAAGCAGAGACCAGACTGGAGGGTGACACAGGGGTGGAGGTTCTAGCTGCAGGGTCCATTTCAGGGCTGTCTTTTGCTGTGGACAATGGAAGTACGAGGGAAATTAGAGAACAAAAGAGCCCCAAACCTCAAACGTTTACATCAAGAATTGCTGAGAAAGAGGAGGAGAGGGGAAGAAACCAAGTGCTGGGTGAGAGGGGCAAGAATTTTAAGGTTTGGAGGATGTGAGGTTCTGGGGAAAGGAAGAGAAAAGAGGAAAGGGTCTTTATCGAAGAGTCTAATGGGGTTTTAACTGGATCCTTTTTAGACTTTGAGAGATTCAAGCGAAGATTGGAATTTCCTAATTGCTTTTGGCCATCAGACTGTTTCTTTGCCTGTAGTACCAAGGCAAGACTGGGCCACGTGGGGCAGAGGAATTCATTTGGATTAAATAAGAAGTATTTCCCGCCCCTTTCACATTTTGTTTCTGAAGACGGGATGCATGTCAAACAGATGTACGCATTGTTAGTAAATGAATGATGGAATTTAGGATTAGTAGTGTCAGAGATAGCAAGAAACATACCAGTTAGCATCTCGGTTGAAGGAATAGGAAACCACTTAAAGTAGCTCAGTTGTAAGGGGAACTTGGCTGTAAGGACATTGAGTCTTTCCTGGAGGGATGTGGCAGGTCATTGGGAAAGGGCTGGAGCTGGCTGCTGGAGATGCGCTGTCTCCTCTGTCTCTGCTTCTCACTGCCTGTCTTCACATCTGTGTCTTGTTTCTCTCCTTCCCTGCAGTCCAGCTTCCTTTGCTACTCTGGTCCATGTGGCAGGGAATCAGCCCCTTCAGCTCTGGGAGCTACATGGAATAACACCAGTGTCTCAGGAGGAGCGGAATGTTTCCCTCTGTTCCAATCCCAGGTTCCTGAAGGATGGTGCTGATTGGCTCTGGCAGGGTGAGATGCCCCAATCCCCACCCCTGTGGCTGGTGAGGTGGAGGGGGCAGGATTACTGGGAGCCCAAGTGGCTGCGGGAGCCTCTAGCTGCAGCCCCAGGACAGGCAGCGAAGAGCTGTCCTTAGAGACTGCTAGGGCTATGCAGGCAACTAGTGGCTGCTTCCTGAGACAGTGCTCCTTTCTTGAGTGATTAATTACCATCCCAGTCAAGAATGACTATACAAAATCTGATTTTCCCTGCACTTGAAGACAGAGCTAAGTCCCCTGGGTTTCATCTGCGGCACTGAAGGGGACCCAGGTGGCAGGCAGAAAACAGAGCCCCCTTTGGCTCCAGCCCTGCCGTTTCTCTTCTCAGCCCCACCTGCTGGCTTGGGTGCCAAGTGTAGTCCCAGCCAGGAAGGATTTAAGCCCTCGCCTGCTTGAGCCTCTCTCTGTGTCCTTTTCTCTTCCTTGCTGCTTCTGTGCTTTCTCTGACAAATGAATCCAGACCCCGCCCCTGTGGTGTGGACCTGCTGGCCCTAAAGTGTGTCTAGGAGGGGCTTGGTTCCTGCCTTTCCCTGCCCTTTCTCAGTGACTAGACACTAACTCCAGGCTCTGGGGGCTCTGCTGATGCTCCCCCACACATGCTCCTCGTAGCCATGGCTCTGGCACAGTGCCAGGTGCTGGCCTCAGAGGGTCATGGTGGTGCTGGCGCTGTCTGGGGAAATGACCTTAGTCCTCTTCATGCTCCTTGCTGGGGGCTGGGTTACTCATGACAAACCTGAGCCCATGCCGAGGGCAGCCACAAGCGGGGGCACCAGAAAAGGTAAAACACTTGGCATCAATGAACTTACCCAGAATTTTGCAATTTAAAAACCTAGAAAGCAGGTATTTTAATTTCAAGAGTCATAATAATAATAACATTTAATAGGCTTTCCCTCTGTGACAGGTTTTGCTCTCAGTACTTAATTTATGTTATCCTTAATCCTCACAAACACCTGAAGAAGTAATCTGGCGTCATCACTTCCTTTAAAGATGAGGACACTGAGGCACAGTGAGGCCAAGTGACTTGCCCAAAGCCAGGATTTAAATCCAGCCAGCCGGGCTCCAGAGTCCACAACCCTGATCACTGCACAGGGATTACAGAAGCTTTTGTAATTCCTGTAACTTTTGTGTCATGTCAAAAAAAAAACCCAAATTTTATTTTGAAATTTATAGTAGGGGAGGGGAAGGGAATGGTACCAAATTCTTTTCAGTTTTTAGGGCATCTAAAGATCTGACCTTGATCTTATCTGCTTTAAGCTGATTTGTTAGTTTTGCTTACAGGGACGTATGGGTTCCACTTCTGGCTCCCCTAATCCAGAACTTTCCTGTCCTGGTACAAAGCTCTGGCCAGGGCTCTGTCCCCTTCTGCTGAGGACCTGGACTTGGCCTCCCCCGTGTGGTGCTGACAGCTCGTGTCTCACTATGGGATCTTACAAGTGGGTAGGGGAAGAGGTCTGACACGGCTGTGCCCTTCCTCCCACTCCTGCCCTGCTTCAAGGAGCACAAAACCCTTTCACACCCTGCCCCTGTTCCTCGCTGGCTCCCAACAGCTCTGGGCTAGTGGCAGATGGCTCAGCCTCTAGATGGAGGAGCCTGCTCCTAGGAGGCTCCGACACATCAAAAGCAGATTGGACTCCAGACTTTCGCAGCTGAGAGGCGAGTGTCTTCAGGAGGGATGTGTGTTTATTAAACACCTCTGGAGCCAGCAGCTCAGGTGAGGCTTCTGTGTAGGGCAAGTGCTGAGGCCCAGAGAACAGGGGTTGGGTCCTGACTGCCCCAGAGTGGTGGGACTTTTGTGGCAAGCTGTCCCTGGCCTCAACTCCTCATCCAAATGATGGGGACAGTGGTCCCGGAGGAAGCAGGGAGGGCGAGAGCCATGCCCAGGGATGACAATAATGGTGATGAAGATGATAATGATAGCTGACATGTATTGAATGCTTGCCATGTATAAACTCAGTGCTAAGAGCTGTACAGGCGTTATCCACTCAACAGATCTTTATTGAGTGTCTGCATGATGGCAGGCATTGTTTGAAGTGTTTGGGATAATGCCACAACCTTAGTAAACAGTGCTTACTATGAGCAGGCACCATTCCAAGCACTTAATGTATAATACATTCTTTAATCCTCACAACAGCCCTAAAGGTAGGTAGTATTATTATCCCAATTTTACAGCTGTGGAAAACTGAGACACAGAGAGGTTGAGTAATTAACCCAAGGTCACATGGTTGGTAGGTTGGTAGGTGTTGGCATCAGGATTTGAACTCGGCAAGTTGAGCTCTGGTGATTGTGCTCTTTAATCTCAAATGCTCTAGATGTGAATAAAGCTGCCCTCAAGGATCTGATAGCCACGTGGAAGGAGGTGTGTGTTAAGCAGCTATATATATCTATAAAATGTATTTTCAGATTGTTGTAATTGCCCTAAAGGAAATACATTAATACACTGAGATAAATTATTTTTTATTTTTATTTTTGAGATAGGGTCTTGCTCTGTTGCCCAGGCTGGAGTGCAGTGGTGTGATCATGGCTCACTGCAGTCTTGAATTTCTGGGATCAAGCAATCCTCCCACCTCAGCCTCTCCAGTAGCTGGGACTACAGGCACCTGTCACTACGCCAGGCTATTTTTTTTTTTTTCATGGAGACGAGGTCTTGCTATGTTGCCCAGGCTGGTCTCAAACTCCTGGGCTCAAGAAGTCTTCCCTCCTCAGCCTCCCAAAGTGTTGGGATTACAGGCGTGAGCCACCGTGCCCAGACGAGAGAGATCGTTTTAGATAATTTGGTCAGAACATTCAGTCCTCTCCAGAACCTTATGGTGGGTTCATTTGCTGTCCCATTTTCCAGATGATTATGGTGAGGCTTCGAGGGATTAAATAGGGAGCCAGAAAGGAGCCAAGCAGTAACTCAGATTCAGGGCACTGGCCTCTAATACCTGTAGTCCTGCTCACTGCTGTGAGGCTCCCTGTGCTGTGCTTTGGCCAGGCAAAAGAGCTTTCTATAGGGCTTGGGGTGGGTGAGGTCTGTGGGTCTCTCCCAGAGGATCCACCCTGTTCTTTGTTGCAAAGCATCAGGAGGAAATCTCCCATGTCTCTGACTCCCTTGCTGTCAGCCTTCAGGGCCCGGTGTGTGCACGTGTGTGGCCTGTGTACCCGTGTGGGGTGTGCGTGTGCATGTGCATCCCTGCACTCGCTCATGTGTGATTGTGTATCTGTCTCTCTCCTTCCCTGCAGGCTTCTGCTTCACAGACCATCCTGACCTTTTATTAGGTCACTTTATAATTGATTGAAATGTCCCAGGTACCTTCTCTTAACTCCAGGGTGATTATGACAATTATGATGATTATCAAGTAAAAAAATAAAAAAGAGAGCAAGAGAGGAAGGGGGCTGGGGACTGGGGGTTGGGAATTGCTGGAGAGCTAGGCAGTGCTGTCATTAAGCGACATTGTGTGAGATTGTTCGCCTTCAAAAGGCCTCTGTGAAAAGGAGAGAGTGTCTTTAAAAACAAGGCCCATTATGCAGGCGGCACGGGGTGCACAGTGCTGGTGGGAGGACCATGGGGTGTAATTAGGGCAGTGACAGCTGGAATTACACAGCGTCTCCGCAGCGGTGCCGCCTCTTGGTGGTTGGGGGGTGGGGTTGGGGGGGTGGTTGGAGGAGGGGACAGGTAATACCTGGCAAGTTCTGGATCTTTGCCAGGAGCTAGAGTCCTTTGGCGAGCCAGGGTGACCTGGGATTGGGCAGAAGGGGCAGGGAGCGTGGGGCTGCCAGAGCCATTTATCTCTACCAGGAAGGCAGCCTCTTATTTTTGGAAGCCTTTTATGATGGCTCACCACCCCTTCCAGGCTTTTTGAGCATTCCCACCCCTACAGGGAGTTGGCAAAGGAAAGCCAACTGTGTGGAACAGAGGATGCAGATAAATAATCTCCCAGCCCCCTCTGCACAGGAGTGCAACAGCCTCCACTCAGCTCTTCTTTGAGGAAGGGAAGCTGCACCTCCTGCTGGCCTGCCTGGTCCCTGTGGGGCAGGCTGATGCTTATCTGCAGGGCTTGCTCCAGTCTCACCATTCCAAACCACAGGGTGGGATTAAGCAGCATTCCCATGGCAGGTGGAAATGTCGGATGCCTCAAACCCTTCCAATCTGCAACAGAATGGGGGTTAATGAGTGACCTAGTCTCTCCTCTTTTTCCTTCCAACACAGGGCCCCTCTAGAGCATCCTCCAGACCTGTGGTCCCATAGCTTCCGCTTATACAACCCCCAGCCCAGGGAACTTACTCCGTATCCAACAGGCTCTGGAGCCTGACTGTTTGGGCTTAAATCCCGCCATTTATTATCAATGTGACCTTGGGTGAGTGGTGAGTTCTGTCACCTCTTTGTGCCTCAGTTTCATGAAGATAATAATACTCATCTTTATGCCATAAGGCTGTTGTGAGGACTATCCAAGACACTTGATATTAAGGACTTAACCCAGTGCCTGCCACACAATGAGGCCTCGATAAATGTTCTTCCAAGGTAGCTTAAGCAAATTTTACTGGAAGATAATTCTTTTCTTGCAGTGAGCTAAAATCTGGAAGTTTTTCTATTGATCCTGGCTCTGCATCCTAGGGCCATGCAGTTGGTCATTCATTAATTCATTCAATAAATGCATATTGAGTGTCTATGATGTCAGGCCTTGTGCTGGTGAGGGCCTTGTCTGCAGAAAGTTGAGATGGAATTCCTGGTCTGCGCTTCTCCAGCCCCTCGTCCCCTGCTCTGCAAAGACACTGTGGTCTGTACAAGCCCAGTGGGAGGAGCCAGGCCACAACTCTGGTTATGACTTGACCTAAGAGTGCATGGAGAGGCAGGGGTGTTTGGGGGTGGGAGGGGCAGTGACAGCCCAAGGCCTGGGGCTTTTCCCTCTCTCAGAGCCACTAGGAGAGGGGTCCTTAGCACTCCTCAACCCCAGGAACCCAGGCAGCTACAGGTGGGCCATTGGCCTTGGAAAAGGCCGAATGTCCCCAGCCCTGGGTCAGTCCCCAGATGCTGTAAACATTTCTGCTGTGAGCAAGCTGCAGCCAACGGACTAAGGGGTCACCACTACCTACTAGAGGGGATGTTTATGTTATTATTATTTTTTTTGACTCTTAACAAGGAAAGTCAGAACCTCTGTTTCCTGGAACTCCTCGCGCTGTTGTTTAGATAAGTTTAAATGAGCTGTGATTAAGCTAATTTTGAGGTAATTAACTTGGGGAAGGAATCCTTCACTTCTTAAAATTCTAAGTGACTGTTCATTAGAAGAGGGGGCACTCGCAGAGGAGCCACGCGGCTTTCAGGAGCCCTGCTTAATTAAAACATAAGGAACTCAGCCACAGAGCAAGGGTTTACCGTCATTAATGAAAAATGAATATTCTTTATCTAATTACACAGCATAATTAATTGGAGTCTCCAACCATGGAGGTGGAGGCGGGCAGAGGAAGCCACAGGAAGGCAGAGGCTCCTGTTCCCACAGACCCCAGGAAGGGTTGGAGCCAGGTTCTGGGATCCTCTTGAGGTCTCCTCACAGCTTAGGGCCCAGGCCAACCCTGGCCCAGGATGCAGAAGGGCCGGGTGGGGAGCAGACTCGGCCCCATCTTTGATGCTCCACAGCCGTGGGAGCAGGTTCCTGCCTCGCCCCAGAGGTCTCTTCGGTGGCAGTTTGAGCCTGTGTCAGCCAATCTGCATCCTAGCATTTGATTCTGTATTCAGTAAATTTATCTGGCACCTCGTGTGTGCCAGACTGTGAATGAAACAGATCTAAGCCCTGCGCTTCGGAAGGGCACGGGTTTGAATCCTGGCTCTGCTGCTTTTTCACTGCAGTGATCTTGGGCAAGTTCCTTCATTTTCTGTGTCTCAGTTTGCTCATCTGTAAAATGGGATGAACCATAGCACATAACTCAGAGGGTTGTTATGAGGATTAAGGGAATTAATATTCATAAAGCACTTAGAACAGTGCCCGGCACATATAAGTGCTCTATAATAAATGGTTTTTTTCTAAATAAGAAAACAAATCGGGATGGGTGCTATGAGGAAAAAGAACAGGATGTATTAAATAGCAAGACAGAAGAACACGAAAGGACTGGCTTTAGAAGTGGCATTCAGAGGGAGAGTGGGAAGGGGATGTGGCTGCCTGACTGTGCCCCCTCCCCACCTGCCAGCCCCACTGTTGCCACCAGGTCTGGATATGCACCTTCTGGTGTCTCTACCTTCCTCTCCATCTTCCTTCTGGGGACTTCCTAGGTCAGCAGCACGTTTTGACTCGCCCTCTGAGTGCCCCCAAAACATTTTGCCCAGGCAGGGAGTTCTGTCAAGGCCCAGCTGTCTACAGGTGAGGCCAGCACAGAGCACATGTGAGAAGGCATCTTGGAGATGGTGTCATCAACCCATTTTACTGGTGAGGAGACTGAGGCCCAGGGGACACTGTCAAGGGGCTGGCTAGTGGGGCTGGCTTTCTGATTCCCAGCCCACTACTCTCACTCTCTGTCCAAGGTCAGCCAGCATCTTGCTTCTCTCAGTCTGGCTGGGCTGGCCATCCCCCTGAGTCCAAACCTGATCCAGGATCCTTTTGTCTGGTGCCTGAGGAATCTGCATTGCCCCGCGATTCAGTTTTCTGAGCTCTGGCTCAACGTGCTTTCCAAGAATTTCTTTCTCTTCCTGATTTCCTATCTCTTTTCACCTCTCACTCTCTCTTCGTCATTGCACAGAGCCAGGCACAGAGGCAGCTATTGGGGTTAAAAGATAGATGAGGTCGGCCAGGTGCGGTGGTTCACGCCTGTAATCCCAGCACTTTGGGAGGCTGAGGAAGGTGGATAACCTGAGGTCGGGAGTTCGAGACCAGCCTGACCAACATGGAGAAACTCCATCTCTACTAAAAATACAAAATTAGCCGGGCGTGGTGGCACATGCCTGTAATCCCAGCTACTCGGGAGGCTGAGGCAGGAGAATCACTTGAACCCAGGAGGCAGAGGTTGCAGTGAGCCAAGATCACGCCATTGCACTCCAGCCTGGGCAACGAGAGTGAAACTCTGTCCTGAAAAAAAGATAAATGAGGTCTCACCCCATTTCTGGGCAGGTGCATCCAATCTAGTCACATTCTCTCTCTCTGCATCCTTTGCAACCACTGGGCCCCACTTCTCTCTCCCTTTTGTTTAATCTGGTTTTGAGGGGAACAATGGGGATGCTTTTGCCTATTGCAAGCTGCTGTGGGCATGGGCTCCAGGCCATGCCCACATCGCAGACCAGGCAAAGCAGTGCAGGTAGCATGAGGAGGGCAGTCACCAGGAGGTCACCTGTCACCTGTCTCCAGGGAGGTTACCTGTCTCCAGGCAGGTCACTTGTTTCCAAGCAGGCCGCCTTCTAGACCCGCATGCTGGTGACTCTTCAGAGTTCTCAGGGTAATTTTGTTCCCTGAAAAGGAGGCCATCCCTGGGCCTGCCAGGCCGCTGCTCTGGGGCCTTGCCCTCTGGTTCTCCTGCCCATTTGGGAGAGCGTCTTTGTCACAGGAGCTGTGACAAAGGGGGTGCAAGAGGCTTCTGGCTGAGCTAAACTGATCATACTCTGGATACAGCTTTCAGTTAATCTCTGAGGTGTTTTGAGGTTGTCTTTGGGGAAGAGGGAGAAGTAGGCCTGGGGAGGAGCTAGGTGGCAAGACAGAAAAGAGACAGTGTATCAGGAGGGGCCTTATAAAGATAGACAGATGATAGCTATGGAGAAGAGGCTGATGGGAGAGTGTTGTTAGCTGTCCCCGAGGATTCACCGCTCCAAAAAGAGAATTTGGAATGCCTGCAGCATTTTGGAAAGTCCTTTGTTCCTCCCTTTCTGGGGGAGCCAGAGCCTTCCCAGGGGATTCACTGGGACCAGGTCTCAGATGGGCCAGGAGAGGGGACAAGGGGATGAGAGTACACTAGTGGCTGCTGTGCAGAAACAAAGCCAGGTTGAGGACATGTCCATAGCTCCTCCTGTTTTGCTTAAGCACCTCCCAGGAGTCTGGGTCCCTTCCTGGCACAGTGCTGTGCAAACCAGTCTCTTCCCCAAAGCCATGGCCCCTTTCATGCCTCAGTTAACTGCAGAAAATGCATGAATTTATTTCTGCAAAGCTAACCTGAAACAAAAAACATTATATTGGCTGGAAGGAGAAACTTTGTGGGCGGGAGAGGTGGAAAGTCACTGCTCCTGGCCCCTGGGGATCCCAGTCTCTTCAGAACCAGCTGCATACAGCCAGAAGCTGGGGCTGAAACAGACTCTCTGGTTCCTTATTAGCTCCAGGTTCTCCTTAATCTGATGATTCTTGAGATAGCAGGAAGCTCTTAGTTCCCTTCTCACAAGGGTGGGCTTGAGTGAAATCAAATAGACTTCTAGTGTCGTTTCAATCACCTGCCTGAAAGGCTTGATTTAGCTCTCTGGTCAGAAAGATGGGATTCAATCAATATTCATCCAAAAAAGCACATTCTTCCTAAAAAATTACTTTGCGTATTATTAAACAGTAGTGACACTCCCATCTCCCAGGGAGCCCCAGCTTGTGTTTTGAGAAGAGGCACACAACACATGGGAAAGTTGTGATTTATTTCTTCACTTTCTTTCAGATTCATTTCACGGCTCTTTTGGCAGATGGGACAAGTGGCATTTGACTTTCCTTTTTTTTTATTTTTTTGAGACAGGGTCCTGCTCTGTTGCTGGAGTACAGTGGTACAATCATAGCTCACTGTAGCCTCTAGCTGTTGGGCTCAAGTGGTCCTTCTGCCTCAGCCTCCCAAGCTGGGTGACTACAGGCATGCACCACCATGCCCAGCTAAGTTTTTGTTTTTTGTAGAGATGGGGTCTCACTATATTGTCCAGGCTGGTCTCTTGGGCTCAAATGATCCTCCTGTCTCAGCCTCCCTAAATGCTGGGATTACAGGTATGAGTAACTGTGCTTGGCTGACTTTCCTGAAGGGAGAAGGAGAAGGTACTGGTGGCAGGACTAGGGAGGCAGGGCGGTGGGGCTACTGGTCAGGCCTGATGGCGTGAAGGTACACCCTGTCACAAAGACACATGCACCAAAGTGGTTTTCATGAAACAAGCCCAGTCTGCACTGACTGGCGGGTCTTTCCCTTGGGAGACACAGCCCTGGCTTTGGAATTGGTCAGAATCCTGGCTGTGTGGCCTAGAGCAAGCCACTTTGGCCTCTGAACCTCAGTCTCCTTAATTGTCAAATGGGGAGAATAGCACCAACGTGGTAGGGTTGTGCGAGGAATAAATGGGACAACACACGTGCAGTTGCTGGCTCATGACAGGCGCTCAGCTAATTTGAGTTCCTTTTTTGGAAGGTTGCTGATAACGTCTTTTTCATTTCTGTATATTAAATGTGGAGAAGGCATTTACTAATTTGTTGAATAAATGGAATTTTTATAAAAAAGAAATTTGTTTAGCTCTGAAATTTTACTTCCGTTAGCTAGAGATGTGAATTGTGAGCTTAAATGGTGCGGTGGCTCATGCCTGTAATCCCAGCACTTTGGGAGGCCGAGGCGGGTGGATCACCTGAGGTCAGGAGTTCGAGACCAGCCTGGCCAACATGGTGAAACCCTGTCTCTAATAACAATATAAAAAAATTAGCTGGGCATGTGGTGGTGGGCACCTGTAATCCCAGCTACTTGGGAGGCTGAGACAGGAGAATTGCTTGAACCCAGGAGATGGAGGTTGCAGTGAGCTGATACGGTGCCACTGCACTCCAGCCTGGGCAACAGAGTGAGACTCCATCTCAGAAAAAAAAAAAAAAGTGCATGTTGCGGGCCAGGGGCGGTGGCTCACACCTATAATCCCAGCACTTTGGGAGGCCGAGGTAGGCGGATCACCTGAGGTTAGGAGTTCGAGACCAACCTGGCCAACATGGTGAAACCCTGTCTCTACTAAAAATACAAAAATTAGGCCGGGCGCGCTGGTTCATGCCTGTAATCCTAGCACTCTGGGAGGCTGAGGCGAGTGAATCACGTGAGGTCAGGAGTTCAAGACCAGCCTGGTCAACATGGTGAAACCCCGTCTCTACTAAACATACAAAAAATTAGCTGGGCGTGGGGGTGCACGCCTGTAATCCCAGCTACTCAGGAGGCTGAGGCAGGAGAATTGCTTGAACCTGGGAGACAGAGGTTGCAGTGAGCCGTGATTGCACCATTGCACTCCAGCCTGGGCAACAAGAGCGATACTCCATCTCAATAAAAAGAAAACAAAAACACAAAAATTAGCTGGGTGTGGTGGTGTGTGCCTGTAATCCCAGCTACTAGGGAGGCTGAGACAGGAGAATCGCTTGAACCTGGGAGGTGGAGGTTGCAGTGAGCTGAGATAGATAGTGCCACTGCACTTCAGCCTTGGCAACAGAGTGAGACTCTGTCTCAAAAAAAAAAAAAAAAAAAGTGCATGCTTTGACATGGGTACCTTTGCTGAGGTTGGGGGTGGGGAAACTACAGCTCACAGGCCACACCTGCCCGTTTTTTGTAAGTAATATCACTACACCCATTTATTTGCATATCATCTGTGGCTGCTTTCACACAACAACTACAGAGTTCAGAGTTTGCAACAGGGACTATCTGACCCGCAAAGCCTAAAATATTTACTATCTTGTCCTTTATAGAAAAAAAGTTTTCTGAATTCTGGCTTGGGCCAGTGGTTCTCGAACTTTAGTCTATATCAGAATCATCTAAGGAGCTTGTTAAAACAAATATTGTTGGGCCCCACCCCCAGAGATCCTGATTTAAAAGATCTGTGGCAGAGCCTAAGAATGTGCATTTCTTTCCTTCCTTCCTTCCTTCCTTCCTTCCTTCCTTCCTTCCTTCCTTCCTTCCTTCCTTCCTTCTTTCTTTCTTTCTTTCTTTCTTTCTTTCTTTCTTTCTTTCTTTCTTTCTTTCTTTCTTTCTTTCTTTCTTTCTTTCTTTCTTTCTTTCTTACTTTTCTTGAGACAAAGTCTCACTCTGCTGCCCAAGCTGGAGTGCAGTGGCGCTATCTCAGCTCACTGCAACATCCATCTCCTGGGTTCAAGCGATTTTCCTGCCTCAGCCTCCCGAGTAGCTGGGACTACGGGTGCGCACCACCACGGCTGGCTAATTTTTGTATTTTTAGTAGAGATGGGGTTTCACTATGTTGGCCAGGCTGGTCTTGAACTCCTGACCTCATGATCTGCCCTCGCTGGCCTCCCAAAGTGCTAGGATTATAGGTGTGAGCCACTGTGCCTGGCCAAGAATGTGCATTTCTAACAAGTTCCTAGGTGATGCTGATGCCCGTGCTGCTGATCTGCGGCCACACATTGAGAACCATTGGCTTAAGGCTGTTTCTTATGCCTGGAATGCCTTTTCTCCAACTGCCTTTTAAATTGTAGCTGTTTTGAAAGATCAGCTCAAATGCAACCTCAATGACGCTTTATGAACTGGACACCTGCTATATGCCAGACACTGTAAAGGCATTGAGGATACAATTTGGTGGACAAAACAGACACATTGTCATTCTTTGTGAAGCTTTCAGTCTATTGGGGACATGGACAATGAACAGTTAAAAATATAAGTACAAATTGTGATGGGTATGATGAAGGGCATCATGAGAAAATTAAAAGTGGAGTCTACTCTACTTGGGGGGTTAGGAAAAGCATCTCTAAGGAGAGACATTTTAGCTGACATCAGGATAAGAGAAAGTCATCCTGGAAAGAACGAGGAAAAGATTCTTTCAGGCAGAGGGAAGAATTGTGCAAAAGCCTTGGAGTAGGAAAGAGTGTGTTGCATTTAAGGGGTGAAGAAAGGCCAGTGTTGTTGGAGCGAAGGAAGAGGACATGATACAAGGTGAGTATGGTGATGTAGGTAGAGGATAGGTCACAGATTGCATTGTTGGCCCCAACTTTTAACCCCTCCCTGCATTCACAGCCTTGCCTCAGTGTCATTGTGGGTGTAGACACCTGTCCTTTGCCTTTGGGCTTGGCCACAAGATTTACTTTGGCCAACTGATATTCCTATAGAAGTTCCAGCCTAGGCCTTGAGAGGATTCATATGTTTTAAATTGCTATCTTGTTTCTGCCAGCATCACCAGCAAAACACGTCAAGGCTAATGTGCTGGTCCAAAGCATGCGGAACGGTCGTTAGCCTAAATCAGCTGATCCAGCTGACAGATGGACATGTGATAATATGTTACTGTTGTTGTTAGCCCACTGTGTTTTGGAATGGCTTGTTTTGGGGATGGTTTGTTACACAATAGTAGCTGACTAAGACTAACAATAATGAGAAATTTGAGCTTTATTCTAAGTACAATGGGATGTCATTGAAAGTGTTTAACTAGAAGTGTAACATGATCTGGTTTATGATTGCAAATGATCTCTCTGGCTGCTGTGAGGAGGGTAAGGTGTATGGAGGAGGCAAGAGACCACCCTAAGCCATGTGTCCAGACTCAGAGCCCAGCACAGTGCCTGGCATAGTAGAGGTGCTCAGGAGCTGTTGTTCAGCCCTCCGTAGCTGGAATGAACCCACCCTTCCCTGTATCCCCCAATACTCTCTTTGGGCCCTCTTACCTGTGACTTGGTGGTAACGGTGCTCATTATACTCCTGCTGGATTTGGGATTCTTGAGGGTAGAGACCTAGGTCCTTCTATATGTCTCCTGGGCCCCTGTAGGCTCAGCTCAGAGCAGAAGTCAATAACCTCCCTGAAATGAATTAATATAAAGGGTTTTTCTACAGCTGCTACAAGTTGGATTTTCACTTCAGTGGTCTCTAATGGATCCAGACACTTAAGTGACTTCTACCAGGTCATGGGGTGGCTTCCTTTAAAACCTCATCAGCAAAGAGGGACTGCTTGAGTGGTTCCCCTTTAGTCCTAAGATGCGTGGAAGTGGATATTGCAGAGAGAGAGAGCTCTGAGGCAAGGAGCAACTCCTCTACGAAGGCTTGAAGAACTGGGCAGGAAAGCCAGCTGGAGCCTATTTACAAACCTTTCCTAAAAAACTAACAAACATGAGTAAACCCACTGTGGCAGGAACACCTGTTCTGTGGGGATGTTTCCTAACACTTTACTTCAAAATATCTGGAAAGCAAAAGCAGCCTGTACATACACTCTCAAACTTAAATAAGCAAATCTACTTTTTTTGGACGAATTTTGACTACCCTGGTTCTCACACTATTTACCCATGAGGCTCAGAGTATTTAACCAAAAAATTTTATGACTTACACTAGGATTATATCCCCAAAGAGCAGGCCAAAAATGGGGATAGACTAGATCCTTCTATCCCTGGAAATTTTATAGAAAGACAAAAGCTTTTTTGTCTCATATTAGTTGGTCTGGCTCAAAGGCAGAAACATTCCCCAGATAGCCTCTGTTGAGCTGCCTGTTTCAGGAAATGAGCTTTAACTAGTTCAATAGTTCAACCCAGTGCATCAGAATTTGCTGGTCGTCTAATATGCACCCCTCCCTGGGCTAGGCAGTGATGGGTGGCAAAGATGCCTAAATGCCGTTTTGGCCTCAGCAGTCTTAAGCTTGGTAAGGCAATACATTCATTTTTAGAGGAATTATTTAATTAGAGTCAGTTTCTCTGACTAGGTTGAGCAGAGACTGGGTGTGTTTCTTCTACAGCATGGCATTACCAATGCCTAATACAATGTCTGGCAGCACTTAGTAGGTGCTCACTAAAATTTGTTTTATAATCAAGGTATAATCTATATATGGTGAAATGGACAGATCTTATATCCATAAGATATTCCTGATGAGTTTTGGCAAATGTGCAACCAACACCCTAATCAAGATCTACAGCAGCATTGTCCCACTGAAACATAGTGTGAGCCACACAGGTAATTAAAATTTTTAAATTTTTCTAGCAGCCTCATTACAAAAGCAAAAAAAGACTGGACACAGTGGCTCATGCCTGTAATCCCAGCACTTTGGGAGGCAGAGGTGGGAGGATCATGTTTAGGTCAGGAGTTTGAGACCAGTCTGGCCAATATGGTGAGACCCTGTCTCTACTAAAAATACAAAAATTAAGTGAAGGTGATGGCACACACCTGTAATCCCAGCTACTCAAGAGGCTGAGGCAGGAGAATCACTTGAACCTGGAAGGCAGAGGTAACAGTGAGCTGAGATCATGCCACTGTACTGCAGCCTGGGCAACAGAGCGAGACTCTGTCTAAAAAAAAAAAAAAGGAAAAAGAAACAGGTGAAATTAATTTAGTAATATATTTAAGGCATCCATTCCAAGATGGCCAACTAGGAACAGCTCAGGTCTGCAGCTCCCAGCATGATTGACAAAGAAGATGGGTGATTTCTGCATTTCCAACTGAGGTACCTGGTTCATCTCATTGAGACTGGTTGGACAGTGGGTGCAGCCTGCAGTGGGTGAGCCAAAGCAGGGTGGGGCTTCGCCTCACCTGGGAAGCGCTAAGGGTCAGGGGATTTCCCTTTCCTAGCCAAGGGAAGCCATGACAGATGGTACCTGGGAAAATGGGACACTTCTGTCCAAATACTGCGTTTTTCCCACAGTCTTAGCAACCGGTAGACCAGGAGATTCTCTCCCGTGCCACACTTGGCAGGTCCCACGCCCATGGAGACTTGCTCACTGCGAGGGCAGCAGTCTGAGATTGACCTGCAAGGCAGCAGCCTGGCGGGGGGAGGGGCGTCTGCCATTGCTGAGGCTTGAGTAGGTAAACAAAGCAGCCAGGAAGCTCAAACTGGGTGGAGCCCACCGCGTGTCAGCAAGGCCTACTGCCTCTGTAGACTCCAACTCTGTGGGCAGGGCATAGCTGAACAGAAGGGAGCAGAAACTTCTGAAGAGCTAAATGTCCCTGTCTGACAGCTCTGAAGAGAGCAGTGGTTCTCCCAGCATGGTGTTTGAGCTCTGAGAATGGCCAGACTGCCTCCTCAAGTGGGTCCCTGACCCCCACGTAGCCTAACTGGGGGACGCCTCCCAGTAGGGGCTGACAGACACCTCATACAGGCAGGTGCCCCTCTAGGATGAAGCTTCCAGAGGAAGGATCAGGCAGCAATAATTGCTGTTCTGCAGTATTTGCTGTTCTGCAGCCTCCACTGGTGATACCCAGGCAAACAGCGTCTGGAGTGGACCTCCAGAAAACTCCAATAGACCTGCAGCTGAGGGACCTGACTGTTAGAAGGAAAACTAACAAACAGAAAGGAATAGCATCAACATCAACAAAAAGGACATCCACACCAAAAACTCATCTGTAGGTCACCAACATCAAAGACCAAAGTTAGATAAAACCACAAAAATGGGGAGAAACCTAGAGCAGAAAAGCTGAAAATTCTAAAAACCAGAGTGTCTCTTCTCCTCCAAAGGATCACAGCTCCTCGCCAGCAACAGAACAAAGCTGGATGGAGAATGACTTTGATGAGTTGACAGAAGTAGGCTTCAGAAGGTCGGTAATAACAAACTTCTTCAAGCTAAAGGAGTATGTTCTAACCCATCACAAGGAAGCTAAAAACCTTGAAAAAATGTTAGACGAATGGCTAACTAGAATCAACAGTGTAGAGAAGACCTTAAATGACCTGATGGAGCTGAAAAACATGGCATGAGAACTTCGTGACACATGCACAAGCTTCAATAGCCGATTTGATCAAGTGGAAGAAAGGATATCAGTGATTGAAGATCAAATTAATGAAATAAAGCAAGAAGACAAATTTAGAGAGAAGAGTAAAAAGAAACAAACCAAGCCTCCAAGAAATATGGGACTATGTGAAAAGACCAAACCGACATTTGAATGGTGTACCTGAAAGTGACAGGGAGAATGGAACCAAGTCACAAAACACTCTTCAGGATATTATGCAGGAGAACTTCCCCAATCTAGCAAGGTAGGCCAACATTCAAATTCAGGAAATACAGAGAATACCACAAAGATACTCCTTGAGAAGAGCAACCCCAAGACACATAATTGTCAGATTCACCAAGGTTGAAATGAAGGAAAAAATGTTAAAGGCAGCCAGAGAGAAAGGTCGGGTTACCCACAAAGGGAAGCCCATCAGACTAACAGTGGATCTCTCAGCAGAAACCTTACAAGCCAGAAGAGTGTGGGGGCCAATATTCAACATTCTTAAAGAAAACAATTTTCAACCCAGAATTTCATATCCAGCCAAACTAAACTTCATAAGTGAAGGAGAAATAAAATCCCTTACAGACAAGCAAATGCTGAGAGATTTTGTCACCACCAGGCCTGCCTTACAAGAGCTCCTGAAGGATGCACTAAACATGGAAAGGAACATCTGGTACCAGCCACTGCAAAAACATGCCAAATTGTAAAGACCATCGATGCTATGAAGAAACTGCATCAATTAATGGGCAAAATAACCAGCTAACATCATAATGACAGGATCAAATTCACACATAACAATATTAACCTTAAATGTAAATGGGCTAAATGCCCCAATTAAAAGATACAGACCGACAAATTGGGTAAAGAGTCAAGACCCATCAGCGTGCTGTATTCAGGAGACCCATCTCATGTGCAGAGACACACATAGGCTCAAAATAAAGGGATGGAGGAAGATCTGCCAAGTAAATGGAAAGAAGAAAAAAAGACAAAAGGAAAAAAAAAAGTAAGGGTTGCAATCCTAGTCTCTGATAAAACAGACTTTAAACCAACAAAGATCAAAAGAGACAAAGAAGGCCATTACATAATGGTAAAGGGATCAATTCAACAAGAAGAGCTAACTATCCTGAATATATATGCACCCAATACAGGAGCACCCAGATTCATAAAGCAAGTCCTTAGAGACCTACAAAGAGACTTAGACTCCCACACAATAATAATGGGAGACTTTAACACCCCACTGTCAATATTAGACAGATCAACGAGACAGAAGGTTAACAAGGATATCCAGGAATTGAACTCAGCTCTGCACCAAGCGGACCTAATAGACATCTACAGAACTCTCCAAATCAACAGAATATACATTCTTCTCAGCACCACATCACTCTTATTCTAAAACTGACCCATAATTGGAAGTAAAGCACTCCTCAGCAAATATAAAAGAACAGAAATCACAACAAACTGTCTCTCAGACCACACTGCAATCAAATTAGAACTCAGGATTAAGAAACTCACTCAAAACTGCACAACTACATGGAAACTGAACAACCTGCTCCTGAATGACTACTGGGTACATAACAAAATGAAGGCATAAATAAAGATGTTCTTTGAAACCAATGAGAACAAAGACACAACATACCAGAATCTCTGGGACATATTTAAAGCAGTGTGTAGAGGGAAATTTATAGCACTAAATGCCCACAAGAGAAAGCAGGAAAGATCCAAAATCAAAACCCTAACATCACAATTAAAAGAACTAGAGAAGTAAGAGCAAACAAATTCAAAAGCTAGCAGAAGGCAAGAAATAACTAAGATCAGAGCAGAACTGAAGGAGATAGAGACACAAAAACCCTTCAAAAAATCAATGAATCCAGGAGCTGGTTTTTTTGAAAGGATCAACAAAATTGATAGACCACTAGCAAGACTAATAAAGAAGAAAAGAGAGAAGAATCAAATAGATGTGATAAAAAATGATAAAGGGGATATCACCACCGATCCCACAGAAACACAAACTACCATCAGAGAATACTGTAAACACCACTAAGCAAATAAACTAGAAAATCTAGAAGAAATGGATAAATTCGTGGACACATACACCCTCCCAAGACTAAACCAAGAAGACATTGAATCTCTGAATAGACCAATAGCAGGCTCTGAAATTGAGGCATAATTAATAGCTTACCAACCAAAAAAAGTCCAGGACCAGATGGATTCACAGCCGAATTCAGCCAGAGATACAAAGAGGAGCTGGTACCATTCCTTCTGAAACTATTCCAATCAACAGAAAAAGAGGGAATCCTCCCTAACTCATTTTATGAGGCCAGCATCATCCTGATACCAAAACCTGGCAGAGACACAACAAAAAAAGAGAATTTTAGAACAATATCCCTGATGAACATCGATGCGAAAATCCTCAATAAAATACTTGCAAACCGAATCCAGCAGCACATCAAAAAACTTATCCACCATGATCAAGTTAGCTTCATCCCTGGGATGCAAGGCTGGTTCAACATACACAAATCAATAAACGTAATCCATCACATGAACAGAACCAATGACAAAAACCACATGATTATCTCAATAGATGCAGAAAAGGCCTTCGACAAAATTCAACAGCACTTCATGTTAAAAACTCTCAATAAACTAAGTATTGATGGAATGTATCTCAAAATATTAAGAACTATTTATGACAAACACACAGCCAATATCATACTGAATGGGAAAAACTGGAAGTATTGCCTTTGAAAACTGGCACAAGACAAGGATGCCCTCTCTCACCACTCCTATTCATCATGGCATTGGAAGTTCTGGCCAGGGCAATCAGGCAAGAGAAAGAAATAAAGGGTATTCAGTTAGGAAAAAAGGAAGTCAAATTGTCCCTGTTTGCAGATGACATGGTGGTATATTTAGAAAACCCCATCGTCTCAGCCCAAAATCTCCTTAAGCTGATAAGCAACTTCAGCAAAGTCTCAGCATACAAAATCAATGTGCAAAAATCACAAGCATTCCTATACACCAATAACAGACAAACAGAGAGCCAAATCATGAATGAACTCCCATTCGTAATTGCTACAAGGAGAATAAAATACCTCGGAATCCAACTTACAAGGGATGTGAAGGACCTCTTCAAGGAGAACTACAAATCACTGCTCAACAAAATAAAAGAGGACACTAACAAATGGAAGAACATCCATGCTCATGGATAGGAAGAATCAATATTGTGAAAATGGCCATACTGCCCAAGGTAATTTATAGATTCAATGCCATCCCCATCAAGCTACCAATGACTTTCTTCACAGAATTGGAAAAAACTATTCTAAAGTTCATATGGAACCAAAAAAGAGCCCACATAGCCAAGACAATCCTAAGCAAAAAGAATAAAGCTAGAGGCATCATGCTACCTGACTTCAAACTATACTACAAGGCTACAGTAACCAAAACAGCATGATACTGGCACCAAAACAGATACATAGACCAATGGAACAGGACAGAGGCCTCAGAAATAACACTACACATCTACAACCATCTGATCTTTGACAAACCTGACAAAAACAAGATATGGGGAAATGATTCCCTATTTAATAAATGGTGCTGGGAGAACTGGCTAGCCATCTGTAGAAAGCTGAAACTGCATCCCTTCCTTACACCTTATACAAAAATTAATTCAAGATGGATTAAAGATTTAAATGTTAGACCTAAAACCATAAAAACCCTAGAAGAAAGCCTAGGCAATATCATTAAGGACATAGGCATGAGCAAGGACTTCATGACTAAAACACCAAAAGCAAAGGCAACAAAAGCCAAAATAGACAAATGGGATCTAATTAAACTAAAGAGCTTCTGTATGGCAAAAGAAACTACCATCAGAGTGAACAGGCAACCTACAGAATGGGAGAAAATTTTTGCAATCTACCCATCTGACAAAGGGCTAATATCCAGAATCTACAAAGAACTTAAACAAATTTACAAGAAAAAAAAACAAAAAAACCCATCCAAAAGTGGGCGAAGGATATGAACAGACACTTCTCAAAAGAAGACATTTATGCAGCCAACAGACACATGAAAAAATGCTTATCATCACTGGTCATCAGAGAAATGCAAATCAAAACCACCATGAGATACCATCTCACACCAGTTAGAATGGCAATCATTAAAAAGTCAGGAAACAACAAATGCTGGAGAGGATGTGGAGAAATAGGAACGCTTTTACACTGTTGTTGGGAGTGTAAATTAGTTCAACCATTGTGGAAGACAGTGTGGCAATTCCTCAAGGATCTAGAACTAGAAATACCATTTGACCCAGTGATCCCATTACTGGGTATATACCCAAAGGATTATAAATCATGCTGCTATAAAGACACATGCACACATACGTTTATTGTGACACTATTCACAATTGCAAAGACTTGGAACCAACCCAAATATCCATCAATGATAGACTGGATTAAGAAAATATGGCACATATACACCATGGAATACTATGCATCCATAAAAAAGGATGAGTTCATGTCCTTTGCAGGGACATGGATGAAGCTGGAAATCATCATTCTCAGCAAACTATCACAAGGACAGAAAACCAAACACCGCATGTTCTCACCACAGGTGGGAATTGAACAATGAGAACACTTGGACACAGGACAGGGAACATCATACACCAGGGCCTGTCACGAGGTGGGGGGATTGGGGAGGGATAGCATTAGGAGGAATACCTAATGTAAATGATGAGTTGATGGGTGCAGCAAACCAACATGTCACATGTATACCTATGTAACAAACCTGCACGTTGTGCACATGTACTCTAGAACTTAAAGTATAATAAAAAAAGAAAAAAAATTTACCTAAACTAATATGTCCAAAATATGGTCATTTCCATATGTAAGCAATGTAAAATTTATGAATGAGATGTTTTATATATTTTGCCTATCCTAAGTCTTTGGAAACCAGGTTTTATACTTAAAGCACATTTCAGTTCAGACTAGCCATATTTTAAGTGCTGAATAGCCACATGTGGTTAGTGCCTACTGTGTTGGACAACACAGAATCAGAACCTTTTCTTCACCCTAGGAAATTCTGATTTCTGCCTGCCTGTGAGTCAATCCCCTTGTTACCAGATGCAACTGCTTTTCTGATTTCTATCACCATAGATTAGTTTTGCCTGTTCTTGAACTTGTAAAGAGCTCAAACTCGTGTGTTTGGTTTCTTTTACTCTACATAATATTTTCGAGATCCATGTTGTGTTTATCAGTAATTTGTTCCCTTTTCATTGCAGAGTGGAGTTCCACTGTCTGCCTATGCCATGTTTGTGTATCCACCTTTAATAAATATTTGTTTTTGAATGAATGTCAGTGCAACATGGTAAGCTACATAAGGAGCCCCGTGCGAAGGACAAAGTGTTCTATGGATTCAGGGTGGCAGGATGACAAGAATTCAGGGGGTTGGATGGCCTAGGGTGGTGTTCTAGAAAAGCGGGGCATTTGGATTGGACTTAAGGAGATACTTAGAGTCTCGATAGGTGAAAGTGGAGGAGGGGAGGCATTCTACATGGAGGAAGTGTCTGGAGCAAAGGCCTGGACCTGGGTGGTCAGGACTGGATTTGGAGAATGAAAGTCTAGAAGAATTAAGGTAGGCTGGGGCCAGATCTGGAGGTCTTGAATGATGCCATAAAGGAGTCTGATCCTTCCAGGAGTACGATCAATTGCTGCTCTGGAGCAGGGACGCAGCCCTAGGTGAGAAAGATCTTCCTGGAAGAGGAGACGCTTGGCACAGGTCTTGACAGATGAGACAAGGTTTCACTATGTTGCTCAAGCTGGTCTTGAACTCCTGGACTCAAACAATCTTCTGGCCTCGGCCTCCCAAAGCACTGGGATTACAGATGTGAGCCACTGCCCCCGGCCTGGATGAGCTTTTCTGTGATTTTCCCAGCATCCCTTTTGCTGCTCATCTTCTTGCTTTGGTCCGGGTTATTGCCTCTATCCAGACCATCCTTCAAGCATCTTCCAGGAGGAAAGCTTCCTGTCACTTCCCTGGCCCTCATCCCCATGATGTGGTTTCCTCCAAGTCAATCTCATGCTAATGTTTTTCCATTACAGCATCGTATTAACCAGAAGCTGCATTTACCTGGACCATACATCAGCCCGAGCCTGTCTCCAGTGAAGAGTTGTGTCGTGCTGGAGGGACCATTCATCACACCTGCCCAGCTTCTGGAGGCTCTCCTGGGCTTTGGTGTCTTAGGTCAGAGCTGTCACAAACATCCCACATTCACCTTGTCCCTGTGAGGGGAGGGAGCTCCAAGTACTCTCTGGCCTTGAGAAATGGCCCCTGATATTCCATTGCTTCAGCTATGACATCTCTGTAGCATCACAATCTATGCAACTTGGATAGAGAGAGGCTATGGGTCACACCATCAAATCTGATTGAAATTCATCTTCAATCAATCATGTTGATGTTGTATCTGGAGCTGACCTGGAAGCCTGAATATTCCTGGTCTTATTTACTTCTCACACCAACCCAGCTATCCCCATTTCAGGGATTACAAAATGGAGCACTGACTTGCTCAGGGTTACTTATGCTGCAGAAAAGGGGCAGATCCAGGGTCGGAACTTGGGTCTCTTGACTCCAACACCAGTGCTCGTGCCACAAAGCCAGCTGCCTCAGTGAGTGGCTTCCTGGCTGGATGGCTGGTTTCTCAGGGTACTGACTTGCTTTGAATGTCCTTTCTCCCTTTGCCTCCCCAGAGGGCGGCTTATTTCTTTAAGCTCAAGAAGAGGGAAAAGAAAAAAGGAGACGGTGAAATAAATTTATTGCCATGTTAGAAACATTGGATTGAAGAATTGATCCCTACAGCTAAGTAATTTCCCTCTTTCGTGCAAAATATAAATAAATCTGTATGGCTTACGCTGAACGATGCGCCCGGGCCGCCGGCTGGATTTCACGACATGAAATGCCCTTCAGAGTCTTGGGCTTCCTCTCCTTGACCCCACCAACGAGGTGTTCTAAATGGCCCTTGTGTTGTCCCTGAAGGAGGGATGTTGGCAGCTCCCTCGTCTTGCCTGCTACAGTTGGGCAGACTTAGGGATGTCTTGCAGAGTCCTTCCACAGCTCAGCTCGACCCTGGCAGGTGTGGCCCAGAACGGCTGATTTCCAGAACCGTAAATATACCAGCTTAATTATTACTGTTATTCTTTTCTCTAGGCAAAAGGGGAGGAGGTGGAGGGTGGGGGGTTGGTATCTCAAGTGTGTGATTATGTAACACAGAGCACTCCTTTTCCCTAAAGGTTTCATCTAATTTCTGTTAAGAGATGGCCAGTGTGGTGTGTCCAAATTAATCACGGGGGGAAGCTTTAGTCATCCTGCTCTCGTTGTGGTTTAATTTTAGCATGTTTCCCTGGGGTAGCCCTCCTTCCCAGCCTCTACCTAGTCTTAGGTAATTACAAGCCTGGAAAGAAAGAGGGAGTGTTGGCTGGCAGATGCCACCCACTCCTTGGCTGGCTCAGAGACAGAACTTGGCCTCTGTACTCTCCTTCTGCCAAGTGGGCTCCTCTGGGCTTGGAGTGTCAGGAGAGGATTTTATAAGGTGTAGGAGTTTCCCAGGAGACAGATGTCCTGGCCTCTTTGTGTGGTTTTCCATCTTGGAAGGGCCCAGGAGTGCAGATAGACAGCCTCTAAGGAGTTAGGAACTTAGGACCTGAGGAAGAGGATGAAGTCTGGCTTCATGCTGGGGAACTTGTGGTTGCCTCCCAGAAATCTTGATGTGGGACTTCAAGTAAAGAAGCAGGAGCTTCCAGGGTATGTTGGGGTCAGGCTGTGGGGAGGGGGCCAGTCTCTCTTTGCCTGCTTGTTCTTTAGGACAAAGTCTCTGCAACTTTTGTCTTCAGCCCCTGCAACACTGGCCATCCTGGGGGAAGGGAGACAGACAGCTCAGCTCATCACTTGGATTCTGCTGATGGCTTTGATTTTCCATCCCCATCAGGAATGAGTGTGGAGGGTCTGCCCAGGTGGGACCCTCAAGTCCCACTCTTTGCTGCTGGCAGGAGTTTATGAGGATCCTGGGTCCAACCCCCATCACTCCTGGTCTTGTATTTACTGCTTCCTAAAACTAAGAGAGCCTTGACAAGGATAGAAATTGGTACCAGGAGCTGGGTTGTATGAAACCACCTGCAGTGGGCATACACCATACTTACTGGTCTTTTTAGCATCAGAACCACCTTCCCATGTGTATTAGTCAGGATTCTCTTAGAGGGACAGAACTAATGGGATATGTATATATCCATATATATATGTGTGTGTGTGTGTATGTAGGGGAGTTTATTAAGTATTAACTTACATGATCACAAGGTCCCACAATAGGCTGTCTGCAAGCTGAGAAGAAAGGAGAGCCAGTCTGAGCCCCAAAACTGAAGAATTTGGAGTCTGATGTTTGAGGGCAGGAAGCATCCAGCACAGGAGAAAGATGTAGGCTGGGATTTTCACATTTTTCTGCCTGCTTTTTATTCACTGGAAGCTGAATAGATTGTGCCCACCAGATTAAGGGTGAATCTGCCTTCCTCAGCCCACTGACTCAAATGTTAATTTCTTTTGGCAACACCCACACAGACACATCCAGGATCAATACTTTGTATCCCTCAATCCAATCATGTTGACACTCAGTATTAACTGTCACAAGTCCACCCCTTGTCAACTTGAACCCATACGCACCTCTGAGAGCATACATAATCTTCAAATAAAGACAATAACAAGGTTGTAATTACGGCTAACATAATACAACTATCCTTTGTACAACTGGAAATGCACCAATCCCCAACCCAAATGCTATTACATAAAGTTAACAATACTTACATGCTGACATGAAGTCAATAAATCTTACGTCACATTATAAAGGAAAAAGGAAATAAAATGAATTTTTCTTTGGTAGAAGTGTATACATGCATAAACATGTTTTTAACAAAAGAGGAAATACTCATGACAGTTACAGTCTTCATTTCTGCAGCTGGTCATGCGGTTGTAGCTGGTATTGACTACTGCCTTCTACTACTACTCATTCTGTATTCCCTTTGCCTTCAGCAAGTACCTCAGCAGGTCATGTGTGTGTGTGTGTTTGTTTTTTGTTTTTGTTTTTTCCTGGTGGGGAGTGACCCAGACCTTCATTCCTGAAGGGTCTGGGCCATCTGTAGTCCTGCCTGGATTGGGCTGTTGTAGTTTCCCATTGACCTTAATCACAGGGCATGGTAATACTAAGAGACACCCTAATGGTCTCCTGTATTCCATGCATACTCTTCCTTACCTCCGTTGTGGAGTAGTAGACTGATCTCATCTTGATAGTCGGGGTCAATCACCCCAGCCAACACTGTAACTCCCTTCTTAGCCTGTTGACTTCAAGGTAGGAGGAGCCCGAAGTGTCCAGGTAGCAATCTTAACTTCCAGTTTAATGAGATCATTGTTGTGTCTCCTGGTGGCAGTGTTCCTCCCTCTAGAACTAAGACCCATAGGCCAGCAGAATGTAATGTTGCAGGAACAGGAACCAAAAATTTTTCTAGTGGATCACGAGGGGTGATGGTGAGTGGTGCCACTTCCACTTTCATCCCTTGATTCCTGGGCCTGTGAATCCTGGCTATGGGAAAAATACTGCCATATATTGGACACTGATTCAGAGCATACACAGCCTTCTGGAGAACTTTGCCCCAGCCCTGTGAAATATTGTCACCTAGTTGGTGTTGTAATTGCGACTTCAGAAGGCCACTCCACCATTCTATCAATCCAGCTGCTTCAGGATAATGGGGAACATGGTAAGACCAGTGAATTCCATGACCATGAGTCCACTGCTGCACTTCTTAAGCCACAAAGTGAGTGCCTTGGTCAGAGGCAATGCTGTGTGGAATATCATGATGGTGGATAAGGCATTTCGTGAGTCCACGGATGGTAGTCTTGGCAGAAGCATTATGTGCAGGATAGGCAAGCCCATATCTGGAGTAAGTGTCTATTCCAGTGAGGACAAACCTCTGCCCTTTCCATGATGGAAGAGGTCCAGCATAATCAACCTGCCACCAGGTGGCTGGCTGATCACACCGAAGAATGGTGCCATACCAAGGGCTCAGTGTTGGTCTCTGTTGCTCGCATATTAGGCACTCAGCAATGGCTGTAGCCAGGTCAGCCTTGGTGAGTGGAAGTCCATGTTGCTGAGCCCATGTGTAACCTCCATCCCTGCCACCATGGCTACTTTGTTCATGGTCCCAGTGGGCGATGGCAGGGGTGGCTGGGGAAAGAGGCCGAGTGGTGTCCACAGAACAGGCCATCCTATCCACTTGATTATTAAAATCCTCCTCCACTGAGATCACTCTTTGGTGAGCACTCACATGGGATACAAATATCTTCATAGTTTTTCACTACTCAGAGAGGTCCATCCATATACCTCTTCCTCAGATTTCTTTGTCATCAATTTTCCAAACATGCTTCTTCCAATTCCCTGACCGTTCAGCCAAACCATTGGCTATAGTCCATGAATCAGTACATAATCGCAGATCTGGCCATTTCTCCTTTCATGCAAGGTGGACAACCAGGTGCACTGCTTGAAGTTCTGCCCACTGGGAAGATTTCCCTTCCCCGCTGTCCTTCAGGGATGTCCTAGCAAGGGGCTGTAGTGTTGCAGCTGCCCACTTTTGGGTGGTGCCTGCATATTGTGCAGAACCATCTGTGAACCAGGCCCTGGTCTTCTCTTCCTCTTTCAAGTGATCATAGGGAACTCCCCATGAGGCCATCAGTGCAGCCTGGGGGAGAGAAGGCAGGGTGGCAGGAGTGGAGACCATGGGCATTTGAGCCACTTCCTCATGTAACTTACTTGTGCTTTCAGGACCTGCTGGAGGCCGATCACATATATACCACTTCCATTTGATGATGGAATGCTGCTGTACACGACCCATTTTATGGCTACATGGGTCAGAAAGCACCCAGTTCAGCATAGGCAGTTCAGGTCACATGGTAACTTGACTCATAGTCAAACATTCAGTTTCCACCAAAGCCAAGTAACAGGCCAAGAGCTGTCAAAAAGAGAGTAGTTATCTGCAGAAGATGGCAGGGCTTTGCTCCAAAATCCTAGAGGCTTCCTCTGTGATTCACCTATGGGAGCCTGCCAAAGACTCTAAACAGCATCCCTATCTCCCACTGACATCTCAAGCACCATTGGATCTGCTGGGTCATATGGCCCAAGTGGCAGAGCAGCTTGCACAGTAGCCTGGACCTGTTGCAGAGCTGTCTCCTGTTCTGGATCCCACTAAAAACTGGCAGCCTTTTGGATCACTCAATAAATGGGCTGGAGTAACACACACAAATGAGGAATGTGTTTCTTCCAAAATCCAAATAGGCCCACTAGGCATTGTGCCTCTTTCTTGGCTGTAGGAGGCACCAAGTGCAGCAACTTATCCTTCACCTTAAGGAATATCTCGACAAGCCCCACACCACTGGACCCCTAGAAATTTTACTGAGGTAGAAGTTCCCTGAATTTTAGTCAGATTTATTTCCCATCCTCTGACACACAAATATCTCACCAGTAAGTCCAGCGTGTTTGCTACTTCCTGCTCACCGGATGCAATCAGCATAATGTCATCCGTGTAATAGACCAGTGTGATATCTTGCAGAAGTGAAAAGTGATCAAGGTCTCTCTGAATAAGTCTGTGACACAAAGCTGGAAATTTGATATACCCCTGAGGTAGGATAGTAAAGGTATATTGCTGGCCTTACCAGCTGAAGGCAAATTGCTTCTGGTGGGCCTTATGGACAGGAATGGAGAAAAAGGCATTTGCCAAGTCAATGGCTGCATACCAGGTACCAGGAGATGTGTTAATTTGCTCAAGCAAAGAAACCACATCTGGTACAGCAGCTGCAATTGGAGTCACCACTTGGTTAAGCTTACAATAATCCACTGTCATTCTCCAAGATCTATTTATCTTCTGCACAGGCCAAATGGAAGAGTTGAACTGGGACGTGGTGGAATCCCCACCCCTGTGTCCTTCAAGTCCTTGATGGTGGCACCGATCTCCACAATCCCTCCAGGGATGTGATGCTGTTTTTGATTTATTATTTTTCTAGGTAAAGCCAGCCCTAATGGCTTCCATTTGGCCTTTCCCACCGTAATAGCACTCACCCTACCAGTCAGGGAGCCAATGTGGGGGTTCTGCCAGCTGCTAAGTATGCCTATGCCAATTATGCATTCTGGCACTGGGAAAATGACCACAGGATGAGTCCAGGGACTCACTGGACCCACTGTAAGTCAGATCTGAGCTAAAACTCCATTAATTACCTGACCTCCACAAGCCCCTACTTTAACTGGAGGACCACAATGACGTTTTGGATCCCTTGGAATCAACGTCAGCTCAGAGCCAGTGTTCAGTAGTTCCTGAAATGTCTGATCATTTCTCTTTACCCAGTGCACAGTTACTCTGGTAAAAGGCTGGAGGTCTCCTTGGGGAAAGATGGGAGAAAGATTCACTGCATAAATTGTCAGTAATGTAGTGGGGTCCTTCCTCAAGGGGACCTGGCCTCCCCTTCATTCAGGGGAGTTCTGGGTCTCTAAACTGGCTCAAGTCTGGAAATTGATTGAGGGGCTGTGATTCTCTGTTTCTATAATTCAAATTAGTCTTTTGTCCATTTGACCTAGGAGTTTTCTACTTGTATAAATTAAGTAGGAAAGCAGGAGGCTTCCTATCAATTTCACTTCTACGAACACCATGATTAATTAGCCAGTGCCAGAGTGCTACGTGAATCAGACTATTCTGATTGCAGCTTTGCCTCTGCTGTCCATTATGGTAGCTATGCCCACCTTGCCTTTGATGGTTGAGTGCTGCCACTTGGTCCCTGTCACCTCGAGATCCAATTACTCCCATTGTATTTAAATTTTGTAGTTGAGTGACCGTGGTTCCCACCATTAGTTCTGACATACAAAAAGAGCAATTACAGGGCTCTTCAAAGATGCAGGTGCTGCCCTCACAAATCTATTTTGCAAGGCATTGGTCAAGGGTATATCTTCTGGACTTTCCCAGCTGGGATGAGTAGGTCTAAAGTGACTAATCAACTCCACCATCCCAATCTCCCTAAGCCTTTGGATGCCTTCCTCTACATTAAACAAAGGGAGATCAGGCATTTCCAGCTGACTCACAGTGGCCATCTTTTAATCCATAGTTCAGCTAACCATGCAAATAAACTATTAGAACTTTTTTTTTTTTAACTCCTCGAGCTGCAACATTAAATGCAGAGTCCCTACTTAGTGGACCCAAATCAATAAATTCAGCTTGATCCAACTCTATGTTCCTTCCACCATTATCTCATGCTCTTAATATCCATTGCCGTGCTTGTTCTCTGGATTGCCATTTATATAAATTAGAGAACTCAAACCGTTCTTTTCGAGTGTAGCACACCTCCTCATGGGTCACACTCTCAACCTCATTTCCAGGGGCTCACCGGGACTTTAGTGTGGTTTTAGGTCTAGAAGCAAACAGGGGTGTTGGGGGTGGCTCCTGAAGAGAATCGACATTATTTTGCCTGGCAACTGCCTCAGGAGAGGCCATCACTGTTGCCTTAGGCAGCACAGAGTTTATCTCCTCAGGCAACGGTGGAAAGGCTGATGGCAGCATGGGTCTGGGAGGGGATGTTGCCACTACTTGGGATGAGAAAGCTGTTCCTTTTGGCAAAAAAGGTTCATCAGAGTTCACAAACTCAGTGTCCCCAGCTTCATCAGGGTCCTCCCACGTGTCCCCATTCCAAGTTTCAGAGTCCCATTCTTTTCTAATCAATGCCCTCACTTTAACAGTAAACACCTGGTGAGGCTATGCATGCACCTTTCGTTGCAGGTCAGCCACTTACATAAGAGCTTGTGTCTGTTTTTCCACAATTTCAGCTCTTTCTCTACAGGAGATAAGACTCTTACTGAGGGCAGCCTCAGCAGATTTGAGGCTTAGTATCTGCTTTTGAAGCTAGGAGACAGAATCCCTGATTTCATCATTTTCTTTCATCACTTTGTCAACTGAACTTAGGAGCAGCCAACTAGCTTCATTATATTCCTTGGTTCTCCACATATGGTCAAAGGTATTATGTATAGAGTCACTAAACTCCTTGCCTCTCATGAGTGGTGAATCAGGAGTGTCAAATGCATTTATTTTGTATAACTCTCTAAAGAGTTCATGCCAAGGACTATCAGTGTTCTCCATACTATTAGAAGTAGAGTCCTTAGCATTTTTGGATCTAATCATATTAAGCAGTCACCTCCAGAAACCCCAAAACCAACAAAGGAACTCCATCCTTAATATTCTGTTCCTTTAGAACCACTCCTGGTACCAAAATCTGTATTAGGTTCTCTTAGAGGGATAGAAATAATAGGATATATATAGATATAGATATAGATATAGATATAGACGGATATATATATCCATATTTCAGCTAACCAAGCAAACATATATATATGTTTATTAAGTATTAACTTACACAATCGCAAGGTCCCACAATAGGCTGTCTGCAAGCTGAGGAGAAAGGAGAGCCAGTCTGAGTCCCAAAACTGAAGAACTTGGAGTCTGATGTTCAAAGGCAGGAAGCATCCAGCACAGGAGAAAGATGTAGGCTGGGAGGCTAAGCCTGTCTCTCCTTTTCACATTTTTCTGACTGCTTTATATTCACTGGAAGCTGATTAGATTATGCCCACCAGATTAAAAGTGGATCTGCCTTCCCCAGCCCATCGACTCAAATGTTAATCTCTTTTGGCAATACCCACACAGACACACCGGATTAATACTTTGTATCCCTCAATCCAATCAAGTTGACACTGAGTATTAGCCGTCACACCATGTTTGGGAATTTTTCCAGCTTTTGATTCTTGGTGGGAACCAGACAGCCTCAGTAGAGAATCTGAAAACTCACTTGCCTAACCTTCCTTGAAGTTGGGGCCTAGGCTTGGAACTTTGGTTCTGCAGAGCAGACACACCCATCCTAGACTTTGACTAGGGAGTCAAGAAACAGGTACCTACAGAAGCCATTCCTGTGAGACGGCAGCAAAAGCAGCAGCTGCAACTTATTTCTGGAGGCATCCATGGAGGAGGTTCTAGGAAACCTGAAATATGGAAATATGAAAATCGGGGCTGCTGGTGGTAGTGTGGGGCAGAGGGCAATGGGACTCTCCTTCACACCCAGGGATGAAAGGATCACATCTGTGCTTCACTGCAGTGAGGCACCTAAGAAGTGATCCCTAGGAACCCAGATGTGTACCCACCATGGGGTGGCCAGAGACTTGGCAATGTACTCTGTAGGAAGAGTGAAGCAAGTGGTTACTTCTTTGACTTTAAGAGAAGTACAGCAGGAAAGAGGTGAGCTCTGGCCCCAGTTTTCTGCAGGATGAGGCAAAAAAAGTTGAAATCATGTAATTCTGCTGCAGAAAGCTTTTTCTGCCAGCTGCTGGTTCTCTGAGATCCCTGAGGGCCAGGTCTAAAAGAGAATGCAGGTTGTTCAATGAGAGCTTTGGCTAAGTTCTCCACTGGGCCCTGTTGCCAGAGTCAAGGCTCAGGGGATCCCCAGTTCCTGCTCCTTTGAAGCTCTTCCAATGCGGTGTTCCTACTGGACATGGAAGAGTTGTCCTTTCTCTCTCTCTCTCTCTCTCTCTCTCTCTGTGTGTGTGTGTGTGTGTGTGTGTGTGTGTGTCTGTGTGTGTGTGTGTGTCTAGGACTTTAGCCCAGTATGGGTCTCTGCCCAATATGCAAGGACAGGACAGATTAGGGCTTTCCATTGCTCTTAGGGGTGAAACCCAAACTCTGTATGACCCAAAAATCCCTGTGGCTTTGGTTATTACCCACTTCTCCAGCCTTAAGTCTGGCTACAATTTACTTTCTCTCCTTAAGCCACGCTGGCCTTTCTCACAGGCCTTTAGAAAGAGTTAGGATTTGTTCTGCAGATGCTTTACATATATTTTCCTGCTGTCTGGAACACTCTTCCTGCCCTTTCACTGGCTAACTCCAGGCCTTTCTCCATTCTTAAGACCTCTACACAAAATCCGGTTTGTCTTTCTGAACCCAATTCTTTGACTGTGCCATTCTCTGTACGTTGAACAGATCTATTACCTCCTTTTGTGTAGGTGCTGTACCTCTATTAATGCAGCCTCTGAGCACTAAATTATTTTTGGCAGTAGGTTCATGGGATTGACTCAGCTATCCTTACAGACGTTTGATGTCCCTGGAACTGTCCTCTCTTTCAAGGGCTATGAATTCAAGTTTGCTCATGTGCAGCTCATCTCTGAAAACAGCTGGATCTGGCTTCAAGGCTGGTCCGCATCCTGCTTGCTCTTATTCCAGGCTCTTTGGCTTCTCAAATGCAAAGCTGCTGTTTTGTGCTTCTTGCAGCTTACTTTGGCTCTCCTTGTGAATATAATTGAAATTTCACAGTCATCAGTTTTTAAAATGATTTTCTGCGCTTTGGAAGTCAGTGCGAGTCACAAAATGTCTTCAGAATATTCTCAAAGCTTCTTGCAGAAGTGAATCTGTTTTCTTCCTGCCTTTCCACAAGCATTTGCTAAGCCCCTACTGTGTGTCAGGCTCTGAGCTCAGTGCCTGGAGGAGGAGGGGGATGGGAGGCAAAGGAGGATGGGGCGGGGCCCCGCCCTTGCTGCAGTCTAGTGGGGAACTCAGACAAGCACGCTTGCATCCAGGAGCAGAGGCAGCTGTGATAAATACCAGGCAGAGCGTCCAAGTGCAGCGGGAACACAGAGACTGGCGGACGGTGGGTGGGGGAAGTGTGGAATGCTCTGCTGGCTTGATCTTGCCCCTGTCTGGAAACCATTGCTCTGAGTTTCTAGGTTACAGATGTGGAGATGTTTTCAAGGGACTGGGAAAGTTTTAGAATCATTCTGCCTGGAGACAGAGAGATGGCTATCATGACCTTTGTGTGATTTTAGTCCAGCCACTGCCTTATCTAGACCTTGTCCATGCTCTCGTCTCCTTGTGAGTATGTACACGCTGGTGCTGGTTCCCCTGCCTGGAGTAGATGTCCCTCCCTGTCACCTGTACAGATCCCTCCTTAGTCCCGCTGTCTCTGGGAAGCCTTTCTTGGTGGCTCCAACTGTAGGGAGAATGCCTTTCCTGATGCTCTGGGTGCCCTAGGGGGCCACTGGCCCTTTAGCCCCACCTTGGACAGCTCCAGAATCCTTTTTCTCTGGGCTCTGTACTGGAATCCCCTGTTCTGCCAGGCATCATTCTTTTCCAGCATCAGTGACATTGACTGAGAGTCATCGGAGTGTGGTGGTTAAAAGCAAATGCAGTCAGATAGTCACTCCACAGTGGAGAGACCTAGAAACATCAGCTTAACCATGTGGTCAAGGTGACAAGTCATGCTGGTATCATGCGGCCCCTGATACGATGTGAGGAGAAGGGTGCCACACCTCTGTGGTACGCTTCCCCAAATCTGTAACCTCAGACTATTCATGAGAACATATCCATCAAACCTAGACTAACGAATATCCTGTAAGATACCTGATGCTGCTCTTTAAAAGTGTCAGGGTGGTTGGGCGCGGTGGCTCGTGCCTGTAATCCCAGCACTTTGGGAGGCCGAGGTAGGTGGATCACCTGAGGTCAGGAGTTTGAGACCAGCCTGATCAGCATGGTGAAATCCCATCTCTACTAAAAAAATAAAAAATACAAAAAATACAAAATTAATTGGGCGTAGTGGTGCATGCCTGTAATCCCAGCTACTCTGGAGACTGAGGCAGGAGAATCGTTTGAACCTGGGAGACAGAGGTTGCAGTGAGCCAAGATTACACCACTGCACTTCAGCCTGGGCAACAAGAGCGAAACTCTGTTAAAAAATAAAAGTGTCAGGGTCATGAAAGACAATGAAAGACTGACAAATGGTCACAGATCAGAGGAGACAAAGAGACAGGATGACTAAATGCAATGCGGGATGCTGGATTAGGTCCTGAAACAGAAAAAGGACGTGAGTGGAAAGACTGGGAAAATCCTAATAATGTCTGTAGTTTGGTTAATAATAGTGTGCCATGTTAATTTTTAAATTTTGATAAACATACCATGGCTAGGTGAGACCTAAATATTAGAGGAAAAGGGTGAAGAGTATATGAGAATTCTCTGCTCCATCTTTGTAACTTTTCCATAAACTTAAAATTATTTTAAAATAAAAAGCTAAAAAAGGACAAGTGTTCTTAACTAGAACACATGGCCTCAAATCCAGCCCCTCCACTTCCTGGCTGCTGAACTTTAGACATGAAACTCAACTCCCTGAGCCTCAGTTTCCTCATTAGGAAAACAAAGGCCTATTTTTCCTCATTTGGAAAACAGTGTTCATCTCAGTAGGCTTGTTGAAAGGATTAACTGAGCTAATTATGAGGTACGCACCTAGAAGGTGCCTGGCACACAAGAAGTAATCAATAAGGTTTCACTATTATTATTGTTATTGATGAAGGAGGAGTTCCAACTTCTACAAGGTGGGAGGGATGGGGAATATGCTGGGTGACAGAATTCAATAAGGTATGAATAATTCAACATGATTCAATTAAATAAACATCTACGGACTTTGTCTGTGTGCCAGGCTTTGCACTGAGGAGAGAGAAGTCAGACCTGGTCCTTGCCTTGGCGGGGCTCAGACATGAGTTTGGGGAGTCAGACCCAGATGCAGATGATGACACTGTGGGGTACGTGGAATCAATCAGAGGCAGGTTGAAGTGGCCGTGAGGTCAGAGGCAGGAGCTCTTTTGGAGTCTGAGACTGGGTGAGGAATCCGAGAAGGCTTCAAGGATGTGGTGGCACTTGAACCAGGTTTTGATATATGAATAGGAATTTTCTAGCAATACGGATGTGGGCATAGAGTCCTAGTAAGTACATTATGGGTAACTTAAGGCATATGCTTGATGATTGACCCAAGTTATTTCAAATCTTCTTCTCTGTGCTGCAAAGTGGGTACTTTTATTACCCATTTATGATGGGGTAACAACAGAAGCCCAGGGAGGGAATGGGGTTTCTCCAGGTTATAGACCACTAGTTGGCAGAATTCAGATTCCAACCCCATCTGTCTGACTCCCAAGCCACCTGCCATGAGGAAGGAGCAGTGTGCCCCAAAGTGTGGCACCACTAGGAGAACAAGTGCTGGTGGTGTGGTGTGATGTCGTCTTCCAGGTGTGGAGGAGGAGGAGGGAGACAGGCTGGTGAGATGGGGCTAGGCAGTGCCTGGGGGACCCTCACTATTCCCAGGAGTTTGACTCTCTGATAGGCCCAGGGAGCCACAGAAGGGTTCACCTGGGGGCATAGGGTGGCCAGATCTGTGTTTTAGACAGCACACCCTGGCTTCAGTGTGGTGTGCCAGGAGGCAGAGTGAAGGCAGGGACCCCACGGGAAGAAGGGGAGGGAGATGATGGAGAGGAACAGGCAATGAGAAGGCAGCATCCCGAGAGACCCGCCAAAGTGAAATGAAGGAATGTGAGAAAAATGTGGCTTTACTAAAACAACCGTGAAAAAACACAGGGGTCCTAGTAGACCGTGACCTTTGTGTGATCCAGCCGAGTGATGTGGCTGCCCCCAGGCAGAGGGACCTCTCATAAACAGAGAAGCAGCAAGGTGCCAGTCCCCCGTTCTTGTCACAGGCCACTCCTAGCTCTTGAGCTCAGTGCGTCTGGCTGTGTTCCAATGCTGTACTCCAAAGGGCCCAGAGACACAGTGGGGGCTGTTTCACATGAGGGTGGCCTTCCGAATCATACCCAGGAAAGGGCAGTTGAAGAACCTGAGTGTTCAAACTAGAAGAGAAACAACTTAGCAGAAACAGAGCAAAGGGGCCTGTGAGCCCCAGAGGACAAGCAAGGGGCATGACAGTGAGTCTGATTTGGGATTTCCCTGAACTCACCTTTGTTCCTTCCGCTTCATGCTGCTTTCTCTGAAGCTAGAAGTCCTTTGCTTCTGTGGTCCACAGGGTGGGTGGAAGAGGCCCCGTCCCACAGTTTCTGAGCTCCAGTTGCCCAGTGGGACTTGATCTCCACCTCGCTCCACCTCCAGTTTCCCACAGTCCTCAGGGAAGGGACTCATCGGTGCAGCTGGAAACGGGGCTGGACAGAACCCAGTAGGTGTGGCATAGCTCACCTATCTGAACCCCTCTATCTGGGCTCTTCCTGAGTTCATAAAGTCTTATTCACCAACCTGAAGTGGTTTTGGAGGAGGAGGTCTGGAAGCAGAGGGTACGTCATTCCCTGAAGATCTGTCCTGCCTAGAGAAGCTGGGACTTCTCTCATTCTGGATCAACATTAGATTGCATTTGCTCATTATTTGCTCATTTTCCATGACTGGAGACATTTCCGGTGTTTGAACACTGAGACTCTGTGCCCCTAGAGTCAGGGCTTATGTTTGGGGAGCCACCCTAAGCCACAGCCTCTGTGGCTCCTGTGCCCCTGGACTCTCCAGGGTGTGGGGTTGTGATGCTAATTAACTATAAACAGTGGGCTTGAAATTGGAATTTTTCTGGGCTCCAGGTCCCTGGTCATAGCATCGGATGCTCATTAAACCACAGGTAGATGAATTGGCTCTGTGGATGCTGACTGTGCAACCTTGGGGAGGTGGCAGCAGCAGCTGGGATTCCAGCTCCATGAGGTGCTGACAACACAGTGGACAGAGTCGCTGGCACAGGTGTTGGCATGGTTTCGTGGTCTCATGCAATGGGCCCAGATCCCAACCTCTCTCTGTTTCTCCTCCCCTGCCACCCCCAGCCCCCAACACACACACACACAATCCTGGGAACTGGGCATGAGGGATCCTGGCTCTCACTCCTCTCTAGCTAACTAGCTGTGTGACCTTGGGCAGCCTAAACTCTCGGGGCTTCAGTTTCTACAAGATGAGGGGTTGGATGGGAAGATTCCAGAGCCTTCTTAGCATAGGGTTTCCCATGAGATAGAGATGCCAAACATCAGATCAATCATGTGGAGGAGGTTCTAGAACCCGAACCATCCAGACTGTACCAGCTGGGGAACACAGCCACCATATTATTAGTCTTTGATTGTAAGAGCAGCAAGCTCTATCTGCTTTTTGCGAGGGCTCCCCTTCCCCCTGAAGTCTCCCCTGGCTGGACAAGGTTGCTCTGTTGGGTTGCTGGGGGCAGCAGGCTCTCCGATCTATGCCTTTTCTTTAACTCTGCTCTTCCTGGGGAAGCCCTCTGTGCACTGTCATTTGCAGGTGGCAATTGGTCACTGCTATGCGGCTCACTTCTCAGTGTGAAGACCACTTCCTGGGCACTCTGCCTGGCACAGCTGGCCCTGCTTCTGCTTCATCCCTGCTCCATGTCCCTTAGACCCTGCCGCAGGGCACCAGAGCTGGGGTGGAGAGAAGGCCCACCTCTCCTTCTTCCTCCTGTGTCAAACCTGGCTGTGTGGGCACCAAAGCAGCTCAGCCTGGGCCCAAAGTCTCACACAGTCTTTCGTGAAAACAGCTCCTTCATCTTCTGGGCTTTACCCCCTCCACTGAATTCAATCTCAGCCCAGCAGGTTGAGCTAGGGCAACAGATGCCATCTTACCCCATGCCTCTGCTGTTTTCTCAAACTTCCTTTCAATGCAGAAAAACACTAGAAGCTCCCAAGCAGATCAGCCAGCGGTGGGTAAAGAGGAGGTGATCACCTGAGCTGCTCCACTCTCTGGAAGCATCCAGTATCTTGCCCCAGCCCAGCCCTGCCCAGTCACTGCCAGTCTCTCTATTTGATTTCTGTCCCAGTGTTTACATCAATCAGAATTAACCAATGTTTATCAAGTGCTTATTGTGTAGCCAGCATGGGGGAAATTACTTTTTTCTTAAAAAAAAAAACAAAAAAAACTTTTCTTTTCTGTGATTTTTTTTTGTCCCAGATCTCTCAGCCTTTTGGAAAGGCTGCCTTGAATTATTCAACCTGCAGTACAGATCTCTGGAGAACATAGCCTCACAGCTACTTTAATCACTAGAAAGGTTCGGAGTCAGTTATAATCAGCTGGAGTCAATGTGGAAATGCTCATCTCTGGCTTGAAAATAAGATCAAAAGGAAGACCAAGGAGGAGATAAAATCTGAGATGAGAAATGGATGTTGGTTTCCAGAAGTTCTTAGGTCTTTCTCCTATTTCCAAAGGGGGTCACAGATCTGAAGCCCCAGCCCCTGGGAACTCTGCTTCCCTTGAGGCACACTACTGTGGATTTCTCTGACCTTTTCTTATGACATTGGGAAGCCAGTCACACCTCTGCCAATTCAGGGACAAGTTGAGTGAGACGGGACCTCTCTCTGATGGAGGTTTGGTGGACAGCTGTTATCTTCTAAGCTTGTGTGAGTAAAGGGAGGTGGAGATGAAGATGGGGATGAGCAGGGGAGGGCTCTTTCTACCCTGAGCTAACCTGAGATTGGGCATGTTCAGGCAAGGGCTGGGGGAATGGAGGGGCGGAGGGCTGGCTGGAGGGAATCTGGAGACATCACTAGGGTGGGAAAGCATCCCAAGGGAGGGGAGAGTGGGGTCTGCCAGCTTGCTCTTAGGGGAGAGGCAATTCTGGGTGCTCACCTGAGTTCCTGCCTGAGTCCTTGGAAAGTGATGGGGGAGAGGACTGCAAGGAGAAACAAGGAAATGTGTATTAGTCTGTTTTCACACTGCTATAAAGACGTACCCAAGACTGGGTAATTTATAAAGAAAAGAGGTTTAGTTGACTTACATTTCCGTATGGCTGGAGTGGCCTCAGGAAACTTACAATCATGGTGGAAGGGGAAGAGGCATGTCTTACATGGTGGCAGACGAGAGAGCTAGCAAGAGCAGGGGAAACTGGCTTATAAAACCATCAGATCTTGTGAAAACTCCCTCACTATCATGAGAACAGCATGGGGAAAACCACCTCCATGACCTAATCACCTTCCACTGGATCCCTCCCTCAACACGTGGGGATTACGGCGATTACAATTCAAGATAAGATTTGGGTGGGGACGTAGCCAAACCATATTGAGGTATTTTTGGTAAAATCTCTTAGGCTCAGAATGGTCCCACTTGTGTCATCTGTGTCTGAGAGTGTGGGGGCCATGGTCCCCAGCTTATCTCCAGGGCTTCAGAGAATGCAGAGCAGTGCTGGTGGGTTGAGGGCCCAAGTTTTTTGTCCCACTGATGGCTTGATGGTGACAGGCCCTCACCTGCAGCAGCTGGGGGGCACTGAGGCAGCTCAGGTGGGACTCAAGGAGACCTCTCCCCTCTCCCCCGTTGCCCACCATACTCTGCCTGAAGATGGGTCAGCATTGATGGCAAGAAACTGTGCCCCCTCACCACCTCCAAAGGAGGAAGGATGCTTGTTGCCTAAGTGAAGGAGCCCCTGGAGGCCACAGCTAGGGCTGGTGGGTGTGCCCTCCTCTCTCTTGCAGCCCTTGCAGGAGATAGGATGGAGTGTTGGGCAGGGCTGTTTCCAGTGGAAGATCAAGTTCTCTGCCTGTGTTTCTTTTCCCTCCACTCTCCCAACTAGTAGGTCTTGCGGGGGTGGAGTGGGGGCACTCTCCTTTACCCCCATCTCACTGCTGCTTTCTCTCTGGTCCTTGAGGGCAGGGCGGGGGTGGGGCTTGTGCTGGAGCCAGGTCTTGTCTCATAGTAGTGAGGCCTGAGGTCAGGTTGGGAAGCGGGTGACTTAGCCTAGCTTAGGGAAAGGGGTCCTGGGTGGGTCCAGCCCAGTGTGCTTGTATTAGGGGTTGGGACTGGAGCCCAGCTAAGAAGGTGCTGGCCCTGGGTCTTCCTTGTTATGTCTCTTTTCCCTAAGGGCCTTTCAGGAGGAGGGAGGGAGCTGGGCCAAGGCAGGATTTGGGAATTCTGGAATGGCTTCGATGTCATCCTAACAATTCAATCTCAGTAGCACTCCAGTCATAAAACCCCAACCCAGTGGTGGTAGAGGGTGCTGGCAGCCTTGAGAGCCTGGGGCAGCAGCATTCTCGGCCCCCATATCTGTGCCCTTTGTAGTGGGTACTGGCCATGGCCACAGGAGCATGGGCAGCAGAGGCTGTGGCGTCAGCTCTCACTGATGGATTCAGATCAGGAAAGGTGGCAAATGTCAGCTGTAAGGTGGCAGCCGAGAGGGTGTGTTTATGGGCACATGTGAGTCGCCCATGGGGTGCCCAGGCTGTCTGGGGTCAGTCTCACTGAGCTCTGTCTCTGACCAGCTGTGTATCCCTATCCTCTCAATGCCTCAGTCTCTTCACCTGTAAAGTGGATAGAAGATTGCACTCAGGATTAACAAGCGAATGCATGCGAAAGCACTTGGCAAAGTGCCTGGGATGTAGAAAACCCTCAGTGAACAGCTCTTCATGCTCAGTTGTGTCTCTGTGTCCTCTTAGAGACTGGAAGTCCTGCAGCAGCACATGGAAGTTATAGCCAGAGGAATGCTGCTTGTTGCTGTGATCGTAAACTCCTTCATACCCCACAGGCTTGGGGGTTGGCTAGAAAATATTGGGTAATTAGAAAAACATTTTTTTCATTTGCAGAGCAGTGAAGCCGCAGCAAACGGATGGGCCTTGCCCTCAGCATTTCCCCGTTTCAGTAGAATCAGCAAAAAGTCAATTACATCCTATTATAAACATGTACTGCACAAATGAAAAAAAATGAACGCTACAGAAGGGTATAGATTCCTCCACCCTGGGGGGCTGTTGGCAGTTTGATGCATTCCCTTCAGACCTACCCTTACATGTGTGCAAACATATGTCATATGCAATCACCATGCTTCTGTCCCTCCTTCTTTCCCTCCCTCCTTCCTTCTTTCCCTCCCTCCTTCCTCTTTTCCCTCCCTCCTTCCTCCTTTCTCTCCCTCTCTCTTTCCCTCCTTCTCTTGCTTTCTTTCTCTCTTCCCCTTTCTCTTCTTTCAGAGAAGAATCATACCACAAACATATTATTGACATTGCTTAGTACTGTTCTTCCCCCCCCCCCATTATTGTGTCAGGTACATCTTATATCAATACATATATTTCTATCAAAATCACCCCCACCCCCACCATATTCTCAGAAGATTTAAGGAATAAAAAGGGACAAAAGCTTTTCTTAGGGTTTAAGGGACAATCTAAGAAAGAAATCACTTTTATAAAAGCCTTTAAAAATTATTTTCCCTGGTTAAAACATTAATGTACTTTTAACCCTCCTCCTGTAAAAAGCATTATGTATCTCATAATCTCACTACTCATACATAATCATTGTTAACATTTTGGTACAGTTCTTTCTAGTCTTTTTTCTATGTTCACTTTTTTTGTGTGCTTGTGTGTGTGTGTGTGCTTGTGTGTGTGTGTGTGTGTGTGTATTTAAACAGAATCACACCATAACATTTGTAATTTGTGTTTTCTACTTAACATTATTTCATAGATGTTTTCTCTCACAGCTATGTATTATATGGGCCCAAATATCTGGTAGCCAAGCATATAAGGGCCCAATTTTCCCATCTGGAAGATTTAATTAAAAGTTTTGGGGCCAACTTGAGTATACAAATATTTAGGGGTAGAGCTGAAATCATCAAATGCTAACTGACAATGTTTAATTGACAAATTCAGTTACACATAGACATTTAAACCACATATAAAATATGTTAAATTTAGAAAGATTCATTTTTCCATTTCACATTTCACCAACTCTGTCAGCATCTTTGACATCTGTGCTTCCATCTTCCCTGGGGCTGCTTTTATGAATTACCCAACATAGCTGTCCGGAGCACACCATTTTCCCTTTTGTCTAACTTGTTCGAGATTAAGATGCAATGCTTTTAAAATCTGTGTACAATGTTGTCTCTGGCAATTGTATTTTAAGCCACGAGTACCTATTTGCATAACATTAGGGCAGTCTTTTCATTTGTCCCATAAGTGTGTATTCGTGATACCCACAACGTAACTGCTAACTGGATTGCTTCTCAAGGTGACCTTTAAAGGCTTGTTTACAATGACAGCCAACACTTGCAATTGTGAGGTTGTAACCCTGAGAATAATTACTAAATCTCTTAAATTCCTTTGCCTCCTTTTTGCCGGTTCCCTCAGGTAACCCCTATAAACATCCCCAACTAGCATTGATTGAGGTCAGGTACGGCTAATGTGATTTCCCCGAACAGTACTTTGTTGTTTAAAATAAAGTAACTAAGAAAGAGTATGCTTAATAGGAAAGTCATTGTAAGAATTTGAATTTAAAGAGATTTTCTGTTTTCTAAGATAATTGTGGGAAAAATCCCCATGTTACATTTGGAAATACATGATGTATTTTTAAAGACAAGATTAATGGAAGCATGGCTTTCCATCTTTTGGCCGCATCCTAATTTATTTAATCATTCCTCTATTGTTGGACAGTTCAATTATTTCCACTTTTTTGCTATTATAAATAACAAGGCACATTCTCGTACTTATATCTCTGGCACATTACAGATTATTTCCTCAGGACAAATTCCCTCAGGGTCAAATGGTGTGGATATTTTTAAGAATCTTGATACATCATGCCAAATTGCCCTTCAGAAAGGTTGCATCAATTTATAATCCCACCAACAGTGAATGGTGCTGGGCATTTTATAATAAATATGGAACATTTCTGAAATTAATGGGAAAATGCTTCTTCATAAACTCATTTGGCTTTTCTGTAGAGTCAATTTATTGGAACTATAGGAGTCTTTAGAATTTACCTGGTCCAACTGGTTTTCCAATACTCTTGCATACATCTTGCAAAGGGAAACTCTTTACTCCAAAGGAGCCCTTGCTAGAATTGGATGGTTATGACCTTCTGTAGTTCAGCCAAAGTATGCTTCCCTATAGCTTGCACAATTAAACAGATATTTACTGTGCTCCTCCAATGTGCACCCAGCCTAGCTCAATGTTGGACACACCCACTCATTGGAGTTGGGGGATAGGGAAATTGAGACTAATGGGTACCAACTCTGAAGCCGGGTACCAACTCTGAAGCCAGGCACCACAGCAGGCACATCTCCATGAAGCTGAGGTTATTGTGCCATATTTTAGAGATAGAGAAATTAAGGTTCAGAGAGGTTAGGCAACTTGTCCAAACTCACACAGCTGGTAAACTGATGGGCTGGGATTAAACCCAGATCTGTCTTATTTTCTAAGACCCCATATTGGCTTTCCTAGGTCTTCTGTTTTGGAGCTGCTGAAAACGAGTTTGCCCTACAGGATAGAGTCTCCTTACCTGCCACTCCGTGCCATATCCAGAGAGCATACATGCCACAGTTGTCAGGACAGCCCTGATTTCAAATCTCCTGTCTTGTTGTCCCACAAGTACTCCCACTGTGGTGGTTTGCAATTAGTCAACTTGGTTAATTTGCAATTCTGCTTTCCTTTGTGGACTCAGGTTAGAGCTGGGCAAAGAGGAAGCTGCTCAGGATTGGAAGGTGGGAGAGAAGCATCAGCCATCACTCTCTGAGGTCGCCACAGTCAGATGGAGTGACAGATGAAGAGATGCCTGGTGGGTCCCAGCTTGTCCTCGTTCTTCTCCCTTTGCCTCCAGCTCTTCTCCCTGGCTACCTACCCTGTTGGCCAATGGCGGCTCATGCTCATCACCAGGCATGTGGCTGCAGACACACGGAGGTGGGAGCCATGCAGAGGCACCGGCTCTTCACAACCCTCTCTGCCAGCACCCGTTTCAGGGTCCTCCTTTGATGTTGGGTGTGCTTGGCTTCTCCAAGTGACAGGTTAGTGCCTCCCCTGGGCCTCCATCTGATCTTCTGGACCTTTGCTTCCGCAGCTTCCCTCAATTATGCAAATTCTAGGTCTGATTCCTAGAATAAATACTGGATCTCAAAGCACTCACAGGATTCTGCTCCCCTGGCTGAACTCTGGTGGAAATGATGTCATGTGACTTCGAAACTAGGCCTTAAGAGTCCTTGCAGTTTTCCCTGTCCTGAGGCCACATCATGCTGTGAAAAAACCCAACTTAGCAGAGGCTGAGAAGTTACACGGAGGAGAATGGAAGAGCCCTGGTCAATACACACAACTGTGAAAAAAATAACTCACTGTAGACATTTTTTTTAGGCTGAGAAAATATTTTTCTATTAATTGGTTGATCTGTCATTATATTCCATTGCATAGTCAGTGATAATATACTAAGTAAAGTTTAGTGTAACCATATTAGAATAATCTAAATTTGAAGATATTTATTAGCTTTATTAACTTATACAAAATAAAATTCACTGCTTTTTTATCGTGGTAAAATATAGACAACATACAATTAACCATTTCAGCTACTTTTAGGTGTGCAGGTCAGTGGCATTAGGTACAGTCACATTGTTGTATAAACATCATCACTATCCACCTCCAGAACTTTTTCATCATTCCAGACAGAAACTCTGTAGCCATTACACAACAATTCCCCATTCCCCCACCCCTTAGTGTAGGTTTTTTTTTCCCCATTTTTTTTTGAGAAAGGGTCTCACTCTCTCACCTAGGCTGGAGTGCAGTGGCAGGATCATGCTCACTGTAACCTCCAACTCCTGGGTTCAAGTGATCCTCCCACCTCAGCCTCCTGAGTAGCTAGGACTACAGACGTGTGCCACCAAGCCTAGCTTTTTATTTTATTTTTTGTAGAGATGGGAAGGAGGCTGGCTATGTTGCCCAGGTGCCCTCAGTGTAGTTTTAGGCCACTAAATTTTGGGGTACGTTGTTACACAGCCGTAGATAACTGAACATTCATACTTGGTGAGGTCATATGCTCTAATTTTCTAGTTTAAAAAATAGTTTCTCAGGCAAAACTATGGAGATGGTAAAAAGATTTGTGTTTGCCAGGGGTTCTTGGGGTAAGGGTGGGAAGGTATGAGTAGGTAGAGCATAGAAGATCTTTAGGGCAGTGAAAATGCTCTGTATGATACTATAATGGGGATACCCAGAGAGAACCATGATGCAAACTATGGACTGTGGACTCTGGGTGGTGATGATGTTTCATTGTAGGTTCATCAATGGTAACAAATTCTTTTATACCAAATGAGTTACAGAGGAATGCTGGTCTAACAGAGGAGAAAGGTGCCCAGAGAGAGGGTCCTAGGAAAAGCATCTGCAGAGGGAGTTGGGTCCAGCCCTCTTAGCTTTGGGGAGGACAAGATAAGTAAACACAAGGATTCACTAACCCATTCATTCACCATTGCCTTGCACAATGTTTGTTTCATTCTTAGCTATTTGCAGGGTACTTACTGAGCTCAGAGTCTCCTGGTGCTCTAGTGGGGGGCATTGATAATGGGGGAGGCCAGGCATGTGTGGGGCAGAAGGCATATGGGAAATCTCTGTACCTTCCTCTCAACTTGGCTGTGAATCTAAAAACAAAAAGTCTTAAAAAATAACAACAACCAAAACATAGTTGCCCAAACTCTGTGTCTCCTCTTCACTAGCCCAAATAGCACTGGAATATTTTCTTCAGCTACTTCTCACGTGGCGAGCTTTCAGATCCTCTCCACCCTGGTGAGTCGGCCCTGGGTCCTGGGCCTCACCTATTTGCCTTAAAGTGGGGCCTGCAGAAAGAACATGAGGCTCTAAGGATCACGTGTTGGAGCAGCACAGTCCAGGGTAGAGTTTGTAAACTGATGGCCTGAGGCCTCATCAAGCCCCCAGATACGTTTTATTTAGCACACACTATTGACATGCATAATGGTTGAAAATAACTTGAAATTGTTTTTAATGTTTAAAATTCTAGAGATTCACATACAAATCTGGATTTCTGGTTTCTCTCAAAAATAAGAAGATTGGGCCACACTGGACCACATTCCCATGAGACAGAGCTCTTGGCTGGCTGAGTAGAGGTGGCCCCTATTGGGGGCAGAGTTGCGCTCTCTAGCCTTTTATAATCCAGACCAGGCCCAGCTGTGCTGACTTCCCAACCCCTTACACCAGCCCCTTTACTCCTGTGTTCTATGTGCTGCTAGACACTTGGGCATTTGAGTTTCAACATCTAGTCTAGAGAAATAGCCACCTCCCATGAGTGGGCCTATGCTTCTGTTAATATGGCCTTAGGGTTCTAGCTGTTTGGCCTCTACACTCTGAGCTCAGAGTCTCCTAACCCTCTGAGCTTTTCTTGGGAACTTGTCCTATGACATCTTGGGCACTGTATTAGTCCGTTTTCATGCTGCTGATAAAGACATACCTGAGACTGGGCAATTTACTAAAGAAAGAGGTTTATTGGACTTACAGTTCCACGTGGCTGGGGAGGCCTCACAATTACGGTGGAAGGTGAAAGGCACTTCTTACATGGTGGTGGCAAGAGAGAGAATGAGAGCCACGTGAAATAAGTTTCCCCTTATCAAACCATCAGCTCTCATGAGACTTATTCACTGCCATGAGAACAGTATGGGGGAAACTGCCTCCATGATTCAGTTATCTCCCACACACGGGAATTATGGGAATACAATTCAAGATGAATTGATGTATTGAATTATGGGGGTACAATTCAATATGAGATTTGGGTGGGGACACAGAGCCAAACCATGTCAGGCACGATGCTTAAGGGAGGACATAGGGGCGTTGGCGAGGTTTCCACATTTTCTTGGAACTGAGGGAGAAAAAGAGATTGTGGCAAGCAAGTGCCTGGCTGAGGTTTTGTGATGAAGGCAGGGGTTTGATTTCAGGACCAGACTCTGGCCTAGATCCTGGCCTGACAGCTCCTCCCACAGCATGGAATTACTATTACCACGTCCAGGGCTCCCCGACTGGCCATTGCACTGTGAGCTCCAGGAGGGCAGAATGGTGATTTCCTAGATTTCCTAGAGGCTGGCAGTACAGTTTTGTTTGTTTGTTTGTTTGTTTGTTTGTTTGTTTTTTGTTTTTTAGATGGAGTCTGTCTCTGTCACCCAGGCTGGAGTGCAGTGGCATGATCTCAGCTCACTGCAACCTCTGCCTCCTGGGTTCAAGAGATTCTCCTGCCTCAGCCTCCTGATAGCTGGGATTACAGGCATGCACCACCACACTCAGCTAATTTTTGTATTTTTAGTAGAGACGGGGTTTCACTACATTGGCCAGACTGGTCTCAAACTCCTGACCTCAAGTGATCCACCCACCTTGGCCTCCCAAAGTGCTGGGATTACAGGCATGAGCCACCATGCTCGGCTGTAGTAGAGTTTTAATAAGTGTCCGAGTAACACGTTCAAAGGGGGAAACAACTGAAAAATTATAGAGGAATGCTGACATGATAGGAGAACAGTGCCCAGAGAGGAGTCCCCAGGGCAAGCATCTGCAAAGGGAGCTGGCTCCAGTTCTCTTAGCCTTGGGGAGGTCGGGATACACAGATGAACCTGGGACGTAAACACAGGATTCACGAACCCATTCCTGCATTTGTTCTCAGCTACGTGCAGGGTCACTGCTGGTTCTGCATGTGGTCACTGACACTCAGTGATGGGGCAGGGAAGGTCCACTTCGACTGAAATAAAAGGTCTGACGGAGCAGGAGGCTCCAAACCCGTGGAAATGCTCACACCTTCTCTTGGGAGCTTAGGGCATTGGTGGGCATCTAGCTGAGTGTTCTCAGTCCTGCCTTCAGAGTTAAACAGTCTCATGAATCCATGTTCTGCCACTTTTTAGCTGTGTGACATTTGGCAAATCCATGAGCCACAGTTTCCTCACCTGTAAAATGGAGAAACTACCCACTTTCTGGGTAATTGGGATGATTTTCTGAGATATTTATTTGAAGCACTCTGTAGAGTGCCTGGCTTGCCCCAGCCCTTCCATGAATGATGGCTTTTTTTTTTTTCCTGCTGTCATTAGAAGGCAGGGGAAAGATGCTGAGGGACCATGGCTGAGTGGTGGGTCCCAGCCTCCTGGGGAAGATGAAGGATGTGTCCTGGTGCAAATCATCACACAAGCCCAAAGGTGGGCGACCAGAAGATGGGAACAGCAAAGCCCTGGACACTTGCTGGCCATCTCATTTGGTTGGACAAAGAGGCCTGAAGCGGTCTTGCCTGTTTTTGGTTTCTCTGAGAGGAGAGGAAGTGGCCAGGGGGAACTGGGTCTAATTCTATCCAAGATGAATGGAGTTAGTGATGTGGAAAAGACACAAACTTGGAAAAACATGAACAAGTCAAAGTGGTGCCTGGAAAGGGGAAAGTCAGACTCTCTGGAAGTTGGAGGGGGGCTGCTGGGAAGTTCAGATACAGGTTGCACGAATGTCTAAGGCTAAGGCATGAGAGGGAGGACCAAGTGAGACAGCAGGTGGGTCAAGAATGGGATTCTGGGCTGGGCGTGGTGGCACATGCCTGTGGTCTCAGCTACTCGGGAGGCTGAGGTGGGAGGATGGCTTCAGCCCAGGAGATTGAGGGTGCGGTGAGCCGTGATCGCATCACGGCACTCCAGCCTGGGTGACAGAGCGAAACCCTGTCTCTATTTTAAAAAAATGGGATTTTGCCCACACAATGGAGGATGATCTCATAAGTGTCAGGTGACCAGTGGTGCCCCTGCCATGGGGCTCATCTATCACTTGTTACTGACTTCTGGTGGGTGCTGCTCAGTGGGGCATATGTGCAGCAGGCCTCACTATGTGGACCTCTGGGCCTCTCCAGAGCGCATTCCCCATTTACACAGCTGGAGGGAGATCACCAATAATCCTGTTGCTCAGCACCTCCTTAATCTGCACCTGCTGGTCTCTAAGCTCTCTCCAAGTGGGCACTTTGATCAGGCACAGCTCAGGACCCACTCATGCGGAGAAAGCACAGTTCTAGGCCTGCTTTCCTCACCAAGCAGGCATTCACTCCTCAGGTTTGTGGAAACTCTGGCACCAGGGCTGGCATTTCCTAGATGAGGCACACGAAGAAGAACTAGAGCTGGGGTTGTCCTCTCTTCCTCCCAGGATGACTTTTTTTCATGTTTTCCTAAATTGCATTTTAAAATCTTATTTATGTTATTATACATTTGCATCATAAATTCTTTAAAAAAATTTTTTTTTATTTCCACAGTTTTTTGAGGAACTGGTGGTATTTGGTTTCATGAGTAAGTTCTTTAGTGGTGATTTGTGAGATTTTTTGGTGCATCCATTACCCGAGCAGTATACACTGAACCCAAAGCATAAGAGTGATACAATGGACTCTGAGGACTCAGGGGAAAGGGTGGTCAGGGGTGAGGGATGAAAGACCAGGATGGCCTTCTATAGAGTGTGGCACCTACTGTTTGGGAAATGAAGGAAGTACTCGAGCAGGATGTCCAGCCATCTCCCTGCACTCAGGAACTCTGCAGGGGCCTCTCCTGTCCCTCCACCTTCTCAGTGGGTCCTGCCAGCTGTCAGCAGCTGTGTCTGCCTCTTTCCTTGCTCCCATCACCTGCCTCAGGCCCCCTTTATAGAGGGACGAGGAGCCGGTGTTCATAGTAGAAATCGTGATGTTTGTGTGTCTTCCCTGTCTGGCCCTGCAGAGCACAGCCTCTCTTTCATGCTGATCTCCCGATTGTCTCAGGGCCCTACCAACCTGGGGGAAGAGTAGCCAGGCTGCTTATTGAGCAGATTCTTCATTAGTGGCTGCAGGACGTCTCTCCACCGTCCCTATCTTGACTGTGGAGTTTGGCAGCTGAGGCATGGTGCTCCTAGTCTGATCCTGCTCTGTGTTGGATCCTGTGGCTTAGCTCTTGGGGATGAGCTTGGATAGTTCCAGTCCCAGGAGCCATGTGGATATGACCTCAATGGATGGGCAAAGTTATATGAATCCCTATGCCAAGGCCTGGGCCAGGCCTTCCTGCTGACTCTCTTTCCAAGCCATTATGCCAGCTCCTTCCTGCCCTCCTCCCCAATCAACGCCATTAGCAGTGAGAATGGAGGAGATCCTCCTGGCCTTCTCTGTAGCCTGATCGTCCACAGCAGCTTTTCATTGCAACCCCCTTGCACCCCACCCCACATTCTCTTTTGCTTCAGCCTAGACCGTTTCGCCAGTCTTCCTGCTAAATACAGTAAGGATGTTACGGTTTTCTCCTGCCTTTTGATGCATTTTCAGAAATTCAACTTCCACGTCTCTGCTACTATCCACAAGAAAAAAATACCCATTCAGGTGCTCTAAAGCAGCTGCCACAGGTCAGGAGGAAGTGGTCTTGAGCCCATGGGTAGGCTCTGCTCCAGAGTTTGAGAGAATTTCTTTTATTTCCACCAATTCTCAATCTCAGGGACCCACTCCTCTTATATCAGGGTGCATTGTGGGGACTTCCTTTTCTAGGGATTGTCAGCCTCTGTTACGAGTACACTTAGCTTTCCTTACTTTTGGGTGCCATTGTGGCCTTATTATTTCTCTCTGTCTCTCTCTTTTTTTTTTTTTTTTGAGACAGAGTCTCGCTCTGTCACCCAGGCTGGAGTGCAGGGCGCGATCTTGGCTCACTGAAACCTCCACCTCCTGGGTTCAAGCAATTCTCTGCCTCAGACTCCTGAGTAGCTGGGATTACAGGCACCCGCCACCATGCCCAGCTAATTTTTGTATTTGTAGTAGAGACAGGGTTTCACCATCTTGGCCAGGCCGGTCTTGAATTCCTGACCTCGTGATCCACCTGCCTTGGCCTTCCAAAGTGTTGGGATTACAGGTGTGAGCCACCATACCTGGCCTATTTCTCTTTCTGGAGTCTCTCTCTGGGTCCAAACCCATAGAATGTATGACACAAAATCAAGTCTCTTTCTGGACTTTTTCTGGAGTCTTCCCATCATCCTGGGGAGAGTCAGTCATCTGAGCATCTGGCCTGCATCCCTGTCTCCATACTCTCTGGTGGTGCCTCTGGGATTCTCTCTTCTCCTTCGTCAGCACCGACACCCACCACCCCTGTGAATTCTTTCCTGAAGAAGGCCCACTCATGCTCCTGTCTTCTTTCAACCTTCTGAGATCACAAGACTCTAATGCTGCCCTCTTTCCCCATTAATCTCTCCATCCCCTGCACATAGCCTTTTGGCTCCAGTGTGTATCCCTAAATTTCACCCCCCAACTTAAAAAAATAGAGACAGAGTCTTGCTGTGTCACCCAGGTTGGAGTGCAGTGGTGTAATCATAGTTCATGGCAGCCTTGAACTCCTGGGCTCCAGCAATCCTGCCTCATCCTCCCATGTAGCTAGGACTACAGGTATGCGCCACCACACCTAGCTAATTTAAAAAGTTTTTTTTTGTTTTTTGTTTGTTTGTTTGTTTTGGTAGGGACAAGGTCTCGTTATCTTGCCCAAGTTGGTCTCCAACTCCTGGCTTCAAGCAGTTCTCCTGCCTGGAACCCCCAGAGAGCTGGAGTTATAGGTGTGAGCCACTGTACTTGGCTCTAAATACCCTTTTAATTACCAAGTTCAAATTCCTCCAGAGATGACTGTGGCCAGCTCCTAGGATGACTGGCTAGCCAGTGGAGTCAGATGTTTCCTCTTTGACCAAACATCTGTGGCTAGGTGGTGATGGGGTCATGTGATACAGAACATGGCTGGTCCCACTCAGTAGAAGCATGGGAGGCCAATGATGATGAATACCTTTAGTAAAGGAACACAGGCCAAACATGCCCTCTAAAACCCACCAAACAGTCAGGGCACATCCTAGCTCCTGCCCCCTTCCTGCTCACAGGGACAGGGCCTTAACACCTCCATGCTCCCAAGATAGGATGGTAGCAAAGCTGAGCAGCTAGCTGCCCATTCAGAAGGATCAGGTGGGGCACCCCCAGGGCTCAGAAGGGGACATGGAGGAGTGATTCCAGGAGATCCTGAGCATATTCATCCCTGCACACAGGGACTTTCTTGTAGGCTCGCGGCTGTGGGCTTCCAGTGTTTGTGCAGAGCACCTGCAAAGGCCCAATGGCTGATTTAGTCCTGAAAACCGGAGGTGCCTACTGAGAGGCCTGGGGAGAAAAGGGCTGGCTTCTGGAATGGACTTTAAGAAAGTGGAGACTGTCTTATTTGCTGAGTAGGGTTGAGTTGCAGAGCTGATGACCCACCTAGATCTCCTCCTGTGGCGTCTCTAGAAATGGAGATGTCTGACAAAAGGCAGCAATGATTCCCTCCCACACGTCCCACTTTCTAGTAACCATTTCCTTCTACAGAGGGGCTGAGGCAGACCCCAGCCCTTAGGGCAACTGGGCGGGAACTCCAGGTTGGCTGTGGAATAGGACATTCCAGGCTTTGCTTATTCCAGGCCTGGTTTTCTTAATATAACTCACAAGTCTATTGGAATACTTTTTACATTTCTAAGATATTCTTGGAATGTGACTTGTGGGTGCATAAAGAAAACCTTGGTCCGAGAAACACAGACATGGGTTCTAGTCCCTGGTCTTTCAACTTGCTGTGTGATCTTGGGCAAGTCCCTTCCTCTCTCTGAGCTTCCATTTTCCCATCTGGATAATGAAGGGATTGGAGGAGATAATATGTAAGAACCTCACTAGCTCTCAAGTGAGCATCATCACAAAATCATTCGTGTTTATTGAATGTTTCTATGTGCTATGTATGTGCTTACCTGCCTTATCTCACTGAATCCTATAATTATTTGCCCATCTTTTTTCAGAGGAGACAATGACAGCTCAGAGATGTTAGGTAACACACCTAGGATCACACAGCCGGGACATGGTGGGGCCTGTCTGATTCCAGAACCTCGGTGGACCCTTCTAGAGGAAAGGGACTGAAGACCAGGTTCTCACTCTCGAAGGCATCAACAGCTTTTGGGGCTGCTCATTGGGCCCCAGTGCTGTCCTTGCTACTTAACAGTAGGATGGAGTCAGTGCGTTTATTAAAACTCTGTGGGGTTTGAATCATCTTGCCCTGTCGTCAGATAACAGATAGTCCATAGGCCTGACAGTCAGACATCATGCCGTCCCTGAACCTCATTTATGTCCTCTAAATGCCAGAGCTGGATGAGGTCCTTTTTCTTTCATGGGAAGGCCCAGCATCCTAAGGAACTGCAGTCAGGTGAGTCTTTTTCAGGCAGCACTTTCTTCATAACCTTCCAACGTGTGAAATGGCCCTTTCACGACATGCTGGCGCCGGGGATTTTTTCTTAAATTAAGAATTTGATACATTCCTTCAGTTCCCCTCTAGGGGTTACAGAGAGCAGAGAAAGTGATGCCTTGAGTTAATGTGCAGGTGTGGTTATGCATTTTGAAGGAGCTCTTGACAATCTCCAAGAAAAAAAATGTCCCTAAATGACCCTCGGTTTTTGGTGAGAATTGCTAACTTGTATAAGTGCTGAAGGGAAGTCCAAAGCCTTTCTCTTTGAGGGTCAAACGACAAAGTGGAAGCATGTGTGTGTGTGTGTTTGTGCACATCCATGTCTGTGTGTATATGTGTGTGACTGTGTGAGTGTATTAATAAATGTAATGAGTGTGTTCTTGTGTATATATGTGTATGCACATGTGTACACACAAATGCGTGTGTTTGCAAGCTCGTGTGTGTATTAAGGGGTGTAGTGGCATTGGGACTGAGCTGTTCCTAGTGAGTGCTCTGCAGAGGAGGGGGCGCTACACAGGCAGTCTGTTTTGCTGGGTGACCTTGCAGCCTCCCACAGGGCTGTTGTGAGACTTCTTCACCATGGCTCACGTGCAGAGGTGTCTGCCACACGGTACCCTGCTGGCTGTTCCGAGCTGGGGAATCAGTCACCCTTCCTTGGTGAGGGCAAACATTCAGGGAAAGTAGAAGGAGGAGGTCCTGGGAAGGGGAAGTGGCAGGAAGTAAAACAAATGGGAGCTTTATCCTGGCTTTGGCAAATTACGTGGCCTCTTCGTGCCTCAGTTTCCTCATCTGAAAATGGGATATCATTAGTCCCTACAACTAGGTTGTTAGGAAGATTAAGTGAGTGCTGATGGAAGTGTCTGGTGCATGGCAAAATCATGATTAATTTTTTCCATGCATGAGTTTTTATTGAAACTATACATATATATGAATTAATAGGCTTTATTTTTTAGAATGCTTTTAGGTTTATAGACAAATTGATCAGAAAGTAAGGAGAGTTGTCATATATCCCCTTCCCATCAGTTTCTCCTACTATTCACATCTCATATTAGTGTAGTACATTTATTACAATTGATGAACCAAGATTGATACCCTGTTATTAACTCAAGTCCTTAGTTTACACTAGGGTTCACTCTTGACGTTGCACATTCTACAGGTTTTGACAAATGCATAATGCCATGTCTCCACCATTAAGGTTCCACTGCCTTAAACATCCTCTGTGTCCTTTGTAAATCCAGGCAGCCTAAAAAAATAAGGAAAACAGAAAAATGAGAATAAAAATCTTCTGTGCTCTGCCTATGTCTTCCTCTTTGCCTCCAACCCTTGTAACCCTCGGCAACCACTGGTCTTTCTACTATCTCGTAGTTTTGCCTTTTGAAGAATGCCATAGAGTTGGAAACATGCAGTATGTAGCTGGTTGGGATTGGCTTCTTTCACTTAGCAGTGTGCATTTAAGCTTCCTCCATATCTTTTCATGGCTCAATAGCTCATTTGTCTCTATCGTTGAGTAATATTCCATTGTATAGATGTACAATGGTTTATTTATCCCTTCACGCCAAAGGACATCTTGACTGCTCCAAGTTTTGTCATTATTAATTTTGTAACACCTGGCAGGCCAGTGTCCTGGTTTCAAGGCAGGGACTTTAAAATCAGACTGAATATCTCCACACTCTGCCTGTGCCGCTAGTTGGGTGATCTAGGGAGTTACTTAATCCTTTTGACTTCCTCCCTCTGAAAAATGGGGCTATGATAAGGCTACACTGCTGTTACACAGACACCTACACTGTGATGGCTCAAGCTAGATGGACATTTTTCTCCCTCAGGTAATAGTACAGGTGGGGTGGGCTTCAGGTCAGCAGGGGGCACTGGCCACACTGGGTCAATTCAGGGACCCCCGCCCTACGTTTCAGCATCAGGCTTCCACAGTAGCTCTAATGGTCGCAGTTCCAGCCAGAGGGCAGGAGGTAGAGGGTGGGGAATTCACCCACTCTCTCAGCTGCCCTTGCCTGGAAGTGGTGGACATCACCCTTGCTCACATGCTTTGGGCAGAACTTGGTTGCATGGCCTCACCACACTGCAAAGGAAGCTGGGCAATGTAGTCACGAGTCCAGCTTTAATTGTAATTAAATGAAAGAGAGAGTAGTGTTTGGTGGGCAGCTGGCAGTCTCTGCCATGTAATAAAACCTACTTTGTAGGTTTGTGATGAGGATTAAAGGAGGGAATTTGTATAAAGCCCTTAGTTTAGTGCCTGGTGCATAGTTAATACTCAATACGTGTTAGTTTTTTTCTATGATTATTCGCTAGGAATTAAAGGGTCACAGCATTTCTGAGCTGGGGGCCTGTTTTAGTCTGCTCAGGCTGCTATAACAGAATACAGATACTCCTTGACTTATGATAGGGTTATGCCCTGATAAATCCATTGTAAGTTGAAAATATCATAAGTTGAAAATGCATTTAATACCCCAACCTACTGAACAGCATCGCTTAGCCTAGCCAACCTTAAACGTGCTCAGAACATTTACGTTTGCCTATAGTTGAGCAAAATCATCTAACACAAAGCCGATTTTATTAAAAAGTGTCGAATATCTCATGTAATTTTTTGAATACTGCACTGAAAGTGAAAACCAGAATGGTTGTACAGGTACTCAAGTAGAGTTTCTACTTAATGCATATTGCTTTTGTGCCATTATGAAGTCAAAAAATAATAAGTTGAACCCTTGTAAGTTGGGGACTGCCTGTATCCTAGACTGGGTGGCTTATATACAACAGAAGTTTATTTCTCACAGTTCTGGAGGCTGGGAAGTCCAAGATCAAGGCACTGGCAGATTCAGTGTCTGGCGAGGGCTCACCTCCTGGTTTCTAGATGGCACCCTCTTGCTGTGTCTTCACATGGTGGAAGGGGTAGAGAGCTCTGTAGGGTCTCTTTTGTAAGGGCACTGATCCCTTTTATGAGGGCTCTGCACAAACATTCAGTCTATTGGGGTCTTTTGAAGGGATCTAGCCTGGTGGGTTTCACACTGTGTTCAGATGTCCCCTTACAGACCTCTCAGAGACCCCCTGGGGGGGTGCTGGAAGACCAGTGAGAGTCCAGCCCCCACCTGGTTTCAACCAGAGATGTTCCTACCTTACCTATTTCACACACTGGGTTCTGTGTAAGATTTAAATGAAAGAAAAGGGTCTGCAGCTTAAAAAAATGTAAAAACTAGAAATACCATTTGACCCAGGGATCCCATTACTGGGTATATACCAAGAGGATTATAAATCATGCTGCTATAAAGACACATGCACACGTATGTTTATTGCGGCACTATTCACAATAGCAAAGACTTGGAACCAACCCAAATGTCCATCAATGATAGACTGGATTAAGAAAATGTGGCACATATACACCATGGAATACTATGCAGCCATAAAAAAGGATGAGTTCATGTCCTTTTTAGGGACATGGATGAAGCTGGAAACCATCATTCTGAGCAAACTATCGCAAGGACAGAAAAGCAAACACTGCATGTTCTCACTGATAGGTGGGAATTGAACAATGAGAACACTTGGACACAGAGTGGGGAAAATCACACACTGGGGCCTGTCGTGGGGTCGGGGGAGTGGGGAGGGATAGCATTAGGAGATATACCTAATGTAAATGATGAGTTAACGGGTGCAGCACACCAACATGGCACATGTATACATATGTAACAAACCTGCACATTGTGCACATGTACCCTAGAACTTAAAGTATAATTAAATAAATGAAAAAAAGAAAAAGAAAATGTAAAAACACTGGCCTGGGGCAATTTTTGGAAGTCACACAGTGGGCTCTCCCACCTCCTGTGAGCCCCAGCCTCACTTCAACCTTGCCTCTTGGTTAGAATGGTTAAGGGCTGGCTCCAGCTTCATGAGGACCACCAGAGGAGACATGAGTGGGGACAGTGATGAGGACAGAAGAGACAGGAGAACAACAGTCCTCCAAGGCTACAAGCTGAAGTCAGCCTGGAGTTCATCTCCAGTTACCGGCTGCCCAGCCCCCCAATTGGGATGAGGACTTCTTAATCTGATTCTCCTGGCCCAGGGCCCTGGGCGGGCAGGCCCAGGCTCTGGAAGCTGCAGAGTGCTCAAGGCCATGGGTAAGCCACACATCTCCTGCCTGTCCTTGGGCAGGGCTTTGCTCCCAAGTCCAGGACTTCACATCTGTGCCTGATGCATTCTGCCCTGGCATGCTGGCCCCATGCCCAGCATGCCAGCCTATCCAGATGGCTTGAATCAGCTCTATTGTCCTGAGTATTTGCTTTGTCTTCCAGCCTTATGGCATCTGTGAAAGTGATGAACTTACCTCCCTGTCATCTGTGCTAACCAGAAGGCCACGGGGCACAGTAGTTAGGAGCATGGGCTTTGGGGTCAGACCCCATTTCAAATTCTGGCTTGTCCACCTATTTGTGTGTGTGACCCTAGGCCTTCAATTGCTGGTGGGGAAATGGGGGTAACACTACCTTTCCCAGAGGGTTCATGCAAGATTAAATAAGATAACCCATATGAAGCCTTTAGAGTAAGTGCTCAATAAATGGCAGCTATTGTCAGTGATTTATGAGCCTTGCCAAGAGAGAAGGCTTAACATACTAAAAAATATATTATAATAAAAATACAGACTTGCTGTAAAAGATACCGGAGGATATAAGTAAAAGTCTCATCCCTGTCTTGTCTTTTCTTATCCACCCACCTCCGCATACCTCTCCAGAGGTTACACTTCTTAAATCATCTTTAATGAGCCACAAACCCCTCAGTGACTGTCAAAGAACCTTGTTACACTTTACCTTATAAACTCCCTCACCTCTGGCCCTGAGCTCCCTTTCCTCTCTCCTCCTGCCAATCCTGCCCCCTCTCCCCTCCTTCTCCTCCTTCAAGTTCCAGCTACATTGAACTGCTGGTCCAGATGCCAAGTCTTTGCATGTGCTGTTTTGTCTGCTTAAAGTGCCTGTCCTCCCTTTCTTTTCATCAAACTCCTACTCACTCTTCAAAACCCAGTCCATGTGTCTCCTCCTCTTTGTGAAACCATTCTTCACCTCCCTTAGGCCCCACACCATCCTGTTCTGGAATGGTCCAATACAGTCCTCTTGACCCCAACTTGGCTAAGGGCTGCTCCAAGGCAGGGAGCTGGGTCTAAGCCTCTTCCCTTCTCCAGCTTGGAGCCAACCCAGAGGAGATAATCAGAGATAGCCTTTGAAGGACTAATTTTCTTGAGGTTTATGTTTACATGCTAACCAAAAGGCTTGTTGGTTCAGCCTTGTAGTTCTAATTTCCCTTTTGTTGGAGGGACCTCTGAGCTAGGGCCAGCCTCAGCCCTGTGGCTCTGATGAAGCCAGTTCTTCCTGGAGATGGATTAGGGTAAATTTAGTGAAGTTAATGGCCAGGGAGATATAAAGGGCTTTGCCCCACAGAACAAGCAGAGTGTGGACTCTGTCTCTGTGATGAATGGAGGACCCCCTTCAGTGGAGCCATGGGGAGAGAAAGGGAATGCTAGTGTTTCTCCTTCCATTGCTGTGGGCCTCTCGGTAGGCTCGGTTGGGTGGGGCTCAGGCTCCTAGTTGCCCTGGCCCTTAGAATGGGACTTGTGCTTGTGACTCTGGAGTTTGGAAGCAGTGTGAGGAGGTGCAAAGGTCTAGAACTTTCTGCCAGAGACCCTGAGGGCTCAGTTGCAGCTGATGTCTCCCCTGCAGCCCCACTTACATGGGTCTGGAGAAAGCCAGGTAGGCACGTCCCAGGTTGGTCTGGGTGCCTTGGCTCAATGCCTGTGCTCTGTTAGCTTGTCTCACCTTGACAACTCTCTGGCCCTGGGACAGTTAGCTTGCCATCTGTTGCACTCTTCCCTTCTAAGTCATTCCTGCCATTTCTGCATGTCCAAATCCAGCTCATATTTCAAGACCCACTTCAAACAGTCTCCACTGTGAAGGCTTCCCTGATTTCCTTACCTCTCTCCCCATACTGGGATAGGTTTTTCCTTCTATCAATTCTCAGGACACTACACTTTGGGCATTTATGACCTCAAATCTACCATTTTTTTAAGTTATAAAATTAATGCCTACTTATTTAAAAGGTCAAACAAAATAGAGATTTATACAATGCATTTTCCCCTCCCACTTCTGCCTCTTCAATTCCCCACTCCTCACCCAAGTCCCCAATAACCCTTGTAAGGATTTTGAGTGTTCCTTACATGTCTTTCTCCATGATTCACATGCATGTGCACACTCTTATGCATACACACACACATACACACATGCACTCAGACATGCACACTCGCACAAACACACACTGTGACCAGCAGCTTCTGATGTGGCTCCCAGTGATTCCCACCTCCTGGTATTCATCCTCTTGTGTTATCGCCTCATCTCACATGTGAGCTGGACCTAGTAACTTGCTTCTAATGAACAGAACACAGCAAAATCAACAGGATGTCACCTCTGTGATTACGTTACAAAAGACTGTGACTTCTGTCATCTTGGTGTCTTCTCCCTGGCTCTTCTCATGTGCTTACTCTAACAGAGAGGGCTGCTTGGCAAGGAGCTGACGGTGGCCTGAAGCCAACCATCAGTGAGGAACTGAGGACTTCCATCCGAAGGCCCTTGAGGAGCTGAATCCTGCTAACAACCACGCGAGTGAGCCTAGAATCAGATCCTTCCCCAGTCAAGCCTTCAGATGACTGCAGCCCCAACAGACATGTTGAATGCAGCCTGTGAGAGACCCTGAGCCAGGGCACTCAGCTAAGCTGTGCCTGGATTCCTTACCCACAGAAGTCAGGAGATAATAAATGCATGTTGTTCCAAGCTGCCAAGCTTTGTGTGTGTGTGTGTGTGTGTGTGTGAGAGAGAGAGAGACAGGGTCTCTCTCTGTCACCCAGGCTGGAGTGCAGTGGCGTGATCTTGACCCACCTCAACCTCTGCCTCCTAGGTTCAAGAGATCCTCCCACCTCAGCCTCCCAAATAGCTGCGACTATAGGCATCTGCCACCATGCCGGGCTAATTTTTGTATTTTTTGGGTAGAGACAGGGTTTTACCAGGTTGCCCAGGGTGGTCTTGAACTCCTGGGCTCAAGTGATCCTCCTGCCTCAGCCTTCAAAGTGATGGAATTACAGGTGTGAGCCACCATACCAGGTCTGGGTGATTTATTAAGCAACAATAGATTACTATTATACCTTCTATGCTGGTGCTTTTATTTCTATAGGATAAATTCATAATAGTGGGATTGAAGAGTCAACAGGTATATACATTCTGTTAACATATGGGATGATATTTCCTTCCAAAAATTGTAGCAATTCCTGTTTTCACCAGTTCTTGCCTTTACATCTTCATCAAAACAGAATATCATCAATCTTTCACGCTTTTTGCTAATCCAGTGGGTTTCATGGCACCTTATCATTGTTGTAGTTTGAATTTCCCTTACTACTAGGGAAGTTGAACATTGGGAGCATAGAGAGATGGACAATAATTTTTTTCTTGTATTTTTTGTCCAAATATATGTGTGTATATATATATATATATATATATATATATATATATATATATATATATATATATATGTTTTTTTTTCTTTTTCTTTCTAAAAAAGGAAAACAAGATGCATGTGCAGAACGTGCAGGTTTACAAGATACATATGCAGAATTTGCAGGTTTGTTGCATAGGTATACGTGTGTCATGGTGGTTTGCTGCACCTATTGACCCATCCTCTAAATTCCCTCCCCTCACCCCCCACCCCCAACAGGCCGTGGTGTGTGTTTTTCCCCTCTCTGTGTCCATGTGTTCTCAATGTTCAGCTCCCATTTATGAATGAGAACCTGTGGTGTTTGGTTTTCTGTTCCTGTGTTAGTTTGCTGAGGATGATGGTTTCCAGCTTCATCCATGTCTCTGCAAAGGACATGATCTCATTCCTTTTTATGGCTGCATAGTATTCCATGGTGTATATGTACCGCATTTTCTTTATCCAGTCTATCATTGATGGGCATTTGGGTTGGTGTCCAACTATATTTTTTCAGACAAACATTTGCTGAGCCCTTACTGTGTGCCAGGTACTGTTATATAGTTGAGATATTAATAAGACATGGACCTTGCCCTCAAAGCTTAATGGGAAAGATGAACATATAAAAATATATGAAATATCATAATAAGCACTGAAATAAACATTTGCACTCACTGTTTTGGGAACACAGAAGTCAAAAAGATCAAAAATTTCTGGGGTTGCTTAAGACAATAGGTGGAAGAGTGGGCATTTGAACAGGGTACTGAGGGAAATGTAGGAGTCTGTCAAATGGGGAAAATTCAGAGCATGGGCAAAGACCCAGAGGCATGAACATGTTGGTGTTCAGCAAAGCTGGAATAGAGGAGGCAGAGTGATGGAGCAGGTCAGTTAGGGCTGATGGGGAGCGGATCTGGATGCTATGCTCAGGGATTTGAACACTGTCATAAAGATTATAGGGAGCCCCTGAAGATTGTTCAGTAGAAGAGTGACATGACGGATGACACGACTTGGGTTTATTTGTGCACATGCCACGTCTCACTGACTGAAGGACGTGCGCGTCCTGTTCTCTTCCTCCCTCCAGGGTCTACATCGGTTTCACCTCTGTCTCTCCCAGCACACAGCAGGCATCTGCACAGGTTTATGGACTGAATGAAGAATCAGGTCCTGACCCATGGATGGGACTGTCCAATGCAGGCTGAAAACATCGGTGTGGCTATGAGTGAAGAGCCATGAGCTAGGACATGAGGGATTCTGGAAGCAAGAAAAGGAGTCCGAAACCAAAAGATGGTGGAGAGTCTGGAAACCCTCAGTCATCCAGGTCTCACGTGAGTCTCCTGCAGCTGACCACAGGCTGGAGCACTCTTGCTGCTTTTCACATGCACATGCATGGGTTTCTCTCCTTGGAGCTCCTTAGAGGTGTCCTGAGGTCTTGGCCTCAACAGACAGATGACTTCCTCCTTCTTCTCCTTTGCCTTGGCATCTTCTCTCCCTAACCAGCCCTGATGAAGGTGGGAACCATCCTCCTTGTTATATCTTTAATAAGACTAGATGTTCTCAAGGAGGAAAGAGGATGAGCTGAAAGACGCCCTTCACATTTCTCTTGTGCAAAAATCCTCCCCTGACAAATATAGTTCTTTCCCCTGTACATGAACCCCAATCGATTTTCCCGTCATCAGAATCCCTCAGGCATTGCCAGCCTCCTAATGGTAACTGCTGAGGACACACTGGACTCCTGTTGTTAGCGGGACTGCCAGTGGTCATGGCTGTGTCTCTGACCTACCACTACAGGATTAGAACAATTCTGCCAACAAAGAAAAAACCTCTTATTTCTCGAGCCTCGCCGACTGTGTGCCAGGCACTGTGCTCAGTGCTTTACATTGGTGATCTGGTTCGGTCTTCTTGATAGTCCTGAAACACTTGCATTATGATGATCAGCACTCCCACTTCACAGGGGAGGAAAGAGAGGTGCAGGGAAGTTAAGTAACTAGGCCAAGGTGATGCTGCTACCAGCAAGTGGGCCAGGACCTGCGCTGACAATGTCACCTTGCTGTATGGGAGCCCGGTGCTCTGTAGATTCACACAGAGGCTTTAACCAATTCAAACCCTCCATGGTGGGTTCTCATCAGTGCCTTAAAGGAATATGTTTGCAGATGGTACCAAGCCAAGCTGGCCATTGGTGCAGTGTTTCTGCATGAGTCTCCCCTTACAGGGACCAGGGACAAGGGATTGGCTTCCTTCCCTGGTGTTTTGTCCAGAGACAGATGAGCGAAAGGGGTTGGTCTGAGACAACAGCCCTGATGGTCACTCTACCCTTCAGCCAGAGGCAGGATGGGATTGTGATCCAGAGGTTTAGCTGAGCCTTAGACATCAGAAGGAAGCTGGGGTCCCAGAGGAGTGAGCTGCAGGCAGGAGAGCAGGGTCTGGGGTGAGTCCTGGAATCACAGTCAGGGGTCTGTCCAGGGCAGTGGGCACTGATGAGGGCTTACAGATCCTGGGTTGGAGGAGCAGCTCAGAGCACCTTGTGGGGCATTTATCTTCGTCTTCATGTTTCTGATTTAGCTTTTTTTTTTTTTCTCCTTCTGTCCTCCTCTTTGCTCTCTTCTTCCTCCTCCTCTTCTTTCAATATGGAAATATGATTGTTTTTCTGAAGATAAAAGTTCATGCTCTTTGTAAAAAAAATCCAGACAGTATAAAAGTTTAAAGACAAATGTAAAAATAATCCATACTCCCCACCATCCAGAAATAGGCCCCATGACATTTGGGTGTGCAGTCATTCAGACTTTTCCTGTTTGCCAGAATGGTGTCAGATCATACAAACTGGATTCCATCCTAGCTTCTCACTTTGCAACAGACCATGATTGCCCCAGCAGTATCTGTAGAGGTACCTTGTCATTCCATGCTGTATGGGCTTCCATTTTTGGATGCATCATTGTTCATTTAGATCTTATTGGTTGTACTTCTTTTCTAAAATACAGATGTGTGTGTTTCAAGGGACTTGGTATGGAAAATACTCATGTCCTCCGGCCACACATGTTTCTTCCTCCTCCTCTCTGAACTGCCCCTGGATAGAGGTCCCCAGGGTTCGAGATGGACAAAGAGAGGAGGAAGAGGCTCAGTGTCCTCAGAGAGCAGGGGAGTGAGATAATGAGAGAGAGAGAGAGTATTCCGGGCACCCAGCTGGCAGGATGACTGGATGTAGGCGAGGGGGACATCGGGACGCGTTACTTGAGTGGGCAGCAGAGCTGGGGCGATGCCTAGGCTTTCTTGGGCAACTTGACATTCTAGATGAAAAAAAATCCCTGGGCCATGAGAGAATGAGATGCCAAACTTCACTTCATCCGTCAAATATGCCTCTACATCCATCCTGTGTGCCAGGCTCAGTGCCAGGCACCAGAGATATGGAATCGAATAAATCATGGTCTGTGCAAAGTGCTGCATGGGAGTGGAGAGAAGGGATGAACTGTGGCCTCCGTGGGGTGTTAGGGAGGACAGCATTTGAAGGAAGGCGCAGAGCGGAGACGGCTGGAAATTCCAGACTAGAAGAATAGCCTAGATTGGCAGTTAGGTGGAAAAGCAGAGCTCATGACAGACATGTGGGTGAGGGTGAGGAGGAGGAGAGTGGTGGATGGCAATTAATCAATTGAGGCTGATTAGGACCAGGTCTTGAAGAGCTTTAAATGTCATGCTAAGGGATTTATTCTGTTGGCCTAAGGGAGACTTTGGAGGATTTGGAGTATGCAAAAGATGTGATCCCTCTTGCCACCTGTGTGGAAGATGGTTGGAGGGAGGAAACTGGGGCCAGGTGACCAGGCTCATGGCTCCGCATGGCCCTTGGGAGACAGTGAAGGATTGGAACCCTGGCACGTGCTTTGGGGGTAGAGACAATGGGGCCAATGTATGAGAAGATAGTGAGATAGAGGGGACTGGTTTTGGTGACTGAGCAGAGGTAGGGGGCAGGGAGGGGGATGGGGAGGATGCAGGCAGGACAGATCTTTGACTTTCCAGCATAGGAGGCTCCTTGAGCTAAGACAGATTGCTGGGTGGTGTTCCAGAGACATGGCAGCAGGGATTTTGCTGTTCTCTCTCATGCGCCGCCTAGGGTGGTAGGAGTCAGCAAATGGCCGGTCTTGGTTTGTGTTTTGCTTTCTCGGTGGCTCACGCCTGTAATCCCAGCACTTTGGGAGGCCGAGGCGGGTGGATCACTTGAGGTCAGGAGTTCCAGACCAGCCTGACCAACATGGTGAAACCCCGTCTCTACTAAAAAAATGCAAAATTAGCCGGGCGTGGTGGCGCATGCCTGTAATCCCAGCGACATGGGAGGCTGAGACAGGAGAATCACTTGAATCTGGGAGATGGAGGTTGCAGTGAACCAAGATCACGCCATTGCACTCCAGCCTGGGCAATAAGAGCGGAACTCTATCTCAAAAAAAAAAATTATTTTATGTACAAAGAGCTAGCATGATTTCTTTCCTTGAGTGGGTGCCTTGGCTAATCTACTCAAGGCCAGCTTCATGAAGACTACCTACATCCTCCGACAGAAACATAGCTGCACACATGGAGGCCGTATTTCTGGATCAGACCCTGCTGGTTTGAGCAGACGTGACAAGAGCAAGAACCCTGGCCGAATTTTTGTTGGTGGCTCCAGTAGAGCTGCTGGTGACCCATCTTGCTTTCAGAAGTGTAACGAGGCAAAAGGAAAAGGTGCGTTTTGTTTCTTGTTCCTCATAGGCTCAGAGGCTCACTATCAAGGGGGCATTGGAGTTCACCCCTTCATTTTACAGATGAGGAAACTGAGACCCAGAGAGGGAAGTGATGGGCTCATGGTCACATAGCAAGTCACTGGAAAAGCTGGGGTCACATCCCAGGCACTGTGATTCCTGGGACAGGCTGGTTCCAGCTCACAGGCTGGTGCCATGACCAGCTGCAGCAGTAGCTGTGGGTTCTGGAGCCAGATGCACCTGGCTCAGATCTGGGCTCTGGGCTTACTAGCTGGCAACCTTGGGCAAGTACATTCCTCCTTCCCCTCTGAGCTTCAGTTTCCTCACCCTTCAGGTAAAACTAGCAATCCTCATCTTACAGCATAATCGTGAGGACTGAACAGGACACGGTAAAAAGATGCCTTGTATTGCACCAGCCCATAGTAAGTGCTCAGGAAATGTTTTGCATCTCTTCTCCTTTCCGCTCTTCAAAGCTTGGCCTCAACATTCCAAATCCCCCATTTCGGGGCCAACCTTTTCACTTTTAACCAAGATCTTACAAAATCTTCTGAAATGGCCAGGTTTTGAGTTACCTTAAACTGCATATCTTCAGGCGAGCTTATTTTTACTAATTAATTAATTAATTAATTAATTTTTGAGACAGAGTCTTGCGCTGTCACCCAGGCTGGAGCGCAGTGGCACGATCTTGGCTCACTGCAACCTCCGCCTCCCAGGTTCAAGCAATTCTCCTGCCTCAGCCTCCCAAGTACCTGGGATTACAGGCATGCACCACCACACACAGGCAATATTTTGTATTTTTAGTAGAGACGGGGTTTCACCATGTTGGCCAGGCTGGTCTTGAACTCCTGACCTCAGGTGATCCATCCACCTCAGCCTCCCAAAGTGCTGGGATTACAGGCATGAGCCACAACACCCGGCCCAGGCAAGCTTCTTAAATTCTCTGGGACTCAGTATTTTTATCTCTAAAATGGGGAAAATAATCCCTACTTCCCAGGATTTTTTGGGAATTAAACAAGACAACACAGATGAGATACCTAGCGTGATGCCTAGCCTGTGGTAAGTGCTTCGTGAGCAGCAGACATCTCTGAGTAGTGATAATTTAAACTCCAAGGAGGCAGAGGCGAACCCATGTATGCCCTTGGTGGGGCCACACCTGCATCAGAAATCCTGACAAGCATGTGCCTGGCATTTCATGGGACCCTCCAGGGTGCCCTGCAGCAGTTTAAAAAGGCTGATTTAGGAGGAATATTCTCCTCTGCTGTGTCTCTTTTTTAACTTATTTTGCTTTGATTTCTCCATTTGCTACTAACCATGTATGAGTTACCTGCCTCTGTGATCTGTACATTAAATACAACTGTTCGGTGTGAGGAGGAGGCCGTGTTCATTCATGGTTTTTTTTTCTTTCTAATAATAAAAACAGAGCTTTTAACATCCTTTGGGCTACTGTGCAATCTATTTTTTTTTTCTGTCTCAATAGAATTGGAAGGGACTTTGGGGTGGTCGGTGACCTTGGACACTCTGGACTCCTTTGGACTCCGGATTATCATGTGATTGACATCTCCTATTCTGTCTGCTCTAAAGAGTCATCTACCCTCTCACACTGAGAATAAAAGCCAAAGTCCTCAGCCTGTTCCGTTCTCAGGGCCTTTGCATGTGCTCGTCCCTCTGCCAGGAATGCCATTCACTCAGATGCAATCCTATAATCACTTTCTTTATTTCTTAATAAATATTACATGTAATATTACATATTATTTATATAATTATATTATAAATGTTATTTATAATAAGACATATTTTCCTATTTTTTTTTATTAGTGAGGCCTCTCCTAACCACCTTATGTAAACCACCTCTCCCATCTCTCTCCCCTTCCCCTGGTTTACCCTGACAGTGTACTTACCACTGCCTGTCATCCCACTGTGTATTTATTTATTGTCTTGCTCTAGACGCTGAGTCTGTGAGCACAGAAACCATGCCTGGTTTTGCTCACCATGCTATCCTCCATGCCCCAGCCAATTTCTGGCCCAGAGTAGATGCTCATTAAATCATTGTTGAACGAATGCTCAGCTGTGGGACTGGGGGTTGGGTGGCTGAGGAATGGCACCTGGGAGGGGTTGCTGAGGAGGCTGTGGGCCCTGGTGATTTCTCATTGACGCTTTTCTCACTCAATCCTTGGGTCTTGGAGAGATGGGAAGTGGCAGTTGACTCTGGGGCAGCTGTTTAAGTCTGACATAGCAGGAGCCAGAAAAAAAGGTGGCCGTGCATGGGCGGCCGTCCTATCTGCCAGTCAGAGACGCTCTGCTGCAAGGACGGGGAGTTGGGGAGGGTCCCTGGGGCCACCCTACCTTCCCTCGTCCTCCGTTTTACTATAATAACATCTCACCTTCACCAAACACTGACTGGGTCCAGGCGAAGTTTTTTTTTTGTTTTTTTTTTTTTGAGATGGAGTCTCACTCTGTCACCCAGGCTGGAGTGCATTGGGGTGATCTCCGTTCACTGCAGCCTCTGCCTCCCAGGTTCAAGCAATTCTCCTGCCTCAGCTACCCGAGTAGCTGGGACCACAGGCGCCCACCACCATGCCAGGCAAATTTTTGTATTTTTAGTTGCGACGGGGGTTTCACCATATTGGCGAGGCTGGTCTCGAACTCCTGACCTCAAATGATCCGCCCGCCTCGGCCTCCCAGAGTGCTGGGATTACAGGCGCAAGCCACCTCGCCTGGCCCAGGCACAGTTCTAATTGCCTTATGTGGATTAACTCACTTAACCCTCGCAACGAGCCTTTGAGGGTAAGCACACATAGCATCCCCCACTTATAGGTGAGGAGACTGAGGCACAGGCACTTAAGTAACATACCCAAGACCACACAGCTAGTTCATGGAAAAACTGGAATTTGAAGCCAGGTAGCTCTGGCTCGAGAACCCCTGAGCTCAATCACTGTGCTTGAGTGAGCCCCGCTGTGCCAGAGCCAGAGGGAGGAGGGCCTGGCCTGAGCTTCTTTTGGAGAAACTGGGCTAGAACTTAGGCCTCCTGACTCTGGGAAGGGACTCCTGCCATAACCTCACAGAGGGTGGCTGAGTGGGAAAGGTGTGGGGTTTTCAATCCTGTCCCAGCCAATTCAGCAGCAGTCTATAGAATCCTGCTGGGCCCAGAGTGCTGCAAGCTGGAGCCCCTGCCCTGACAGCAATGGGCACTGAGGATGAGGCCAGGGTCACCCATGTTCCCTGGGCCCACCCTTTGTCCTTTGAGTCTTACTAGAAAGAACTGGGGCACAACCCCAGCTTCTCTGTCCTCAGCCTCTGAGCCTGGGGAAGGGGATGGCAGAGTTGACAGTGGCTTATCTAGGTGACATCAGAATTGCAGCCACCTGGGCTTAGGCTTCCCAGACTTGAAGCATCTGCTTGTCTGTGAGTTTTGAAGCCACCCCAGCCCTGGCCACCCTGCTACCTGTCTCCAGGGTCTTCTTGCCTCGGGAAGTTCAAGGCACCTGGCGATACCTTGCAATGGAATGAGTATCCTGCCTGGAGCCAGAATAGCTGGATAGACATTAGGCTCTGACACCTGCTTGCTAGGTGACCCGGGGCAAGTTGCTAAGCATCTCTGAGTCCCTATTTTTCCATCTCTAAAACTGTTTAGCTTTTTAAAGGGCTGTTGTGAGAATTTTCTTTTTTCTTTTTTTTTTTTGAGATGGAGTCTTGCTCTGTTGCCCAGGCTGGAGTGCAGTGGTGTGGTCTTGGCTCACTGCAACCTCCACCTCCCAGGTTCAAGCGATTCTCCTACCTTAGCCTCCCAAGTAGCTGGGATTACAGGCGCCTGCCACCATGCCTGGCTAATTTTTGTATTTTTGGTAGAGATGGGGTTTCACCATGTTGGCCAAGCTGGTCTCGAACTCCTGACCTCAGGTGATCTGCCTGCCTTGGCCTCCCAAAGTGCTGGGATTACAGGCGTCAGCCACCATGCCTGGCCTAGTTTGAGAATTTTATGTGATAAATTAAGTCAGAGCTTCTCCAGCTTTTCCACTAAAGCAAAACCTAATGGCAAAAGAGAGTAAGCTGTATCCTGGGGTTTGAGGGTATAGCTTAAAGCAGATAGCCACAAGCTCAGAATTTATTTGAAGTCTTACTGTAGCTTAAAAATTCAGGTGCATTTTGCATTCTGCTCCATAATGTATCCATGTTGTTTCTTTTAACACAGTGTTTTAAGTTACTTATCATTGGGTAATTTCAGTGCCAGCAAGATGGGCCGTGTTTGTCATGTGGCTCTGCATACTCCCTGGCCCACGGGTGGGAGCCCCCAAGGGTTGTGTGTATTCAGTTGAAGAAGCATTCGTGTAAGTAAAAGTGCTCTAGAAAGAACAGAAAAAAAGCGACATAAAGGTCAGAGAGTTTTAATGTGAATGTTGGCAGTAATGGAAACACATCCGTCAGTTAGCAAGATGGATGAACGGAAGATGAAAAAGGGAAGGCAAGGGGAGAGGTAGGAATAGAAATGGGATGGGGCGCTGGTCAGGCAGTGAATGCAAATCCCAAGTGGGCTAGGCTCAACTCCTAAGCAAAGGGGGAGATTCAGAAGCCGGGGGGTTGAAACCCAGGACACTGGTCAGCAGGCACTGGGGCTCCCTAGCCTGTCTGTTATACCATTGAGGAAGCCACTGGCTTCCACTGTTATAGTGGGTCATATACTTTTACTTACTTTTTGGCTTAGGGTAGCTTTCCTGTAAGCCTTCCCTCTCCCCCTGAGAGTGTCCTTTTTAGCACCAGGGGTGGTCTCTCTATATTCCTTTCATGGCCATGGGGCTTAGTATGCAACGTCCCTCCAGCAACCTCCCAAAGTCCTCCTTGCTTGGAGACCCCTCGTGTCAATGCTCATCGGAGGGCTATGGCAATGTCCCATAATCCTTCAGGTGAGTATGCAGATTAGGCTCTGCTGTGACCTGGGCACAGGTGCAAACCTTTAGTCTCCTTTCTGCTCCTTTTGGTATCTTTTTAAAAATTACAAAGCTTCCATGCAGAAATGTGCACACGTCACAATATTACAAAATGTCTGAAAGCAAATATTTCCCAAAGAATTGTGGGAACACAAGCAAACACCTTTCTTTCGTTCTCTGTTATTTCTGGATGAAAGCAGATAATGAGTTACCCTTTTCACAATCAATGTTCAGTGAATTTTTGGCTACATTTTTCGGAGCAAATATAAACAGGGTAAGTTGAAGGCATGGATTATTGCAAAATAAAATTGGGATACATGAAGCTTAAAAGTCTTAATTTTAAAACTAGTCCTCACAATAGACCAGAACTTGATCCTCTCTAATTCTTTGCAAACAGCGTTTGCATTTTATTATCAAATGTGTCTTATATCAGCGTAGGATGAGATTTGGCTCATGTTTTTGCATAAATATAATAAAAGGAGGCTTCCCAGTGAACATAGATTTGGGAAATAGTGTTTACTTATTTCTCTCAATTCAAAAGAGTGTGAACTGGAAATTTTTTGTTTCAGTAATTTTTTCTTTTGAACACAAAGGCTGTGTATTGTTTCTTTCTACAAAGAACACAAGCCAATCTGGGGACAATTATGGTTTTGTATTTCTCTCTGGGGAGCACAGGCTCATGCTGTGAACTTGCCGATCAGCAAACCAGGCTCCATGCCACCAGATGGGATGTGAACTTGGCATGGGGATGACCAAAATCCTGGGATCCAGACTCAGGACAGGCAGCTAGCCTCCCCTGGGGCAGGCAGGGACCAGAAGAGCCCCAGAGGGTCTTGTAGAACAGAGGCGGAGGAGGAGAGGACAGAAAGGACAGGGAGACAACCAAGGTATGAGGTGGGAAGTTCTAACATTCCTCTTTGTGCTATTCCGTCCTTCCAGGAATTACAGGTAGGGGAGATGCTGGTTTTGGGTGAGCTCTGGAATTTCAAAGAGGTTACCTTGGGTCTAGAGCAGATAGGAAACTATAGAGAAGCAGTGAAGGGCCTGGAGTCAGCCAGACCTAAGCCAGACCTGAGTCCTTTCTCTGCTGCTCATGGTAGCTCTTGACCATGGGCACTTGATGTCAACTCTTTGAGCCTCCATTTCCTTGTCCTGTAGAATGGGGTAATAATAGGACTTTAGAAGATTGTTGTGAAGGTTTACTGGAGAAAAGAAAAATGTGTAAGAAACACTTTACTTGGTGCCTGGTCCATATTTGCCAGCTCTTGGTTGTTAGTTCAAGCTGAGCAGAAGCACCCACATGCAGAAGGATTTGACAGTTCTGGACCTGGGCCTCAGTCTACTTTGCATTAGAGTAAATTATGTATGTCTGTCGTGATTATAGTTAGAAGCTCCCAGAGGGTTGGAAACTCCAAGCTCAGATACCTCAAATACTAGGTAATTGTGTTTTGAGTTGCACTAAATTTAATTCCTCCTTTAAACCAGTAATTTCAGCTCCACTGGTTACCTTCCTTTCTTTCTTTTTTTTTTTTTTGAGACGAAGTCTTGCCCTGTCACCCAGGCTGAAGTGCAATGGTGCAGTCTCGGCTCACTGCAACCTCTGCCTCCTGGGTTCAAACAATTCTCCTGCCTCAGCCTCCTGAGTAGCTTGAATTACAGGCGCCTGCCACCACGCCCAGCTAATTTTTGTGTTTTTAGTAGAGACGGGGGTTTCACCATATTGGCCAGGCTGGTCTCGAACTCTTGACCTCGTGATCTGCCTGCCTCGGCTTCCCAAAGTGCTGGGACTACAGGCGTGAACCACGGCGCCGGGTCCCCTTTTCAGGGTTGTTTCTGGCAGGGGAGGGTCCAGGTTCTTGACCACTTGTCTTTTTAGTACACTCTTCCTGCAATATGCACTCATTGTCACCAGGTGGCAGTAGAGTCCCAGGCCGCTTTGGGGAGCCGGGCCATAGCAAAGATTTCCATCCTTGGGAGACATTTAAAAATGGATTTCTACTTATTAAACCAGTTCAATGAGATTAACCTACTTACCACCCTCAACTTTAAGCATGGCAAGCATCAGAGCAGCTAATGAGACAAAATACAAAGTGTTTGGTACACTCAATTATCTTTTCTGGACTAATCCCTAAAGAGCGTCTAATCCGGTGCTCCCATTCCTCAGGGAAGGCATTCTCTTCTCTCAACACTCAGGTTCACTCCACTTGGTGTCACCACTCCCTGTAGCTTCCTTTTGCTCTGGCTTTTGTTCACTCGTTCAGCCAACCTTGAGGTGCATCTTCTCCGTGTGGACCCCATGCAGGGGAGTGCTCAGCCGGGGGAGGGAAGGGGAAGGGCTATGGAAACAGAGAGGGGGGTCACAAACCCAAGTGCCTTCCATGGCCAGGGTGGTAATGGAGATGGGTGAATTGGGTCTGAGTAAGAAGAACAGGGAGTTGGGGAGGGGCAACCTGGAGACTTGGGGCCCCACCTAGAGGGTGGCAGCTGCCACTCAGTTCCACGTGATTGTTGCAAGGTGGGAATGTGGCACAACACTGCCATATCTTCCTATTCTTCAAGATAAATTAAATGTTTAGGTTTTATATCTATATCTATATCTATATCTATCTATCTATCTATATCTATCTATCTATCTATCTATATATATATATCTATATATATATATATCTATATCTATCTATATATATATATAAAACATCTCTTACTTTAAAATTGTGGGCCTGGTTTGACTCTCGTGCTGTGAGTTTGAGACTCTGAAATAGAGGCTTATGGCACAGTGTGATAGAGTGGTAAAGAAGCTGTGTCCAGAGAACTGTGGGAGCCCAGAGGAGGGAGCCCCAATTCTGTCTGGAGCATTCATTCATTATTCATTCAGTAAATATTTACTGCATTCCTATCGTGTGCAGAATGCCTGGGATTCATAGTCGAACAAGATACACAGAATCCTTACCTCCATGGCGTGCACAGCTCATTAGGGGAGGCAAATACCGAACGCTGAATGATGTTATGTATGATTTGGTTGGATATTGTATAGAATAATCTGAGGGACAAATTTACAGTGCAATGAGCGTCCGCGGGTGGGTCAGGGAGGCCTTCCCTGAGGAAGTGATGTTTGGTCTGAGATCTGAAGGATGAATAGGAGTATAACTTGTCCATTGACCAGGCCAGCCACTGGCCATTTAGTTCCAGAAATGAGCTAAATGCCCACTGGGGAGGGTATAACTCAGAAAGGGCCATGATCTGGAGAAGAGGACACTTGCTGGGAAGGTGTCCCAGACGGTCAAAGTTGGACCCTTTTCCTCCATAGAATGTGCAGGACAGAGCAGAAATCCACTGGGGAAGAGACGAGGGAGCAGAGCAGCTTCCCTGCTTCCTTCCACCCAGAGCATGTGCTGTGAGAGCAGTGGGTGCCCAGGCCAGCAAAGGAGAGGCTTTGGGAGGGTCTGGGGAGAGTGGACAGCTCCTTCAAAGACCAGAGAGAGGGTCTCAGGCTAGCATTTTGGGAAGGAAAATTGGGGCAGAGAATGGAGGTCCCCGGCTCTCAGGCCAACAAGATTCCAAATTCCATCAGAAGGATGAGCAGTGCTCACAGGGGAGCTGAAGGCTGAGGACTCTGGGGCTGAGGAGGCTCCAGGCCCACAGTTACAGCAGGAAGGCTTGGAAGTCAGGTGCACAAAGTTTGACATATAGGAGAATAAGCTCTCCTGATCTGGTTTTGTATTCTGTTTCCCTGCTGATGAACTGTGTGATCTTAAGCAACTTACTTAAACTCTCTGAGCTTCAGCATTGTCATTTGTGGGATGGACATTTTCTGTCTGCTTTGTGGATGGGGTGATTAAATGGGATTAGGAAGGTAAGGGCCTAGCACTGTGCCTGACTCGCAGTTGATGTTCAATAAATTTGTGTTCCATTCCTCTGCCTCCTGCTCCTCTTCCAAGTAGAATAATTGCTCCCAGGAAACTCCTGTCTTCTGTTGCTCTCACATCCACCAACCCCAGGGCACAGCCCCCAGGACCTCAAAGTCACAAGTCCCCACTCCTGCCTGTGTCTCCTCTCCATCCTCTGCTTCATCCGGGGCTCACCCTGGCCACTCCTTTTGCACATACCTTTTTATAAAATAGACTACACATTCAACAGCAGACACAATCATACGTTTCCAGAATATCCTCTTTGGAACAGAGAAAAATAAGTCATGCTCTCCCCAGTCCTGGATCTCTAAGAGCATGGGTGGGGAAGGAGAGTTGTGCTGAATCCTGGCTCTGACATTCCCCAGTGTGCAACCTTGGGCACCATAATATGCGGAAAGGTGAAACAGTTTACAGATGCTACTGTTTTTATTTTGCAGGATGTTTTCTGATATGAATACTGAGGTCAGGAGGTTTTCCTTAGCACTTATTACTTTTTTCTATTAAGTGGAGGACTTGGGTGGTTTCCACCCACGGACCTGACTGTTGAATGAATTTAACAGTCTCCATCAGTCCGCAAGCAAGTGCACCCTGGTTTTGCCGTCTGCTCAGCTGGTGTGAGGCTCCAGGGTGAGAGGCAGGCAAAGGAGATATTCTTGCTAGAACCTTCCCTCAAGGAGCCTTCTGGAAGGCAGGCCACAGTTCTAATGCTGGATCCTCTGCTGGTTGGTGGTGGGACCCAAAGCACTTGGCTGCCTGGCCCTGACCCTCACCTTCCTCAGGGAGGACGTCATGTTGTTATAGACATAATGCTCACATTAGGGGCTCAATCAGCCGTTGGCTATTGCTATTACTATTCATATAATGAGATCATGTGTGTGAATCACACGCACATACTTTGCACAGAATAAGGGGTCAATTTGTGGTAGCAATTTATTTATTTATTCCATACCCCTCACTTCTCCCCTTCCTGACCTCAGGTAACCACTAATATACTCTTTATCTTCATGAGATCCCCTTCTTAAGCTGCCACCTATGAGTGAGAACATGTGATATTTGTCTTTCTGTGCCTAATTGATTTCACTTAACCTCATGGCCTCCAGTTCCATCCATGTTGCTGCAAACGACAGGATTTTATACTTTTTTTTATGGCTGAATAATATTCCATGGTGTATGTATTCCACATTCTCTTTATCCATTCATCTCTTGATGGGCACTTAGGTTGATTCCGTCTCTCAGCTACTGTGAAGAGTGCTACAATGAACACAGGAGTGCAGATTATCTCTTTGATGTATTGATTTCCTTTCTTTTGGATCTATACCCAGTAGCGGGCTTGCTGATCATATGGTGGTTCTATTTTGAGTTTTTTGAGGAACCTCCATACTGTGCTGCATAGTGGCTGTACTAATTTGCATTCCCACCAACATCTAGTGATAGCTATTTATAATAATCATGCTCATAATCATAATAAATAATGTACTCAAAGTCCTTGGTGGGCACAGAATGGGTCCTCAGTAAAGATTCTTAAGAAAAATCCAGGGGGATTCTGAGTGTAGACCCCTTGCTACAGTGCCTGTGCCTGCTGGTGGTGAGTGCATGGTGGTATCAATACTGATGATCATGAAATGAGACCAAGTTTGTAAAGCACTTCCCACAGGGTGGGGCACATGCTGGGTACTTGGTGCATGTTTCTTTCCATCTCCCTCCAGCACCAGGGGCGCATTCCTCAGACCAGAAAACTGCAGAGCCCTAGGCTGCAGCGTCCCTTTTAGTAACTCCTGGGCACAAGGCAGCCACCCTTCTCCTGCATCCTGGCTGTCTCCAGGTCTGGCTCTTCTGGCCTTGGCAGACTCTAGGCTGGTCAGGCGGCTTGAGCACTACCAGTACCTCTGTGGGCTGCTCCAGGGTTGCCCTACTTCTCCCACCCCGTGGCCATCCTCAGATGGACATGACTCTTGTAGGCTTTAGTGTCAACCCGGAACTGAGTGCCCCTTCTGAGAGGGGGATCTTGAGATCCTCTGGAGCCCTGACTCTGCACCCAGAATCTAGTCTGGAAGGAGAGGATCTCTGGGCACTGATGCCCCCTTCCTCATTCCCAATCCCCAGTTCAGGGTGCATCCCCAGCCTCCCAGGAACCTCCTAGGTGTTGGGACAACCTTGGCGTGAACTATGAGGTCCTAAGGGCCTGTGCTTAGGGCCACACCCACATTTTCAGGAGGCCCTGGGGACTGCAAGAAAATAATCACTCGTGGGGCCTGGGGAAGCTGGTTTTGTCAGTTAGACTCATTCTGTCCCTCTTCAGGTAGACACGTGAATGATCACATATATGCCACACACATACCCTCTCTATCATGTGCACAGGAATGTATGCCCAGGTCTTTCCCTAGACACGCCCCACATACCCAGGCCCTCACCCAGGCACACACGCGCACACACACACACACACACACACACACAGGCCCTTACCCAGAGACACATACACACCCAGGCCCTTACCCAGGGGCACACACACCCCCCCAGGCCCTCATCCAGGGATATACACATACCCAGGACCTCACCCAGAGACACACACACATACACCCAGAGACACACGCACACCCAGGCCCTCACCCAGGGACACACACACACCCAGGCCCTCACCCAGGGACACACACACACACATACCCAGAGACACACACACCCAGGCCCTCACCCAGGTACACACACACACCTAGACACACATACACCCAGGCCCTCACCCAGACACATACACACGCACACCTCCAACAGACAGGCACACACACTCACTCAGGCCCTCACCCAGGGACACACACACACCTAGACACACATACACCCAGGCCCTCACCCAGACCCATACACACGCACACCCCCAACAGACAGGCACACACACACTCAGGCACACCCACACACACTTGGGCCCTCAGCCAGGGACACACACACACCCAGAGACACACACCTAGACCCTTATGCAAGCACACACACACTTACACACCTCTACTCTTACACGCTTGTAGAAGCTCCAGGATCCTGAACACGTATCTGAACCCCACCACCCCGCACTTATCTCCTCACACACTGTAGATATTAACATCCCCCTCCTGCCCTGGCTCACAGACACACACGTGCACTCACACATATGAGCACACGTGGACACCTCTACACCCTCCCAGACGCCCCCACACCCTCCTGAAGCACAGGCACATGAAGGTACACCCCCACACGCCTGTGTGAACCCACACACTCCTCCCGAACCCACACACCATGGGCACACCCCTCCTCCCAGCGGCAGCTCTGGACCTGCCTGTGCCCACCCCCGCCGTCGTTCCCCGTAAATGTGCAGCCATCCCGCGTCCCCGCGCTGCCGCAGCCCCTCACTCGGGGCCCTCAAAGAGCACGCTTATAAAAACATTCTTCCCGTGATGGAGTGCTTCCTTTGGGCTTCTTCGGCTTGTAACAGATTAAAGGCGAACAGGCATTTGTCATGGGGAAGTGTACCCAGTTGTGCTGGAAAATGGACTTTTCGATGAGCGTGAGAGCTTGAACCTGTCACAGAGGGGAGAGCCTGTGTTATTGCAGCCTGCCGGGCCGCGGTGGCCGCTGCGGCTTATCGGCTGTGGCAGGCATCACCTACGACTGCAAGGATCCCATTACGGTAAGTAATGGCTTAATCACAGCCAGTTTGTAATGGAGATGACCTCTCCGCGTCCCGCTGGCCTTTTCGGATGGATTGCACCTCTCCACACCGTGACTAACAGCACTCCGTTCTGCTCTCCTGAGAAAGGGCCACGGGGCTCAGCCGGACACGACGCAGACGGCTCCGGGGAGGCTGCAGAGAGGGGGGAGCGAGGGCAAGGGCAACGGGAGGAGGAAGGGCCCGGGCCCTGGGCACCACCGCGCCCAATGTCTCACACAGGCGGGAAGCTGAGACGGGGAGAGGGCACGATGCCACACGCGGCCCCCGTCTTTTCAAGAGTGATAGTGACAGTGAGAGCTGCCATTGGGTAGGTGCCAAGAGAGTGTTTGTGTTTCCCAGGCTTTATCTTGCTCCAGTCACGGGAAGTAGAATATTACCATCACCTCTTTACAGATGAGGAAACGGAGGCTCAGGAAGAACAAGTGACTAGTGCAGGATCACAAAACAGACAAATAACGGAACTGGGGCTCAGGTTGGGGCTGGGCATCCTTGGAGCCAACGTTCTTGGCCATTGTATCCAGAGAGAATCCATTCTGCTTTTGGGTGGGGGACCTCTCGCCACCTTCCTTCTTCAGCAGGGCTGTAGCTGAACTTTCCTTGTCGGTGTGCTCTTGTACAGGGAAGCTTCACTTTCTGCCTGTTTATTTGTGTGTGTGCCACATGTTTGAGTATCCCTCTGTAGCTGGCCATTGGTGGGGGTTGAAGGCCACTGCAGCCTCAGCCCAAGATCAGGAGGTCAGGAGCTCCATGGTGAGCACAGGAAGTCTGTCTTTGGATATCGCTAGACCGTATGTCCCAGGGGTTGACTTGGGGGGATCCTGGAACTCGTTAACGGCCCCATCCTCTTTCCTCCACTAAGTCCTGCTCCTGCCACTGTAGCAACGATGCACCAGGGCACCAGGCAAAACATCTGGGGACTTAGTGGAAGAGCAAAAGGACTCTCTTCTTTGCTGTTTTGTTCATTTCTTCAGAATCATGTTTAGCTCCTGAAGAAGAGGGTGGAGTTTAGAAAGATTTGGAGCTGAGTCCAGGCTCCATCAGTGGCCAGCAGCATGACCTTGAACAAGTCCTGCACCTCCTTGAGGCTTGACTTCCTCACTTGCACAATTCCTAAACCAACTCGTAGAGACATGAGGCTTAGATGCCATCGTGTGTGTGAAGTATCTGAAAGTGAACCTGCTAGCTGGTTGAGACCAAGGTGAAACACCTTTACCAAAGCTTGCTGGAGAGAGGACAGGAAGCAGTGGAGTTGGGTCCCAGGCATGTGGTCTATGTGTGGTCTTGATACTCTACCGCAGAAGATGGTAACCACAATGGTAATTAACATTTGATGAGACCTCACTGTGGAACAAACACTAGTGCTTCCCATGGATTTCTCATCTAATTCTCCCGAAACTCTGGGTGATAATGAACATTATTATGATTCCCATTTTATGGATGAGTCAAATAAGATCAAAGATCCTGCCAGTGTCACATATTTAGGAAACGGAGCTCCTGGATACAAACCCAGGCTGTCTGGCTAAGTGTCAGTGCGTTTACTACTGCGCTTACCTGTGTTTGGGATTATTCAGAAAATCCCAAAGTTCTGCTCCCTTTGCTTTTGGAATACAATGCGAGCACTTCTCCCATTGCCTATGAACTCCAGTATGTCCCACATTCCAGTCCAGGGCAGGGGCAGGAGACTGGGCGCAGCTGGAGGGACAGGGCTGAACCCAAGCTGTGTTCAGGAAGGCACCTGGCCACAGAGAAGAAGGAACATTGGTGGGATACCCTGACTCTAAGGCAGAAAGCAGAGAGAGCTGGGCTCGGAAATTCATGAAATTGTGTCTGGACATGGGGTCTGCAGAGAGCACTTTGTTTTGCAGACTGATTTTTGCCGCTATGCTTATCTGCAAGGCTTCCTGAGACAAGGCTGCTGCCCTGTGACAGGAGGGAAGTGGCTGCTGAGTTTCGTTTACTTAGCAATATCTATTCAACGAATATTTATTAAGGGCCTACTATGTACCAGGCACCGGGCCAAGCAGCCGTTGAGTTTCCTTTGCTTAACAACATTTATTCAATAAATATTTATTAAGTGCCCACTCTGTACTGGGCCAGGCACTAGGGATTCAGTGGTGAGAAAGACAGACAAAATTCCTTCCTACCTGGAGGCTGGCCAAGGAGATGCAAAGAAATCCCAGCTCAGCACCCTCGGAAGCATTTATCAAGGATGTACTCTATGCCAAAGACTGGTACATCACCCTATGTCATCCCTCATAACAACTCTATAAAGAAGTACTACTGTGATGTCCATTTTTTCAAATGAGAAAGCTGAGTTGAAGAGAGCTTTAGTGACTTGCCCGGGGTTGCACAGCTGAGAAGTGACAGAACTGAGCCTTAAACCCAGCTCTGCTGAAAGCCTATGTTTTAACAAATGTGACTCTGCTATCTTGTCTACTGGCAATATCCCTGCAGATCTGAGACCTTCATGGGATATGGAGTGGAGGAGGGGGACAGGGCTCTGCTTTCTTCACCTGGAAGGCTGCTTTCTTACTTCTCTTCCTCACACCCCTCCTCCAACCCAGCTTTCCCCAACCCCCAATGCCTAGGCCTTGCCTTCTCTGCAGTTGGGGAGAGCTTATTCTCATGCTAATTGCAAAACTAATTGTTCTTATTGCAAAATCCATTATATAGTATATTTATATTGCAGATAATGAGCTGTTTGGATTAAATAGCTCACTAAAAGTCAATAAAAAGAAATTTGCTTCCCTGTTCCTCCCCTCATTTTTCACCAGCACCGTTAACACAGCCGTCGTTCTCCCTGAAGGCTGGAATTCATTAAAGCACCTGGAGCTGCAAGGGGATGTCGCTGTGTGGTTTTTCCCTTTCCCTTTGAAAAGGCCTTTGGAGGAGAGAGTTGGAAGACAAGAAGCAGGTTCTTTCCCCTGGTTTTAGTGATGCAGGGGTGACTAACCAACTAGAGTGCATCTTAATTTCTAGCAGAATCGAAGAACATGATTTCTCCAGAACAAAAGCCAGAGCTCAGGGGGTGGGGGCATGTGATGGGGGAGTGGGTGTGGACCCAGGAGTGAACTGACAGCCACTGCCACCCTCAAAGGAGGGGAGAAATATCCAAGGTCCTCGGCGCTGAGCTCTTTGCCCCCAAAGGGCTTGGGGACTGGAATGAGGCAGGGAGATGACAACCCCAGGACATGCTCTGGGAGAGTGAATATCAGATTTGAAGCTAAGGGTCTGGACTTCCAGGTTCTGGCCCTTTCCAGCATCTCTTGTGGGCTCCTAGAATTTTCCTGGTCTACCCATTTCTCTGGTCTTGGTTCTAAACCTGAAGGTGGTTTGTGCAAGCTGAGACCTACCAGGAAGAGGGCTGGTCTGTGAAGTTCTGGGTTTATTGGCACAGGTCTTCTGGAATTACTGTTTTATTTCATAGAGTGTGGATTTTTTAGGAGGAGCTGACATCAAGACTTGAACCAATGTCTGTGCACTTGACCTTCCATGGCACTGCTCTGTGTAATCAAAGTGGGGCTGAGAAGAGGGGCTGTTTCTTATTTTTTTTCTTAGGAGCCAATCTCGTGTTTGGTCTAATAAAATGGCATGATCAGAGTGTTAAGATGACCTGGATGGGGGCTACCAGCTTTGTCAAACCTACAGCGATTAGCCTTTTCTCAGCCATTCATTCATTCATTCATTCCATCCATCAGTAATATGTATTGAGTGCCCATGAGGGTCAATGTGGTGTGTTAGCCCCTAGTGATGACTCTGAATAAAATCAGGCGAGGTCTTTTCTCCGTCTCATGGAATTGTGGGGGCAGATACTAGCCAGATAGTCACACAGATGAGTGACTAATTAAAACCAAAGCATGTGCTTTGAAGGAAAGGAGAACACTTCTAAGAAAGTAATCCTAGGAAGACCTAACCTGGATGGTGGGGCCAGAGAAAGCTTCCTGAAGGCTGTGCTAGGTGGACTGAGCTCTGCGGGGGTGAATTCCTCAGACAATGAGGGAGGAGGAGAACATTTGAGCAAAAGTCCACCCCAGAGAGAGAGCAAGGGGCAGTAATGGGACAGCAAAGAGGGTCAGTAGGACAAGGCTGGCATCCCAGCACATGTGAAGCAGTTAAGGAGTTTAATTCTTTACTGTGGAAGCAATGGTAAAACTTTGAAGGGTTTAAGGCAGAGGAGTGGTGTGATTTGTGCTTTAAAAAGTTTTCTCTGGTTTCCAGTGACATATCAGAGGTAGCATTGGGAGCATTAAGCTGCAAAGAAGGGTGGAGGAGCCTATGGAGAGAGGGGAGAGGAGAGAGGAGGAAGGGAGGGAGGGAGGGGGAGAGAGAGAGAGGGAGAGAAAGAGAGATGGAGAGAGAGAGAGAGAGATAGAAAGAGAGAGAGAGGAGGAAGGACCTCGGTAAGGATGGAGAAGAGGCAGTTTGCCCAGAGAAAATCAAAGTTGTATTAGAAAGAGGAGAGAGATGCTGGCCATCTTCCCATTCAGTGCAGTACCGAGCAGACCATAATTTGGGGGGCTGATTTTAAACTCTCAGATGACAGTGATGTGGCACCTCACTCCAGCGGAGAGTTCCTCAAACCATTCATGGAAGCTTTGGGAGCCTTGGTTATATCCCCAGGGATGCTCAGCTTAGTGCTTGGAGAGCTGGCAAAGTCATTGTAGAGCTGTCTCATGGGAGCAAGGCAAACAAAGAGATGCTGGGTCATTACTGCATGAATGCCCTGGACTTGTGGAAGGGAGAAGCCTTGGCATTCGCCAGCCTGGAGCAGGGGCTTCGGGAACCTCCAGATGGAACAGACAGGCTAGTGGCAAAAGGAAGGCAGCCTGAGAAGGTCTCACTCCAGGCGGCTGTAATGGCTGTAATCTACAGCCATCTTTACTTAAGGACTTCAAAGGGAGATGAGAAGAGCGAGAGAGGCAGTTAGATGCTGAAGCAGCTTGAATGTGACGGAGATCAAAGGCAATGGAAGGTGGTTCTGTGCATTTCCCCAACCCCTTGCCCCAGCCTAAGCATCCACAGAGATGCTGGGATGGAGGGATCCCTAGGAAGGAAAAAGAGGCACCAGGAAACTTGAATCCAGCAGAAGGGGCACAAGAAGCCCCCCATAGACCAGACAGCCCCTCCTGGGTGGGGGTCTGAGGAGCTTAGGGTTCCTACATTCTGGGGCCCCCTCCTCCAGGCAAATAATTAAGGACTCCTAGGAGGAAATAATGATCCCTTTGAGCCACAGTGGTGTCCCCTGTGTGGGTTTGTGCGTGCCCCTAGATTCCCCTCCAGTCCTTCAGAAAGTTATGAAGTTGTCGTGGCAGTTGGTATGTGGCATGTAAGTGGGGAACCAAACCGACATGGTCAGGAAGGGCTGGTTATTTTTGCTGCATCTCTGGGGTGGGTTAAGAGATGGAGGTTGTTTGGGGGTTGCTCCCCTCTGCTTGGCAGGCTTGGGATCCATTGTTCTTGGGAATAGGGGCATGGACCAGATGGCCCCTTATTGTAAGATTTTCTTCCTAGGTCTTTTTAAAAATTTATTTATATTTTGTGTAGAGAGAGAGTCTCACTATGTTGCCCAGGCTGGTCTCAAACTCCTGAGCTCAAGTGATCCTCCCACCTTGTCCTCCCAAAGTTCTGGGATTATAGGCATGAGCCACTGTGCCTGGCCTCTTCTTAAGTCTTGATGGTGCCCCTGGATCTGGGCAGGAGTCATTGCCTGTTGACCCTGCAGCCAGCAGTGACCTGTTCCTATTTTGAGTCATTTCTCTGCTCTTAGATCTAGCTCTTCTGTGAGTGCCTGGGTCTCCATGGACAGCAAGCTCCATGAGGCAGAGTCCCTGGAAGAGGCACTGACCATCCTTTTGGACACAGCTCAGAGCCAATAATAAGAGTTTGAGTGAATAAGTGAATGAGTAATGACTGACATTTTGATTGTGCTATGACAGGTGCAGTTCAGGAGAAGCTCCCTTCTGGGAGTAGGTAGGGATCTGGGTGCCTAGGTTTCTGGGCTTTGTGGAGGGTGAGACATTTAAAGGGTTTAGTTTCTAATAACCAGAATCCAGGATGGAGGCTTGGAGGAAGGTCAAGGGCTAGGTTTTTGGCAGCGCAAGGTAAAAACTCCATGTTTACGCAGATGACTGGGATAGGGAGTATAGGGGAACTTGTGGGAAAGGTGGGCTTAGGAGAGTGAACAGGGCAGAAGCTGAGAGTCTTCAAGTGCTATTGAGGCAGAAGGGGGCAGCTCAGGATAACTCCAAAGGCTTCAGTGAACACAGGGCACTCACATAGCCTGTGGGTCTGGAGGCTGGAGGACTGTGTGTGTGTGTGTGTGTGTGTGTGTGATAACAGCTCTGAACTTCGGAGAAATGCATGAAGGTTCTGGGCCTGGGACCCCAAGAGGTATTTGTGGGGGTCTTTGGGAGATGCTGTGAGAACTTGGAGTAGAGGGCATGGTCCCACAAGGTGAGGAGGTGCCTCGGGGTGCCTGGAGTTCCAGGTAGGGCAGACAGGGCCTCTGGGAGGGCAGATGCAGGGGCCTCTGGGATGTTGGGGGAAGGGGCATTCCTTCAAGCTCTATCTTCCCAGCACTAATTGGAGTGGCTGGCCAGGGAAAGGCTGGGCTTAGGGCTTTTCCCCCTTCAGTTGGGATGTAAGAGAATTTCCTCCTCAGCCTCTGCATACTATAGAAAGCAACTCACAGAGCACATGTGAAACCATGTATACCCAACTGGTAAGGCCAGCAGAGGTAACTGGGGGAACCCACCCTCAGCTCGCCTTGGCCTTCCCCTCAGCCATTCACCTGCAATGTGGGGGACCCAACACAAGAAATAGATGAACAGGCATCTGCCTTATGGGGCATGGGGTTGAACTCACTGGGGTGGGAGAGGGGCCCCTGGGGAGGAGAAGCTCAGGGCCTGGTAGAGCTGGACCTCAGGGAGGGTCTGAGAAGTGGTTTTTCTCCCCTGAGAAAAAGAAGTGAGTGCTCAGAGCCCTGACCTCAGTCCTGGAGGAGCTCACAGCTCCGTAAGGAAGACAGATGGGAGCTTGGGAATAAGGTGAGCAAGTAAAGGCAATGAGAGCAGATTTGTGAGAGTGTGTGTGTCACAGCAAGTGTGCACCTTTGTGTGTGTATGAGTAAGTGTGCACCTTTGTGTGTGAGTTTCGGGCACGGTGGCTCACGCCTGTAATCCCAGCACTTTGGGAGGCCGAGGCCGGCAGATCACAAGGTCAGATAAAGATCCTGGCTAAGACGGTGAAACCCCGTCTCCCCTAAAAATACAAAAAATTAGCCGGGCTCGGTGGTGGGCGCCCGTAGTCCCAGCTACTCCGGAGGCTGAGGCAGGAGAATGGTGTGAACCTGGGAGGTGGAGCTTGCAGCGAGCTGAGATAACGCCACTGCACTCTGGCCTGGGCGAAAGAGCGAGACTCTGTATCAAAAAAAAAAAAAAAAAGTGAGTTCCTCAGTGTGTAAGAGTAAGTATATGCCTCTAAGTGTGCAGCTCTATGTGTGTATAAGAGTAAGTGTGCACTCTCACTTACTCTGTGTAGAGGAGTATGTGTGTACTTCGCTGTGTGTGTCAGAGTCAGTGTACACCTGCACGCCGGCCCGTGTGCATGTATGTGTATCCTAGGTGGGGTGACAGGGAAGATGTGAAGGAAGATTCGGTGCAGAGTACGTGTTTGTGTATTTGAGGGTTTTTGTGATGCACAAACGTGCATGAAGTGTCTGTGAATGTGTCTGGGATGCTTGGGGTGTGTGTGTTTGTGTGTGTGTGGGCCCCTGCTGCATGGTCCAAGGGCTGTGTGAGTTGTGCTTCTTTGGTGTGAACAGGGAAACCTGGGTAGGGAAGGAGTATGTGGGTGTGTGTGTGCGTGTGTGTGTGTGTGTGTGAGAGAGAGACAGTGCACGCGAGTGTGCCGAGTGGCAGGAATGACAAATGATTAATCTATAGAAATCTATATTCTATTCTTCCATGCGTCCACTCCACCCTTCTCACGCGCCCATGCATCACCTCCGGAAATCTATCACCCGACTCCCAGCCAAGGACAGGCTGCGAGGAGCGAGTGCCTGCCTTATTGATGGACTTGCCTGGTGCTTTTTACACATTTGGATACGTGGAGAAGGAAAGCTCACTCTGGCTGTGTCGTTCATGCTCTTATTCACTTATTCATTCATTCAGTCAGTCATTCATCCAGCAAATAGTTCTGGAGTGCCTACTGTGTGCCAGGAATGGTCCTGGGTGCTCAGGGTGTGATGATGAATGAGGCATTTCTGGCATTAAGGGCCAGTGGGGGTCCCAGACAGCACATAGGCCACTTTGGTAGAATGTGCAGGGGGCTCTGGAATAATACAGGGGGTTTGGAAATTAACCTCGGGGCAGGGGGCGGTTCACAGAGGCTCCTGAAGGAGGTGACATCTACGGGAGCTCTGAAGGGTGATACAACCAAAGGGTAGGGAGAGGAGAGGGTGCACCAGGCAAAGAGATTAGCATCTGCAAAGGCCCAGAAGCAAAGAGAGCTTGCCTCTTGGGAAAAGCTCAGAGTGAGTCAGATGGCTGGGGTTGGAGTGTGAGGAAGAAGTGGTAAGAGATGATGCTACAGAGGTGGCTGGTGACTGAGGGGCATCCAGTACCCTGTGAAGGAAGCTGGATTTCATCCCAAGGGGAGCCACTGAAGGGTCTAAGCAGGCATCATGTGGTGTTGCATTTTAGAAAGTGACCTCTGGCTGATGGTGGGGAGGCTGGACTGGAGGCAGGGAGGCCAGTTAGGAGGCTGTCATGGCAATGCCAGGGAGGGATATGGTGGCTTGGATTCCAGTGGTGGCAATGGGGGTGGAGAGGTATGGCAGAGTCCAGAGGTATTTTGGAGGTGGAACTAAGGGCTTGGTGACGGAGGGGTGTTGGCATGAGAGAGTGGCAAGCATGACCCTAGGTTTTGGGGCAAGTCACTCGACCTTGCTGAGCCTCCATTTCCCCATCTCTAAAATGGGGAGAACAATTCCTGCTTCTTAGGGTTGCTTTGAGGCCGTTTGGTTCACACTCAATGGACCACTGTTGGAATCCACCTTGGAACGGAACATCTAATCTTCCCTGTTTGGTTCATACTCAATGGACCACCATTGGAATCCACCTTGGAACAAAACGTCTAATCTTCCCCTCCCATTACATGAGCCACCTCCAGGTCTGCTCTTATCCAGAAAGGTTTGGGCTGATCTACCCCCCAGTGGCTGTTTCTTAAACCACACTTTGGGCAACCCCTGGACTGTGGTGCTAGTCCCAAAAGCCCACTGCTTTGAACCCCTGAGGGAGACTTGGAGGTTGTCCAAGCCAGCTTCCTGTTCCAAGATGGGCAGCCAGGCACTCAGAGAAGGAGAGGACCTTCTCAAGGTCGCCCAGTGTGCCATTTAAACTTGCTGGTGTTCAAGAAGCCACAGGCCATCCTCAGGCAGGCTGACCCCCTAAAGGTCATTATGTCCCACCTCCTGCCTTCAGACCCAAAGTATCTCCGACCAGCAGGTGGCCTGCCTGTTCTTGGAGGTTGCTAGGGAGCTGAGCTTCCTTGGCCGAGGCATGTGATTCCTGGCTGTCTTCAGGGAAAGGGCACTGGCCAAAGTCCCAAGGAGGCTCCCAGAGTGGCTCATTTTTCAACTCGTCCTTGTGGGGTGCGAGGAGACGTCCAGACACAAGTGTTTACTTCAACTCCCAGGGCAGCCAGACAACTTCTGATCTTGGAAGCCTCCTTGCTTCAATCTATTGCTTCTGTACATTTGGATAATGTTCCATTTTGCAAAACAACAAGTTCTCTTTAGACGCAGGCAGAGCTGACAGTTATCACAGCAAAAGCATTATTTTGTTTCTCTTTCCTCCCCCTCCGTCACTCCCTCCTGAGCGAGCGTGCATGATGGCATTAGAATACCGCAGTGAAAAGGCTTCTGTTCATCTCTTCGGAGGGTGGCATGAGAGGCGCTGCCGCGTGGGGGGCCACGGGAGGGCGTCTTGGCCAGCATTCCCACCTGGGCCTTTCATGCACTGCTGCATTTGCGGAGGAAACGACACTGGTGACAAAAGCGGACCCGGCTCTTCTCGAGAAGAGCTGAAAAGTGCCAAGGAGAAGGCCCTGCACACTTAGAATATTTTCAAATTAAGTGACAGCGGGCACAACACGATGGGGGAGACGGCTTGTGTTTCTTTGGAGCATTCAGTCACAATTCATCATTATCCAATTTTTTTTTCCCTTGAGTTTTCTCTCTCACACATTTTTTATCCCAATCTGACAGCTAAATGAGGAATCACACTGCCTACATTATGTGTTTTGTTCAGGAATTAACCCATCATCAAACACGGGCTGCCAAGTGGTTGGTGTGAGCAGAGAGTGACTGCACCAGCCCTAGATGGCCCGTGTCACACGGGGCCCATCCAGCTGGCCATCCTGAGGACTTGCTTGGAAAAGGTGGCCGGCAGGAGACATACCAGCTTCTCAAGAAGGGCTGAAGCCCAACATGGAGCTCTGCATGTCCCCGAGCTCCAGCCACAGGCTTCTCAACCAGAAGAACTCTCCAGGTGCTTTGGCCTGATCCTTTGCTAAGTTCATGGTGTCATCAGATGTGAGGTCATTCTGCCCCTCCATCTGCCTCTGGCAGCCTTGAGAAGAGAGGCATCAACCCCTGACCTCTATGAAAGGGTTAATTCAGCTAAGCTGATAGCTCTTCTTTTGGGAAATCCTTGAAATACTTGACTCTTTCCTACTGCAGTGGGTCTACTTGCTTTACCTTCTCAGCACGTTTCTGGGTACAAACTCAAGCTTCAGCTCAGAGCAAGAGGGAAGCGAGGGATCTTTGTGGGTGCATCTGGTCTTTCAAAAATGGCCAAGTTTCTTTCTTCTTCCCTTCTACCTTGTTCTTTCCTTCTCCCCTTCTACCTTGTTCTTTCCTTCTCCCCGATTTCTTTTCTTCCCGACTTCACCCTCTTTCCTTCCCTCCTTTCCTTTCCCCCTCCTGTCCTTTCTCCTCTCCTCCTTCTTTCCTCCTCCCCAATTTTTTTTTTCTATTCCAGTGACGAATAAGATCCTGCTTTGGATAAGACAGACCCGGTGTTTGCAATCAGATAGTTGCCAATGTGGTGAGTTTTCGGAAGGCGAGGCGCAGGGCACTCCCTGACTGTGTGTTGGGGAGCCCCTGCTGAAGACAGCTGCAGGAAGCTAGGTGACGGGCAGACAAGGCTTGGGGACGTCGGGAAGCCCAGGCAGGGCACGCTCTCCAGGACCTCGACTCTGCTGGCAGGACACCTCACCCACAGAGTGTTAGTTGAGTGAGAGATGAACCATGCCTGGCTTTGTTCATCCACGTAGCCCAGCTCCTAGCACAGACCTGGTGGAGGGGCTCAGTAGGCACACTAGGCATGAGGTCAGTGAAGAGACAGGAGAGTGGTGGTGGCCATGAGCTGTGGTGCTGACCACATCCAACATCCCCAGTTTCCTTGGTGGCTGGCAACTTCTAGCCAATAACTGGTGCTCCCAAAATCTCGTCACCTTGAATGACCCCCAGCTTGTGTTGAGGAGGGGAAGATTATTGTATGCTGGGGAGAAGGCAGTCCAAACAGCTAGAAGCACAGGCCCTGAGCCATGTGGTGTGGCTCAAGTCCAGGTTCTGCTACTTCCTGTTTGTGAGGCTTTGGCAAGACCTGTAATCCCACTGAACCTCAGTTTTCTCCTCTGTAAAATGCAGATGATGAGAAGAGGCTCTGTCTCTCCAAGGTGAGACGAGGATTAAATGAGATGATGTGCAGCTGGTTTGACACACGCCGTTTTTACCTATTTTAACAGGAGTGCTGAGAAATTTGCCCCAGCCTCCTCTCTCTCACTCTGGGCCCCAGGGTGTTCTTGCCCTTTTCCTTCTCTGGCCAGCACAGCGGTCTACCTGTCCACGTGTTCTCTCCTTCCTTCCAGCTTGGCTAGGTGGGGATGCTGGTGAAGAAGCAGATGGCAGCCGGGGCTGAGTGTGACGGTGATGACACTGTGAAAGGGTGATAATTTATTCTGTTCAGCCTTGACTCGGAGTTGGAAGGAGAAATCAATTACTTCTGAAAGGCAAGACTGAGGGTGACCTCCCTTTCTGACCTCTAACAGGCAGCCGGCCCTTGGTCTCCTGGCTCCTGGAGAACAGGCCTGGAAGACCCCCTGGGGCCCATCCCTGAGCAGGGACTTACGGCAAGGATTGGGAAGTGAGGAGCAGGCTGCAGGTTCAGCCCCAGAGAGAGGGGGCTGGGAGGCAGCAGGGCTCTGGCCCCATGCGGCAGGGATGCCAGGTGCAGGAGAGTGCTCTCAGTGTCTTTAACTTGGCCCGGGCACTGGGCTGGGCCTGGCCTGCACGTGGGTCTTTTCTTCATTCATCCACTCGTCTTTCTTGTGAGTGGTGGATGTCTTCCAAGCAGTGGGGAGAAAGATGTAAAACTAATCCCCACTCTAATAAAAACAGTCTCCCGATTAAATATGTATGAACACATATTGATTTGGGGATTAAACAGAAAAGAAAATTGAGCCTGTAATTGAGCCAGGGAACATGTACGGGGTGAGACTTGGGATGTGCTTCTCCAAACACACCTGCTGGGGCTGGGCTGGGGCTGCCCAGGCGTAGGAAAGGTGCTGGGAAGCCTCCAGCACCCACTGGGTGCTCCTCTGCATGAGGGGCCAGGCCAGCCTCTGCCTGCTTTTGGAGGAGCCTCTGCCCTTTTCCTAATTTGGGGAAATTCCCAACATTCCAAAGGAATTTGGAGGAATGGGAGGGCTGTACTATTCCTACAGATGTCTGAGTATGAATCTTTAGCTGGTGGGCAGCTGAAGAGGCAGGCTTCCATCCTGTCTTAAGGAAACATGGATTATTGCTCACTTGTTACATGCAGGTCCTGAGGAAATGGAAGAAGCTGATCCAGGATTCCGCCTACAATCTTTGGACTCTAAATCCAAGGTTGTGTTTACTATAGGCCAGGGCTGGGCAGTCCAGTGACATCAGAACCTGCAGTCATAGGACTGCACATCCTCCAAGCTGCAAGGGCTTTGGCCTTGAGTTCAGCTCCTTGCCTGAAATTTGTCACCTTCCTTCACTAATAAAAGGAAAGTGACCAATTTTTATCACAAAGTCATCTAACTTCTCTTTGGATGTCTCCAGGGTTGGAGAGCTCCCTACCTTTCAAAGGAAGCTGGGAGCTCTAGGATGGAACCAAAGCCTATCTTCCTACCATGCCTATCTGTAGGCTCCACACCTGTTCCTTGGTCAGAAAAAGAAGGGAAGGGGAGAATAGATTGTTGAGCACCTGCTGCGCATAAGGCCCTGTGCTTGGTAGTCTCAGGTAGACTATGACCTTTTAGCATTCCAAGAATACTGTGACATAGATCTGATTATTTTCACTTTATAGTCTAGGAAGTAGACTCAGAGATATTTGCTAATCATCATAGTCATCATCATGATAACAATGGAAACCATTTATTGAGCACCTGCTATATGTCAGGCACTTTACGTCCATTATTGCCAATCCCCACCATGACCTTGTAAAGTAGATCTATTACCTCCATGGTACAGAGAGGAAACCAAGGCTCAGAGGGCAAGAGATGTGGCCATCGTGGCGCACAGCCCAGCCACAGCTTGCCTGACCATGGCCACTTCCTGCATTGTCCTGGAGGAGTGTGGTCTCCAGGTACTCACTGTTAACTCCCCAGGTTGCACCTGCTCCAGCCCTGTGTGGTCCAGCTAGAGTGCCTCTCTCTCCCAGAGCTGGGCTCCTGCCTCACAGATCTCTGCATGCTTCTTCCCCAGGAATGTGCAGGCACCCATTCATCATTTCCCAGCCCACACCCTCTCCCCCTTTTCTTCCCTGATGCTCCCCAGCCCCTGCCATTATGTTTGCTGGAATCTGACTTTTCCCACAGGCTCACTTATCCTCAACGTACACCAGACTTTACAATTGACAGAGCATTTGCACATTTATTGTCTCATTCAAGCTTCACAATAATCTGATATCCTGTATGACAGATGAAGAATTTGAGGCACAGAAAAGTCAGGCAATTTACCTCAACTCTCAGAGCTAGTGAGTAACAATGGCAGGTCTGTCCTCCCAGGTGAGATGGCACTTGTCCCCGGAACAGGTGCCTTTGTGGGACCCACGAAGACACACTGACACCATGTGATGAGGTAAGAGGAATATACTGTGTTGGGTTTAAGGTTTACACAGACTTGGGTTTCAGATCCTGTGCTCCCTCTAGCTGGTTGTGTCCTCCTGGGCAAGTAATGTAACTGCTCTGAGCAGTGTTTTTTTTTTTTTTCAAGCTTCTCTTGAACACTTCTCTGGATTTGGAGCCAGAACCCCATAGCAGCATACCTTTTAGAAGTGCCCCCAGGACTCAAGGTTTGCCCACATGGCTAATTGTCAGAGAAACACCTGGCAAGCCAGCTATCTCCTTTGGTGTGGCCCTGGGAGAAAAGGAGAAAGGCATCAGATGTGAAGTGGAGAAATTGGAGCACCTGGTATCCCACGGCAGTGCCCAGCTCATCAAGACCCATGGGGAGTGCTGAGAGCTCACACGCTCCCAGCTGCAGCCATCTCTGCCCTGTGGTTATTAAAGCAATGACTTAATTTTAACGAGGGTCTAAGTGTTCTTCAGGAAGCTGCTTCAGCCCTGATTAAAGGAATGAATCAGGCAGGATCCAGCCTCTGCCTAGTGAGTCTGGGAACGGGAGCATTGGGCTGTAATAATGGAGGCGGAGAGTTGTAGAACCCAGAGTCATCTGAGCTCTTTTTCGGAGACTCCAGCATTTGCTGAGGAAACCCAGGCTTTGGGGCTGCATTGTTCTCTTCTTAGGTAGGAGGTCTGGTGGTGGAGGGCCAAGGCTTTTACCACCAGTGGCCTGGGCTTGCCTCCTGGCTCTACTGCTGACCAGCTTGCAGGACTGGGGCGAGGGACGTAGTCTCCCTGAGCCTCAGTTTCTTCCTCTGTGAAATGGATCAGGCTCCTGCTGAGACAATGTGAAAAAGAACATCAGGTGCATTTGCAGAGCCAGGGCCTGGCTCATGCGCCGGTCAGATGAGGAGCTGTGACATGATATCCCATGTTATCAGTTTTCTCTCTCTTGCCTTAAAACCATGTTTGCGTGCACCTGCTACATGCAGGCTATGATTAGAACCCCAGGCTTCTGATTCCAAGTCTAGGGATTTTCTTGACTCCAACATTCAAGCTATGAGAAATTCAGCCCCCAGATTCTTCTGGAGGTCCTGTAGAATCTTCTTCTGGAAGTCCTGTTGATTGCAAATTCCAAGCACCTGTAGAACCTGCGGGGGTCTGGAGTTTGTCCTCCTGTCCTGGTGCCCTGACCACTTCCGCAGATGAGTACACAAGTTGAGATGAGTACACAAAGCGGGGACAAGTTGCTCCCTTTCTTCTGCTTCTCTGTCTTAACCCTCATGATGGTTGGGAGAAGGGAACGTGTGGGTAGCTTTCCAAAACCACCTCTCCCACTTCTCAGCCTGGCAAAGCTGAGTCTGGGAGGGTTTCTGCCTCCTCCTCCGCCTCTCCTCGGTAGCTCAGCAGGAGCCCCTCAAGGAAAGCATCGGGCATTTTCTGATTTCTGAAGGCTGCCTACCTGGTGGAGGGAAACCAAATCCCATTGCATCTAGGGTGGTCCTGTGTGCCACACTCGTGGGGTGCAGGGCCCAGTGAGTTTGCCTCCCATGGGCTGGGGCCCCTGGGTTCTCTGAGGAGGTTGGTCGCGGGGCCTGGGCTCCCGAGGGGGGGCTCCCAGCTTCCTTCTGTCTCCCAACCAGCATCACTACATGCTTCTGGGAGGTGTCTGGTCCAGGCTCTCATGAGCAGAGCCCATTGTCACCTCCCTGTGGATGGAGGTAAAGGGTCCAGATGTGATTTTTGTCACTCTCCTTCCCAGTGTTTTCCCACTTGCCATGACTTTCAAGGTGTGACATGATCTGGGGGCTGGAGATTTCCCATTTCCCTCTCAAGATCCAGGCACCCTCCTTCTCATCCTGCTCTAGGCTTTGGGAGGGTGACCCATATGGACAATCTCTGGCTCCTGAGTGGCACTGGTGAGTGGGTGTCACCATAAGGAGGCTGGGGACAGGGTGGAGAGCTGGGTTGGGACATTGGTTTCTCTGATGCTTTCCCGTAGGGCCACCGCAGCTTACGTGTGGTCCTCGAGGGAAGGTCCTAGCTTTTTTCAAGGCAGCCCCCTCTTCACAACTCTGTCTGCGTCTAGTAACGGCACTCTCCCCTCACCCTCTTGCATGGGATTGTTATAGTCCTGCAGTTCTGCCTCACCCTTGAGGCTTCCTCATCCGCACTTGTGTAAAGTGCCCCTTTATTAAACTCTCCTCACCTGCCTCCTCACCTGGCTGTGTGGTCCTGGGCAAGTCACATAACCTCTCTGAGCTGTATTTTTTTTCAGGCTTCTCTTGAACACTTCTCTGGGTCTTGAGCCAGAACCCATAGCAGCATACCTTTTAGAAGTGCCCCCAGGACTCAAGGTTTGCCCACATGGCTAATTGTCAGAGAAACACCTGGCAAGCCAGCTATCTCCTTTGGTGTGGCCCTGGGAGAAAAGGAGAAAGGCATCAGATATGAAGTGGAGAAACTGCATGGAGAAATTGCAAGTGGAGCTTGCATGAGTCATTGGTGTCTGCAGGACCCTGGCCGGTGCACCCCTGACTGCCTCTCTGATCACCCAGGATGCTAGTGCAGCAGGCGCAATGGCCGATTGCAACTGGGTCCCTTCTGATTGGGCAGCGCCTGTGCCAAGCCAGTTGTTAACTATTTTAAATTTCACCTCAACTTTATTCCCTCATTCACTGCTTTCCAGACATGCTGGCCAGCTTTCTGTTCCTTAACAACCCAAGCCTGAACAACCCAAGCCTGACCATGACATCCTATGCCATTTACCTGTGCATCAGTCAGGGGCCCAGCAGGAATAGCAGGCACACTTGACTGGGAATCTGAAGACTGTGGACAAGGATAAGGGACCCTGCAGCTAGCAACTGTGGGAAGATGCTAGCACCTGGGGTCTGAGGAGGCGCTGGGAGGAAATGTGCTATCAGAACGTGAAGAGGGCTGAGCCAGAGTCACAGAAAGTTGCAGCCACTGCTAGAACCTGGGCAACATAGAAAGGAGGGGCAGGAGAAGACATGCATGAACTTCTCTCTCCTCCAATGCTCTGACTTCCTGCTGGGGTCTTCCATTGCCTGAACCCAAGTAGAAGCCAGCCAGAGGCAAGGGAGCCCAGGGGTGCATTCCACAGGGCTCAGCCCCAGGGCATGGAGCAGATCAGAGCAGGGAAAAGAACTGAATGGAAGCCAGGGGAAGAAACTGAGAAAAGCCAGCACAACTTTATGTTGTGTTTGTTGTCCTTCTCACCACCTAAAATATTCATACTCATTTGGTTGGTTGATAGTTGATTGGCTTTCTTCTCTGCTAGAATGTCAAGTCCACAAGGGCAGGGACCTTGTCAGCTTGGCCCACTCTGAGATCCCCAAGGCTGAGTGTGTGCCTGGCATGTAGCAGGTCCTCAAGAACTCCACCAAATGGAAGAATAGACAAAGAATGAGAATATGTATTAGGCCCTAGATACAACCCAGTGGCTCTGTTGCTCAGGGCTCCCCTGGGCCATCTTGGTCCTCACTTGGGTTCAGGCTGGAGAGGTCTGGCAGTAGGCACCCCCAGAGAGGGAGGTGGTATGTGTCAGCTCTGTCAGATTGGAATCTGGCATTGGCTCCAGCAGGCTCCACAGCCACTGTAGCTGGGCTGGGGTTTGTTCTGGTGGGTGGGTGGAAGCCAGAGCTCTAACTTCCCCATATCCTTGGCTCTGAGCTGCGGGCCCAGCTTTGGAAAGATTGCGGGGAGCAAACACCCTGGGCTCTGGGAAGTTCAGGCTTGGTGAGAGGTTCCAGCATGAAATGGGAGAACTTTCTTTGTTTTCCTTCCAGCCACAAAACCAGAGACTGAAAAAGGAGACAGAGGGTGAGCAAGAGAGAGAGAGAGAGAGAGAAAGAAAGAAATAGAGAGAGAGAGAGAGAGATGGAATTGGTCCCTCTAATTGGGTCAGATGACCCATTTCCATTGCATCTGTGGTTCCTGATGTCCAGGGAAGGCCCTGGGGGCAGTGCTGGGAGGAATCCTTGGCAATGTTGGGTCCCATCACTCAGTGTATCTGGGCACAGTGTTATTCACTCAGTTCATTTATCCATTTGCTTAGCAAATATTCATTGAGCATCTACTATGCAGTAAGCCCTGGATATAACTTGAACAAGTCATGGGTCTGCACTTTCTGCACATTGCCTACATTGCAAAGCCCCCAACGGTGGTATTACTCACATCCCCCAGCCCTTCCAAGATAGCGAGCTACTCCCTGAAACCTAACTTGATGGCGATATTCCCAACCTGCAGTGGACCATACCATGGACATTTTTCCACATTACTGTATCATAACAGTTCCTTGTGGGAGCCTAATTCTGGCAGTGTGTGTGTTACTCGGTGAATCCCAATGCAGCCATTCCTTATCTTACTTGGTGCAGCCTCCCAGAGGCATCACTCACACTTCTCGCTCCACCCTAGTGGTGTGCATCTCCCAGGACTGCCTGTACCATGCACACTCTTTACACCATCGAGTCCTCCAGGGGAAAGTTACTCTGCTCACCTCCACCTGGATCTCCCAAACCTACAGAGAAGTATTGCCTGTGGCTGCTGGTGGCAGTGGAAGGGGACAACATAAAGGAAAGGAGACCGAGCAGAAAAGACAGAAGCCAAAGCCCAGATGCTCCTGGAGCAGGAAGAGACTTTGCAAAATGGCTGCAGCTCCTTGCAAATGATGTATGAAATGAGGAGCATATGCCGGGAGCGATTTGTGTGCAGGAGCTTGGCTTGGCTCCCTGGTCCCTCCTGGCAGTGCTGTCTGCTAAGGCCCTGCGCTCCCAGCCCCAAGCATTCTGGGAGTCCTCTGAAGGTGGGCTCCAGGCTCCTCCTCCCTCCCTCTTCCCAAGACAAGGTACTGTACACAGTAGGTGCCCAAGCTGTGTGGCGGACGGATCATTTCTGCCTGTCCTGGTTCTCTGAAGACAGAACAGGAGGGAGGAGGGCTGAGTGAGTCTGAGATCAACAAGCCAAATCTTGGCATTTCCCAGATGGGGAAGCGGAGTGCAGAGAGGAGGATGAGCTCCCAAGGTCACTCAAGGAGCCAGTGTCTTTTGACCTCCAGCCGAGGTGTTCCTAATGTCACCTATAGGCAAAAGACTTACTTTCTCCTGGGTGGTTCCGAGTCTATTTCTAATTGTGTGGCTTTGGGCAGGCCCCATAGCTTCTCTGAGCCTCTATTTCCTCGTCTGTAAAATGGGAGCAGCGACACTAATCTGACAAAGCTTTGCAGTGCTTAGCAACACAGTACATGTGAGCTTCACCCTGTGCTTGGCTTATTGAAAGCATGTATTACCTGGGAGCTCTGGTTTCCCTCCAAGGCTCCAATCCCACGTTTCCAGCAGCTGGTGCCTCAAATTAAAAAGGAAAAGGCATACTCAGTTGAGTCTGTGCTTCCCATGATTGAGGCTGCTATCCTCCCCAGCTCCTGGGGAGGCGATCCCAGAGTCCTCTTTGTTCCATCTCGAGGCCCCACTCTCTGCTGCATCCAGTCGGGCACTTTCCTGTCCTCCCCCTATCTGTCCCTTCCTCTCTACTTCCTACCTTGCTACCTCTGGCCTGTTGGTTAGTCTCTGAATTACTCAATATTTAAAAAAAATTCCAAGTGATAAACCCTAGTTCAACTGGGCTTAAACATAAAAGGTAATTTATTGGTTTACAGAAGCTCCATTTTTCCAGTTTCTCAGGCCAGCATCTGTGGCATCATCCTTGACTCCTTTCATGCCATTATACCCAACATTTAATCCCTTAGCAAACCCCGTTGACTCCATCTGCAGAATATACCTGCAGTCCATACTCTTCTTCCACCTTCATTGCTACTCTTCTGGTCCAAGCCACCACAACCTTTTACCTGGACTGGTGCAGTAGCCTCTCAGCAGGTTCTCCTGCTCCTGCCCTTGAACCCTCTGGGTGGTCTCTGCACAGTACCCAGAGCTGTCCTTCTAGAATCAAAGTCAGATCAAGTCCTCCCTCTGCTCACAACCCTCCAATGGCTTCCTCTCTCACACAGAGTCAACTCTAAAGTTTTCAACACTGGGCCCCCCGACCTCTCTGACCCACCTTCTCCACTGCCCTCTCACCCCAACCTGTAGGAACATGCCATGCACAGACCAGCCCCTGGGCTCCTGCAGTTACTGATCCTGCTGTGTGGAATGCTGTTCCCTTCAGTGTTTGTGTATCTCATCCTCTCGCTTCCTCCCAGGCTCTGCTCAAATGTCACCTCTAAGAGAATTCCTGAACATCAGCTCAAAAGTTGGCACACCCTGTTCTCTTTTTCTTCTCACACTCATCATCACCAGACATAGGTTTGTTTATTGTATATGCTCCTCCACTAGAATGAAGCTTCCATGCAAACAGGGATGCTGTCAGTGCTTGGCACATAGTAGGTATTCAATAAACACTTTTGAATAAGTGGAAGAATAAGTGGCAAGTCTTGTGCTAGGTGCTGGGCATACAATGGTAAACAAGACAGAGTATCCAGAGAGTTATACTTTATAGCTTGCTGTCCCATGGAGGTGATAAATACCAAGTAATAACACAAACAATGATTTAACTACTATTGAGAAATGTGCTACAGGGGCATAGCACAGGCTGATATGAAAGTGAATTAACTGAGAGTCCTGAAGCGGAGGAAAGGGTGTAGGGAGAAGGTGTATCTGGGAGGGCTTCTTTGAGGAGGTGGTACCTCAGGTGAGACTTGATGGACAGGGAGTGGTCCCAGTGAACGGTGGGAGGAAAAGCATTCCAGGGAAGAGACTGTTCAAAGTCTGTGATTGGAAAGAAAATTCAGTGCTTTTATGGAGCAAGAGGAAGCAGGTGGCCATGGCAGAATGGAGGTGGGAGGTTGGAGGGAGAATGAGCTCAGATGGGAGTGAGGCATTGAGTTCCCAGAGGCAGGTACTGCTGCTCATGTTTTGTGTACTTCTAACCTGAGCTCGGTCCTGGCACCTCTCTGTCAATGTGATGCTGTTTGAAGGGCAATGGACAAGGAGTCTGGCAGACCTGGAGTCTAACCCTTACTTGCTGTGTGTCCTTGAGCAAGTCCCATTGCTTATCTGAGTTCGTCTGTTCCTCACCTGCCACTGTAGGGATCAGTGGCCGCACCACTGTCTCCAGGAACATGCTCTATATCCCATGATGCCCGTGCAGGTACACAAGGTTTTCTGCCATCATGGTATGAGGCTGGTACATGGGGCCACCATTTCTGCTGCAACCAAGGAGCAGAGGCTCCTGGAGACATTTGAAACTTCAGAAATGTCCTCTCTGGGCATCTTCCACGATCCTTTGATGGAGCTGGGGTTTCTATATCCACAGACAGAATTGAAAGCAAAACCAAACACCCTTCAGACCAAGTCACCTCTGATTCATTCTCATTCTCCGTGACTTGGAAAGTCAGGGAACCGCGTCATATTTGGTCCCTTCCCGTTTCCCCGAGAGGGATCTGCCTAAGTGTGCAGGCTGTCTCGGACATGGTTTGTGTCCCCTGCCTAAACCGTGACGCTTACAGTGAAATGAGATGCTTGCATCTTGCAAGGCTCGATCATAAAGGATGGCAGTGCCAGGATCGAAGCAATAGGTCATGTTGATATTTTCACATTAGTTTCTATTCTTATTACATTTTGATGGATGGAGAGAGTGGGGATTTTATCGTAATCTCATTCCTGTCTTAAACTGCTAATTCATGCCTGAGTTCCCTCTTCCATTTTGTTTCTACAAATTCAGTCAAGTGCTGATGGGATGAAGATTTAATATGCAGCTGCAAGAAGAGGCACGCTGATAGGAAAAATGCTAGCTGGGGAGCAGTGTTTTTAGGAGAACGGTCTAATCAAGTCATTTTGTTATGAGAGCGCCTTGTTGCCCTGGGAGATTGGGGCTGCCTGTATATAATAATAATAAATACGTAATAGTAAAACAATATCTTATATTCAATATGGTGCTTTTAATTTTTCAAAGTGATTCATTCAAACATTTTTGTTTTTTTTCAATCCTCCAAATAGCCCTGTGAGACTGGAAGGGTATTATGATTCCAATTTTATAGATGAAGAAACTGAGACTTAGAGAAGGGAAAGGACTTAGACCAATGCCTTTTAAACTTGAGCATACAGATGAATCATCAGGAGGTCTGGGGCAGAGTCTGTATTTCTAGCCAGCTCTCAGGTGATGCACGCTTCGAGGAGCAAGGGCTGGATGCCCTTTGTGTATGCGCCTGTGATGTTATGGGTCTTTGCGGATATTCTGTGACTCCCTTTCACCTGTTCTCCCCTGTACTACACACTTGGGCAGCTAAAACCTCCCACTTACTACTTCCCCAGGATCCTAGGCTATTGACAAGTCCCCTTCCCTAGGGTCACCTGGCTCTCCTCATTCTGTCTCACCTGCTTCCTCCCACTCTGTCCTTGGTTTTTCCTTTCCCTTACGGTGATCCAGTCAAAACCTTGTCTCAGCCCTGTTCACAAAACCGTACTCATCCTGACTCTCCTGTCACCCCTCTTCTCAGCAGCATCCACCCCTCCACTCCATCAAAACTCTCACCAGGGCCTCCTGCCCTGCTCTCCTCTTTTGGGGCTGTGTGGGCTGGGGATGCATTCCACAGGCTGCAGAAGGCCAGAAAGCTGTGTGTGGTTGGAAGGAACTCCTCAAATCAGGGGACAAAGTAGAGACCCAGGGGTAAGAATCCTGGAACCTGCAGGGCGTTCTGTGCCCACAGCCCTCTACAGTTACAAAACGCCCTGGCACCCATGCACACCAGACTCTCACAGCCACCCCCAGGAGGTCCCTCTTCAGACACATAAATAAACTGAGGCTCTGAGAATTTCTGTGACCTTGCCCAAGGTCACAAGCCACTCTAGGCAGAGCCTGAACTCAAAGCTGGGGCTTCTGATCCCAAGTTCAGTGCTCTCTGTAGAGATCACCAGGGTTGCACTGAAATACACCCTAGGTAGCTCTTTCTGGGGCATTTGCACAGTTTCCCACATTTTAGACCCATGGTGGAAGTCACACTGCAAAGCCATTTCTGCCATTTCTGGCTGCTTCCTGCTAGCTTCTTGTGGCAGGTAGCATGAATTCCGTACATGCTGGCGAAGTGTATGGATGGACAGAGGCATGTGTGGCACGAGCCCCGCAGTCATTCCCCAGCTCGCCACCCCTCTTCCAGGCGTCTCCGGCATTCTCACTCCATTTCAACTGCGCTCCTCTCCTGCTGCTCTCTCTGTTTCTCTTTTTCTCTCTCCTTGTCTCTCTCTCTTTTCGGAGAATAAAAATGACTGGACTTGGCATTATCTGCTGGTTTCCATGGTAATAAAATCTGTTTCTGATAATGGCCCTTCCCTGGTGTGGTTAGTTTTGGTAATTTTAGCAACACTGTTGCACAGGCCACCTGCATTTCAATACCATGCAAGCTGGATTCGACTGCCGCTTTCAGGTTGAATAGAAATAAGGGAAAGTGCTTGCTCTAAAATTTCTAGGCTGGATAAATGCTCGAGAAGAAAAGGAAAAGTTACATAAACTGCCCAGACTTGGATGTGCATGCAGCCTAAGACTGGAGTGTGATCGTGTCACTCCTGCTTAAAACCCTTCTCACGACTGAACTTAACGTGTGCAGCATGAGTCCAGACCCTCCTGTGGCTGGAGTTAGGGCCTCCCTTAACCTGGATTCCTATCACTCTCTATGGCCCTGGACTTATGGTGCTGTTTCCTGCCTTTGAGTCTCTGTATTGATCGTTCTGTCTACCTGCAATGCCTTTTCTGCTTCAACTGCCTGGTGAGCTCCTACTCAGTCTTCAAATTCCGTCCCAGCATCCCTGCATCCCGCAACCAAGGTCTTCCTTCTTTGCGCCTCCCCCACAACCCTGATTTGTACATTCTTCTGCTATGCAAATGTATCCTGTCACACTGGCAGCATTTTAGTTTACCTGTTCTTCTCTCCCATGTCACAGTGAACTCTTTGGGAACAGAGATGCTGGCTGGATTCATTACTGTGGCTCCAGGGTCTGGCATATGGCATGTAATCATGAATTAAAAAATACATATCCTAACAGCTAGCAAGAATGTCTCACTTGGCCAGGTGCGGTGCCTCATGCCTGTAATCCCAGCAGTTTGGGAGGCCAAGGCAGGCGGATCACCTGAGGTCAGGAGTTGGAGACCAGGCTGACCAACATGGTGAAACCCCGTCTCTACTAAAAATACAAAATTAGTCGGGCATGGTGGTGCATGCCTGTAATCCCAGCTACTTGGGAGGCTGAGGCAGGAGAATTGCTTGAACCTGGGAGGTGGAGGTAGCAAGATTGCACCAAGATTTGAGCCAAGATTGCACCACTGTACTCCAGCCTGAGCAACAAAAGTGAAACTCAGCCTCAAAAAAAAAAAAAAAAAAGTCTCACTTTCTCTATGTGCGGGGCACTGGGCTAAACACTTTATTTGCATCTTTTCATTGCTCCTTCCTCACCCTAGGAGGTAGCTCTGACTATTCTTCCCATTTTACAGATGAAGACATTGAGGCTCACAGGGGTCAACACACTGGCCCCAGATTACAGAGTTGGCTGATGGAATGGGTGTGAGTTCTCTGAATGTGCAGACGAATCAATTCAGGTGGAAAATTTGAACGACTGGCACTGAGCTCATGGCCTCCTTTTGAATCTGCCGGAAGATTTTCCTGTAAATCTTTAGGGGGAGCTGTGAGGGTGCTGCTTACAGGCAGAAACAGTTCTTCTCTTGTCTGGCTCACTGGGGAGGAGAGGGTGGTGGGAGGGCCAGAAGGAGGGGGATGAAGGGGGGGATCACACAGATGTAAGGGGCTGCACACACAGATTTTGCCAAGGCTGCAAACTTCTAGGGGAGAGTGTCAAGAAGATCTGGGAATGGCAGGCTGGAGCCTCCAGCAGCCCAGCCTGAGTATGGGCCCAGTGCTAGCCTTTGAGCCCGCTTGCCTCTTCTGAAGGCGTAGGAGAGGATGTAATGTGGGGCCCTGGCCCCTATGAAGACTTAAGACCTGTGAGCCCCGTCAAGCAGCTCAGGAAGGCTGGAAGAGAAAGAATGCAGGGAAGGACGTGCCCAGCCTCTTTCCCCAAAGCTGTCGCTGCTACTCTGGCCACCTGGGCCACCCTGCTCTGATCTGTGTGCAAGCCCAGCCTGAGGCTCCCCAAGGACTGGCTCTGGTGGCGGCATCTGTACTTGGAGTTGAAACGGTTCTGCAGAGGTGTTTAGTCTGGCCTGGGCCAAGGAGGGGGATAGCGGGGGCGCTCAGAGCTTCGGGTTTTCTTAAGCAAGTTGCCCCCCACTCTGTTCCTTCCAAGCCTATGGGATTGTGGCAGGAATTTGCTACAAGGCACAGAGCCCGTGGCAAGGCAGAACCCTAAGCTTTTATTCCTCCCATTCGGGGTCAACCAGGATAGGGCCTGCGGGGTCTTTCCACAGATCAAGCTCTCAGGGAACAGAGGGCAATAGACAAGGGTCCTCCCCAGCCTCTGGCTCCACAAGTGTAGGAGTTGAGCCGGACCCCTCAGCTCAACCTCTGACGCAATGCCGCATAACATAAGAGAGCAGCCTAATGTTCCCCCCTCATTTGACTTCAGGTGAAATTGGGTAAACTGGCTTCTGAGCTCTGAAAGTAGGCAGGACTAGAGACGGTTATTAGTAATAACAGCTGACACTTTTATAACGCGATATGACAATGAAGTTGGTCCTAATATCATTCTCATTTTAAGGTCAGAAAACTGAGACACAATAAAAATAAATAAACAAAAAAGAAAACCGAGGCACAGAGAGCTTAAGGACTTTGCCCAAGTTCTCATACATCCACAGTAGAGCCAGGATGTGAATCCAGGTACCTGTTCCTGTAAGTATCAGTCAGGGACTGGTGGAAACACAACTGAAACCTGGAAGAACATTCTTTCCTTCCTTTTCTTTCTGCTTACGTTTTGTAAGCACCATCAGTGGCCCAAGCCCGGGCTCCTCTGCGATGGTGGGAGGGCAGAATGATAGAAGAGGAGGGGCTAGTCCCAGCCTCTAAGGATGCTCACTTGGGCTGTGCCCACCTTGGCGTTGCTGTGGGCTGATGGAGCTGGGAGCCTAGGGAGGAGCCTCAGCTGGGTTTTGGGATCATGAACCAGGGCTTGACTTCCAGCTCAGCTGCCTCCTAGATGAATGGTCTTGGGCAAGAGACCAGGACACCTCGCAGCCCAGGTTCTGCTTCCTTCAAACGGGCAGTGCGTGCTTCGCACTGGCTCTCCTGCAGGCTGGCTTGTGTTTCCATGAGATGATAAATGGCTTAGTGTTTTACAAATTTAAACATCTCCCCAGGGGTGAGGGAGTTTTAGAAAATGTGTTCTAGAAGGAATAGCCTACTTTTCTTCTATGTGGGGACCTTGACTGGGGACGTCTCAGAGGCACGCTCTGTTCCAGACATTGCTCCTCTTCCCCCAACCAACCTTCTTCCTGGTTGTGCATCGGGAGTGACTTCCTTGCTTTACACATAGCAATGTCAATAACTGTCGAATTGAGGCATGAGCTTGGAGATAGGGCAATTGTCAAATGGCTTCTGGCAGACACAGGCAGTCTGGGACTTCTCAGATTCAATTTAGATAGATTTTTCTGGCATCAAAAGAGCTGCAAAAAGTTCCTCCTCATTACTCCCATTTTGCAGAAAGCAAAACTGAGGTATCTGGAAGACCTGCCCAGCCAGTGCTAGGTCCAGAACATCTGGCTTGCAACATGGAACTGACACACCTCCGTTTATGCTTCAGGTTTTGTCTCAAGCCAGGATCTTTTCCTGGGAAGGAGTTGATTCAAACTAGGACAGACCCATGTGTCACCCCAACGACGAGGAGCCAGATGCTGTCCTGACTGACTCTCAGACCTTTTCCCCTGTGCTGGCCTTCCCCCTGTTGGGACCATGCTCCCTGCTGGGCAGATGCCCTGAAATACTCTGTCCAGCTGCCTCCCCAAACAGGACCTCCACATAGTAAAGGTCAGAGCCAGAAGGGCCCTGTAGGATAAAGGGGGAAATTGGGGCCCAGAGGGGAAGAGGCTTTGCCCAAGGCTACTCTTCTAGTGTCCTCGGTGAGATCATGCTTCTCCTGGATTTCCTAAGCTGATCTTTCTGGAAGGACCACAGCACCCTAATTCCTTTTCCCGTCAGGCAATAACTGTCTTGTTTAAACTGTCTCTAGGATTAGTCAAACAGTCAGAGATCACAGCCAACAGCTGCCCTGTTCTCTCATTACCGGGTGCCTATAATTAATATTTATAAACCAAGAGGGTGCTCGTCTTTCTTTGCTGAAAAAGAATTCAGTATTTCCAGTCAGTGGCTGCAAACATACAGCCCCTTGTTACCCTACCATGGAAAAAGAGCTTGACTACTTCAGCAGATGCACTTGTAATTGTAGCTGGCAGAGAACAGAGCCCGGGGTGGGCAGGGGGAGGACACTGGACAGGAACCCAGGGTGGAGGGTACAAAAATGGAGGAAGGGGAGACAGACTGGGAGAGAGAGACAGAGATATGGAGGGTGGTAGGATCACAGACACAAAGAGACACACAGAGAGAAGAAAATGAGAACACAAGCAAGAGAGAGAAGAATCATACAACCCCAGAGAGAAAAGGGGGTTCATCCAGAGACCAAGAGAAAGAGGTGGGAGACTAGAGAGAGACATACATACAGGAAGCAGGAACAGAGATGCAAAGAGAGCAAGAGACACAAAGGATCAGAGGCAGAAAGAGGCTGCCAATTAGAGAGGTTCGAAGGAGGGCACAGCGACTAGCAGGGAGACAGAGGTGGTCAGAGTATTTCAGCCATTGGCCATCAAGTGGGTGGCACTTGGCACAGAACCTGCACATAGTAAGCACTCAGTCAATCCATGGCCCGGCCCTTGTTGGCACTCAAAGTTGCTCACCCAGCATAGATCCTGGCATAAGCTCCCCACTATGGGAATTGACATCCAATAGATCTGCCCCCTACCCCCTAGCCCTAGCACAAAACCTGGCCTATGGTGGATGCCCCTTGCCTGCGGGTGATCTGGACATGGTGTTGAATGAATCCGCACCTCCAGCCTCCAAACCTTTGCTTGTGCTCTTCCCTGCTTGTGACCAGCCAGGTGCCGGGGAATGAGCACTGGGCTGGGAGTCAGGAAATCTGGTTCCTGACTCTGCCACTGAATGGTTGGGCAAGTCTCTTTACTTCCGTGTGCCTCAGTTTGCCCATATGTTAGGTGAGAAATGGTCTCAAATGGTCTTTGAAGTTCCCTCCAGCCTTAGAATTCCACGACCTGAGGTTCTGACTCACTTCTGTTCGCACCCTGGCCAAATGGGCACCCTGTATTCCAAATCCAGCCCAGCTGCCCTCCCTGATCTCACCTGGGATGTGGGGCAGGGCAGTCCTGGCAAGGACAGGCTCTTCTTCAGCCATCTGGGGCTCTCTGATTTGCACATCAGAACCCAAGAAGGGCTTTTAGCTGTTCATGCCCCCAGGCCGCAGTGAAGCAGGCAAAGCGGAAGCCACTGAAGAGGTGTCTTGAAAGTGGGGCTCATGGGAGCCATGAACTTGGCCCCTAGAAGTGGATGCCACATGGTTATTTATGAGGGCTGAGGCAAAGGCAGAGCGTGTGAGAAGGGAAAGCCATTTTTCAGGAAGGCAGAAGAGGTAGGACTGGAAAGTTGGGAGCCGCCATGTTTAGAGAAAAACCAGAGACCTTTAGGGGAGATGCTTCAACTAGCGGCCTCTTAATTTTACAGGTGGAGGAGAATGTTACCTAACAATCCACTCCCCAAACTCTATGTCCTAAAACAGCAATCATTCATTTCCATTGATCTGTGGGTCAGCAGATGTAGGCTGCGGTTGGCTGGAGGTGGCTTTGCTTCACATGCCCCTTCTCCTTCAGCTCCTGAGACCAGTGGGATGGCCTAGGCATGTTCTCTTCATGGCTGTGGCAGTGGTGGCAGAGAGCAAGCAGAAATACACAAGGCCTCCAGAGGCCTGGGCTTAGAGCTAGCACACCATTGCTTCACCTCATTCGATTGGTCAGAGCAGGTCACATGGCGAAACTCAAAAGGAGAAGTGAGAAATACACCCACCCACATGAGAGGGCACTGCAAAGTTCATGGCAAAAAGCATGAATACAGGAAGAGGCAAACATCTGCCAGGTGCCAGGTACTGTGCCCAGAGATAGGGATTTACAGTAAACAGGACAGACAAGGTCACTGACCCCATGGAACTTGAAATAAAGATGTAAACACGTGAATGAATAATAGTCATAGATCATGAAATTGCAGTAAAGGAAATCATGGGGTGGTGTGGCAGGGAGAAACTGAGACATCCACTTTGATACAATAATCTGGAACAGCCTCTCTGAGGAGGTGGTCTTTGAACAGAGCTGTAAGGTGAGAATAAAGAGAGGGAGGAATAGCTTCTCGGGCTGAAGAAGCAGCAGGTGTAGACTCCAAATCCAGTTCTCTTTCCAAATGATCCTGCTGCCTCTTGAGGAGGGAGCTCCAGAGATCTTTGGGGTGTCACCTTTTTCTCTATCACTGGCCACTGCCTTCATGACTAAGTCCTCCAACCAGGTTCTCACATGCCTCTGTCCTTCCAACCAGTCCATCCCCCATCACAGAGTCCTTTGCAAACCATGATTCTGACTATGTCCTGCCCCTGCTCAAAACCTCACAAGGGCCCCTGAGAGTCTACAGAATGAAGTCCGGGCCCCTGAGAGTCTACAGAATGAAGTCCAAGCCCCTGAGCCTCATATTCTAGGATCTGTAGAGACCAGTCCCAGCCCTCTCCCTATCTTCGTCACCTGTCCCATTCTCTTTGCTCCCTTCTCTCCAACCAGGTCAAGACAGTGCTAGAGGCAGCATGAGAGCATGGGCATCCAGACTCTGAGTTCAGTGTTTTTTCTATCATCCTGTGCTGCCTCTGGGATGGGGGGACCCAGGATGGTTTTGGATGGCACCTGTGCTTCATCCTCAATACCATAGTCTACGTCTGCAAGTAGACTATGAGTTATTTGAGGGTAGTGGACATGTCTTCATCATCACTATGTCTCCGTTGCCAGCCATCCCAAGGGTCTGCCAATTTTGGTGGGACTATATGAAGGCATTGGTGTATCCTGGGGTAGCATCATGACCTGCCCAGAGGAGACTCTTCAACTTTTCTCCAACTGCAGACAAATCTGCACTCTGTCCTCTATGTCCTCGTCTTGGTGGTAGGCAAGGACTTGGGGTGGGGAGGGGGAGAAAGGTAGGGCTCTTAGAGGAATCAAAGGGGCCTTCCAGTCTTCCTCTTGCCTTCAAGTCTTGGGCAACAGGATTCCCAGCCATGGCCATGCATATGGGATCAAAGCTGGGTCTTTGATCAGCTTTAGGGACAAAACTTCCAGGGAGCAGCAGAGGGCCTGGCATGTAGTAGGGCTCCATGACTTGCTGAATCGCTTGTGGGAAGATCCATGGATACTTCTGAGCCTGAAATCTGGTCCTCAACCCTGACATTAGAATCACCTGGGTAGCTTTTACAACACGTTGGTGTCTGGGTTCCATCCCCGATCAATTAAGTCAGAATCTGGGATTGGGACTCAGGCATGCCTTTTTTCAAAACTCCTATATTAATTAAGGTCATCTTAGTGGCCGTAAGGGATAAACCTTTAAATCTTAGAGGCCTCACTCAGGAGAAGGATTTCTTGCTTACATAGTCTATTGTGCCCTGGGCTGATTATGTTCCACACAGTCATTCAGGACCAGTGGATGGAAGCTCAGTTGTCTTCAACATGCGGCTTCCAAGGTGAGCTGGGTTTCTAGTCAGCAGATGGGGAAAGAGAGAGTGAAGGGTTGCTTGGGAGGATTTTTACCGGCCAGGCCTAGAAGTGAGGCACACCACATCCACCCACACTACATTGGCCTGAGCTCCATCAACGGGCCCATCTATATGCAAGAGAAGTCAGGAAATCTAATCCTTGGCAGGGAAGCCACTTTCAAGCAATGCTAGGAGGGAATCATAAATCTCTGGTGGCCAGCTGGACACCCTGTCACAGCTTCCCTAGTGATTCTAATGTGTGGGCAGAGTTGAGAACCACTGGTCTAGAGCGTCACAGCTTGATTGGAATTTTGTTCCAATTTCTCACCGCCCAATCTCTAGTGCTGTGGGGGCTCCAGATGAGCCTCCTTGGCTGCCATGCCTTCCTGTTTCATGTTTCTGACAGCCCAATCTGTAGGATGGGTGGGAACCCACAGGGAGTCTCAGTACAGTAGCCTCTTCCTGCTGGAAAGGTTTGTACAAGGGAGTCATGGGACTTGAGTCTGGAACAGATGGAGTCAGACCCTGCATGGCCTTAGAAGCCAGCCTGGGAGGCTTGGCCTCTGTTTGGAAGCCATTAGAGGGTTGAAAGTAGGCAAATGACAGCATGGTAATGAGCTGCAGGAGGGTTAATCTGGTAGAGGGTTGTGCAGAATCCTGGGGTAGGGGGAAGGCCACCAGGCTGTCATGTTCAGCTCTCATTTTCTTCTCCAGACAGATCAAGCTTTATGTATGGTCCTGCCTGGTCTTGGGGGGTGGGCAGGGGGTCTGCTCAGTGCCCAAAGGAAAAGATGGTGCTTAAATCCTGCCTCACTTCCCACACCCCTTCCAGGAGATCTTCCTTTCACTCTTCTTGATTGGCCACCCTTGAAACTATTCAGAAGAATATATTCTAGACTCTGGAAACAATTCCACAAAAGAAATTCCCAACATTTTATGCCATGGGGATGCTATTGTAAAAACTATTTATAGTCTCCCAAGGGGATGCCTTTGTGGGGCAACACTCTTTTCTGTTTACAAGGTCTGTTCTGTTTCGTTTGTAAGGGAAAATCAATACTTTACAGGTGAATTCATTCATTCATTCATCCAACAAATATTTTTGAAGCCCAGGTCCTATGCCAGGCACTGTGGACACAACAGTGAACAGGACGGGCATAGAGGTCCCTGCCCTCATGGAGCTTGTGGTTTTACCCCCTTGCCTATACTCAGAAATGTGTCCACTGGCAGATGAGCATGCTTGTTTCCAAATGCCCCATTACTAAGCCCCATTTAGGGCTTTTCAAATCCAAGCGATACACTGGCATTCTTTGATAAAAACCTAATCAGAACACAGACACAAAAGTACCTTTACAGCATGTGGAGTAAACAAAATAATTTCTTCTCAAGAAAGTGTAAGGTATTCAGGCTTAGAAAATCTTGCCTGAAGATGTTGAAAGTCAAAGAACTAGTTTCTGTTCAGACAATAGTTTATTTGTAATACTCAATTTCAGTTAGACCTCATAGTCCTAGTAGTTTAAAAAATATTTATTGTGTTTCTGATTATAAAAGTAATGTATGAATGCTGTAGAACATTTGGGAAACAAAAGTAGGAGGAAGAAAATAATGATCACCCATAATCTTATCACTGAGAAATAACCAGCAGTAACATTTGGATGTTTTTCTCTCCAATTTTTCTTTTAATGCTTACATTAAATAAAGTTGCTATCAAAATGCTATATTATAAAAATTTTCTTATTTATAGTATTAACATTTATCACAAGCATATATGTTTATCACAAACATATTTATCAAAAGCATGCAGTCTTTGAATATACACTTGTATCATAATTTATTTAATTCTCTATATGATAAACATTTACGTTTTTCTAGTTTTTTGCTGTTACAAGCAGTGCTGTGCTGCCCATCTTCATGCATAAAGTTTTGTCTGCTTCTCTGATTATTTCCTTAGTATTGATTATTTTAGAAATTAAGGTGTCCAATTAAAATATGTGCAAAAAATTTGAAGAGGCATTTCATAAAACAACATATGCAGATGGACATAAGTACATAATGATACACTGTTCAGTATCATTACTCACCATAGAAAGTACATTAAAGTCACAAAGAAATCCCACTAAACATTAGATGGGTAAAATGAAAAAGACCAACAGTATTAAGCGTTGGTGAAAATATGGAGCAACTGGATCTCTCATATGTTGCTGGTGCAGTTGAAAATGGTACAACCACTTTGGAAAATGGTTTCTACTGAAGCTGAACACACACCTATGCTATAACCCAGCAATTTCACATCTAGGTATATACCCAAGAGAAATGAGTGCACGGGTCCATAACAGAATATTCATATATATTCTATTCATCATAGCCCCAAGGTAGAAATAATCTAAATACTCATCAATATGTAAGAGGATAAATAAATTATAGTAGTTTCATAAAAATGGAATACTACACAGCAACAAAAGAGGAAGAACTATTGGTAGATGCAGTTATACGGATGCATTTCACAGGTATTATGTTGAGTGAAAAAGCCAGAAAAAAATATGTTCCATATGATCTCATTAATAGGAAGTTCAAGAACAGGTGCAATGAATCCATGTTTGTTAAAATCAGGACAATGGTTACTTCTGGAGGGAGATACAGACTAAGAAGATGCAGGATGGCAGTACGATGATGCCAGCAATGTTCCTTTTCTTGATCTTGGTGGTAATTATATGAGTGTATAGAAAAGTAAAAAAATGATGAAGCCATATAATGAAAACAAATATGCTTTTTATGTTTCACTGTGTGTAGGTTATCTTTCAATTAAAAAGAAATTCGGGTGGGATTTGGATGACATCAGAAAGTTTTACTGCCAGGAATTCAGAAATTCAAAGATCCATTCTTCCTGGTTACTGATCAACCTGCCTTTGAGGTTTTAAAGAAGTGATACATAACGAACAATAGCAGAACTGGAATGCAAGTACCTCTTTATTAATAGTCATCCAAGTGTTACCCAATGTCCCCAATTCAGAACTGAAGTACAAGGCTGAGTTGCAGTGCATGCCTTAGCTTGAGGCTCGAGCAGGGTGCAACACTCCTTCTCCTTCTTGACAGCAACATACCCAGGTGTGCCCTCAAGCTCTGTCCATGGGATAGAGGCAGGAAGTACCAGCAAGAGCACTCCCTGGAGGTGCTGACCTTTTGAATATGGACTGATGGGTGCCTCACACTCCGATCAGTCAGATGGCTATTTCTCCTTCTTTGTGAGGGCAGCGGGGAGTCCTAAAGGGATTGGGCAGGGGACATCTGGCATAAGGAGTATAGCTGAAGCATTTCTCCTCTCTCCTGATTTCCAGAAGGGAAAAGGGAATGAAGATTTTGTTTTTTGTCAAGTTACCCTCCAGGGAGTTTGCATCATTTTCCACTCTCACCAATAGCACACAAGAAAGTCAATTTCACCACATCCTTGCAAGACTGAGTGTTACCATTTTATCAGGCAGGATATGGAGCCTCAGCATGCTTGCCTTTGACACCAAAAACAGAAGCTGTTCTTTCCTTCCTAAGTCGCTCTGACTCTGAGGCATGCCTGGGTGAAACTAAACTAGTTGCTTCTGCCACACTGGATTAGACCTGGAATTGGTCCAAGAGCCCCAGACAAGACCTAAGGATGGCCCTGAGGATGGAGCCAGTGTATTGGAGCCCAGGGAAGGGGCTCCTTGTTGGATGGAGAATCCATCAAGTCCTCTTTCTGGGTAACATTCAGGGGGACACAGACAAACCGAAGGCACTGACTGGAGCTCAGCTGCATCCCAGAGCAGGCTGAGTGACTACTTTCTGTTTCCGCTAGACTGTGTGCCAACAGCCCCCAAAGAGATAGTTCCCCTGTGACCTGTTTCTCCCAGGTATCTTGATGATAAACTCCATCAGCAAAGAAATCAGGATCTCACCCCTGCCTCCCTAAAGGCCCAGGTCAATATGAATGTTTTTTCCCTTAAAACCTTTTCTAATTTGTCCACAAAAAATGGTGCCATGGTTGTAATTAGCATTGCTTCTTTGACTGCAAGTGAGGTTGAACCTTTCTTCCTAGGTTTATTGGACATTTGTACCTCCACTTCTGTGAACTGGCTGTTTATGTCTTTGGCCACTTTCTCCCCTGGGATTTTCCTAATGGCTTTGGCTGGTCTCAAGAGCTTCCTCTCCTTTTTCAGGGTGGGGTAGATGTCTCTGGCAGTACAGGCCAGTTGGGTCTTGAGCCATTATGAGTGTGTATGGATGTATTTTTGTTGCTGTTGGTAGCTCTTGGCATTTTTTGTCTACAAGTACTTTCCCGGGAAGCTGTGTCAGCCCTGCAATTAGCTCCCTCAATCAGGAAAGCGGCTCATCGTGAGATGAGACACATCTCAGTGGCTGATTGCCTGGAATTTGGGAGCAAGCTGGCGGGCGATAATCTCCCACTTTCTCCCTTTCTCTGGGTCTCTTTTCCTTTTTCCATTTTAAATAACTGCTTGATTGTAAAGAGGGATGATTCACTACTCGAGATTTCTTCTGTAACTTTATGGGGAGGTTAAGAAAAAAGAACTGCCTCCTCCTCTTCCCCTCCCCTCACCAAGTCCCAAATCTCTTCTGTGCCAGTTGCTCCCACAGAAAGGAAGGGAGAGGGAAAAAAGAATGCAGGTCTGGCTACATTCCCACACTGCCCAGGAAAGTCCAGATGTCCTCCTTCAGTTTGACCACCGCTCTGGGAACCCACTTCCTAACTGCAAATCCCCTCCTACTCCCAGCTTCCTGCTCTACTACCTTACACCTCTCAGTGTCAAAAAATACTCCCCTATGTCTAACTCCAATTCCTCTTACTGAATTTCATTTTGTTTGGCCTTTGGAGCAGTTATTCCCTATCCTGTCTGATGCCTTCTTCACCATGTACTTTCCAGCCTCCCCATCCCCTCCCTTCCCCTCCCCTCCCTTCCCCTCCTTTCCCCTCCCCTCCCCTCCTTTCCCCCTCCCCTCCCTTCCTCTTCCCTCCCAAACTCCCTCCCTCCCCTCTTCCTCCCTCCCTCCCTCCCTGCCTCCCTCCCTCCCTTCCTTCCTTCCCTCTTCTCCTTCTCTCCCTCCCTCCCTCCAATATTTATTGAGAACCTAGCATGTGTCATACATGCTCTAGGCACAGAAGCCAAGCACTGAACAAAGTAGATACAGCTCCTGCCTTCTTGGAACTTACATTCTACTTGGGGGACCAGACAATTAAAAATATACAAATACTTTTATAATGTAATGGCTGGTAGTGATCAACTTAATGAAAAAAAGTAGGGCAGGAAGGGATGCTCTGTTGCAGTGGGTAGTGATGGCCTCTCTTAGCAGAGAGAAGAGTGAGGCGAGGGAGGCCATCCCATAGACATCTGGGGAAAGAGTGTTCCAGATGCAGGGAGCAGCAAGTGCAAAGGCCCTGGGGCAGGAGTGTCCAGGTGTATTGTGGCCAGAGCATCAGTCAGAGGTGAAGGGCAGAGAGTTGGTAATGAGGTCACAGAGGTGAGTGAGGACCAGATTATGCAGGGCCTGGGAGGCCATGATGGAGGCTTAGTTTTTATTGTAAATAGGATGGGAAGCTATTGACAGTGTTTCAAGAGAGGAGTGATGTGATGTGACTTAGGTTTTTGAAGCCTCATCTGGTTGTTCCATGCTGATTAGATGGTAGACGGGCAAAAGTAGAAGCAGAGAAATAACCCAAATAACCCTCCTCCCTCTCAGTGAAATAACCCCCTCCCTACAGCTGACAGCAGGGAGCAAATTCAGCTGGAAGTGTCACAGGCAACTCGGCGACTGTGCAGTGAGCCAGAGCCCAGAAGCCACTAAGGTGTAATTCATCTTTTACAAAGACAGGAGTTAAAAGGACAGATTACAAAATTCAGCCCAGTGTTTTGTTTTTTAAATATGAACATCTACTGTTTTTTTTTCTCTTTTAGATGTTTTGTTGATCAAATTATATTCTTGACATGTTGGGGACCTTCTACATTTCCCCAAATGCTGCCTAATGATGCCACAGTGCAATTAAGACTAATTTGTTGGCAGAAATAGTAGGAAGTTGTTCAGTTCTACAAAAGAACAAATCCCAGTGTTCTTATTATTATCCTTATTATTGAGGCCATTATTATTGCTAGAAACACGTGTCAAGCTGAAAGAAGCAGGAGGGAAGATGAAAAACATTTGGGAAGGGAAAAGAGGTGCCTCTGAGGAAGTCAGAACATTTGGAGCCAAAATTCCAGAGTTTGTATCTCGCCTGCACTACTGGCTCTTTGTGTAAGCTTGAACAAGGGACTTAATCTCACCAAGCCTCAATCTCCTCATCTGTAAATTGGATATATCAATATTATCTACATCATTGGATTATTGAGGAGTAAATGAGATGAGATATTTAAATTATTTCCTGAAATACAGAGTATTGTATCATTTAGGATTAAGTTTGGTTGTGACAAACATACTCAAAATAACAGTGGCTTACTTAAGTAGATGCTTACTTCTCTTTCACCTACAGAACTGATTTAGGCAGTGCAAAGTAGGTGCTGAATCTATTCTATCATGTCTTTAGGGACCCAGGTTCCTATTGTTCCCTGGTCTAAAATAGTGGCCAAAGCTCTATCATGGTTACTGTCCAGGCAGCAAGGTGGGGAAAGAGTGACAAAGGGGCCAAAGGGCACATGCCAGCTGCATTTAAGTAAGCTATCCCCTGACACATTCATTTACATCTCATTGGCTAGAGCTTAGGCACATGGCTGTATCTAGCTGCAAGGGATGCAGGGAAGTGTAGCCTTTATTCCAGGAGGCCTTTTTGTCCAGCCCCAAAGTGAGGATTCTAATACAATGGAAGAAAGGAAGGCTGCATTATAAGAGCCTGCACATTAAGAGATAAGTGGAGGCCTCTCCAAAGGTGGCCCTAGAGGAAGGAGAAGGAAGGGAGAAGAGTTAGAATTATATTCTCATAGACACCAACCCAAATATCATATTTTGTCTTTTTTTCTCCCTCTCGCTCCTACCAGTCAACTACCAAGTCCTGCTGTCTCTACATCCTAAAATTCTCTTATATGCCCTTTCTCCTCCCAGTCTCCATGAAAACAGCCCTAGTTCAGACTTAATCATTGCTCACTAGGACCATTGCAAATGCTCCTCACTGTCTCTCTTCCCAATCTGTGGTCCCTCTTCTTTACTAATCCCAGTCTGTGACTGAGACCCAATGGAGTCCCACACTTCTTACAGGATGATATCCAACCCCTGAGCTCAGCCTTTTAGGCCCTACAGGATGGTCCCCAATCTCTTGTTGGCTCTGCTTATATACCTTCCGGGCAGCCAGGCAGAATATTTTGTTGTTAGTTGAATGAGCCACATCCTCTGCACTTCCCTGTCTTTGAACCTGCTCTTTCCTGTACCATTCTTCTCTTTCTTGATTGGAAAATTCCTATTCAAGCTTTAAAATCCACATCAAATGTACCCTCCTCTTAAGTCTTTAGTGCTGTGACACTCATTTGGCTGTTTGCCTTCAAACCCATCTCTTACTCTTCCCCTTCTCCACTCTACCATGGGGGTGTTGTGGAGGTGAAAGTGACTCCTGCAGAGTCACTTTCTCTGGCTGAGTTTAGTCAATAAGAGGCACTGGTGGGAGACTGGAGGATGGAAGGAAGAAGGAAGCCAGGGCATTTCTCATCTTTTTCTTTGCCTGGGGTAGCATCTGTGGCAGTGAGTACATCTCTTTGCAGACAATGGCCCCCTCTGTGGTTTCAGATTCTGCTGAGCAGGCTTCCCTGTAGTCTAGCTCCTTGCAGGAAAACCCCAGCTCTGAGATAGAGTAAAACCATCTCTTTTCACTGTCCTTCCATTTCCAAAGTAGCTGGTGGCTTTTGGCTATTGCCAATTTTTTAGTGGTGCTAATTTGGGCTCTCAACTCTTCCATCATCTGCATAATCAGCTCCCTGCATTAAATTTCCACTGTATGAAATACCTAGAATGGTTTATCTTTTCTTAACCAGACCCTAACTGATTCAAGTGCCTGACAGTACTGATTCAAGTACTTGGCACAGAGTATGTGTTCAATAAATAGTTGTTGAGTAAATACATGATGAATTGAGCTTCTCTTCCAACCATGGTTCCCCAACTTGCAGGTGATTTATTTATTATAGCATGCATTGCACTTGTTTGTTGATGCATCTCTCTCCTCCTCCGTGGTAGCTGGGGATGTAGACACAATAATCTATGCACCCTGACTCCTGAAAAGCATTTATTTCATTTTCTGCAGCTGGGAGTTGGGAAGGAAAGGAGAAGAAAATAGAATGGAAAGGGGTGAAAGGTTCTCTATGGGTCTTTCTGCCTTTCTTATTTTAAATACAGGACCTTGCTTCTGGGTTCAGGCAAGAATTTATGAGTGTATTTAGGCAGCAACACAAGGGGACCTTTGGCAAGAAATGTTCCCTGTCATGCTCTGACAGCCTACAAAGGGAGGCAGTTGAAAATATCAGAAGGGAGATAGATTTTCTCAAACTCATAGAGGCTCCCAGCCCAAACCCCGCCACTCCTTTAAATGTCACCTAGAAATGGTTGGGGGAAGAGGGGAAGCTACTATTTTCTGGCTGGGATGGTGATTTGGTGGGGAGGAAACACCATAAGTGTTCTCAGATTTTAGTCTGCTCTGAAGACAGAGCAAGGCAATGAGGTTTCACTTGCAGTTAGAAGGATTTGTATTAGACATTGGAAGGAACTGTCAGTCACCTCTTCCCTGATGGTAATGTGAGGTAACTCAGGTGCAGAATTGCATTAACATGATCTCCTACCGGTCTCCCAGTCCTGTCTGCTCTAGCCAGGCTGGTCTTCATTCTGTCCCCTGAACATGTCTCAGGACCTTTGCACTTACTGTTCTCTCTGCCTTGCCTGCCCTTCCCCCTCATTATTGGATCCTTCTTGTTATTCAGATCTCAGTTCAAACACCACCTCCTCAGGGAGGCTTCCCTGACTGCCCCATCTGAAGCGTCTGCAACCTAGCCATTGCCTGGTTTCATTTCGTGATTCATTTGTCACTATCTGTAACCATCGTATTTCTTTATGTCCATACCTGTTTATTTTCTGTCTAAACCCACTAGATTATAAGCCTCTTGGGGGGCAGGAATCCTTTCTATTGTTTTCCCCCATTCACACCTGATACCCAGAACCAGTGCCTGGCATATAGTAAGCACCCAGTAAATAATTTTTTGAATGGGGGAGTAAATTAGTGGCTTTAGGAATGCCTAAGAAAACTAGTTATTGCCAGGTGCTGTGACTCATGCTTATAATCCCAGCACTTTGGGAGGCTGAAGTGGGAAGACTACTTGAGGCCAGGAGGTTGAGGCCAGCCTGGGTAATATAGCAGGACCCTGTCTCTACAAAAAATAAAAAATAAATTTAGTTGGGCATGGTAACACTACTTGGGAGGCTGAGGCAAGATAATTGCTTGAGCCCAGGAGTTTGAGGCACAGTGAACTATGATTGCGCCATTGCACTCCAGCAAGACCATGTCTCAAAAAAAGAAAAGAAGAGAAAATGAGTTATCATAGCTCAGGGGTGACCTGGTGTGCTTAGCTGAGATCAGTCTGGAAGGTCTTGTTTGTAGAGGAAGGGAGAGAATGGGCATAATCCTGGACTCACATTTAATGTGAGAGTTAAATGACATGATACCTGCAGAGCACTTAGCACGAGGTCTGGTGCATAATCAGGGGCTCTGTGAATGCCGGCAGCTGAAGGTCCAGATGCACCCCCTGCCCCTCCACATGGAGACCCTCTTGAATGCTGGGTGGGGGGTGGTGTCTGGGCTCTCTGGGCTGAAGATGGGCTCAGTACAAGGGCTGGGTTTGAAGTTGCCTGAGGTAGCCCTACTGTGGAGGCTGCTGAGCTAGAGGCCAGGAGGCAGTTGTTCTCTGGGGCCTGGAAAGACTATCAGCACCATCACTGAGCCTCCAAGGACCTTGTGCCCAGGCATGTAAAACAGTTGCTGAGTGGGTGGACTCTGGATTCAGATACCTGAATTTGAATCTTGGTTCTCCTGTTTACTAGATGGGAAGGTAGCTTAACCTCCCTGTATGTCATTTTTCCCATCTAAAGAGTTGGGATGGTAATGATAGTTGCCTAATAGTACCTGCTCAAGTCTGTGAGGGTTTAGTGAGTGTATGTAAGCACTTAGACCTGTGCCTAGAATAGAGTAAGTGCCACATATGTGTTAGCTGTCCAACAACAATGATAACTATTGCTATTAGTTCTCTGAGGGTTTTTGGCTGAATTGTGTCCCCTCAAGTTCATATGTTGAAACCCTCACCCCTAATAGCTCAGATTGGGACATAGAGACTTCAAGGAGATGACTAAGTTAAAAGCAGATGTTAGGGTGGGCCTTAATTTAACCTGACTGGCTTTCTTATAAAAGGAAATTTGGACACACAGAGAGACACCAGGGGTGCATGTGCACAGAGAAAAGGCCATGAGGACAGAGAGAAGGTCCCATCTGCAAGCCAAAGAGAGAGGCCTCAGGAGAAGCAAAACCTGCCAACACCTTGCTTTTGGAATTCTAGCTTCCAGAACTCGAAAGCTAGAAGATAAATTTCTGTTATGTTATTTTATTTTAGTATTTAAACTGTCTGTGGTCTTTTGCAATGGCAGCCCCAGTGGACTAATACACTGGGTCAAGAAATTCAGAGGCCCAGAGAATGGGGCTGAGTATCTTCTTCACCCTCATGGGACGTCCGCATTGTAGAAGCAGCTACAGCACAACCTCAGGCCTCCCTCTGCCTGCACCTCCCTGAGTAACTCACAGCCCTAGGCTCCAGACCTTCCTCCTGCCTGGCAGTCATTACCAGTGCGTCCTTAGTCTATCACTAGGCCTGTCTGTGACTTGCTCAGTGGGTCAGGGCAGTGCTAAGGAGGCCAAAGCCAGCCTTCTTGAGACCTGTTCTTTTATATGAAAAAAGCAAACAGAAAAGGTGACCCCCTGTCTGGACACCTCAGCAAACATGAACTGTTGACATTCAGTCTGTGGGCCAGGGACAAGCTTGGCTTTTTCCAAGAATATTATCAGTTTGTTTTACTTCTGTCACAGGAGGCCCTGAAGAGACTGAATGGGAGAGTGTGACTGCTCCCTGCAAATCCTCCCCATGTCTGGACTGAGGAAATAGCTCGAAGCACCATCCGTCTCCTGGTGGAGCAGCAGCAGCGTCCAGAGTAAGGACTCCTTAGACTGAGAGACTCAAAAACAGCCAGTCTGGAGGGTGGTTAGAGACACACTTATATTATGGATGGAGAAATTGCGGTCCCAGGAGTGCTGGGACCCACGGACTCCTGCTCAGCTCCCACTTACAGCAACACCAGGCATTTCCAGGGCTATCTCACCCATGTGTGGTCCTGTCACTTCCTCTCCCAATCTACTCTGATCCCAGGCTCATCCTCCACCCTGGTGGTTACAACATACAGGGAGTACTTATTAGCCTTCAGGGCAGTGACAAACTGGAGAGTGTTCAGAGGTGGAGGGTAGGATGGGAAATGGGCTTGAAAATCTATCTTGGGAGAGTCAAGTGAAGATGCATGCAGGTCAGCCCAGAGAAGGTCAAACAATTCAGAAGGGGTGCTGAGGGATGGAGGATGCCAGGCCATAAGGAAGGAGCAGGAAAAACAGCAGGATGATCCACAAAATGTCAGAGCCTGACTCAGTATAAGGGAGTCCCTTTCACAAAATAATAATAAACTTAGACTCCAATAGTCTTCAACCCCTTCTATTCCATCTCACCCCCAACTCCCAACTCTGCCTCGACCCTTGGAGTCTTATATCCCTCCTCTTCAGTCAGAGCCAATCCCAGTGAAGCAGGCAGAAATGGGCCCACCTGATTGGAGCAAGGGAGGTCTAAAGGTGGGCCCAAGTGGTTGACTGACTGGAAGGGCAGCTTGCCTTGGCTAGGGCTGTGGCTGCAGGGAGAGGATGGGCACTTTGCTGGAGGGCAGAGTGGGCAGAGGCTCCAGAGCAGCTGGTCAGCCGGGGGTCTTTGGCAGTGGCAGTAGCTCTGCTCAGCTGGTGAAGTGATGTTCTCCTCTGATTGAGCTAATTATGCTGATTGAATTTCCTCCTTCTCCCTTCAGTGCCTCCCGCCTCCTCCTCTCCCCTGTCTCTTCCCCACCCCTCCCTTTAGAGAGAAAGGGAAAGGTTTCCTTAATGTGACTGGTAATTGTTATGCACACAGTGTCAGATGTTAATGTAGACCCTGATTGACAGCTAATCAGCCCATCAGCTGTACAAAAAGAGTGAATAACTCGGTAATTTGATTTCCCCTGATTCCCCTGCGTGGGATGGCAGGAAAGTCTAAATTAGCAATCAGGGAGCCCATGGCAGATCCTGGAGGGTGGTGGTGGGGACCAAGGGGCTGCAGTGCAGCTGCAGCCCTGTAAGGCCCGGTATCCATGGTGGGGAGAGCCCCTATTGGCCTCGCTTTGAGTGGTAGAGGGGCTTTGTGAGCCACACAGGCTAAATGTGGGGGGTAGCAGAGTAAAGTCCCCATCCAGCGGGTGCCCCTTCCTTCCTTGGTGGTGGCAGGGGAGGTGGCAGGCTGGCTTCTGGGAGAGGAAGGCGGCCTGGGAGTGTCCTCACCTCCTGTTGTCTAGGAGACCTCATGGTGGAGGTGGGAGGGATGTGGCAGCTTCCGCCCCACCCTCCGGCCCTTTCGGAGCTGGTTGCCAGGGTTTCTACCATGTGACCCAAATTCTTCTAATTTAGCGAAATAGGAGTCCCCTCACTCAGCTTTTGGCAGATTCCATTCAGGTAAAATGAAACACAGGAGAAGCACCTGTGGATTATTTTCTCCCAAATGAAACCGTTTCCAGCCTTCTTGGGCAGGCAATAGTAGCTGGTCACAGTTGGCATTTGCTGGGGACTCACTGTGGCCTGGGGACTGTGCCGAGTGTTGTCTGTATCCATTGCATGGAGGAAGAAAGATTGAACACCTGGCTCAAAGTTCCACAGCGAGAAAGTGGTGGATCTGGGATTCGAACCCGGGGCAGCTCCAGCTTCTCAGCTATGGCCAGGGAGGCGGGATTAGCGGTAGTTTCCACTAGGGCCTAGCCTGGGGTGCCATCTTCTCATCAGAAGACTGTCCCACTCCCCATGAGCTCCTGCCCTAGAGACCTTTAGCCAGGGAAGTGTCTGTGTGTGTCTGTAGACCACAGACCTATGTGTGAATGTTTGTCCTTTTACAGATGGGGAAACTGAGGCCAAGGAGGGTAGAGGCTTGCCTGAGGCAATGTAAAGAGCTAATACCCAGCCTGGGCTGGAACCTGGCTCTCCTGCTCCTGCCCAGCAGTGCCCAGTGTGGACCTCCTCTCCTGCCCTGTCTCTCCCCTTACTCCTAGCCCCCTCCCCCTATTTCACCCCAACTGTGGGAGCTAGTGGTGGGGGCGGGGGGCTGGAGCTGGGCAGCCAGCAGGGCCTAGAGATGCCAGGGGAGGACTCTAGGTGGCAACAATACATTGTTGAGCAGCAGCAGCTCCACTTGCAGAGGAGGTAGGTGGCTGCTGAGGAGGGAGGGGCTTTTGCTTTGTCCCCCTCAGCGTTCTAAGAACATGGTGGCCTGAGCCTGGGAGCTGGAAGGGCTGCCTGTGGTGTGGTCCATGTGTGTGCACTTAAGTGTATCCCACCTGTGTTCACGCTGCATGCCCTGGCCCATCTGTGGGGGGCCAGGACCAGCCCATCAGGCCCCAGAGTCCATCTCTCCCCGAGCTCTTCTGCCACCACCACCGACTCCAGGTAGATCAGGCATCTGGATGCTGAGAGTGGGCAAGGGGTCTAGGGAGAGACTCGAGAAAGGAGCCGTGGTCTTGTCCTCAGGTGGCTTGGGAGGTTGGGCTTATAGAGAGCAACAGCCAGAGGAAGCAGGGGTTGAATGCGAAGCCTGGGGATGGGACTTGCTCTTGTGTGCAGGTGGTGGGGGAGGAGGTGTGTGATGGGAATGACAATACCAGCGGTAGTGCTCTTACTCTTGTTGATTGAGCTCTTATTTAGTGCCAGGCTCTGATTAAGCACTCGACATTTATTAACAAATTTAATCCTCACAACAGCCCCATAAGGGAGCCCTTATTCTCCCCATTTTACAGATGAAAAGTAACTTGCCCTAGGCACCCAGCTAAGCAGTAGGAGAACTGGCTTCTGAATCTGGGCTGTTTGTGTGCTGGGAAAGAAGAACCAAGGGACTGCTGAGGATGCTGAGCATCTCCAGGGCTTTACCATGCACCTAGCACTGGGGACTTTGCAAAGTACTTGCTGTTCATCATGCCATTTCATCCTCCCTGCAACGCTAGAAGGCGGGTTAGGATCCCATCCTCCAGAAGAGGCCAGTGCAGCTCAGAGGACGTCACGCAGCTTGTGAACCCCTGAGCTGACTCCCTGAGCTCCCTGCTCCCACTGAGGGGGCTGAAGGTGCCAGCTTCTGAGCTGTTGAGGCTGCCCAGTCCTATCCTTACCCTCGGTCCTCTGGGAGGCCCTTAGGAAGCAGACCCTGCTGGCCACCAGCTCTGAGATCTGAGCGACATTTCTGTGGTCTGGCTGCTCCGGCCTGTGGGCTGTCACCTGGGACCATCTGCCACTTGGAAGGGCAGGGCGGTAGGGCCTCCACTGTTAGAGGTGTTTAGATTCAGGCCCCTGAATATGTCCCTCCCACTTCTTGCCCTTATCACCAGCAGCCGCCCCCACACTCTACCAAAGCAGCTGGCTGGGGAGAAGCTTCTGCCCTGTGTCTCCTTGGAGACCCCTGATACCCCAGGGAAGCTGAGGTTCTGGGGTCCCAGACCCATGGCACCCGTCTCTCGACTCCTGCTCAGCTCCCATTTGGAGCCTTGGTGGTCCCATGAGGGCCAGCTCCCTAGCAGCACCGGGCATTTCCAGGGCTATCTCACCCACGAGCAGTCCTGTCACTTCCTCTCCCAAGCCACCCTGACCTCACGCTCATCCTCTACCCTGCTGGCATCAGAGAAGACCCTGCTGACCCACATAGTGTCCATGGCATGTTACTGTTCTTATGATCTCATCTGACCCCACAGCATGTCTGGAAGTTGGTGCCACATATCCATATTATCAATGAATAAACTGACACCTGGGGAGTGGGGTGACTTGCCTTAGGTAAGAAGTAGAGTGGACTTTCTGTGATCCAGAGTCCATGTTCTGGGCACAGAAAGATTGGCTGTCCCCTTGCCTCCTAGCCCACCTCCCTTGGCTACAGACTGATTGGAATCCCCAGCCCAGGGCCAAGCTCACCCAGAAGGCATGGGGCACACTTGTTCCACTGCCAAGCCTGGATGGCTGGTAGGGGGTGGGTGGGGGAGAGGTATTTAGGATAAATTCAGCCAAAGGCCAGGCACATGGGGACTAGGCTAGGTCAGGACCATGAGCTAGAGGACAAAGAGGCAGAAGGAGAGGGGCTGTCCTGCACCAGCAGTGTGGCCTGGAGGCTGGTCAGTGTTGCTAGAGAGCCCTCGCCCACAGAGGGGCTGCAGTGGATAGGTCTGGGTGGAGGGGAAAACCACTGTGGCTCCTGCCCTTGTCCCATCTCCTGCTCACTTTCACTTGGGAATGGGGGGCAGGGAACAGAGGTGTCTTGTGAACTGCCTGAGGCCACATGGGCAGAAAAGTCAGTCAGGAATAAGGCTCCAGTTGCCCTGGGTCAACCCAAGGACACCTGACAGGCCCAGAGGACCCTTCTTTTCCAGGGTCAGTCATCGAAGGCAAGTGAGGCTGGGCCTGGGGGAACTGCAAAGCACAAGGTCCCATTTGCTGATGGTCAAGGGCTGTGCACGGTGGGGAGGCTGGCCACAGCAGCTGCAGCCTTGCCTGCGGAAACATTCCCACAGCCACCCATGCTCCCACGTGGATGCATCCCACAAACACACACATACCTCACACATTTACACAGCTCACACATGACCATGAGCATGACCAATGATGTCACAAATCATAGATGTAGACAACCACACCCAGGTGTGCGTGCACACACACACACACACACAGCACAACCAGGCGAGCTGGAAGCCAGGCACCTGGGGCTTTGTGCTTGTGTTTTGTCCTTGCTGTATACCTTGAACAACTCTGGGCCTTACTATTATTATTATTTTGAGATGGAGTTTCGCTCTTGTTGCCCAGGCTGGAGTGCAATGGCACGATCTTGGCTCACTGCAATCTCCACCTCCTGGGTTCAAGCTATTCTGATGCCTCAGCCTCCTGAGTAGCTGGGATTACAGGCGCACACCACTACCGCCCAGCTAATTTTTGTATTTTTAGTAGAGATGGGGTTTCACCATGTTGGCCAGGCTGGTCTCGAACTGCTGACCTCAGGTAATCCACCCACCTCTGCCTCCCAAAGTGCTGGGATCACAGGCATGAGTCACCATGCCTGGCCAGCTCTGGGCCTTATTTTAGAGCTCTTTCTGGTGGTTCTCCTGTCTCACTCTCCCCCAGAACTGACCACCCCACGTTGCACTGCCTCCTATTGGCACTCGGAGCTTCCTTCTATGCTGCTTGCCTATTTAGGAGTCTGCTGCCCCTAACAGAGTGGAAATTCCTCCAAAGGGGGTTCTGGGGCCTGACAACAGGTAGGTGCTCAGCTGGTGCCCTCCAAACAGGTGACTGCATCACTTCCCTTTTGACAGGGTTTTACTCCACCCCCAGCCTCTAGCCCAGTGCTTCTCACCTAAGGATCTTGTTAAAATGTGTATTCTGATTTTTAGGGCTGGGGGCTGAGGCTCCTTGTTTCCAACAAGCTCCTAGGTGATGGATGCTGCTGGCAGGTGCACCACACTGAGTTGCAAGACTCGTCCCTCCAGGCACCCCCTTCACAGGTTCAGCATCCTCGCTGCCATCTCCTCACAAATGCGGTGAGTCTTGGCTTCATCGCCTTTCATGACAGGAATGTCACTCTCTTTAGGGTGAGGCTCCTTTACTATACAATTCCTAGCACTCAAATCCTTCTTCCTTCATGAAACTGAGCTCCATCTCCTGGGAGCCTTCAGGGATTGCAAAGGTCAGGGTCTCTGGATTTGCTCTCCTCCTGGCTGACAGCAACAGTTCCTGCAGTGGGTCTGGGAATGTCTCATTTGTGCATTCAAAAGTTGGTGAGAAGCTGGGTGTGGTGGCTCACGCTTGTAATCCCAGCACTTTGGTAGGCTGAGGTGGACAGATCACCTGGGGTCAGGAATTCGAGACCAGCCGGGCCAACATGGCGAAACCCTGTCTCTACTAAAAATATAAAAATTAGCCAGGCATGGTGGCATGCACCTGTAATCCCAGCCACTCGGGAGGCTGAGGCAAGAGAATTGCTTGAACTCAGGAGGTGGAGGTTGCAGTGAGCCAAGATCGTGCCACTGCATTCCAGCCTGGGCGACAGAGTGAGATTCTGTTTCAAAAAAAAAAGTTTTTGAGGTGCCCCTAACGTGTGGTAAGGACTACATGCAACACTCCAGGGAAGTGTGGCCCGGGAAGGTGCAGTGAGGCAATCGTCTCCCTTAATCTATACACCATACTCCTACTGATAAAGCCTAAGACCGAACTAAATTTCTTTAGCAGCTCCCTCACTTTGCTGGCCCATATTTTCCTTATGGTCACCTAAGGACACCGGCACTTTACCCTCACTAGTTCCTATCTTATAACAGTCTTAATAAGTGACAATTCTGTGACACAACAATCCTAAAGGATGCAATTTATTTTTTAAGTTTTTTTGTTTCCATAGGTTTTTAGGGAACAGGTGAAGTATTTGGTGACATGAGTAAGTTCCTTAGTGGTGATTTGTGAGATTTTGGTGCACTCATCGCCCAAGCAGTATACCCTGAACTCAGTTTGTAGTCTTTTATCCCTCACCCGCCTTCCCACCCTTTCCCCTTGAGTCCCCAAAGTCCATTGAGTCATTCTTATGCCTTTGCATCCTCATAGCTTAGCTCCCACTTATGGCTGAGAACATAGGATGTTTGGTTTTCCATTCCTGAGTTACTTCACTTAGAATAATAGTCTCCAATCCCATCCAGGTTGCTGCGAATGCCATTAATTAATTCGTTTTTATGGCTGGGTAGTATTCCATAGTATATATAAACCACAGTTTCTTTATCCACTAGATTGATGGGCATTTGGGCTGGTTCCACGTTTTAGCAATTGGGAATTGTGCTGCTATAAACATGCATTATTAGCTGCCACCAAACTCCGGTGTGCAAGTATCTTTTTCGTATAATGACTTCTTTCCTAAAGGATGCAATTTGTGCTCCGTAAGAGGAGTCCTTCCTTTTTTCCCCCTGACCATGTGCAGACTTAGAGGTCCTGCAGTTTCCTTGCTGGCTGGCCCATGGGCGTATTCTCTTAGCTGGCTCAATACTCCTTCTGCATTTTTGTCCTGCCTGTCCCCCTACAGCCCACTGCAGTTCAAGAACTACAGACAAATTCATTGCCTCTTTGTCTCCCTTGCCCTTCTAGAACCAGCTGTAGCAGGAGAAGTTTTTTTTTAAAATTTATTTTTGAGATGGGATCTCAGTCTGTCACCCAGGTTGGAGTGCAGTGGTGTGATCTTGGCTCACTGCAACCTCCGCCTCCCAAGCTCAAATGATCCTCCCACCTCAGCCTCCTGAGTAGCTGGGACCACAGGCACACACCACCACACCCGGCTAATTTTTTTTTCTTTTTTGTATTTTTTTTTAATAGAGACAGGGTTTCTCCATGTTGCCCATGCTCGTCTCGAACTCCTGAGCTCAGGCAATCCACCTGCCTCGGCCTCCCAAAGTGCTGGGATTACAGGCATGAGCCACAGTGCCCAGCCTTAGGAGGAGGTTTAAATTGGGAAGCCTGATACAAATGCTGTCCTGTCTTGACAAGGAGTCACTTCAGTACCCAGGCCTTGAAGAACTGTTCCCCAAAAACCTATATGCCATGCAGTGCGTCCTACAGAGAAGGAGCAGGAGGAGGTGGAGCAGATTACAGCACTTCATTCATGCATTCAGTCACTCAGTCAATACACACATGTTAGGTACCCTTGCTTGCATGGCGCTGCTATAGCTGCTGGGGAAGCAGGAGAGAGGAAGACAGACAAAGCTCCTGTCCTCATGGACTAATGGTGTCATTAAGGGGCAGTGGGGAGGGGCAGACAAAAAAAAAAACAAATAGAGGTAGAAGGGAAGAAGCCAGGGAGGAAGATGGGGACAGGGTGTTGCTCCAGGCAGCATAGTACAGTGGTTAAGGACCTGAACTCTGAAGCCAGAATACCTGTGTTCAAACCTGAACTCTGGCTGTGTGGCCCTGGGCAAGTTACCAGCTCTGTGCCTCCATTTTCTCACTCCCCAGCTTTTATAAAGTACCTGTGCAGTGCCTGGCACGTAGTGAGTACTTCCCATTAAGTGAGGTGATCCAGAGAGTCATCTTTGAAGAGGCGATATTCAAGGTTGAATAGGAGCCAGCCATGGACAGACCAGGAGAAAGGGAAACAGCAAGTGCAAAGGGTCTGAAGCAGGAAAAAGCTTGGCTTCCTGGGGCATCGAAAGAAGGCCCACGTGGCTGGTGAGGGAGAGTGGAAGAAGATGAGGCCAGAGATTCAGGGGGAGCTGTTGGGTGGTCAGCTTAGAGGTCACTGCCAGTGGTTTGAATTATAAACTAAAGCCAGTGAGGCATCACTGAAGAGTCATAAGTGGCGACACTATCTGATTTGCTTTTCCAGGCTCCTGCGTGCCATGCTGGGGTGGCTTGCAGGGAGGCAGGAGGAGGGGGCAGCCGAGGACTAGAGTCTCAACCCTAGGCTTGGCTCTAAGCCAAGCCCATAAACCCAGCCTGGCACTCTGGCCAATAAAGGTAGTGGGAGAAGTGCCTCCCCACTGTTCCAGAATCTTCTTAATCCACCAGAGCCTTGAAGGGAGAAGCAAAGAAGCCTGGAGGGGAGCTTTTGAGGGATGTTATTTTGCATCTTAATTGCATGCTAAGTAGGCCCGTGGGCAGGGCCAGCTGCAGAGCATTAGCTGCCACCAAACTCTGGTGACTCAGGCCACAGAGCCTTAAAATATTTATTTTTCTCTGCATTTGGAATTCAGCATCTGCACAGGAGCTGCTGGCGGGAAGCGGAAGTGGGAACCTGTTGGTAACAGCAATCTGGAGACAATGCAGGGCTGCACAGGTCCCGCTTCCTAAGCAGCTAGCATCGCTCCTCTGAGGGGGCTGCTGTCTGTGCCTTGCTGGCTTGCTGGGCTCTCCCAGGTACCTCTGGGACAGCGTGGCTTCCTCCATTACAAATTGATTTTCCACTTTACAGCCTAGGCCTAGAGTTTGCAACCTGAATCTCACATTCCTTTTGGGTCCATTTGAGGAAACATTCTCGCTTTGAGTCCTGAGCACAGGAGGCTGTGCGTGGGTATACTCAGGGAGTGCATGTGTACGGCTGCATTAACATAACTGTCGGTCTTTTCCCAGGGGTGGGTGCCTGTGTGGGGGAGGTGGGGGCAGCAAGGGTGCCCAGGAGCAGAGTGGTTTAGGTGGTGGGGGTGTTGCTGTTTACTCCCACCACTTACCAGCACTAGGTGTACCTCTCTGCCCTTCATCTGAAAAATGGGACTAAAGCTCCTTCCCATCGTGAGCTTAAATGAGGTCACTCATGCCAAGCTCCTGGCCTAGCGAGCGCCTGGCTTAGTGCTTGGCTGGTTCTGAGTCTCTCTGAAGGATGGGTATTGTTATGATTGGTTCCTCTGTAGGGCACGGACTCTGCTCAAGGCCTGACTCTCTTAGGACATGAGGGGAAGCTGGCCGTGGGCTCTTGGGCACCTAGAGACTGGGGAGGAGGGGCTCAGGCTGGGGAGGAGGCCCAGGGAAGTGGGAGGACATGCAGCATCACCCGCTCCTCGCAGTCCTGGCTGCTGGCGGGGGCAGCGGTAGGGGAACTGAAATGTTCGATGACTCTGATCCAGCTCTTTTATTTTGGAGAGTCTGCTGAGGCTGGAGCTGGGCTGGATTACCATGAAGTGCTCCTGATTTGCACAGAGAGATAAGGAGCTCATCATAACTGAGAGAGGGAGGGACTGCTGTTCCCGAGCAGCTGCTGCACTAGTCCTAGGTGAGCCAGAATCTCTGGCTGGGGGTGGGGAGCTGAGCTCAACCTGCCTTGGTGGCCCTGAATACCTCACCATGGCAGGAGGTGGCAGGGAGGAACAGACCCTCCCAGGCAGAGGGGCTTGGGAGAGACACATGGACATAAAGAAGACTAAACTTGTATTTCAGAAAATTGAATTAGCCATTGAGCTCTGTGAATGCCTATCCCTGCCCAAGGGAGGCACAGCTGTACACTGGAAGCTGGGGACCGTCATTTCTTTTTCTCCTCTCCCCACTGCCTCCAGCTCAAATGCCTTTAATCACTGGGGCTTGCTCAGCTGGAGGCCTGGGCTCTGACTGCTGGAAAGACACAGAAGAGCTGGGGCAGAACCTTCTGAAGGAGTATCCACAGGGGTCTGTGCAGTCCTGGCTTCAGGAGGCTTTTAGGGAGAGGCCTCTGCCCAATGCCCCCTTTCCTGCCCCGAGCCTTGGCCTTGGGAAGTTGACCGAGCCTGAACAGTAGGGAGAAGTTGCTGAACTTTCTCATTATTGGACGGAAGTCCAGTGGGCAGCAGAGGGGTCTAGGGGACTTCATTCTGGTGGGGCAAATTTCTCATATCCAAGCAAGGAAGAGTTTCACAGACATTGTCTTATGGGCTTCTCACAGCCATCCTGAGAAGAAGGAATCATCATCTACATTCTACAGAGAAGGACACTGAGGCACAGAGACGGCAGTAGCAGAAGGGGCAAGCTGGGACGGGAATACTGCTCTTCAGACAAGGAGTCTGAGTGCTGCCTCATTGGGCTGTGGATTGGCCTTGGGGGCTGCTGGGCCAGGCTTTATGCTCCTGCCTGCTATAGCCTCAAGGAGAGGAGGCACCTCCAGGTGGTCAGAGTGGGGTCTCCCTTGGCTGCAAGAAGGACAGCTCTGTAGGGTTGGGGGTCCTGGAACTGAGAGACTGTGCAGCAAGGGGGGCTCATGGAGCTCATGGGAGCTGCCTCCCTGCAGATCAGTTCTGCACTCTTGTGGGCGCTACGGAGTGGGCAAGGGTGGGGAGAGTGCAGAGAGGGAAGAGCACTGGATTAGTCTTGGGTCCTGGGCAGGAATCCAACCTCCATTCATTCAACAAACATTTATTGAATGCCTTGGTATCATCCCTCTCAATCCTTTAACAACAGCTTTGTGAAGCAGACACCCTTTCTGTATTTCATTAATTATATGATGTACTCTAAGAAATGGCAACATCTTACTATTGATGGGGTTATAACTGATAGCATTTTTCTTTCTTAGTGGTCTATACAATAGACCACATGGTTTTAAAGCCAGTGGACAGTTCCGTGAAATATAGAACTAGCCCAATTTAAAAAAATGGAAATAATAATCATGATAACAGTATTAGTAGATAATTGTTAACTGTTGACCATATGCCAGGCACTAGATTCAGAATTTTGTCACTATTTTGATTGTTATTCCCATTTTGCAGATAGAAGACTGAGACTAGTCTATAATTATACCACTCTGCACGTACCTGATCTTGCCTGATCTTGGAAGCTAAGAGTTAGGGTCAGGACTGGTTAGTACTTGGATGGAGAAAACCGAGGCTGAAGAGGTTTCTCAAGGTCACACAGCACAAATGGTGGAGCAGGGGTTGGAACCCAGTCTGGCTGACTCCAGCTCCTTGGGTTCTGGACCCCTGGAGGATGCCTCCTTCCTGCTGCTCTGGGTTAGGCCTGTGCTGGGTCCTGGGGAAAGAGCCATGAGCCAGGCACAGGAGGTCCTGTCCTACTCAGACCTGCAGCAAAGTGTTGTGGGTGGGGTGGCAATGGGGCTAAGACCACTGGAGGCTCTGAGGAGCTGCTGATGAGGATGGGAGTAGGGAAGGTGGGTAGAGAGGGTGCCAGGAAAAGTCTGAGAATGTGGAGGGAGGCTCTTTACAAACGACCTCCACATTTTCCTTCCCTGTCTCTTTCTTTGCCACTGTTTCTTGTATACCACCATCTTCTCCAGGCAAGGAGGAAGGGCAGTGTGTCCACCCAAGGTGGACTCAGAAGTCATGGGACTCTATGTGCCTCCACTGGCTCTCACCAAGGACTGACTGAAGCCTCAAAATCCAATAAAGCCAAGCCCCTGAACAGGAGGGCTGTGGACAGGAGGCTAAGGTGCTGATGGTGGAGTCTCACAGCCTGTGATTGGGAGGCCAGTTGGCTTCTGTAGTGTTGGGCTCCAGAGAGGGGGAGGGTGCTTGGTGGATAGAAACATGGGCTTTGGAGTCAGATGAACTTTGGTTGTAATGTGGGCTCCTCCACTTACTCGCTGTGTGGTCCAGGCAAGCTTAGTAAATTCACTGAGCTTTGATTTCCTCATTCACAAACTGAGAATAATAATTGTTTTAGTTACCTATTGCTGAGTAACAAATATCCCCAAAATTTAGTAGCTGAAAGCAATACACATTGATTATCTCACAGTTTCTGAGTCAGGAATCTGGGCACAGCTTGGATGGGTCCTCTACTCAGGCTGTCTCACAGGACTGCAGTCAAGGTGTCACTGGGGCTGTAGTCTTATCTGAAGGCTCCACTGGAGAAGGATCTGCTTCCAAACTCATGCACGTGTTATTGGCAGGATTCAGTTCCTCAAGGGCTGTTGGACTAAGTGTCTCAGTCTCCTGCCTGGAGGCTGACCTCAGTTCTTACCAAGTGGGCCTCTCCAGCTTGTTTCTTCAGAATAAGTACATGAAGAGCCAGAGGGACAGACAGATAGACAGACTGGAAGACACACAATACACACCTACAGAAAGAGAGAGAGAGAGAGAGAGGGAGAGAGAGATAAGAGCAAACAAAACTGAAGTTACAGTCTTTTATAACCTACTCTTGGAAGCGGCATCCCATCAATTTTGTCATATTCTTTTCTTTAGAAGCAAGTCACTAGGTCCGGGATCATCAGGAGCCAGGTCAGAATGCAATAATATTTATTTTGTGGGTAAGTCATGGGGATTAAATGAGATACTAGGTGTGAGTACCTAGCATGGTGCCTAAGCTAAGTTGGGCTATATGCTGAACAAATGGACTATTATTATTGCTGATGTTGTTGTTATTCTCAAAGCGAGGCTGGCCTGGGGCTGAGATAGGACAGAATCCAACAACTAGCCTCAGTTTCCATTGGCCTGACATCATGAGAGTGTCACGGACTATTAACAACCCCACCCAACTCCATCTCCATCTAGTCAAATCCTGCCTATTTCCCTGGGTTCACTTGGTTGCCTTCTACTCTAGGAAGCTTTTCTCCAACTGGATGATGTGAGCTGTGTTTCTCTGAATGACCCCCTTTGTTCACAGGGAAGGGAGCCACCACCCCAGGCTGGGCTAACTCGCATGAGGACACCACTAACATTGTCTGCGTTCCATTTACGTTAGACAGGCAGGTCTACAATGTTTGAAGTTTACAGATTTCTTGGATATAGCAGTGAAAGGTTTGTATTTTTTATCTGTAAGGAAAAATTGTGAAGTTTACATCATTGCAAAATAAACAGAACTGTGACTTCTGTTTCACAATTGGCGTGGTTCTTTTGTGTGCTTTTGACAGTTCTAGCATGTTACTGACAGTTACAAGATTTTTTTCTCCCTCTGGAAAATTGGGGGAGGGGTCACGTGACACCTTCCCACTCTGAATGCTCTGCTTATGTTAAAGATGCAGAAACTGTGACTCAGGGCAGTTAGGTGACTGGCCCAAGATCACAAAACAGTTGAAGCAGGAACTGAGGTCAGTTACCTGATCCCAAGACTCATGGTCTTTGTATTATATTCATTCATTCATTCATTCATTCAATAAATATTCTGTAGTCCTTGCTATGTGCTAGCCTTTGTGCCAGGCACTAGGGATTGAGTGACGCATGAGCAGGTCCTTGTCCCAGCCCTAAAGAGCTTTTACATTCCCCTTCTCCCCTGACTCCCACTGGATTACAACTTTGTCCAAATAGAAATCCACTTTCTCAGTACCCCTCCTTCATTGTGTCTGTCTACTATGGGGCTTTGAATTTGAACTGGGGACTGTATTTCAGGAGGGGGTTCTATCAGCCATTGGTGTGGGTGGAAACGTAGCAGGAAATGGCCTTAAAGTCCCAAGAGAGAAGGATCTGATAAGATAAAGAAGTTGGATGGAAGGTGGTCAAACGGAAGCCCCCATGGAAAATGGAGAATGAGGTTTACAGATTAAAGCAACTGATTGGCTTTTAACAGCTGATTCTTCTCCACCTCCGTTGCTAGCCCCAGGTCACTTTCCTGTCCCATGCATGGCACTTCAGGAGTTAAACCCAAGTCACTGCCTTCCTGCCCAGTGAGCCAGGTGATGGGATTGCAGTTAATGGTAATTTGAACAAGTTTGGTCAACTAGAAATACATAAGGAGATTGAAACATGAAAATGCCCTCGGAATTTATACAATTGATATATTGTAGCTCAGCCAGCTGTTAACTCCATTGTATGAGAGATGGCAGAAATAATTTGCAATGAACCTGACATTTGTTTACTGAACCTTTGCAAAGGAGAACAAGGAGGAGTGGGAGGTGTCACTAGGAATACCTCCCCCCACTGCCGTCGTCCCCGCTGCCCCCTTAGCAATCCCTCAGCCAGTTATGAATTACTGCTTAGCGGGACGTTTGTGTGCCAGGCATTCTGCTAGGCACTGGGCATGCGGTAGTGAACAAGAGGGATAGAGTTCCTGTCTTCCTAGATTTTACTTTCTAGTGGGAGAGACAGACTGTAACAGATAAACATATGAGTAATAGAGCTATGGAGAAAAGGAGGCAAGGTAATGGAATTGAAAAAGATGGGGGAGGTTCTGGGGGTGGGGAGCAGAGGTCTTCCGGATGGATAACTAGGGTCTTATGTAACTCTGGAGGTGTGTGTCCAGCTATCTGCTCTACCACTTCTTATTCTGTTACTAGCTGTGTGTCTTTGGGAAAGTAACTTAACCTCTCTGAACTTCAGGTGCTTCATCTGTAAAGTGGAAATACTAATACCTGTCAGAGGATTATTTGAGAGAAAATGTATCAAAGCTCATTGTCAGCTATAAAGCATTCTATTTATGTGAGTTGTTAAGATGGAATTACAGTGCAAGATCACCCATTCGTTTATTAGATTTCTTTTCTTTCCTTCACCAAACATCTATCAAGTGCCCTCTACGTGTGTTAAGGGGCACCCTGTTCCTGATTTGTTATTCTGGCCCAAACATGAAAAGTCTGGCCTTGTTGAGAATGGGCTGGAATAGTTAAATGACACTTTACCAGGGGCTTGAGTATGACAACAGGAGCAAACACAGTGCCACTTGTACATTATGTGTAAATGAAGATGCTCACATGTCTGTGTCCCTGAGTGTGCACATATTTGTGTTTCTGTGTATCTGTGTATGCGTGTATGTGTGTTAGGGGATCATGCTTTATCCCCATGGGGAAGGAAGGTGGCTTTGCCCTACTTGGGATTTGAAATATTTCCAAACCTCTTACACACCACCACCCCACGGCAGGGGACATCACAGGGGCTGCTGTTCCCATTTGGGAGATGAGGACATGAGGCTGCTCAGATTCTCTGGATTAGAGAAGCCAGTGCCACACAGTGCACAGCTCCTGCCTAGTCTATGTCACATGACATCCTGTGTCTCCCCCTCAACCTTCTGGGGCTCCAAAGACCCTATAGATTCTGTTTCTCTGAGGTGGGTGGGGGCCAGGCAGGAGGTTGGTGCAGCTTTTCCTCCATTAGAGTGCCTGCCGTTCCTGGCCTCAGTCCTGGGCTCATATAGCCCACCACATGGCAGCATGGCCCTTAGCCTAGGCCCATGGAAAGAGTTTGCAGTCAGACCCGGGCAGGGACCAGGGGAGGGTCTTTTGAGCTCATCAAGCCTCAGTTTTCTCATTTTGAATGTGTCTATAAACTGCCCATGACTTGTAGGGCCATTGTTAGGCATAAAGAGATGATGGTGTGAAGCTACCTCACGGGTCCAGCCTCTAGTAGGTGTTCCGAGAATACCCATTCACATCTCCCCCAAATACGGCCACCCATTCCAGGTCCGAGGGCCATTTGGTTCTGATTCTGATGTTCCAGGACAACAACCCAGTCCTAAACATTGGCCCAGGAGGGTATGGCCCCAGCACATCTGCCCAGTTCTTGCCAGGCTCCTGTTTCCTGGGGGTAGGGCCACGCCCGTCCTGGGCACCTGGCAACTGGCTGGGGTCCTGACTGTGTTCAGCTGGGGCTGCCTTGACTCCTGACACTCTGACTTGCCCATCCAGCTCTGAGTGTTGTTTCTGCCCAGAGATGCTGCTTTCACTGCCTCTGACCCCATCCGACTTCCCGGTGGGCAGGAATCCTGGGGACATGGCTGACTCCTTTACAAAAATTCAGTAAACAAATACAAGGTTGCTTGCAAATTATTTCCACCTCTGTGTGGGTCTTTCTGGTTGTCCGATCCCTTGGCACTGTGCTTCAATTGCTAATACCCTCCACAGAGAAGCCAGCCCTTGGCTCACTGTTGATCCACTTTATGCCCATCCTCCGCTGGTCCACCAGGGTTCTAGCAACAGGATTCCAAGATATCAGGACAAAAGCTTCCACCCACCCTTACTTGTTTTGTTCTCTATAGTCACACAAAATAAACACCATCCCCATTTACCTGTGACATCCCTCTAGGCAGTGTTTCTCAGCCTTGGCTGCACATTAGAATCACCTGGGGGGCCTTTAAAAATATTAATATTTGAGTCCACCCCAGATCAATGGAATAAAAATTTTGGGGGAGGAGGCCTGGGCATTAGTATTTCCTAAAGATTCCCCAGATGATTCTAAGAAGGAGCCAGGGCCGAAAACCACTATTTTAGAGAATAAATGATCCTTAGCTTTGCCACACCCAACCTCATCTCCTGCTGAATTCTCCCAGGAGCTACCTGCAACCATCACACAATTCAGTTTTCAGACCTCTCATCATTCTAGTCACTGTCCACTTCATGTAGTCCATCAGGTTAATGCACTTCGGAAATGTGACTTCCTATACTGAACTGGACTGTCTAGGACAAGACGATCACCTCCTTTACTCATGGTATTATACCTCTATTAATATGACCACAAATCAAATGAGCTCTTTCTGTCTATACCCCACTCTTAACTTACTTAAGGCCAACCAGCCTCTTCCCTTCAATAGCTCCTTCTCCATTTTCCTACTCTGTTTACACCAACATAAGAAAGCCTCCTCAAGTAGGTTGTAAGGTTAATTCCACAAACACATGCAATTCCAGGAAAACATTTTAGGACTCACTGCAACTTTCCACAAGGTTCAGAGTGGTCATTGGCTCTCTATCTGTTTCAACAGGTCCATTCTGAAGTTGGCTCCATCCATCGCCCCTGATTTGAGAGGCTCATAACAGGTATCTAACTCCTACCTACATTTGATACCTGCTCTTCTTAAACTTAAATAACAGTTTCCATTAAAAGAGCATTAGCATGACGCTCCCGTAATTAATCTTCTCTGGATAACTAATAGTTCTGAAGGCACGCAGAGGAGCAAGGGCATCATACACCACTAAGCTCATTTATCCTAATTGACTTATCTAAGAATTGCTGGGGCAGCTCGCCGTGTGCCTGTTGACCTGTGGCGGGGGCCCCATGGGTGCCTGGAATTGGGGGAAAGGAGCAGGGTGGATGGATGGAACCAGAGCCAGCTGGGGCTGGCTTCATCCTGGTCACAAGGCAGCAAATAACATAATGGGTCGGCCTCAGAGGCGGGCCAGCCCAGGAAGCTTTTAGAGGCTCTCAGCAGCCCTCCTAGCGCACCCAGATTACACATGCAGCTATTTCGCATCATTAAACCTCCCTATTTTGTCCCCGGGTGCTGCACGCTCTCTCTGCATCAGGATGGGCTTCAAAGTAGATGCTTTGCCAAAGTAGGTGTAGCCACTGTGGCAGGCTGACCCTGGGGCACCGGGACACATTTGCTGGCTGTTTGTTTGTTTGCTTGCTGGTCTCCCAGCCCTGGGGCTGGGGCTGATGTGCTGGGGAAGTGCATCTGCTCAGCCTCAGCCTGCCTGTTTAGATTCCCACTGCCGTCGGTGCTGGGGCTGGAGAGTGGGCATCACTGGGCTCCCAGACCCTTGGAGGCCACTGTGGTGATGATCTCCTTGCTCTCCCCTCCAGCCCCAGACCCACCCTTCCTCAGTCTGCCTGCCAATAGGTGGGCACTGAGAATGATCCTCTAGTGGAAGACAATCCTGGGCTTTGTTTGACCCTGAAGCTATTTTCCTTCCAAAGCAGGAACCAGAGCATCAGTGAGGCAGCTTAGAGCCCCAGGGGACAGACCCCTGTGCTAGGTGATACCCTCTCTGGCCTCTGGCTCTCTTCTGGTAGGTGCTCTGCACTAATGCTAATCCTTGCTCAGGCACATCTGCTCTATCTCATAACCTCTTGTCTGGAGCTTTTCCTGATGTCCAATCCACAGTGTGTGCTTGATCCTCCCCCTGAACCTACCCCCAGGTGGTGTCTGTGCCCTGCCTCCTCTGCCTCCAGGCTCTAGCCCATCCTGGTCTCCATTTTATCAGATTCTATCCTTCCTAGCTCCTGCCTGGACCAGCCTCCAGACAGGCACAGGCTGGGTGGACTCCTGGACTGCAATCTCCACTGCCAGCCCCCGTCTTATTGCCTTGGTTTACGTGCTGCCTTCTGCATGGGTTTCCCGGTTGTGTCCCCCAGGTCCTAGCTGGAAATAGAGTCCTGCCCAGCATACCAGCCCATCTGTCTGGAACTCTCATGTGCCCAGTTCCCATCCAGCTTTTCCAGTTTTGTCCTGTCTTCCAGGCCGAATCCTGTTCTCTGTGTCCCTGGCCAAACCTGACATACCACAAGAAATTATTATGTTGCCATCCTCTGCTCCATGTGTCTGTCCACTAGATCTGACAGATCCGTGGATATTGGACTAAGGCCACCCCTCCTGGAAACTAAAAATCCTGGATCCAGTTTTTGCCCTTCCCCCACCTTTTCCTGATCTGGTCCTAAATTGTAGGAAGGCTGCAGAATGAGGGACATCTGCAAACTTAGTGGCTTGTGCCTGTGTGACCTTGGGCAATTCCCTTTCTTTCTTTGAGTTTCCATTTCTTTCTCTGAGAGATGAGAGGGTTGGAAATAATGATTCCCAGGGGTCCTTTTACCTTTGAAATATAATGGAAAACAAGAGACCCTGAAGACAAAGGGTATTAATACGGTGGTCAAATCAAGCTGGATCTTCTCTCCCCTCTGCCAGGGGCCTCCACATCAAGCAGGACTTGGCAGTGGATTTACAGAAGACTCGGCACAAGGGCCCTGGGCTCTCACCTTTAGAAAATGGTGCAATTTAATGGTAATGCAATTACAGATGTGCTGAGATTGAAACAGCCCATCTTATCTCAAACTCATCTTCCCCACCAAGTATCGGGGCAGGTGCTGATCCCTAATAGCTGCTGAAATGAATTCACCAGGCAGCTGGGGGCTTCTAGGGAGGAGAGCTCTGTGCAGAGAAAGAGACGAGGGAGGGGGAGGAGAGATGGAGAGAAGGAGGATGGGAGCAGGGAGGGAGTGAGAGAGAGAGGAAGAGAGATGAAGAGAGAGGGAGGGATAGAGGGAGGGGGATGGTAGGGAAAGAGGGAGAGAGGGAGGCAGGTGGGAGAGAGAGACAGAGAGAGATAGAGAGAGAGAGAGAGAGAATGAGACAAAGCAGAGAGAGAAGGAGGGAGCCAGTGAGAGTGAGGGAGGAAAATAGAGGAAGGAGCAAATAGGGAGAGAGGAAAAGAGAGGGCAAAAGAGAAGGAGAAATGAAGAGATAAAGAGATGGAAAGAATGAAAGACACCATGAGGAAGACAGATGGAAGAGGGAAGCCAGGAAGGGAGGAAGAGAGGTGAAGTAGGCAAGGCAGGGGTTCCTAAGAAGTTAGAGATCATGGGAGAAGAGAGTAAAGTGGGGAGAGAAGAGGGATAGAAAGAGAAAATGAAGGGAGAAGATGAAGGAAGGGGTGAGAGAGGGAGCGTGTGCAAATGTGAGTACTATGGAGGGAAGAGGGGAGAAGAGAGAGGAAGAAGGGAAAGAAAGAGAGATTGAGAGAGTGCCAAGGAGAAAGGAGGCGGTAGGGAAGGAAGAGCCAAGGAAAGAAGGAAAGGGATGTAGAGAGGGAGGGGAGGGGAGGAGCAAGGGCGGGGGAGCGGGGGAGGGGGGGCGGTGGACCTGATGATTCAATAGAGAGAAATTGAGTGAGAGGAAGAGTGAAAAAAGGGAGCAGAGTAGGGTCTGTGTTTCCTAAATACTGAGCTTCTCAGACCCACTAGAGCCTCTGTGCCATCCTGAGGATAAGTTCAAATAAAAAAGAAAAGAACAACAACAACAACAACAGCAACAGCAACAACAGCAACAACAACAGAGAAACCCATGAAGGGGCTGGTAGGAATGAGCCCCTCACGACGAAAGCAGATGACAGACAGGGCAAGAACGGGAGAAAGCACTTGAAGAAGCGGACCCAGAACTAGAGAGAGGATTGGGAGCTCTGGAAAGAAGGAAAATGTAATGATCCAAGACCCTAGAACAGGCACAGCTCCACAGCTCCCCACACAGTCAGCCGGTTCCATTAACCAGCGTTCATTCGTACTGCCTGGCAATCCTAGGATAGCTTGGGTTCAGCACCACGGACAGCCCCCTCCCCGCCCCCTCCACGCCAGCAGAGACTGATCTCTCCTGGAGCTCCCTCCCACGTGGGCCCCTGGCTTCGCCCGAAAATGGCTCCTTTGGGCGGCTGGAATGCAGGCCTGTGAGCTGCTGAAGTAGATCAATTATTTTTCAGAACACGGTTTTGATCCCGATGTTACTTCACTGGATCACTGAGTGGAAAGGGCTCGCAGAGAAAATGGCATTTTTTATAACCCTGGCAAAATGCTCCCGCACTGATGAGATGAGCCACCCAGCGAGAGCGCGCGCGCACATATGATACATAACTAACCAGAAGCATAATCTTCTAAATTGAAAGCCATAATGTTTGCTGTTGGAGCTAAATATTAACAGGGCGTTGTCTCCCAATGACCCTCGGGAGGCAGCTGGCTTAGCGGGAGGCTGTCGTCATATTGAAGCAATTTGATTAAATTCTTTTCTGCCATCAGAATTAAGAAATGAATAGTTTTATGAGAGTCATGCCACAGAGGACAGGAAAATAAAATGCTCAGGAAACGGAGCGGGACCAGGTGCTTGCCAGTACCTGCCTCGTCCTTCTAGAGGGAGTGATACCAGCCTTCCAGGATGGGGCTAGCTCAGGACTGCAGATGGACCATTGGATGATAGGCGCTCTCTCCTCCCTCCAGGCATCCCTGCCAACCTATATTTTCAGCCTTCTCCCAGTTCACCCGAGAGGCCAGTAGATACACAGGGTCCTTTTCAAGAAGCCTCTCAATTATTCATACAGGAGGCAGTAAAATGTAGTGGCTTAAGTCATGGCCTCTGGAGCTAGACTATCTGGTTTCAAACCCTAGCTCTGCCTCTCCAGTAGCTGTGTGATCTCAGTCAAGGCACTTAACCTCTCTGTGCTTAAGTTTCTTTGGCTACAAAATAAGTTTATAGTAGTATCTACTTTGCAGAGTTGTGAGGACTTAATGAGCACTAAAATCCTTAGAACAGGGCTTAGTGTATAGTAAGCACTATATAAGCATTACTCCTATCTGATTTATGTTGAACTGTATAAAATCGCTGTTTTGTAGGTGAAAAGAATCAGATATTAATATCTTAATATGAAGTTTATACCGTAAGATTTTTAGCAGCTGTGGCCACTTTCCTGCCCTGTGGCCCTCATAGCCCAGCACTATTCTAAATGTTCTTGTACTTAAAGAGGTACTAACAATATGCTATGTTTGTATTCAGAAAAAATTCTTTTTATTAGAAAAATTCCAGTTAACCACAGACTCAGAAAGTTCCATCTGTGTTTCCATTGGAAGGGGGAAGGCAAAAGGAGTTATTTGTTGACTGCCCTACTAAGCGTCATGCACCATGCCAGCTGTGTTGCAATATTACGCTTGTTAAATCCTCTCAATAATCCTATGAGGTGAGTATCAGGTCCCATTTTATAGATGAAGAAACTGAGGTTCAGGGAGGTAAAATGATTTTATAAACATTATACAGCTATGGAGGCAGAATAAGAATTCAAACCCACTATATCACTCTAGAGAATGAGGGCAGGATAGAACTCATGTCTGATGAATCTCCATCCTTCCCTCTGTGTTTCTCCTCCAGCCTTCCTCTCAAACAACCCCTTCTGTTTGTGTCTGTATCTCCAACACAGGCTTCTTCCTTTTGTCTCTTGTAAAGTAATAAAAATATAAGATCGGGGACAAGACTGAGAACAGCCGCACTGCCTGTGCAGAAGACCTACTCTAAATTTTAACAACCTGGTCCTAGGAAGAGCCACCTCTGGGACACCTGCTCCTGAAAGCAAAATCCTGTCCATAGTAAATAGTCCAGAAAGAAGTGGGAGGTTGTGGGAATTTACAGAAACTGAGGGAGTAGGCTGGTGGGATTGGGGACTTGGAAAACAGCTGCCTGAAACATCATTTCTATTGGAATAGAAAAAGTCATGGAGAATGGGAGGCAATGCATGAAATTCCATTTTTTCTTGCTTTGAGTCCATGTTGAGCTCCAGTGAGAAGTGGGCAGAGAGGATTCTGTTCTGACCATTAAAATATCAGGTGAGCTTGACTTGGAAAACTATCTTTAGTTGTTCTTAAGAGGGTGAGGGAGCCTGGAGAAGGACAAGTACCCTATACAACCTTGGGGTGGTGGTGGGGTCAGTGGGGGTCTGGCTTTCTATTTAGAAGGGTGCTCAGCCGTGGTGGCTCACCTGTAATCCCAGCACTATGGGAGGCTGAGGCAGGCAGATCACGATTTCAGGAGATCGAGACCATCCTGGCTAACATGATGAAACCCCATCTCTACTAAAAATACAAAAAAATTAGCCGGGCATGGTGGTGGGCGCCTGCAGTCCAAGCTACTCGGGAGGCTGAGGCAGGAGAATGGCGTGAACCCAGGAGGCAGAGCTTGCAGTGAGCCGAAATCATGCCACTGAACTCCAGCCTGGGCAACAGAGTGAGACTCCATCTCAAAAAAAAAAAAAAAAAAAAAAAAGAAGGGTGCTCAGCCTAGGAGGGCCTGACCTTAGGAAGCATGCTAGGGGCAGTTGGGGACTTAGATGTGGGAAGAGAAAGAGACAAGTAGTATCATTTATGCTTTCGCATCTTTATTTAATGCTTTTCACAACTCTATGAGGTTGGTGTTATTATCTCTATTTCACACAGCAACTATTAATCAAATAGTAATAGCAGCAGTGGGGTAGTGGTGGTGGCAGTAGTAGTAACAGCAGCCACTGTAAGTACTTGCTGAGCATGTCCTATCTGCCCAAGGTATTTCTATAAGCCTCTGTGGTCTGCAACAAACATAACCAGGTGTCTGTCCACCATGGGGTTGTGCTTCCCTTCCATACTGTAGGGTTGTGCCTAGCAGTGTTGCCCAGCCTGGGTCTATTTCTATTCCTAACCTCACATCTAAATGGTGCCCATGGCTTGGTCTCATTCATGGAACATGAGGAAGATGATGCGTGTTCCACCTGGGTAAAGGTGGGTAAAAATAAGGGATGTCCTCCCCAACTTTGCACTTCTGTTTATTGGCTAGATGCAGAGGGCTTTGTGCCCCTAGAGGATGGCAGAGACAGAGGATGGAAGGAGCCTTGGCTCCCAAATCACTGTGCAAAAGACAGCCACCAATTAAGAAGAAACAATCTCATTCAACTACTGTGTGAATGAGAAATACACTTCTATTGTGAAAAGCTCCTGAAATAGTGAAGCTTATTTTTTATAGCAGCTACCATTATTCTAACTAACATATGGATATTATCTCATTTAATCTTCACGACAACTTTTAGGGGACAGGTATCAATAACCCATCTTAAAGATGAAGAAACCTAAACTCAGATGTTAAGTGATTTGTCTAAAGCTGCACAACTAGTCAGTGCCACAGCCAGAATTTGGAACCAGATCCCTCTGACTCTGGGTCTACAGTGCCAGTTGCCTCACTGTGACCTTAAAGAGAGGAGTGAGAACAGAAAGGGTGAGGGATTTTGGGGATTGAACTGTGGTAGAAAGGCTGTCCTTGCCCCAGAATGAGAACCAGCCTTGAGTGTAGATCTGAGAACAACCTTCCGACTAATGAGCACAGACCACGTGCTGGGCTTAGGTCAGGAAAAGGAAGGCAGGGAAAAGAGGGTGTTTTGTGTGTCCTGAACCTATGGAGCAGGCTAAAGGGACCTCCAGGAGGCTAACGTAAGGGCTTGAAACCAAGAGCACGAACCTGTCCTTTCTCCTCCAGGCCCCTTCCCCTGAGACATGGAAACAAGAATAACCAGCACCATAATTATAACAGGAGACGTTATAGTAGGTATAGTGGGAAGTGGTACTTACATAGCACTTACTTTGTGCCAGGCACTCTTGTAAGTTCTTTACATATGTAAATGTGAACCTCAACATAGCCCCATGAGGTAGGTACTATTATTATACCCATTTTACAGAGGGGCAAACAAAAACACAAAGGCACTAGTAACTTGCTAAAGTCACAAAGCTGTTAAGAGGATGAAGCTGGTTACAGGAACATGACTGGGGCCAGCACTGTCTGGAGAGAGGGATCCAGGCCTGGCCTCAAGCAAGGCCACCTCATAAGACCAGTGAGAAGGTTTGGTGTCAGGGCACCTGGGCTTAGATAAAGCTGACCTCAGTGACTGCCTAGATTTGCCTCTGGGCCTTCCAAACTCCAGCTTAATTTTCTTGGGCAATTGTTTCTGAAATCCTGACTGACTTCATGTGGGGTCTCTACAGGCGCAAAGAGAGGAGAGCACATCAGTAATTGGGATTTACTAGGAAGGAGTGTTTATGGAGTATGAGAGGATGGATGAAGAAACACACCTTCTATATGTCCTGAGAACAGAGCTTCAGAACTCAGCAAGGCCAAATATTTGGGGTGGAGGAATTACCCAGGCTGGATCAGGGCTTGGGAATAGCAGAGTCTGAGAGAGGGTGTGGGCCTGACTGTGTATGGAAACACTCCCTGCCAACAACCCTCCTACAGTGAGGAGTGGGATGCTCTGTTACTCCTTGTATCAATGTCTTAGTCCATCCGGCTGCTGTAAAAGAATCCCATAGACTGCGTAGCTTACAAACAGCAGAAATTTATTTCTCACCATTCTGTAGGCTGGAAAATACCAGACCAAGGTGCTGGCAGATTGGATGTCTGGTGAGGGATGTCTTCCTGGTTCATAGACAGCTGTGTTCTCACAGTGTCCTCACTAGTGGAAGGTGAAGGAGGCTCCCTTGGGGCTCTTTTATAAGGGTGCTAATACCACTGATGAAGGCTCTGCCCTCACGATCTAATCACCTCCCAAAGGATCCACCTGCAAGTACTGTCACATTGGGGGTTAGGTTTTAACATGAAAATTTGGGTGGACATACACATTCAGGCCATAGCAATCAGTTAGTGTTAGTTTTGCAGTGTAACAAACCATCCTGGCTCTTAGGGGCAGCTGAGCGAATCTGTGGCCTGGGCTCAGCATGGCTGATCTCAGCTGAGTCACTTGTGTGCTGGCTGGTCTGGATGGACTCCAGTGGCCTCACACACGGGTCTGGTGGCTGATGAGCTGTTGGCCAGGGTGATGAGGGCGATTGACCCATGTGTCCCACATCCTCCAATAGGCCAGCCTGAGCTTACTCACATGGTAGTTGAAGGAATGAATCCAAGAACAGCATGAGGCATGCACTTTGCAAGTGTCTGTTTGTGACGTGTTTCCTATGCTGTCCCACTGGTGAAAGCAAGTCACATGGCCAATCCTAGAGTCAGTGTGCAATGGGGAGTACCCAAGGGTGCAGATACAGGGAGACATGAACAAATTGGGCCATTATATTTCTGTTTCAGTATCTACATCTGTGGTAGACACTATACAGTTAAGACCAGGGGAGCTCTTAGGGAGACCATCCCTGAAGAGCTTTGGAGTCAGGGGATGTAGGGTGGAGTCCTGGCTTTATTCCTAAACGTCGTAAGAAAAGCAATCTCAGTTTCTCTGCCTGTATAGTGGGTGACAGGGTTATTGTAAAGATCAAATGAGATGCTTGAAGAAGTCCTTTGCAAGCTTTAAAACACTGTAAAAAATGCAATTTGCTGCTATTCTTCCCCCCAAGGAATGTAGGTGGGTCTTAATAATTTCTCAACTTGGAGTTGTCTACTTCGTGGCAAAATCTCAGCTTCCAGGATGACTTCCTGGACCACCTCTGGAGCAGCTTCGCTCAACACCAGTGTGCTTGGGGAATGCAAAATCACTTTAATATTGGTTGGAGACAAACGTAATTAGGAAGGTAAATCTGCTGAAAAAATAATCATATTATGCAAATGTGATTAGCAATGACTTTTGGGTTCTTTGTTATTTGAGAGTTTCTGTTCCTTGGCATGCATGTGGAGAGGTGGCTGCTGTGTGCGTGGGGTGTCTATTAGTAGGTGCTCAGGAAATGGGAGCTTGTGAACACAAAAGTGGGGAGAGGAGCATTGGGAAGGGACTTCTCCATCAGTTCCCAAGGAGAATCTGTTGGTCTCTCAAGGTTCTGAGCTGATTCCTGTCAAGGAGGTCCAGTGAGCAGACCCCAATTGATGACAAGGGTCCCTAAGAGGGGAAGGGGCTTTCTTCTTCCAGGCCGGGGCTGGACTTAAAGAAAAATGAGCTGGAGCTGTGGTCCAGGGGACAGCTGACTCTGGCAATGGGGCTACCCTTATTGAGGGGCTGGTGGGTTTGGGGGTGGGACTTGGCTCTGCCTTTATGGGCTACCAGGAGGTGGTCAGAACCTGGAGCAATTTCATGCCTGGTTGGGGTCTGGTGTATTAATTTATAGCAGGAATGTTCCTTCCCAGTGTTGGAACCAACAATGTTCTCTGACAGAATCAAGAGTTTTCCTCTGGTCATGGCTGGAAGGTCACACATTCTGGCTTTTGTAGCCCCTTTGATAATGGTGATGATGGTAAAAAAATAATAAATAAGAGCCACCCACTTAGTGAGTGATTATTAAGTTCTAGATGCTGTGCTAAGTGCTTCACATAATTACCTCATTTAATTTTCATAACAATTTTATGAGGTAGGTACTATTATTCTCATTTCTATTTTACAGAGTAAGAAACTGAGGCAGAGTGGTTAAATGATTTTCTCAAGATCACCTATAACAGTAGCAATTTTCTCAAGGTCACCTGTGTCAGTGGCAGAGTCAGGATTTGGACACAGACCTAGCCTGATTCTGAAGTCTATGCTGCCGCTCAGCAGGCCATGAAAACCCCAACCTTCCCTGCAGGGCACAGCACGAATGACTCTGTTGTCATTGTCTTTGCTGCGTGCACTTTGCAGTCTTGCCTGTGCACACCCCTGGCCATGCTCAGGTCACCCCAAGGAGACCCCAATGTGCCTAGGCTTCTTCACAAATTTCTGGAAGCTGGCACACTCCTGCTCCACCCTTGGTGAGTGACCTGGTCTCTACTCCTGGGGTTTCTATGCACTGACCACAGCCAACCAGTCTGGGCAATTGGGACATCTGGGTCTGGAGTGGGTGAGCCTCCTGGGAAAACTGAGATGGCTTTGGGGGCCCCTGAGCATAGGGGATGCTCATGAATCCCCCTTCTTTATGGCTTCTCTCTAGATTTCTAAGAGCCCAAGATCTCTTCCTGTGCCCTTATTTCTCTCTTGACCCTTTGGAGGCCTGGGGACCCTCTCTGTGACTCCCTCTCCAACTTCTGAAAGGAATGCAAAGCCTCAGGGAAGTTCTCAGAAGAATCCCTCCTGCCCCAGGGCCATGTCGATATTGACCACAGCAAGTAAAGGGTTGGTGGTAGTGGTGGTGGGGAGGATTTGATGAAGTCAGCACCACCTCTTAGGGCCAGGCCAAAAGTTCTGGGATGGGGAAAACCCCACCGTCCCAGCCCAGCCCAGCCCAGCGCACATTTCCCACCGAGGCACAGACAGGTTCTTCCCAGACCTTCATTCCCAACAACCACTTGGCCATCCTCTTCCCTTGGGCATCTCCATGTCTGATAGACCTGACATGTACACAGCTGGCTACTGCTTTGCCCACAAACCTGGTCTTTGTCAGTGTTTCCTACTCAGGGATGGCATCTGTGACCCGCTCCTTGGCCTTCACCCTTACATCTAATCAACAGCCATGGTCCCACATGGAAACGCTGCCAAATCTCTCCTATGCTTGCTGCTCCCTCACCCCGACTCCATCCACATTACCTCCAATTAGCTCATCATCTTGCTCCTGTATTTACTGCAGAGCCCTACACTGGCTCAGCACACCCAGCTCCAGTCTAATCCTGGTTCATGATCACACTGCTACCATAATCATCGAACGCACACTATCGATTGGCTCTCCATTGCCTATGAGTGACATCAAAGCCCTTGGGCAGCATCCAAGGCTTGCCAGGATCGGCCTCACTCTCCAGGCCTTCTCCCCTCGTGTCCCTCATAGCATGCTAGGTACCAATCTGCCTTCCCTTATAATGGGCTCCCTATGTCTTCAATGCCCCCCCACCCCTTCCTCCTGGGATAATATGAGGCTGCATCTCATGGTGTCTCTGCCATCTCTGCTGGCTCCTGGGGCAGTGTGCCACCTCCTCCCGCCATCCCCCAGCACTCTGTCTGCTTCCTCATTACGGCCCAGATTGCATTGCCGTTATTGGTTTACATTCCCGTCTCCCAATTGGCCGTCAGTTCCTGGAGGGCCAAAACGCTGGCTCATTTATTGCTGAATCCTCATCCCAGCAGAGGGCCTGGCACATAGTAGGCACTCAATTAGTGTTGGTTGAATTGAATTCCCTCACAACTCACAGAATTGATTCGATTTGGAAATGACATTGTATCCAGAGGATTGACTTTTGTCTCTCTCAAGGGCTTGTGATGATACAATTCACCTCCTCATTGGCTGCTCTTTTTGAAGAAAACAAAACTCCGATTTCTGGATGGAATTGAGCTTGTGGTCCACATGGGAGGGGCGAGAGGCCTTACGGTGGAGCGGACTTTGCTTTTCTCAGTGGCAGGTGAGGCACGTTGTCGTGCTGTGGAGATGAAAGGGTGGGGGCCACTGTATTATTTTCTGCATTTGAGCCAGAGGCTAAACGTAGCCTTCCTTCCTCCTGGCTGATAAATAGGAAAATAAATTACCAGGGCACTAAAAGTTGCATTAGGCAAATAAACATTTTGGCAAGAATTATATGTGACATTCAAGAGAAAGCAAATAAACCCTAAGTTATGGGGACCTGTCAAAGCTCTAGGAGAATTAAGTAACTAAAAATCATTAGTAGCGTCTTTGACAGCTCTTAAACCTTCCCTGGCTCCCGCCCCTGCTCCGGGAGGTCTGAGTGTTCCCTGTCATGTGTCTTCAGAGAAATCCTCAGTTCCCTGGGGCCTCAGATCTAGAGGAACCTCAGAAACCTTCCAGGCCAGTGCTTTCAAACACTCTTCTGTGGAACCCTGGGGTGTGTTGGGGCACCGCAGAGGCAGCACAGCATACGTGGGGAAGGGGCAGTTCCGAGGGCTTGGGGCCCATCCTGCCCAAACAGAGAAGCTCCTCTTTGATCTGTATGGCATTAATAGGGGATTAATTAGAGTAGAGTGAGAAATTCTCTTCTGGGAGAAGAATTCTGCTAAGTGATTTGAAAACCATTGTCCTGGAGCAAACACACACCTGATAAAGAAATATCCTCTAGAACATCATGGTAAATAATCGTCCAACCTCTTCTTGAACACCTCCAGTGACAGGGAACTCATTCCAGGATTTCCACTCAGCCCCAGTGTTCTGCATGACATCCCCATCCCAGGACTCTGCTGCCAGAAGGCTTGAGCTCTAGTCCAGGCTCTGCCATTTACTCATCGGTGAATGCTGGGCAGTAACTGAAGCCCTCTGAGTCTCAGGTTTCCTATCTGTATAAAGGAGATGATATGGGGCCCGGCACTGTGGCTCATGCCTGTAATCCCAGCACATTGGGAGGCTGAGGTGGAAAGATCTCTTGAGCCCAGGAGTTCAAGACCAGCTTGGGTCTTGAACTTGTCTCTACCAAAAAAAAAAAAAAAAATTAGCCTGGCGTGGTGATGCACGCCTGTGGTCCCAGCTACTAGGGAAGCTGAGGTGGGAGAATTGCTTGAGCCTGGGAGGCAGAAGTTGCAGTGAGCTGTGATCGTGCCACTGCACTCCAGCCTGGGCAACAGAAAGCAGAGAGCCTGTCTCAAAAAAAAAAAAAAAAAAAAAAAAGGAGATGATATATATTTTTCCTGCTGCTGTAACAAATTACAACTAACTTAGTGCCTTAAAATGACACAAATGCATTATCTTCCAGGTGTCAGAAGTCTGAAATGAGTCTTAAGGGGCTAAAATAAAGGTGGCACCAGGCATCAAGGTTATGTTCCTTCTGGAGGCTCTAGGGGAGAACACTTGGTTTTCTAAAAGCCACCTGCATTTTTTGTCTCATGGCCCCTTCTCCCATCTTCAAGGCACATTTCTCTAGTCTCTCCTGTCATCGCATCTCCTCTGACTTGGGCCCTCCTGTCTCCCTCTTACAAGAATCCTTGTGATGACTTTGGGCCCACCCAGACCATCAGAGCCTCTTTCCATCTCAGGATCCTTGGCTTCATCACACCTGCAGTCTCTTTTGCCATGTTAGGGAACATATCCCAGGTTTGGGGGTTGGGATGTGGCCATCTTCAGGGGTCATTCTTCTGCCTCCCACATAATGACAGTGCCTACCTGAGGGGACTTTTGTGAAGGTGAACTGCAAAACCATAGTATTCACAGGACAGAAGAGTATTCCATGATGGAAGAGCTGCAGGTGGGGCTGGGAGAAGGCTGAGAATGTAGCCCCCACATCTATTCCCAGAGGTACTTCATCCATAGCTGCACACCTGGGACCACACTCAGGAATAACGGAAGTAATCCATCCATTTGTGTGGCACTTTACAGCTTCATCAACAACATCACATTATTGTGTTTCATCTGCATAACCAGCTTGTTCTGGAGGAGTGTACTCTTTGGCTTTAAACATGAGGATGCTGAAGCTCACAGAAGCCCAGAGACCTGCTTGAGGCCCATAACAAGTGGGATCTGAGCAGAGATTTGAACCCCCATCTCCTGACTGCCAGGGATCGGGGGCTTTCCCACAGACCCCCATAGACTCAGAGATGACTGGTCTGCAGCAGGGAGGTGTTTTTCAACTAAGCGTTCGTGAGGCTGAGATTTAGCTTTGCTTTCAGGCCAGGGCACAGGGCTGGGTGCAGAGCCTTCCTTGGGAATCCAGGAAACAGATGGGAAGCACTATGGGGCCCAGGGTATCTTTGGAGGCTGGGTTGTACAGGGATGGGGATTCCAACTTTAGATCTAAGAACTTTTCCTTTTTCAGAGGAAAAGAAAGTCCCACATTTCTCACTTAGATGTCTCATCAAAGATACACCCACTGGGCCCTGACAGTGAGAACTGATTTAGAAACCTCAGATGGGATCTCAAGGCAGGGTCCTCAACAGGGCTGGCCTCCAGACTTTCAGAATCTCATAGCAACTAGCATGTAGGTGGCACCTACTATGTGCCAGGCTCTGTTCTCAGAAATTTACGAGGAACAGCTTGTTGAATCCTCACAGCAGCCTCGGGAGGAAGGCACCAACTTACAGATGCAGAAATTGAAGCCCCAATTCCAATCCCTGGAATTGGGATTCTAGCCTGGATGGAGTTCACGCTATTAACCACCATGATACTGCCTGTCTGTGACAAGACGGGAGGGTGGACCCTAGACCTGAGGTCTCAGGTTCACGAGTTGCTGGACCCCCTGCTTCCCTCCGAGGTGATGGGGCTGGAGAGGTAGGAGGCAGGACCACCCCAGCTCACACTTTCCTTGCCTTGGTTGGCCCCATCTTGCACTTTTGCTCCCACGAGGCAATGGGGGTCACAGGAGGCTGGGCCAGCATTGGGCTGAGCTGCTACTCCCTCTGGCATGCATGACAGTGGGGTGAAGCCAGGGAGGGTGGGGAGAACCACGCAGCCATTTTACTCAGACATGTCTGGGTACAAATCCCAGCTCTGTGAGACCACTTGGCATGCAGTATCTCATTCAACCTTCACAGCAGCCCTGCAAAGAAGATGTCATGATCCCCTCTATGGATGAAGACACTGAGGTCCAGACAGGCAGAGTAACTTTTCCTAAGGTCACTCAGCTTATATGCCGAAGAGTCAGGCCTGGACCCCAGGGTGTGTGACATGAAGCCAGAGCCGCTCCACGGCACTGGGCTCTTACCAGTGACCTGGGTGTCTTGCCGGGCACATGATGGCCACTCAGCCCTCGGGCCCTTCCCTTTCCTTTGGCTCAACCTTCCTTTGGGAGAGGATTTTGCCTCCTCGGAGTCTTTCCTACCAGGAGTCACAGGCCTTCTGTTCTAAGTTAAAGGAGGTCTGAAGATGGGATGAGAGGGAGAACGACCCCGTGACCTCCCCTCCACTGTCCTGCAGCCCAGCCCGGGGACCTCCCCAACCCCACCAGCATCTTTGCCAGCTTCCAATGAATTCAGAGCCCTCTGCAGCAGGGGATCTAAATTTAGACCCTGTGCTCTGTTAACTCGGTGAATAATGCTAATTAGCATAACAATTCTTCCTGCAATTAAGCTGGGGAGGGGGATGAGGTGGTGGTACTTGGTCCAAGACGAAATTACACTGGGAGGCTTCCTATTGCTGGTTTTCGGAGGCCTCACTTGAGGTGTCTACTTGGTTTAGCTCTCTTCTTGGATGGCTGGATCCAGAAAGTGCCTATTTGGGATGGAGGGAGGGAGTGCCTGTCTCTAACCTTATTGTGATATGTTATTGGTGCGTGTATTAAAGTGCAACTCCAAGCCCTGCATGGGAATAAATTAGGTTTTGTAAGCAAGCTGTCACCTGCTCTGAAAGGTGTGAAAAAATTATGAACTGCATTGTCCTGGAAACCATAAAATAGCACTTCCTCCCTGAAGTAAACACATAAGTTTGGGATATGAAGTTGAAATGAAGTTATATTCGGAATTTAGATATATTTGTTTAGGGAGATTTGCCAATTCTATTGTTTGAACCGGCAATGTGAAGTTACCTCTCTGTGCCGTCTGGATAACCGTTCAAGCCAGAAGCCATCAGTTTGGGCCCTAAGAGGCCACCTGTGGCTTCTAGCCTTCCCTGCAGCAGATCAGGAAGTCTGACATCTCCACTGGGTGGGGTGTGATGGGGCGGCCATAATGCCGTGGGCTGGGGAAGGTGGAGGTGTGAAAGGGGCCTGGAGAAAGGCTGCCCTAGGCTCCCCTCCATTACCTCTGATGACCCTCAGGTCATTACAGACAGCTCCTGAGCTCTGAGGCTCCTCTCCCGGGTTTTCTTGAATACTTTCATGGCACACATCTTTCAGGCTCTACCTCCATTCAGGCCTCTCCTTTCGGGGCATTCTTTCTGAGTCGTACAGAACAGAGAGGGACTCTCTCCTCCATTTCTCTGGTCATAATACCTCTATTGATGCAGCCTAACTAGGTCACTTTTCTGTAAGTGGCCATATAACTTTGTTAGCTCATGTGGAGCTTCTGGGCAGCCAAAATGGTAATGAGTGATCGAGATCGTTTATTCATTTATTCCCTACCTGTGTTAGGCATTATGCTAGTCTCTGGGGATGTGTGTGAGAGATGAATCAAACATAGTCTCAGCCCCAGGGAAGGCACAGTCTACCTGGCGACAGAGAGAGAGAATGGGAATAGGATCCAGTATGAGAGGGACTAGGATGAAAGCATGTATAAAAGGGGAGTCTCGGAAAGGCTTCACCTAGGAGGGAAGAGATCATCTGGTCCTTGAAGGATGTATAGGAGTTTGTCAACTTGTGTTCACAAGAACTTCTGTCAGTTCAGGTCCCTTCATCTTTTGTGCTTGAGTCTCTGGCATTTGAAAGTAAGGGAAGGATGTTAGATTTATGTTAGATATAATCTCTAAACTTGGTGCTGGCCTGTCAGTGGTGAGCCTGAGATATGCCATTCAAATAAATGAGCTCCCTTTTCTTGTCTTAAGTCATTCACAGAATTGATCCAGGTGCTTTACTGTGTTCTCACTTGTGTCACTCAAGAACATGGTACAGAGGAGAGGGCCAAACTCTGAGACTCTGTAGCAAGTTCTTTCAGCAGCTCAATTGCACAGGCTGACTTCTATTCCCCACCCTGGTGCCCACATGACCTCCTACCTGTCCTCTCACCAGGGGTTACCAGAGCCCCCCTTTGCCTGCTGTCCTGACCCACTCTCCCCCAAGATGCATATTTATCTAGCTGGCCCCTGTGCTCAGGGACTCAACAATGCCATGTGTTACTCTGTCTAGGCCCTCCACCCAGTGCCTGGTCGACGCAAAGCCCCTGGAGGCAGGTATCGTTCTTTCCATTTTTCAGAAAAGGAAACAAACTGAAGTTCAACCATTAGCCCAGGGTTCCACAGTTGGGAAGTGGGAGAGCTGGGATTTGGTACCACAGAGCCCGAGGATGGAGATTTCACGTTACCTAATCAGTTCCATGGCTTTAATTGCTGGACATCAAGCGGGGACTTGTGTCCTGACAGGTGGTCTGAGCCATATCCTCATGTGTGGCCCGATGTGTGGTCTGACCTGTGTTCTGACCCACATGACCTGCCAAGAGGCCTGGTGCCTGGCCTACCATTAGGTTGACGCTCTGTCTGACCTGCTTGCCACATGGCCTAACATGTGGATAAGTGGACACAGTGGCTAAAGTTCTGCCCACCCCAGGAGCCATGAGCTGTCTGGTCATTTCTGCTCCCTGGAACTAAAGCCTAGGCTGAGGCAGGCAGGCTGAGAGGCAAAACCATGTCCCTCCTTGTGAGACGAGGCCCATCAAGGCCCACCAGGCATATGGGATGGTGCTATGGGCACACACACACACACCACACACACACACATGCACACACACACGGCAAGGGCTGGCATCCTCCACGAGCACACTCCTGGTCCCTCCATCGCTGTGTGGAGCAAGCTGCTGGCTCTCTGTGATGATGGATGTGCCTCCTTGTGTCGCCCAGCTCTGCCTCCCCCCACATTCTGCCCGCAGGACTTGCTGAGTAAACGACTCCGCCTGGCTGCCTGGCGAGAGTGGTTGACGGAGGGGTCGGGGGAGGGACGGAGGAGCAGAGCCGTTTGTCTGGAGCACCAGAAGGGGAGTTGGCCACTTACGGCTGTGATGGATGGCGATTCGGCTCTGCCATCTGTTGGAGCTGGCAGGCTGCTTAGCACAGCACTGCACACCTGGCTGGGGCATCCCTGTGGAGCGGGGCCCGCCCATGTGGGGGCCAAGGGACCCGTCTTCCAACACACTAGGGCAGGAGGCTGGCAGGGAGGTGAAGGAAAGATTGTACATATGCCCCAAAGAGAGTCTGGTGGGCCTCTCACCTGTTTTCCTTACTCATCAGCCCAGGACCTCTGTGAAGGGACGCTGGGACATGCCTGGGCATTGCTGGGCCAGGAAGAGCCCATTACAACTTAGCCACCCACCTTTTTTGGCAAAGAATATGTGCAAAGCCCTTGGCACAATATCTGGCACACTCATGCTCAATAAAAGCAAAGCAAGTTGGACCATACTTCTTTGTCATCCTGGCTGGCTCCTGGGGGCGTGGGGGCATGAAGATGTTTTCAAGGTCACCTGGCTGCTTGGGTGGGGGCTGGGAGGGAGTGACACTTTCTTAGGTGTTTTGGCCCTGCTAGCCACACCTTCTTCTGTGCTGTGCCCACCCTCCCTCTACGATCCCAGAATGTTAGCATTGCAAGGATCCCTGAGAGTCACCTACTCAGAATTGTCTAATTCACAGATGAACACTGAGGTCCAGAGAGGAGAGAGGCCAAGCTCAATGGCTTGCAGCACTCTGTCCTTCTTCCCAAACCCTCTCTCCCCTCCCCAGAGGGGTCTCTCTTGGGCTTGGGACTGCACCAGGCCCTGCCCTAGTACTTGGGCTTAAATGGATGCCCCCTCATCAGGGCTCTGCTGCTCCATCCCATAACTTCATCTCTTGGGCTTACCCAGTCCTCTTTTGCATGCTCTTCTGCATGGGTCCTAGTCTCTTTCTGGGAGCTTCCTCAGTGTCCAGGTCACAGAGCCCAAACCTCATGCTCTGGGGCCTCCTTCTCCAGGACAAATTTTCTCCAGGGAGGTACCTTGGGGCCTATGGCATCAGCTGCTCTCAACTGTTCCAAGATGAGCTGATTTCCACATCAGTCCTCTGCCTCAGCTTGCAGTCAATTTAGATTGGGCCAAAGAAAAACACAAAGAGGGGCATCTTCCACGCACCTGAATCTGCAGCTGTAAAGCCATAGCTGATCTGGGTAGGGGAGCTTATCCATTTTAAAGTGGAGTTGGGGGTGCCTCCGATGAGAAGAAACAGCATGAGTAAAGGCCTGGAGGAAAGTCAGCTAAAATCACAAATTCTGTTTGGCTGAAATAGAAATTGCAAAGAAGCATCATGATTTTTCCCTGCTGTCATGGTATTTTGTTATTTTGGAGAAGGAAAATGTGGGCATACGTTACTATAATAGGGAGTAAAGTTCCCATAATTCAGAGGGAATTAAGAAGAGGTGATGGTATAGCTGCAATCTGGCAGGGCTTCTTGGAGGAGGTGACATTTTAACTCCCAAATCTTGCTGGAACTCCTTTTTCCATCCTATGACTCCAAGGGAATGAGAAAAAGGGAGGAGAAGTGCCATCAGGGCTCTGGCAGGAAACAGATGGCCTTCCATGTTAGGATAATTGGAGAACGGCTTCGTAATGGGACCATTTATAAAGGTGTGGGCAGGGGGTGGGAACCACATAGCATGCAGCATCCTGGGGCTGGTGACAGCTGAGCTAAAGCTGGGCCTGACATCCCTAGGCCTAAAGGGATGAGGAAAGGGAGCAGTTGCCAGGTCTGGATGCGAGTCTAGGGTAGCCCACTGAAGGGGCTGAACTTCAGTGAAAGGACTCAGTCAGCACAAGGCCACCCCACAGGGAGGGGGTGATACACACATGACCTCACACTCCACCCTCCCACTGAGTTCATCCGGGGGCTCCATGTAGTCAAACTCAAGGGAACCAGAGGTCACAGGAATTCTCGGAGGTGCCTCATGGGAGTGACTCAGCCTCTCAGGGAAGAGGGCAGGGGAGGAGGAGTGGAGCTGGATCTGCAGGATAAAGCGAACAGTCCTAGCACCCCCTCCCCCAGAGGGCCCAGAAGATTTTTTGGGCCCCAGAGGGCGTGAACACAGGAAGGTAAACCCCACTGGCTGAGCCCACAGTGTGCTGAGCAGGTGGGGGTGTGTTCTAGACTGATCACATCCTCACATTCTCAGGACAACCTTGGGAGAGGTGCTATTGTTTCCACTTGGCAGCCGAAGAATTGAGGCTCAGAGTGGTGAAGTGATTTGGCCAAGGCCACACAGCAAGGAGACGGCAGAGTGGGGACTGCGTGGCTGGGGGTCTGTCTGACTCTAAAGACAGTGTGTATTTTTCTGGCACTATTAACACCCCATGGGGGACCCAGCTCCTAGCAGGTACGTGGAGCTGCCTGTGGAGAGGTTGGTGCAGCGGGTGGCATTGGCTGCGGGAGGTGAGTGTTGAAATGCCAAACCTACTTCTAGATGTGACAGCTGCTCTTTGTTTGCCAGGCAGCTGTGGGCTGTAGCTTTCTGTGAGCTGGGGAAGACTGGCTCCCCGAAAAAAACAGGAGCATAATTTGGCTTCTCTTAATTGATTTGCAAATGTACTGAAGAATTGTGGTAATTCCTTTAAATTTTATTCCCATTCAAATTTTGGAGGTAAACATAATGAGAAAGGAAAGTCAGCACCATGTAATGCAGCAAGAAAAAGGTCTAGCATTTTATTTTATTTTTACCCTGGGCATAAGGAAAGCAAACTCACTATGAATACCTCATTATTTGAATTTCAAATATTTCTCTCGAGTTGAACACAAAAGGAAACTTAAAAAAATATTAACACACACTCACACATACATACCCTGAACCATTTCTGCTTTTGAATATGTGACTCAGAATGTCCTAGTTTAGGTTGTAATAGCGCAATTGCAAGAATCAATCAGCCTTAGATAGATGTGTTTACTCAGAAGTGCTTAGAAAGGAGACCAGTCAAAAGAACATTAATATCTTAAAACATTGAAATTATCTTTACCAAAGAACATTAGCTATGAGCATTAATATTTGGGAATTCTTTTTTGCTTGCAAAGTGTCTACATTCAGCTGAGCCCTGAGGTCAGGTTGTGGAGGAAAGTGAGGAAGTAGTTACTCAGATAAAAGCAAAGCATGCTGGAAAGAGCTCAAGAACTGAAGTCCTTCATTTATTCACTCATTCACACAGCAGTTATTAAGCAATAGAGAGTATGGGCTTTGCAGTCAACAGACATAGTGAAAGTCTCTGCTCTATCATTTTATTAACTGTGCCACCTGAGCGAGTTATTTAACTGCTCAGAGCCTCTGCTTTTACATCTGTAAAATGGGATTGATTATAGTGTAGTACTATCAAGCATTGAGGCAAAGAATGACCTTTTAATGAACTCAGCCCAGTACTAGTACAAGGTAAAGTCCTCAACAAATGATAGTGATTTCATGACCTTTTCCATTGAGTGTTCCTATGTCCCAGACATTGCCAAGTATGGGGACAAAGAGGTAAACCAAATGGACATGCTACCTCTCTTCACTGAGCCTACAATCAAGGAGGGGGACTGGGGCAATTACAATGTCATGTTGCACCAAAGATGAGGTTTGGATGCTGGTTGAACTCACTTCTTGGCTGTGTGACCTGAACAAGTCACTTCACCACGCTCATTCTGATTCCTCATCTGGGAAATGGTGATGAAACTTTCTGCCTTTCAGGGAGGTTGTAAAAACCAAGGAGATAAAGCACAAGAAAAAGTTTTGGAAAGGCTGAAGAGTCTTGTTATCGCACCATGAGATAATTGCAAGGGAGGGTTTTGTTCGGGTGTGTTTAACCCTTCTAGGTTTAGAACCCTGGTAGAATCAGGAATGAACACTAAAAAGTTCTGCTACGGCTTGAATGTTTGTGCCCTCCAAAACTCATGTTGAAACAATCTCCAATGTGGCAGCATACAGAGGCGAAGGCTTTAAGAGGTGATTGGATCGTAAGGACTCTGCCCTCATGAGTGGATTAATCTATTTATGGATTCACTGGTTATCTTGGGTGTGGGACTGGTGGCTTTACAGGAAGAGGAAGAGAGACCAGCACTAGCACCCTCAGCCCCCTGTTTATGTGATGTCCTGTGCCACCTTAGGACTGCAGAGAGTTCCCACCAGCAGGAAAGTCCTCACCAGATGCAGTCCCTCGATCTTGGACTTCTCAGCCTCCATAACTGTAAGAAATAAATTCCTTTTCTTTATAAATTACTCAGTTTTGGGTTATAAGTAACAGAAAATGAACGAAGACAAGTTTTCCTCCTTCTGGATCAGGTTTTCTTGGGATTCTCTGGCTATGATTGAATGGCCTTTGTGGCCCATCCGCCTAGGAGTATGTACATTATCCTGAGGACAATGCGAGGGCCAGTGCAGGGTGTCAAGTGGGAAAGCAATAACATCAGTACTGAGTTTTGGGCAAATTCTGACTGTGTATGAGCCTGGACCAGAGGAGTGAGCCTGGAGGCAGAGGTCCCAGAGATGGCTGACAGGGACTCCCTCCTTGACCAAACTTTAGTCAGGCTCCTTTAAGCCTTCTTCTCAATTAGGTTTCATCCTTAGCCTGCAGAACCTAGTTTTAGCAAGAATCCCATCAAGGCATGTTAGCAAGAATCCCTCCCCGGTCCTTGCTCTGAACCAAGTTCCTCTTAGTAATTTCCTATTCATTCACTCCCTCACCCTCCCCTTTAGCTATAAATCCCCAGTTGCCCCTACTGTGTTGATGAGTTCAATCCTGCATGAAGTGTCTCTCCCCCAGTGCAGTAGCCCAAATAAAATCTGTCTTGCCATTAAAAAAAAAATGTGTCTGGTGCAATTTTACCTTGACATGGGGAAAATGCCAAGCATAAGCCAATAAGGACCAGAAGGATGGGAAGGAGAGGACATGCTTTGAAGGTAGAGTCAAATGGTTGATTCTGGGGTGCAGAGAGCAGGGAGTGGAGGAGCTGTCCCAGGCTTCCAGGTGGAGCAACAGAGATGTGGCATCCGGGAGAGACTGTGGCTTTTGAGAAGAGAACACCAAATTTGATTTGGGATTATTGGACTCAGCCCAGTTTGCCTTTGAAGCAATCCCTTTGGTGTTTTCCTTCCAAATGCCACCACTTTGGGCTTCCCCATCCCATTCCCAAGACAACCACTGAGTTCCATGTGGCCCTGCTGTCTCTTGGCAGTTCCCCTTCCCCTTATCAAAACTGATGTTACTCATTCCTTGAAGAATCTGCTTTCCCTGGTGTCAGGTGCTTCATTTAAACAGCAAATCTGGGCTAAGAGATGCCTTCGCTCCTCCACTCTGCAGATATATTTGCATTTTAATGAGGACATTTCAGAGGTAACCCTTTACCCCAAAGACAAGGAAATCAGGTTTCAGAGGCCACAGACTAATGGTGAAGGAGAGCTTTTGAGAGTGCAAAGAATATGGGCTCTGGAATCAGACAAAGTTGAGTTCAAATCCAGGCTCAGAGGAGTCTTTACTTGTAGCTTGGCTGCTTCTAAGAGGGAACTGTTGCCTCCTTTTAGGAGCTAACCTGATATAACTTGAGCAAGCTTGATCCTTTAGTTTTCTCACCGTTTGAGGCCTCAGTTTCGTCATGTGTTGGGGGATGATCGTGCCTCCCTCACGAGCAGGTGCACAGAGCTTCACATCCCAGTGAGTGCTCCCTCATTCCCACCCTCCAGCACACACACTCTGGTGCTTTCCTTTGTGAATTTGAAGTCTCCCCCCCTCCACTCCCACATTCCTCTTCCTTGACCTTTGTGTGTGCTGGGTGTGTGGTCTGAATCCCCAGTGCAGGAGAATTCCAGCTGGAGAGGCTGCTGTTTCTAAAGATGGGTGGAGAGGCCCACCCTTGTTGCATCGCGAGCCAGGAGCAGCGGAAGCCAGGCCTCGCAGAAGGCGGCCCTATAATTAATCTCCCAGCATTCTCGCGACCATTGTCTCTTCCCTGTTGAGATCAGCCAATTAGCAGTTCCACACTCCTCTGCGTGGCAGCCACTTATTAGCGAAGACAAAGGCAGCATTGATTCCAATTTGTCCTGCATTTGGCTGTCTCTGAAGTTAAAGATTGCATTTGGGTAGCAGTGCTGGGGAAGAAACACAGGGGCAATGTAGAAAGAGCTCCTAAAATTAGTCGAAATAATTTTAGCTGTATTGTGAATGGCTAAACCAAATATAAACAGAAGAGAAAAGAAAAATCTTCGTAATGTTAATTACCATAAGCATTAAGTACCCCAAAATGAGGCTTACAATTTGTTTGGTGACACTCCGATAATTAAATCATTTTCTCCCATTGAGGCTCCTGGCAGGTTTGTGAGGAGCCTGGCTCTTCCTAAGTGGTTTTCTCTGGCCCCAAGAGATCCTCAAAATTCTACACCTCAGGTTTCTGAGTCCACAGTTTCTTTCCAGTCCAGGTGAGCTGTGCTATGTTACTGTTCACTTGAGTGATTGCCTGGGTTTTGTGCCAGCCTGAGATACTTGGGGAAGAGCTGGGTTGAAGTCTGGGCTGAAGTGGACAGGAAGATTGCCCACTGCCCATCCATCTGTTCGTCTGTCCATCCATATTCATGTACTTTTGCATTGATGCATTCACCATGTATCTTCTGAACACTTCTTTTGTGCAAGGCATTGAGGGTACAGAGATAAATAAGATACAGTTCTTGCCCTCAAAGAATCTAGCCCAGGGGTGAGGCGGTGTATGTATAAAGAATTACTTATAATACAATGTCAAAATGCCTTATAATGGAGGTATAAGCAAAGTGTTTTGAGAGCAATAAAACACCTAGGGAGTCAGGGAACACATTTCCGAGGAGGTGACATTAGAATCAGGACTAAAAAGGAGCAGGAAATTGGGAGGAGGGACAACCCCACCAAAGAGGACCAAGCAGAGACATAGGCACAGCATTTCCAAGAGCTCTGGCAGGCTTGGGTGAGGGTGAGAAGGCTAATTTAGGGGAAGCCAAGCGTGAATGGAAGGAATGACTGAAGAGGCAGAACACTCAAATGTATTTATTAAGCACTTACTATGTACCTGCACTGTGCCCAGTGTCTTATCCAAGCTACCTGATTTGATCCTCACTCCACCCCCACCCTGAGATGATTATCCCCACCTTGTGCAGATAGGGATTCTGGGGCCCAGGGATTTGACAAACCTGGGAAATCATGGCTGATGACTCAGAGCTGCTCTTAGTCATGATGCAATTTTGCAAGGTTGTGGGCCAGACTGGAGAGAGCTTGGATGCTGGGATGAGGAGCCGGGCTTGATCCTACAGTCAGTGTGCATGTATATCCAGGGGAAGGCCCTGACCTTGAGTGACTCGCCTGATCTAGTTAAGAAGACTTCATCTTCTGTGGGGATGGGAAGGTGGGTTTTGTTGCCTGTTCACTCCTCCTCTTGGCTCTGGGGTATCTTGTGTGCCATGCACTTGCCCCTTATATCCATAGCCCCAACAAAGGCATTGATACTGCCAGGGTGATATTGTCAGGGTGAGGGGCATGTATTGTTATTGTACACTTAGCTATGTGTCCCTCACACATATAGGAGCCCTTTCTCTATGCGATCTCTTCTTGCAACATGTCTGTTATTGTCCTATTAATACCGAGAAGCACAAGTCTCAGATATGGTGTGCGGCTTGCTCAAGGTCATTTGGCCAGTGTGTTGTGGTCCCAGACTTCTATCTGGCTCTAAGGCAAAAGTGACACACTCTTCCAACATTATCTTTTCTCCACTGTAAAACCTACCTATCCTATGTCCTTAGGGAGATGACATGGTTTGTAAAAGAGTTGTTTTGATGATTCTTCCTAATTTGTCTTGTCTCTATAGGATGTGGGGCCTGAAACTGAAAGAAGAATGATCTTGAAGGGGCCTGATTGGGACTGAGCCAAGTGGGGAATGGTCAGTTACTGCTTCCCAAGTGGCATCATTCTTCTTCCAGCACCCACGCCATTTATTTTGTTCCTTCGCAAGACCAAACCTTCTCAAAAGACTGTCTTTGGTTGCTGACTCCAATTCTTCACCTTCCATCCTCTTTTTAATGCTCTCCACCCAAGCTTTGTTCTCAGTCACTCCGGGTCATCATTTTCATCCAGCTCATTCATGACCTCCATGTTCATCCCTCACTCTCATGTTACCCCTTTTGGGAGCCTCTGCTGTGCCAAACCCTTTCTTCCCTAGCTTCCACGATTTTATGCTCATCTGCCTTTTCCCTCCCTCCTGCCGCTCTGGCCACTTCTTTTGGTCTGGATCTTTTTGTCCTGCAGAACTCTCAATGCCATGATTCTCCCCATAGTTTACTGTATTCCAGAGACCAGCTTTTCCCTGTTCTTCTCTTACAGTGGGTTTCTTTTTTTTTAAACCACAATTCAGAGTAAGAAATTCATTTTACATTCTGCCCAGTTAACTACACCTATATGCACCCAAAACAAAAGTGTCACAAAATAATATATTAATCTTTACTGGACACAATGTACCTTGTCCTATTCTATTTTATTTCATTTTTTAAAAATGCTGTTCTTACCTGTGGACCCTTCCTCCATAGACCCCAGCACCAGGCCTGTACCCATGGACCCCAGCTCCAGGCTGGCACCTGTGGCCCTAAGCACCAGGCCAGCCTCATGGATACAGGCCCCAGGCACACCCAATGCTAGGCCAGTCCCTGCAGCCCTATAATCCAGGAGCCCCAGGGTCCAAGCCTACTGCAGTAGACTATGATGTTGGACTGGTCCCTGTGCATCCAGCCTCCAGGGCTGCCAAAGTGTTAGGCTGGCCACTGTGGTCCCAAGCTCTAGGACAGGCCCTGAAGACACATCCTCAAGGCAAGACCCTGCAGGCCAGGTACCAGGCTAGCATCCATGGATCCAGACTCCAGGCCTTCTTTAGCTCCAGGCCAGATACAGGCTCCAGGCTGGTCCCCAAGGCCCTAGGCTCCAGTGAACCCAGGGTCCAGGCCTGCTCTTTTGGACTCAGGGTCCAGAGCTGTTCCAGTCCCCATGGACCCAGATTCTAGGCCAGTCCCACTCTAAGCCTGCTCCAGCACCCTGCTGGGCCCTGCAGACTCAGGTTTAAAGCCTATTCCAATGGACCTGCACACCAGGCCTATCCTGGTGTCAGGTCAGCCCCCAAAGATCCAGTTTGCAGGTCCTCCTTAGTGGATCCTGGAGCCAGACTGTCCTCTGTGGATCCAGGCTCCAGGTCAGCTCCTGAGGATCCAGGCTCTTGGCCCGTGCACTTGCTGACTCAGGTACCAGGCCAGTCTTCTCAAGGGCTCCAGCAGCAAACCTGCCTGCAGACACTACCAGACAGCCAACCTAAAATCTCTGGACCAGTAGTCCAGTGAAGGGCTTTCCCTACCAAACCCAGTCTGTAAAGACTGTCATAGGTACCTGCTTTTCAAATGCACAGAAACCAATACATGACCACAAGGATTACAAATAACCCAAGAAATATGACACCATCAAAGAAATAAGAGACCATAAAGAAATGAAAAGTTATGAGCTCCCTGACAAAGGGTTCAAAATAATCGTCCTAATGAAGCTCAGCGAGCTCAAGAGAACATAGACAACTAAGTGAAATCAGGAAAACAATACATGAACAAAATTAGAAATTTAAGAAAGATATAGAAGTTATAAAAAAGAACCGAACAACTATATGAAAAAGAAATCAAGAAAACAATTCCATTTATAATAGCTATGAAAATAAATACAATATTTAGGAATAAGTTTAACCAAGGAAGTGAAAGATCTGTACACTGAAAACTATACAACATAGATGAAAGAAATTAAGGAAGGTACAAATAAATGAAAAGATATCCCATGTTCATGGATTGGCATAATTAATAGTGTTAAAATGTCCATACTATTCAAAGTGATCTACAGATTCAATGCAATCCCCATCAAAATCCAGTGACATTTTTCACAGAAATAGAAAAAAAACCTGAAATTTATATAAAACCACAAAGACACTGAATAGCTAAAGCAATTGTGAGAAAAAAGAACAAAACTGGAGGTATCACACTACCTAGTTTCAAATTATATTACAAAGTTATAGTAATTCAAACAGCATAGTATTGGCATAAAAATGAACATATAGACCAATGGAACAGAGTAAATAGCCCAGAAATAAATTCATTCATTTAGTCAGTTGATCTTCAACAAAAGTGCCAGGAACACACAATGGGAAAAGGACGGTTTCTTCAATGAACGGTGTTGGGAAAACTAGATAGCCAAATGCAGAAGAATGAATTGGACTTTTATCTCACATCATACACAAAAACCAACTCAAATGGATTAAGGACTTAAATATAAGACCTAAAAGGTAAAACTACTAGAAGAAAACATAGAGAAAAAGCTTTATGACATTGGTCTGGGCAATGATTTTTTTTTTTTTTTTGACCCTAAAAGCACAGGCAACAAAAGCAAACATAGACAAACGGGATTGCATCAAACTGAAATCCTTATGTGCAGCAAAGGAAACAATCAGTAGAGAGGAGATACAACCTAAGGAATGATAGAATATATACGCAAATCATGTATCTGATATACATGTATCCAGATATATATATTCTAACAAAATATATAAGGAAATTATACAACTCAATAGCAAAAAAAAAAACCCTAATTTAAAAATGGGCAAAAGACTTAAATAGCTATTTCTCAAAAGAAGACATACAAATGGCCAACAGGTAATATGAAAAAAATCAACATTGCTAATCATCATGGAAATGCAAATCAAAATCACAATAAATATCACCTCACACATGTTATAATGACTATTACAAAAAAGACAATAATAAGTGTTGGAGAGTATGTAGAGAAAAGGGAACACTTGCACAATGTTGGTGGGAATGTAAATTAGTACAGCCATTATGGAAAACAGTATGGAGGTTCCTAAAAAATTAAAAAATAGAACTACAGCAATCCCACTTCTGGGTATCTACCCAAAGGAAATGGAATGAGTATATCAAAGAGATATCTGCATTTCCATGTTCACTGTAGCATTATTCACAGTAGCCAAGATATAAAAATAACCTAAATGTCCATCAATGAGTGAATGGATTAAAAATGTGGCGTGTGCATGCACGTGCATACACACACACACACAACACAACTCAGTTTTACAAAAGAAGGAAATTCTGTCATTTGTGACAACATGGCTGAACCTGGAAAAATATGCTAAGTTAAATAAGCCAGGCACAGAAGACAAATACTGTGTGATCTCACTTATATGTCAAAGCTAAAAATGTCAATCTCATAGAAGCAGAGAGTACACTGGTGGTTGCCAGGGGCTGGGGTTGGGGGATGGAGAGATATTGGTCAAAGAGTGCAAAGTTTCAGTTGGACAGGATAAAATAAGTTCTGGAGATATGTTGTACAGCATGGTGACTGATATAGTTTGGCTGTGTCCCCACCCAAATCTTATCTTGAATTGTACTCCCACAATTCCCACGTGTTGTGGGAAGGACCTGGTGGGAGATCATTTGAATCATGGGGGCGGTTCCCCCATATTGTCCTCGTGGTAGTGAATAAGTCTCATGAGATCTGATGGTTTTATCAGGGGTTTTGCTTTTGCACCTTCCTCATTTTCTCTTGCCGCATCCACATAAGAAGTGCCTTTCGCCTCCTGCCATGATTCTGAGGCCTCTCCAGCCATATGGAACTGTAAGTCCAATTAAACCCAACCTCTTTTGCTTACCAGTCTCGGGTATGTCTTTATCAGCAGCGTGAAAATGGACTAATACAGTGACTATAGTTAATGTATTGTATACTTGAAAATTGCTAAGGGAGTAGATCTTGAATGTCCTCATCACAAAAAATAAGCATATAAGGTGATGGATATGTTAACTTGCTTGATGTAATAATTTCACATGTTTATATGCATCAAAAACATCATATTGTATACCACAAATGTATACAATTTTTGTCAATTGAAAACACCTTTAAAAAAGAAAAAACCTAACACCCTTAAAAAATGCTGATCTTGACCCATTACATCAATTTTGCAAACCACCAGTGGGCTTTGGACCATTATTTGAAAAACACTGTTCTAATGTGTCAAATTACCTCCCACTGAGGGGCCTTTGCACTTGCTGTTCCTATCACATGGAATTTTCTTTCTCTAGGGAGTCTCATAGTTTTTTCCTTTTTTTCTTTCATGTTTCAGTTCAGAAATCTTTTCCTCAAAAGGTACTTCCTTGACTACCCCGTCTAAAATAACTCTATTAATCCATCTTTCTCTCTCCCTTTACCCTGCTCATCTTCTTTGCATCTTTTATTATTTGAAATTATATTGTTTATTGTTATATGTTTATTATCTATCTCTAAAGGAGATAATTTATCTACTTTGTTCATGGATGTGGCCTCAGTGCCCAGAACAGGCCTGGCAAACAGTGGGTACTTAATAAATGAGTGACAGCTTCATTTGGGTAGCTGTTGGCCATACTAGCTCTTTCAGCAGTTGGATCAGGGCATTGATTCACATCCACGGAAAACCCAGGTCTTCTGCTATTAATCAATCTGCCTGTTTGTGTATATATCTTTTCCTTTTAGTCTCATTCAACATAAGATTTTTAGTGACCTGTAAAAATACTTAAAATTCAGAATGATAGAACATTAACTTGAGAGATGAAGTTCAAAGAAAAAAAGAGGTGGAAAAATAATAAAGCCAGCATGTGTCAGTCAGGCTGGTTCTAGCTATAAGTGTTAAACAATTAGCTCATTTATTATCTTTTATTGTCTTACATAACAGGATGTCTTAGTCTGTTTTCTGTTGCTATAACTGAATACCTGGAACTGGGTAATTTATAAACAAAAGAAGTTTATTTTGGTTTATGGTTCTGGCAGCTGGAAAGTCGAAGATTGGGCAGTGGCATCTGGTGAGGGTCTTGCTAGTGGGCAGAGTCCCAAGGTGACCCAGGGCATCATATAGCAAAGGGGTTCACAAAAGAGCTAACCAGGCTTTTATAGCAGATCCATTCTCAAGATCCCTTCTGTGACAACCCATTCATAATAACTCCCGTGATAACTCATTACTCCATTAACCCGTTAGTGCATTAAAGCACACCAACTCCAGGGGGATGGCCCAGGAACCCAGGTTTCTTCTATCTCTGCTCTGTCATTTTTTTCTTTATCCTCAGGCTGTCAGCATTTTTAGGGATCATATGCCAGCATCATGATGCCTAAAGGAAGGAAAAAGACCACATTTTCTTAGGAAGGAAAAAGAAACTTCCCAGATGCCCCAAGCAGACTTTCCTTCACTAATTCTTATTGGCCAGGAATGGGCCCCTTTTCCACTCCCAAACCAATTATGGACAAGGGGAATGGACTTCCCATGGCTGGCTTAGATTAATCATGGGGGCTGAAATGAATAATGGAGCATCTACTATAATGCCTGTGACACCTGGGGCAAACTGACTTACACACCATGAGATACTCAGAAATACAGAGACCATGTGGTCTAGTACAGTTGCTAGAGGTGGGCTGCAAATTTAGCTCTGAGTTTCCCAGAATCCAAAGCAAAAAGGGGAAACCAAATCTTAAAAATGTACGGTACTCATCCATTTTTAAATAAATCAATTGTTTAGGATCATCCCAGCATATTCTGATACTGAGATCTGAAAATTTCTCCCATTGGTCTTCATCAGTAAGACACTGTGGTGCACCACTTCCAGGCCATACCTCCATGTTCAGTCTAGTAGCAGGTATCATATAGCTGTTTCTTATAATGTCCCAATGCAAGCTAAAGAGAAAATCCCAAAGCCCTAGCACCAACGCACAATTTAAAAAGTGGTTTGGCACTTTGGGAGGCCGAGGCAGGCAGATTACGAAGTTAGGAGATCAAGACCATCCTGGCCAACACGGTGAAACCCCGTCTCTACTAAAAATACAAAAATTAACAGGGCATGGTGGTGTGCGCCTGTATTCCCAGCTATTCGGGAGGCTGAGGCAGGATAATCACTTGAACCAGGGAGTTGGAGGTTGCAGTAAGCTGAGATCGTGCCACTGCATTCCAGCCTGGCGACAGAGCAAGACTCCATCTCAAAAAAAAAAAGGTGATTTGGGGTAAGAGAAGGAGATGATGGGAGAGGGGGCTGGAATGAACAGTGCAATTTCCATACTGGCTTTCTGATAAAATGCACTGAATTTTATCCAAGAGGAGAATTTAGACTAGGTAAAAGAATGGATGGATTATTCATCCTTCAGGCGGCCCATCATGAATATCATTTCTTTCAGTAAAGTTTTTGATAAAGAAGGGCAGCAGAGAGTTTGAGGTTGTGTTTTCTGGAAAAAACCTGCTGTGCAGATTTTCTCAAATATTCATATATTTTGACAGTTGGCAGAGTAGATGAGACATTTTTTAAATAAAAATTGATGTTCTCAACCAGAACATGTACCTGAATGGATGTCACAGTTGTGGGTGCTGTTACACTCAGCTTCCCCATGCTCATGAAATTGATATTTTAAACCCATATTCAAGGCTTTATACCTATCTAGGGTGACCAAGTTCCAGACATTTCATTTTTAGTTGTGTCCTTTTTATTCTTAAATGTGACCCATTTTGTAAATAAATTATATGGCCACTCTGTACTCATCTCGACTGGAGTTCATCTTTTTGGCCATCCAACCCAGCAGAACCTTGAAATCTTGAGTCTGTTGCAAAATGCGTTTGCTCTTCCACCCACAAACTGATCATATACTGTGTCATCCATGTCTTATTTCAAGGGCCACATTTGAGAAGTTGGATAAGGATGTATAGAACATAGGCTGTTGGGGTGTGTGTGTGTGTGTGTGTGTGTATGAGTGCATGGGCACTGTCAGTGTGAAGTTGAGGGCATGTGCAAATTTTGTGTGTGTGTGAAGGTGAATAGCTTAGCATTTATGTGTCCCAGTTGTGTGGGTCTATGTGTTTGATGGCATGGCATTCACATTTGAGTATTTGTGCGAATCCTGCCTTTTTAGATAATCTGCAATTTTCCAAGGCCAAGTGATGTTAGAATAGCTAGCAAACTGAGGTTCAGAGGGGCTGCACAACCTAGTGAGCAGTTTGCAGCATCACTGTCATTTTAGAATGAGAAGCATCCTCAGAGAACTGTATTTCAACTTCCTCTCTGTACACATAGGGAAATCAAGGGCCAGAAAGTTTAAGTGTGTACTCAAGGTTACACAGTGGGTTAAGCAATGGAAATAAACCCCTTTGAATCCATCTCTTTAGTTTTCGACACTTATCTATCTTGCATAACTCAAATGAAGCTTGATTAATACACCCTGAATTTCAAAACTTAGGACAAAACTCTCCCTATCCTGGTATGTTGACAGTTTGTGCCCAAACTCTTGTAGACCGTTTGGGTGTGAGTACTGATCTTCTCGGTCTAATTCCCCATTCTTCTTCATCTCACCTCCCCCATGTGTATTTTTGATTTTAGCTGAAGGCGGAAAGTTCGACTAGGACTTGTCACAGCTCCTACTTGGCTAGAAGTTTCCAGGCCTGATCCTTGGTATCCCCTAGGGTCCCCTCACTTATTGAAGGAAAGCAGAACAAAGCCCAGGTAGGTAGCAGTGTAAATGGCTAACTGGCTGTGGGCACCCTCTCCTAACCTGACAGTCTTTCCCCAAGCCCCAGATTCCCTGCTAGGCAGCTACTGTGCCTTTGAAGCTGGAGCCTGTGTTACTGCTCATTTGAAAAATGATAAATCTTAAAGCAATAAAATTTACACTTCGTCCTGGCTGCTCTAGCCATGGCTTCAACAACCTTTCAGCTTGCTTGCAAGTCACCTTTTTAAGGGGAGCTTCCATTTTCTCCAAGCTCAGTGGAACATTGCCTCTAAAACACATTTGCAAGGAATATATTGTGGGTTGGAAGGAAATGCAAAGCAATACTCAGGTAAAATAACCCTCAGGTCAAAGAGGTAATCACAACGGAAATAAGAAAATATTTTGAACTGAACAAAAATGAAAATAGGAACACATCAAAAACTTGTGGGATGCAGCTAAAACAGTCCTCAGCGCTAGCGTTCTTAACCTCAGGTAAGAATTCAGAGATCTTGTGAACTTGGCTGGGAAAAAGATACAAATCTGTTTTAAGTAACCTGGAGCAGAAATTTAGCATTTCCTTCAATTAGAAATGTAAGTAGCAGACCACAATTGTATTAGTGGTATGGGTTACTTTGTTGCCAATAGATAACACATATATTGAATCGACACTGCCCATCAATTTCAAGATTGAGGCAATTTATTTTCTCTGCCTTGGTCTCACAATGTGCACTCAGGCTCGCATAGATACAGGGGCAGAAATGACAACAGTTTATGTTTTTTTATTGCTTTATGAGCTATGTCAGCATAAGCTCCAAGGAAAGATGCCCAGAATTTTGCCAAAGAGGTGGCATGGGCAAGATTTTCAGGTTACCATTACAAGGAAACATCTGCAAGTGTATCTTGTGAAGAGGCCAATTCACTAGACATATACAGCAGTCTGAAAAGGTCTCAGATACACTATCAGTCTTATTTATTTTTCCAAAAACCTTTTAAAATATTGAAATATAGATTTGCAGGATGTTGCAAAGATAAAAGAGAGAGGTCTAGAGGACCCTTCACCCAGTTTCTCCCATTGGTTGCATCTTATGTAACTATGGTATAATATCAAAACCAGGATATAGCCATCGATCTATTAATATATACAGTTTTATGTATTTACTTTATCACAAATATAGCTCTGTGTAACCACCACCACCATCAAGATACATAACTATTCCATCACTACAAAAGTCTCCTTCATGCTACTCCTTTATGATTACTCCCCTGAACCCAGCCCATGACCCTTCCTAACCTCTGGCAACCACGGATCCATTCTCTGTCTTTATAATTTTGTTTTTGCAAGAATACCATACAAGTGGAATCATCCATTCTGAGACTTTTGAGATTAGCGTCTTTTTTCATTCAGATAGTGTCCTTGAGATCCATCCAAGTTGTACTGTGTATTAATATTTAGTTCCTTTTTATTGCTGCATGGGATTTCAAGGTATGAGTGTACTAACTTGACCATTCACTGATTGTAGAACATTTCAGTTGTTTCTGATTTTTGACTATGAACAATTGTGTACATGTTTTTGTGTGAATATGCTTCATTTCTCTGGGATAAATGCCCAGTAGTATGAATGCTGAATTGTATGGTTTAAATGTACGTTTAGTTTTTAAAGAATCTTCCAAACCATTTTCCAGAGTACTGTACCATCTTACATCCCCATCAGCAATGTATGACAAGTCAGATTTATCTGCATCTTCAGCATTTGGCATTGTCACTCTTTTAATTTTAACTGTCCTATTAGATGTGTAGTGATATTTCCTTCTGGTTTAATTTGCATTCCCCAATGGCTTGTGATGTTGAAGTTTCATGTGCTTATTTGTTACCTTATGGTCTCTTGGGTGAAATGTCTCCTCATATTTTTTTTTAAATCTATTTTCTGCTTGGCTTGTTTGTTATACTGTTGAGTTTTTTAAACATTATGGTAAATGACACATTACATAAAATTTACCATCTTAATCAGTTTTAAATGTATAATTCATTAGTGTTAAGTATATTCACATTGTTGTGCAACCAATCTCCAGAATTTTTTTATCTTGCAAAACGGAAACTCCATACCCATCAAGCCAGGGGTTCCCAACCCCTAGGCCATGGACCAGTACCAGTCTGTAAGAACTGGGGCTGCACAGCAGGAGGTGAGCAGCGGGTGAGCAAGGATTACCGCCAGAGTTCTGCCTCCTGTCAGATCAGGGGCAGCATTAGATTCTCATAGGAGTGTGAACCTTATTGCAAACTGTGCACGTGAGGGATATAGGTTATGTGCTCCTTAAATTATGAGAATCTAATGCCTGATGATCTGAGGTGCAACAGTTTCATGGCAAAACCATGCCCCTGCCCAGGTCCTTGGAAAAATTGTCTTACATGAAACTGGTCCCTGGTGCCAAGAATGTTGGGGACTGCTGCATTAAACAACCATTACCCATTTTTCCCTACCCTTGTCCCTGATAACCACCACTCTACTATTTGTTTCTATGAATTTGACTACTCTAGATACTTCATATAAGTAGAATCATACAGTATTTTTCTTTTTGTGACTGGATTATTTCACTTAGCATAATGTCCTTAAGGTTCATCCATGTTGTGTTATGTGGTATGTGTCAGAATTTCCTTCTTTTTTAAGGCTGAAGAATATTCCACTGTGTGTGTATTATACATACTGAGTGTGTATAATATGTTTTATCCATTCATCCGTTGATGAACACGTGGGTTCCTTCCACCTCTTGGCTATTTTGAATAATGTTGCCATAACATGCATGGGTTTACAAATATTTGTTCAAGATTCTGCTTTCAGTTTTTTTTGGGATATATACCCAGAAGTAGAATTTCTGCATCATCTGGTAATTCTATTTTTATTTTTTTGATGCTATGTATGTTTGCTCCATACTGTTTTCCATAGAGGCTGCACCACATTACATCACCACTAATAATATATAAGGGCTCCAGTTTCTCTACGTCCTTGACAACACTTATTTTCTGTTTTTTGTTTGTTTGTCTGTTGGTTGTTTGGTTTGTTTAAATAGTAGCTATCCTAATGAGTATGAGGTGATACACTGTTGAGTTTTGAGAGTTTTAAAATATATCCTGGATACTAGTCCTTTATCAGGTAGTTTGAAAATAGTTTCTCTCAGTCTGTAGCTTGCCTTTTTATCCTGTAAATATGGTCATTTTCAGAGAAAATTTCATATTTTTGATAAAGTTCAATTTATTACTTTTTTCCTGTATAGATTGTGCTTTTGGTGTTATATTAAACTTGATGAGTTCTTCATCAAGCCCTAGGTCCAGAAGATTTTCTCATGTTTTCTTCTAAAAGTGTTTATAGTTTTATGTTTTACATTTAAGTCTAGGATGTATTTGAGTCAATTTTTTTACGTAAGGTTTAGGTCAAGTTTCCTTTTTTAAGCCTATGAATATCCTATTACTCCAACATCATTTGTTGAAAATAATATTGTATTTATTTATTTAGCCTGTTAATATGGTGAATTACGTTGATTGATTTGCAAATATTGAATCAGTCCTACATCCTGAAATAAATTCCATTTGATTGTGATATATGATTCCTTTTATATATTGCATCACATATTTTGCAGTTTTTTTGTTTGGTGCATATACGTTCAGAATTGCTATGTCTTCTTGGTGGGTTGATCCTTTTATCATTATATCATTTCTATTCCCATTTTTGGTAATTTTCTTTGCTCTGATTGTGTTTTATCTGATATTTGTGTAGCCATTCCTTTCCTTTGATTAATGTTTGCATGATATCTCTTTTTCCATCTTTTCACTTTCAACTTGCCTATATTGTTATTGTTGAAGTGAGTTCCTCATAGACATTACATAGTTGGGTCACTAAAAAAAATGCATTTTGCCAGTCTCCATCCATTTTGCCAATCTCCTTCTCTTACTTGGTGTATTTAGATCACTTACATTTAATGTAATTATTAATATGTTAGGGCTTAAGTCTGCCATTTTAGTTTTGTGTTCTTTTCGTTTTGTTTTCTTTTTCTTACCTTTCTGTAGTTTACTTGAACATTTTTAATAATTCATTTTTTTTTTTTTTAGATGGAGTCTCGCTCTGTTGCCAGGCTGGAGTGCAGTCGCATGATCTCGGCTCACTGCAACCTCCACCTCCTGGGATCGAGCGATTCTCCTGCCTCAGTCTCCCGAGTAGCTGGGACTACAGGCACGGGCCACCATGCCCAGCTAATTTTTGTATTTTTAGTAGAGATGGGGTTTCGCCATGTTGGCCATGGTCTTGATCTCCTGACTTTGTGATCTGCCCGCCTCAGCCTCCCAAAGTGCTGGGATTACAGGTGTGAGCCACCGTGCCCGGTCAATAATTCATTTTGAATTATTGTAGTATTTTGAGTATATCTCCTTGTGTAGGTTTTTTAAAAAGTGGTTGTTCTAGGTATTACATTATACATACATAACATCACAATCTATTGGTACCAACATTTGTCAATTTGAGCAGTAAGAAACCTTATCTCCCTTCATATTCCTTTATCTTCCACAGTTTATAATTTGTAATATAATTGTCTTAAATATTTCCTGTACATACAGTGAGAACCACATCAGAGAGGGTTATAATTCTTCCTTCAACACCAAACATAATTTAGAAAACTCAAGAGGAGAAAGAAAGTCTATTTGGTTTGCCCATATTTTTATTCTTTTCATTGTTCTTTCTGCTTTCCTGATATCCCAAGATTCCTTATTGCACAATTTCCTTTCTACATTTCCTTATTATTCTATCTTCAAGTTTAAGTTCATTTAACAATTCTTTTAGGGTAGGCCAATTGGCTGTCGATTGGCTACAATTTGTCTTAGTTTTTAAAATCTGAGAATATCTTGATTTCCTCTTTCTCTTTTTTTTTTCTGTGACAGGGTCTGGCTCTGTGGCTCAGGCTGGAGTGCAGTGGTGTGATCTCAGTTCACTGCAACCTCTGCCTCCTGGGCTTAAGCCATCCTCCCACCTCAGCCTCCTGAGTAGCTGGGACTACAGGCATATGCCACTACACCTGGCTAATTTTTGTAATTTTTGTAGGGACAATGGCCATGTTGCCCAGGCTGGTATCAAACTCCTGAGCTCAAGTGATCTGCCCACTGCAGCCTACCAAAGTGTTGGGATTACAGGCGTGAGCCACCATGCCCGGCCTCCTCTTTATTCCTGATGAATGTTTTTGGTGGATATAGATTTCTTGTTTGACAGCTGTTTTCTTTCAGCACTTGAAAAATATTGTGCCACTTTCTTCTGGCATTCATGGTTTCTGATGAGAAATCACTATCATTTGAATTGTTTTACTCCTGCAGGTAAGGTATCTCTCTGCTTAAAGTATTTTCTTTGCCTTTACTTTATGAAATTTTGACTATAATTTGTTTTGGTGTGGGTTTCTTTGGGTTTATCCCATTTGGGATTCACTGGGTTTCTTAAATTCATAATTTTGTGTCTTTTGCAAAATTCAAGATATTTTCAGCCATTACTTGTTTGAATACTTTTTCAGCCCATTCTCTTTTTCCTCTCTTTCTATGACTCTGATGGCATGAATGTTAGATCTCTTATTAAAATTCCACACTCTCCTGAGATCCTGTTCATTTTTTTTCCAGTCAATTTTCTCTCTGGTGTTTAGATCTAGTATTTTCTATTGTTCAGCAAGTTCACTGGCTCTTTTATCTGTGTTCTCCTTTGTTCTATTGATATAGTCCTTTGAGTTTTAAATTTTTGGTTATCATATTTTTTAGTTTTAAAATTTCCATTTAGTTCTTCTTCACATCTTCTATTTTGTCAATTTTTTGGCAGAATTTGTTTCAAATGTGTTCATAATTGTTTGACAAAGCATTTTTATGATGGTTGCTTTAAAATCCTTGTCAGATAATTCTAACATCTAATGTCAACTCAGTGCTGGCATCTGTTGATGTTTTTTTCTCATTCAAGTTGAAATTTCCCTGGTTCTTGGTATGGTGAGTGATTTTAGACTGAAACCTGGACATTTTAGGTATACTGTTACAAGACTCTGTATTTTCTTTTCCTTTTATTTTATTTTTCTTCTTTTTTCTGAGGCAGAGTCTCACTCTGTCACCCAGGCTGGAGTGCAATGGCACAATCTTGGCTCACTGCAACTTCTGCCTCCTGGGTTTAAGTGATTCTCCTGCCTCAGCCTCCCAAGTAGCTGGGAGTACAGGTGCCTTCCACCATGCCTGGCTAATTTTGGTATTTTTAGTAGAGATGGGGTTTCACCATGCTGGCCAGGCTGGTCTCAAACTCTTGACCTCAAGTCAAGTGGTCCATCCACCTTGGCCTCCCAAGTGCTGGGGTTACAGGTGTGAGCCACCACACCCAACCTGTATCTTATTTCAGTCAACTGTTTTAATAAGCTTCTTCTGGCATTGTTCTGGTGGAGAAAAGAGAATGGCCTATCATTCCTGTAAGGTGGGAATGAAAGTCCAGTTTCCCATCATTCTCAGCAAACTATCGCAAGGACAAAAAACCAAACACTGCGTGTTCTCACTCATAGGTGGGAATTGAACAATGAGAACACTTGGACACAGGAAGGGGAACATCACACACTGGGGCCTGTTGTGGGGTGGGGGGAGGGGGAGGGATAGCATTAGGAGATATATCCAATGTAAATGACGAGTTAATGGGTGCAGCACACCAACATGGCACATGTATACATATGTAACAAACCTGCACGTTGTGCACATGTACCCTAGAACTTAAAGTATAATAAAATATATATATATATAAATAAAATTAAAAAAAAAAGAAAGTCTAGTTTCCTTATTCAGCCGTAACTGACATTGTAGTGGGGCAAGAACTGCTTGTTACTGCTCTGTTGGAGTAGGAGTTCAGGTTCTACATTAGGCCTCTACTGATACCATCTGGGCGGGAAGAGGGAGAAATACTTTGTTTCCAGATGGCCTCCACTAACATAACAAGGGTAATGGTAGTGGAGTGGCCTCATTAACTGGGTGGTGGTGAAAATCCTGGCTCTCCACTAGGCCTCCTCTGATACCACTTAAGTGGGAAGTGGGAGGAGCACCTTGATACCACTGGGCAGGGGTGGACGTCCAGGCTCCCCATGTTATCTCTACTGACACCACACAGAGAAGTCTTATTAACAGTTGGCAGAGATAGAAGTCCCAGATCTCTACTTGGCCTTTTCTGACACCACACTAGTGGGGGATAGGACATCTCATTGTAGTCTGGTGAAAATGGAAGTCTAGGCTCCCCACTCAGTCTTTGCTGGTAGGGGTGGGAGTGGGACCACAGTTTTTCTGTGATATGTGACTGGAAGAGAGAGAAGTTATTTTCTAGAGTTTTCTATTTTGCTAAGCTGCTCCTTTGTCTAGAGGGTGTGGGCTTTGACTTAGAGATTTTTTTTTTTTTCTGTCTACATTCATTGACATTTCCAGGTTGTTGGCTTCTCCAGCGCCCAGTGGGACATATGAGGCAAAGAGAAAATTCAAAGAGCTCCCTGCTGAGTCATTCCTTGGGTCCTGAAGTCCCCAGCCAGTTTGTCTTCTTCTCACCACCTTTCAGAGTCTTATGTTTGTTTTATAAGTAATTTTCAGGGTTTGTAGCTATACTTAGCAGGAAGACTAGTGTAAAGCATACCTACTGTATCTTTCTGGAAGCAGAAGTCCAGTCTTATGTACTAAGACAATGGAAGAAGAAGAACAACAACAAAATCAAGCTTTTTGCAGATATTGGGGCACTTTGATTATTTTGTCTGAAGGCAATGTCAGCAAATTGAAGTGTCAGTTTGACTGAACTCTTGGGCATCACCATAATTAATATCAGGCCTTGGTGTGGTTATTAATAATATACCTCAACTGTTTTACAGATTTTGATTGAGTGTATTCAACCTTGAAAGAAGAAACTTGCTAAATAAGCTGGTTTTGTGAGTCACTTCATCATTAAGGTGAACAATAAATTTATTCAGCTCATTGATGTTTTTACACTTAGTTTTGATGTCTCAAAACCACTGGCTAACATCTCTCCTTGCAAAACCAGTGTATATTAGTGAGACAGAACCAGCTTTTCAAGGCACTTTGCATAGGATAGCAATTCAAAACACATCTTATTACAAAATTTACCCACTTTAGTTCCCTATTGAAAACACTAACAAAATCAGGAGGCAGACACTTTCAGGTGAAGCATTCTAGGGTAAGAGAGGCAATGATTCCAGCTGTATCCAATGTGTGCCCAAGGCCAGCTACTGCCACTCCTGCAGTTGTGCCTGTCAGAATTCTAGCTCCATCTGCTCACTTTCTCCAATTGATACCATGGTTTTCCCTGGAACTCATATTATCTTGTTGAAATTTCCTTAACCAGTTATTTTACTATCAAGAAATTTGCATTTAATGTCTTATAGGCATCATCATTAAACATAGATCCATAAACATAGATCCATAAAATGCCCTCCACGTCAACATCTGTTCAGTCACATGACTGTAAGGTAAAGAACCCACTTAACCTAGGTCTCCCAACTGGTTGCTCAAATATGCCTCTCAAACACATTAAAATGCATTATTTTATGGTTCAGCCTGGAAGAGCAAGTTTTCTAGCGTGGCTGCTTCTTTTTGCTCCAAAACATCCTGCCATATCTACACCCCGGTTCCTCATCTTCTCTTCCCTGACTTGGAAGGGCTTTTCTTTCCAAGGTGATTTTTTGAAAAATTGTGATAAAATATACATAACATAAAATTTATCATTTTGACCATTTCTAAGTGTACAGTTTAGTGGCATTAAGTACATTCACATTGTTATGGAACTATCACCACCATCCCTTTCCAAAATTTTTTCATCTTTGCTAACTGAAACTTTATGCTCATTAAACAATTCTCCATTCCTCCTTCCCCTCCAGCCCCTGGTAACCACCACTCTACTTTCTGTTTCTCTGAATTTGACTGCTGTGGGTACTGCCTATGAGTGGAATTATACAGTATTTGTACTTTTGTGACTGGCTTACATAACTTAGCATAATGCCCCCAAAGTTTATTGATGTTATAACATGTGTCAAAATTTCCTTATTTTTAAATTGAAGTTCCTTATTAAAATTTTAAAACATTTTAAATTGTTTTTAATTGAAAAATAATTTTGTGTATTTATTGGGTTACAATGTGATTTTTATTTTTTTGGAGACTGAGTATCAAGCTTTCACTATGTTGCCCAGGCTGGTAGTGAACTCCTGGGCTCAAACGATCCTCTCATCTTAGCCTCCTGAGTAGCTGGGATTACAGTGGGCACCACCATGCCTGGCTACAGTGTGATGTTTTGATCTATGTATACATTATAGAGAGATCCAATCAAGCTAATTAACATATCCATCGCCTTATCAACTTATTTCTTTTTGTGCTGAGGACATTAGAAATCTATTATTTTTTGCAATTTTGAAATATATGATACATTTATTAACTGTGATCACCATGCAGTACAATAGATTACTAAAATTTATTCCTCTTTCTAACTGAAACTTTGTACCATTTGATCAACATCTTTCCTTTCCCCATCCCTCCCACCCTCCGACAGCCTCTGGTAACAACCTTTTAAACTCTCTGCTTTTATTAGATCAACTTTTTAAGATTCCACCTATAGGTGAAATCATACAGTATTTTTCTTCTTTGCCTGGCTTATTTCATTTAGTATAATGTCCTCCAGGTCCATTCATGTAGTCATGAATGACACAATTTTCTTCTTTTTAAAGGCTGTGTAGTATTCCATTGGGTATATATATACACCACATATTCTTTATCCATTTATCTGTTTATGGACCCTTAAGTTGCTGCCCTAGCTTGGCTATCCTGAATAATGCTGAAATAAACATGAAAGTGCAGACATCTCTTCAACATACTGATTTCAATTTCTTTGGACATATACTCAGAAGTTGGATTGCTGGATCATATGGTAATTCTATTTTTAGTTTTTTAAGGAACCTCCATACCATTTCCCCAAGTTGCTGTACTAATTTATATTCCCACCAATAGTGTGCAAGGGTTCTCTTTTCTCCATATTCTCTCCAAAACTTGTTGTCATTCATCTTTTTCATAATTGCCATTCTAATAGCTGTAAGATGATATCTCATTGTAGTTTTAATTTGCATTTTTGTGATGATTAGAGATGTTGGTATTTTTCATATGTCTGTTGGCCATTCATACGTCTTCTTTTGAGAAGTGTCTGTTCTTATCCTTTGCCCATTTTAAAATCAGGTTATTTGTTTTCTTACTATGGAGTTGTTTGAATTTCTTATATATTTTGGATATTAGCCGCTTATCAGATGTGTGGTTTGCAAATATTTTCTCCCAATTCATGGGTTGTCTCTTCACTCTGTAAATTGTTTCCCTTGCTGTGCAGAAGCTTTTTAGTTTGATGCAATCCCATTTCTCTATTTTTGCTTTTGTTGCCTAAGCTTTTGGAATCCTGTCCAAGACATCATTGCCTGGACAAATGTCATGAAGTTTTTCCGCTATGTTTTCTTTTAGTAGTCTTACAGTTTCAGGTCTTACTTTTAAGTCTTTAATCCATTTTTTTTTTTTTTTTTTTTTTTTAGATAAAGTCTTGCTCTGTCACCCAGGCTGTAGTGCAGTGGGACGATCTCAGCTCACTGCAACCTCTGCCTCCAGGGTTTAAACAATTCTCCTGCCTCAGCCTCTCCAGTAGCTGGGATTACAGGAAACTGTCACCATGCCCAGCTAATTTTTGTATAATTCATTTTGAATTGATTCTTTTTTTTTTTTTTTTTTGAGCAATAAAGCTTTTTAATCACCTGGGTGCAGGCGGGCTGAGTCCAAAAAGAGTCAGCAAAGGGAGATAGGGGTAGGGCCATTTTATAGGAGTTGGGTAGGTAGTGGAAAATTACAGTCAAAGGGGTTGTTCTCCGGCAGGCAGGGGCGGGGGTCACGAGGTGCTCAGTGGGGGAGTGTCTGAGCCAGGAGAAGGAATTTCACAAGGTAATGTCATCAGTTAAGGCAGGAACTGGCCATTTTCACTTCTTTTGTGATTCTTCACTTGCTTCAGGCCATCTGCATGTATACATACAGGCTTGGGCTCAAAGGCCTGACAGGAACCTTTAAGAACATTTAGAAACTCTACTCCAAAAGTCTGTTTAAAAGTTGGTCGTCTGGAACTGGTTAGATTCTTAGCCCACAACAGCAAAGTCTTTAACCCATAAATCTGCAATATTTACAATATTATTTTAAGTACAGTATCTAACCAGGACCACATTGTTTATGCTCCAAGACAATGCCTCTCATCTTGTTTGCACGTCTCTGTTACTCCCAGGGCTGAATTCACTTTCTTTTATTTTAGTCATATGTATTTCCTTTAGATTCCTATTAATACTTCCATTTAAACACTTGACCACAGCATATGACAAAATTTTGTTTTCACATCTTCCTCTCACTTCTAGATGATGAACCCTCTAAGAGCAGGGTTTTCTTTTATTATTATTATTATACTTTAAGTTTTAGGGTACATGTGCACAATGTGCAGGTTAGTTACATATGTATACATGTGCCATGCTGGTGTGCTGCACCCATCAACTCGTCATTTAGCATTAGGTATATCTCCTAATGCTATCTCTCCCCTGTCCCCCCACCAGACCCCAGAGTGTGATTGTCAGGCCTCTGAGCCCAAGCCAAGCCATCACATCCCCTGTGACTTGTACATATACGCCCAGATGGCCTGAAGTAACTGAAGAATCACAAAAGAAGTGAAAAGGCCCTGCCCCACCTTAACTGATGACATTCCACCATTGTGATTTGTTCCTGCCCCACCTTAACTGAGTGATTAACCCTGTGAATTTCCTTCTGGCTCAGAAGCTCCCCCACTGAGCATCTTGTGACCCCCGCCCCTGCCCACCAGAGAACAACCCCCTTTGACTGTAATTTTCCATTACCTTCCCTAATCCTATAAAACAGCCCCACCCCTATCTCCCTTTGCTGACTCTTTTCAGACTCAGCCCACCTGCACCCAGGTGAAATAAATAGCCATGTTGCTCACACAAAGCCTGTTTGGTGGTCTTTTCACACGGACGCACATGAAAGTGATGTTCCCCTTCCTGTGTCCATGTGTTCTCATTGTTCAATTCCCATCTATGAGTGAGAACATGTGATGTTTGGCTTTTTGTCCTTGAGATAATTTACTGAGAATGATGATTTCCAATTTCATTCATGTCCCTACAAAGGACATGAACTCATCATTTTTTATGGCTGCATAGTATTCCATGGTGTATATGTGCCATATTTTCTTAATCCAGTCTATCATTGTTGGACATTTGGGTTGGTTCCAAGTCTTTGCTATTGTCAATAGTGCCGCAATAAACATACGTGTGCATGTGTCTTTATAGCAGCATGATTTATAGTCCTTTGGATATATACCAAGTAATGGGATGGCTGGGTCAAATGGTATTTCTAGTTCTAGATCCCTGAGGAATTGCCACACTGACTTCCACAATGGTTGAACTAGTTTACAGTCCCACCAACAGTGTAAAAGTGTTCCTATTTCTCCACATCCTCTCCAGCACCTGTTGTTTCCTGACTTTTTAATGATTGCTATTCTAACTGGTGTGAGATGGTATCTCATTGTGGTTTTGATTTGCATTTCTCTGATGGCCAGTGATGATGAGCATTTTTTCATGTGTCTTTTGGCTGCATAGATGTCTTCTTTTGAGAAGTGTCTGTTCATATCCTTCACCCACTTTTTGATGGGGTTGTTTGTTTTTTTTCTTGTAAATTTGTTTGAGTTCATTGTAGATTCTGGATATTAGCCCTTTGTCAGATGAGTAGGTTGCGAAAATTTTCTCCCATTTTGTAGGTTGCCTGTTCACTTTGATGGTAGTTTCTTTTGCTGTGCAGAAGCTCTTTAGTTTAATTAGATCCCATTTGTCAATTTTGGCTTTTGTTGACATTGCTTTTGATGTTTTAGACATGAAGTCCTTGCCCATGCCTATGTCCTGAATGGTAATGCCTAGGTTTTCTTCTAGGGTTTCTATGGTTTTAGGTCTAATGTTTAAGTCTTTAATCCATCTTGAATTAATTTTTGTATAAGGTGTAAGGAAGGGATCCAGTTTCAGCTTTCTACATATGGCTAGCCAGTTTTCCCAGCACCATTTATTAAATAGGGAATCCTTTCCCCATTGCTTGTTTTTCTCAGGTTTGTCAAAGATCAGATAGCTGTAGATATGCAGCATTATTTCTGAGGGCTCTGTTCTGTTCCATTGATCTATATCTCTGTTTTGGTACCAGTACCATGCTGTTTTGGTTACTGTAGCCTTGTAGTATAGTTTGAAGTCAGGTAGCGTGATGCCTCCAGCTTTGTTCTTTTGGCTTAGGATTGACTTGGCGACGTGGGCTCTTTTTTGATTCCATATGAACTTGAAAGTAGTTTTTTCCAATTCTGTGAAGAAAGTCATTGGTAGCTTGATGGGGATGGCATTGAATGTATAAATTACCTTGGGCAGTATGGCCATTTTCACGATATTGATTCTTCCTACCCATGAGCATGGAATGTTCTTCCATTTCTTTGTATCCTCTTTAATTTCATTGAGCAGTGGTTTGTAGTTCTCCTTGAAGAGATCCTTCACATCCCTTGTAAGTTGGATTCCTAGGTATTTTATTCTCTTTGAAGCAATTGTGAATGGGAATTCACTCATGATTTGGCTCTCTGATTGTCTGTTATTGGTGTATAAGAATGCTTGTGATTATTGTGCATTGATTTTGTATCCTGAGACTTTGCTGAAGTTGCTTATCAGCTTAAGGAGATTTTGGGCTGAGACAATGGAGTTTTCTAGATATACAATCATGTCGTCTGCAAACAGGGACAATTTGACTTCCTCTTTTCCTAATTGAATACCCTTTATTTCCTTCTCCTGCCTAATTGCCCTGGCCAGAACTTCCAACACTATGTTGAATAGGAGTGGTGAGAGAGGACATCCCTGTCTTGTGCCAGTTTTCAAAGGGAATGCTTCCAGTTTTTGCCCATTCAGTATGATATTGGCTGTGGGTTTGTCATAGATAGCTCTTATTATTTTGAGATACGTCCCATCAATACCTAATTTATTGAGAGTTTTTAGCATGAAGCGTTGTTGAATTTTGTCAAAGGCCTTTTCTGCATCTATTGAGATAATCATGTCTTTGGTTCTGTTTATATGCTGGATTACATTTATTGATTTGTGTATATTGAACCAACCTTGCATCCCAGGGATGAAGCCCACTTGATCATGGTGGATAAGCTTTTTGATGTGTTGCTGGATTTGGTTTGCCAGTATTTTACTGAGGATTTTTGCATCAATGTTCATCAAGGATATTGGTCTAAAATTCTCTTTTTTGGTTGTGTCTCTGCCTGGCTTTGGTATCAGGATGATGCTGGCCTCATGAAATGAGTTAGGGAGGATTCCCTCTTTTTCTATTGATTGGAATAGTTTCAGAAGGAATGGTACCAGTTCCTCCTTGTACCTCTGGTAGAATTCGGCTGTGAATCCATCTGGTCCTGGACTCTTTTTGGTTGGTAAGCTATTGATTATTGCCACAATTTCAGATCCTGTTACTGTTCTATTCAGAGATTCAACTTCTTCCTGGTTTAGTCTTGGGAGAGTGCATGTGTCGAGGAATTTATCCATTTCTTCTAGATTTTCTAGTTTATTTGCGTAGAGGTGTTTGTAGTATTCTCTGATGGTAGTTTGTATTTCTGTGGGATTGGTGGTGATATCCCCTTTATCATTTTTTATTGTGTCTATTTGATTCTTCTCTCTTTTTTTCTTTATTAGTCTTGCTAGCGGTCTATCAATTTTGTTGATCCTTTCAAGAAACCAGCTCCTAGATTCATTAATTTTTTGAAGGGTTTTTTGTGTCTCTATTTCCTTCAGTTCTGCTCTGATTTTAGTTATTTCTTGCCTTCTGCTAGCTTTTGAATGTGTTTGCTCTTGCTTTTCTAGTTCTTTTAATTGTGATGTTAGGGTGTCAATTTTGGATCTTTCCTGCTATCTCTTGTGGGCATTTAGTGCTATAAATTTCCCTCTACACACTGCTTTGAATGCGTCCTAGAGATTCTGGTATGTTGTGTCTTTGTTCTCATTGGTTTCAAAGAACATCTTTATTTCTGCCTTCATTTCGTTATGTACCCAGTAGTCATTCAGGAGCAGGTTGTTCAGTTTCCATGTAGTTGAGTGGTTTTGAGTGAGTTTCTTAATCCTGAGTTCTAGTTTGATTGCACTGTGGTCTGAGAGACTGTTTGTTATAATTTCTGTTCTTTTACATTTGCTGAGGAGAGCTTTACTTCCAACTATGTGGTCAATTTTGGAATAGGTGTGGTGTGGTGCTGAAAAAAATGTATATTCTGTTGATTTGGGGTGAAGAGTTCTGTAGATGTCTATTAGGTCTGCTTGGTGCAGAGCTGAGTTCAATTCCTGGGTATCCTTGTTAACTTTCTGTCTCGTTGATCTGTCTAATGTTGACAGTGGGGTGTTAAAGTCTCCCATTATTACTGTGTGTGAGTCTAAGTCTCTTTGTAGGTCACTCAGGACTTGCTTTATGAATCTGGGTGCTCCTGTATTGGGTGCATATATATTTAGGATAGTTAGCTCTTCTTGTTGAATTGATCTCTTTACCATTATGTAATGGCCTTCTTTGTCCCTTTTGATCTTTGTTGGTTTAAAGTCTGTTTTATCAGAGACTAGGATTGCAACCCCTGCCTTTTTTGTTTTCCATTTGCATGGTAGATCTTCCTCCATACTTTAATTTTGAGCCTATGTTTGTCTCTGCACATGAGATGGGTTTCCTGAATACAGCACACTGACGGGTCTTGACTCTTTATCCAATTTGCCAGTCTGTGTCTTTTAATTGGAGCATTTAGTCCATTTACATTTAAAGTTAATATTGTTATGTGTGAGTTTGATCCTGTCATTATGATGTTAGCTGGTTATTTTGCTCGTTAGTTCATGCAGTTTCTTCCTAGTCTCGATGGTCTTTACATTTTGGCATGATTTTGCAGCGGCTGGTACTGGTTGTTCCTTTCCATGTTTAGTGCTTCCTTCAGGAGCTCTTTTAGGGCAGGCCTGGTGGTGACAAAATCTCTCAGCATTTGCTTGTCTGTAAAGGATTTTATTTCTCCTTCACTTATGAAGCTTAGTTTGTCTGGATATGAAATTCTGGGTTGAAAATTCTTTTCTTTAAGAATGTTGAATATTGGCCCTCACTCTCTTCTGGCTTGTAGAGTTTCTGCCGAGAGATCCACTGTTAGTCTGATGGGCTTCCCTTTGTGGGTAACCTAACCTTTCTCTCTGGCTGCCCTTGACATTTTTTCCTTCATTTCAACTTTGGTGAATCTGACAATTATGTGTCTTGGAGTTGCTCTTCTCGAGGAGTATCTTTGTGGCATTCTTTGTATTTCCTGAATCTGAATGTTGGTCTGCCTTGCTAGATTGGGGAAGTTCTCCTGGATAATATCCTGCAGAGTGTTTTCCAACTTGGTTCCATTCTCCCCGTCACTTTCAGGTACACCAATCAGACGCAGATTTGGTCTTTTCACATAGTCCCATATTTCTTGGAGGCTTTGTTCGTTTCTTTTTATTCTTTTTTCTCTAAACTTCCCTTCTTGCTTCATTTCATTCATTTCATCTTCCATCACTGATACCCTTTCTTCCAGTTGATTGCATCAGCTCCTGAGGCTTCTGCATTCTTCACGTAGTTCTCGAGCCTTGGCTTTCAGCTCCATCAGCAACTTTAAGCACTTCTCTGTGTTGGTTATTCTAGTTATACATTTGTCTAAATTTTTTTTTTCAAAGTTTTCAACTTCTTTGCCTTTGGTTTGAATTTCCTCCTGTAGCTCGGAGTAGTTTGATCGTCTGAAAACTTCTTCTCTCAACTCGTCAAAGTCATTCTCCGTCCAGCTTTGTTCTGTTGCTGGTGAGGAACTGCGTTCCTTTGGGGGAGGAGAGGCGCTCTGCTTTTTAGAGTTTCCAGTTTTTCTGCTCTGTTTTTTCCCCATCTTTGTGGTTTTATCTACTTTTGGTCTTTGATGATGGTGATGTACAGATGGGTTTTTGGTGTGGATGTCCTTTCTGTTTGTTAGTTTTCCTTCTAACAGACAGGACCCTCAGCTGCAGGTCTGTTGGAGTTTGCTAGAGGTCCACTCCAGACGCTGTTTGCCTGGGTATCAGCAGCAGTGTCTGCAGAACAGCGGATTTTTGTGAACCGTGAATGCTGCTGTCTGATCGTTCCTCTGGAAGTTTTGTCTCTGAGGAGTACCTGGCTGTGTGAGGTGTCAGTCTGCCGCTACTGGGGGGTGCCTCCCAGTTAGGCTGCTCAGGGGTCAGGGGTCAGAGACCCACTTGAGGATGCAGTCTGCCCATTCTCAGATCTCCAGCTGCGTGCTGGGAGAACCACTGCTCTCTTCAAAGCTCAGATGGAAATGCAGAAATCACCCATCTTCTGCGTTGCTCATGCTGGGAGCTGTAGACCGGAGCTGTTCCTATTCGGCCATCTTGGCTCCTCTGAATTGATTCTTGTATAAAGGGTGAGATATGAGTGCATTTTCATTCCTCTGCATGTGTATATTCAGTTTTTCCAGCACCATTTATTGAAGATACTGTCCTTTCTCTTCCAATTGTGTTCTTGGCACCTTTGTCAAAAGCCAATTGACTGAAAATACTTGGGACTACTTCTGTGCTTTCTATCCTGTTTAATTGGTCAATGTATCTGTTTTTATTATTTTTAAATTATGCTGTTTTGATTACAATAGCTTTTTAATCTATTTTGAAATTAGGGAGTGTGATGCCTCCAGCTTTGTTCTTTTTGCTCAGTATTGCTTTCGTTATTCATGGTCTTTTCTGGTCCCATACAAATTTAATATTATTTTTTCTATTTCTGTAAAAAATGACCTTGGAATTTTGATATAAGTGGTATTGAAACTGTAGATCATTTGGAGCAGTATGGACATTTTAACAATATTAATTGCTCCAATCCATGGATATAGGTATCTTTCTACTTATGTGTGTCTTCTTTAATTTCTTTCAATTATTATTATTATTAAAAAAAAATTTTTAGAGGCAGAGTCTTACTCTGTCACCCTGGCTGGAGTGCAGTGGTAAGATCATAGTTCACTGCAGCCTTGACCTCCTGGGCTCAAGTGATCTTCCCACCTCAGCCTCCCGAGTAGCTAGGACTACAGGCATGCACCACCATATCCAGCTAATTTTAAAAATGTAAAGATGAGGTCTCACTTTGTTGCCCAGGCTGGTCTCAAACTCCTGGCCTCAAGAGATCCTCCCATCTTGGCCTCCTAAAGTGCTCGGATTACAGACATGAGCCATCACACCTGGGCTTTTCATCAGTGTTTTAGGCTTTTTTTTTTTTTTAATAGTTTTCAGCATGCAGGTCTTTTAACTCCTTGGTTAAATTTACTCTTAAGTATTTTATTTTTTTGATGCTATTATGTGTGAGATTGTTTTCCTAATTTTTTTGAATAGTTCCTTGACAGTGTATAGAAATTCTATGAATTTTTGTGTATTGATTTTGTAACCTGCAACTTGATTGAATTTGTTTATCAATTCTAACAGATTTTTAGTGAAGTCTTTAGGATTTTCTATATATAAGATCATGTCATCAGCAAACAAAGATAATTTCATTTTTTCCTTTCCTATATCGATGCATTTTATTTATTTTTCTTGCCTTATTGTTCTGGCTAGGACTTCCAGCACTATGTTAAATAGAATAGTGAGAGTGAGCATTCTTGTCTTCTTCCTTATCTTAGAGGAACAGCTTTCAACTTTTCACAGTTGAGTATGATGTTAGTTGTGGGTTTGTCATATGTGACCTTTATTGTGTTGAGGTACATTCCCTGTATATCTTTTTTTTTTCTTTTTTGGAGTTCTTAACATGAACAGACATTGAGTTTTGTCAAATACTTTCTTGCATCTCTTGAGATAATCGTGGAGTTTTTGTCCTTCATTTGTTAATATGGTGTATTACATTGATTTACATATACAGAACCATCCTTGCATTCCTGAGATTAATCACTTGATCATGGTGAATAATTTTTTTTAGGTATATTATTGAATTTGGTTTGCTAGTATTTTGTTGAGGATTTTTGCATCTGTGTTCATCAGGGATATTGGCCTGTACTTTTCTTTTCTTCTAGTATCCTTGTCTGGCTTTGATAATCAGAGCAATACTGGCCCTATAAAGTGAGCTTGGAAGTATTCCCTCCTCTTTAATTTTTTGGAAGAGTTTGAGAATAATTCATATTAGTTCTCCTTTAAATATTTGGCAGAATTTATCAATGAAGCCATCAGGTTCTGGGCTTTGCTTTGATAAGAGACTTTTACTAGTCAATCTTTCTCATGATTGGTCTGTTCAGATTTCCTATTTCTTCTTGATTTAGCCTTGGTAGGTTGCATGCTTCTAGGAATTACTCCGTTTCTTCTAGGTTATACAATTTGTTAGGTTTAGTTGTTCACAGTAGTTTCTTATGATCTTTTGTATTTCTGTGGTATGTTGTAATTTTCCCTCTTTCATATCTGATTTTATTTATATGCCTTCTCTTTTTTATTTAGTTTAGCTAAACATTTGCCAGTTTTGTTTATCTCTTAAGAAACTACTTGGTTTTATTGATTTTTAAAATATTGCTTTTCTAGTTTCTACTTTGTCATTTCTAGTTTGATCTTTGTTATTTTCTTCTTTCTGCTATGTTTGGGCTTACCTTGTCCTTCTTGTTCTTCCTCTTGTATTACACCTTGAGGTGTAATATTATGCTGTTTATTTGAGATCTTTAGTCTTTTTTGATACAGGCATTTTTTTTTTTTTTTTTGCTGTAAACTTTCCTCTAAAGACCACTTTTGCTTCATCTCATAAATTTTGATAAATTATGTTTTCATTTTTGTTTGTCTTGAAATATTTTAAATTTTCCTTTTAATTCCTTCTTTGACTCATTGTTTGCTCAGGAGACTGTTGTTTAATTTTCACGTATTTGTGATTTTTCCAAGATTCCTCCTATTATTGATATCTAATTTCATGACATTGTTGTCCAAAAGGATACTTAGTATGATTTCAGTCTTTTAAAATTTGTTAAGACTTGTTTTGTAGCCTAACATATGATCCATCCTGGAGAATGTTCTGTATGAACTTGAAAAGAATGTGTATTCTGTTGTTATTAGCTAGATTGTTCTATAAATATCTATTAGGTCAATTTGGTCTAAAGTGTTCAAGTCCAATGTTTCCATGTTGATTTTCTGTCTAGATGATCCATCCAATGTTGAAGTGAAGTATTGAAGTCTCCAACTATTATTGTATTGCAATCTATCTCTCCCTTCAGATTCATTATTTACTTTACATATTTAGGTGACCCAATGTTGGTTGCATATATATTTACAATTGTTATATCTTCTTAATAAATTGACCCCTTCATCACGATAGAATGACCTCCTCTGTCTCTTTAAGAGTTTTTCACTTCAAGTCTTTTTTTTTTTCTTCTGGTGTAAGTATAGCTACTCCCACTCACTTTTGGTTTCCGTTTGCATGACATCTTTTTGCATCCCTTAACTTTCAGTCGACCTGTGTTCTTAGTGGTGAAATCAATCTCTTGTAGGCAGCACATAGTTGGGTCTTTTTTTCTTTTTTAAAATCCATTTAGCCACTTGTTATCTTTTGATTAAAGAACTTTACCCACTTACATTTAAATTAGTTATAAATAGGTAAGGATTTACTATTGACATTTTGTTAATTGTTTTCTGGTTACTCTGTAGACTGGTTGTTTTTATCTTCCTCTATTACTGTCTTCCTCTATGGTTTGATGATTTTCTGTAGTGGTATGCTTTGAATTCTTTCTTTTTATTTTTTTGTATATCTACTAAGGATTTTTTATTTGTACTTACAATGAGGCTTACATAAAATATCTTATACTGATAACAGGCTATTTAAACTGATAACTTAATTTTGGTCACTTGTACAAATTCTACACTTTTACTCTCACATCCAATTTGTTTTTGTTGACATGTCTTTTATCTTTTGTAATTTGTGTTTCTTAACAAAGTAGTGTAGCTACAGTTGTTTTTAATAGTTTTGCCTTTAACCTTCATACTAAAGATATAATTGATTTTCACACCACCACTACAATATAAGAATGTTCTGAATTTGACTGTATGCCTTATATTTACTAGTGAGTGTTATATTTTTATGTTGCCACTTAACAATCTTTCCCTGCAGCTTGAAGGAGTACTTTTAGCATTTCTTGTAAGGCAGGTGTAGTGGTGACAAATTTCCTCAGGTTTTGTTTGTCTTGGAAAGTTTTTATCATCCCTTCATTTGGAAGAACAGAATTGCTATTACAGTATTTTTGGCTGGCAGATTTTAATTTTTTCCAGCTTAAAAATATATAATTTCATTTCCTTGTGGCCTGCAAGGGTTTCCTTTGAAAAATTTGCTAATAGTCTTATGAAAGGTTTTCTTGTATTGAACAAGTTGTTTATCCATGGCAGTTTTCAATATTTTCTCTTTGTTTTTAAATTTGACAATTTGATTTTAATATGTCTTGGGGTTGATCTCTTTGGATTTATTCTACTAGGTATCTATTGAGCCTCCTGGGTGTACAAATATCTCTTGGAGACCCTGCTTTCAACCCTTATGTGTATATTCCCAGAAGTGGAATTGCTAGATCACAAGGTAATTCTATTTTTTTTTTTTTTGGAGAAACTGCCATGCTATTTTCCATAGCAGATATACCAGAAATATGAAACACTTCATGAATTTTTGGGTTATCCTTGAGCAGGAGCCATGCTTATCTTCTCTTTAGTTTTTCAATTTTAGTATATGTGCTGCCAAAGCAAGCACCCAAGGTGATTTTAAACCAACATTAAAGGAGGCTTTAGACACTTCTTTACAGATTTATTTAGGTATAATTTACAAATAAAAATTTTATATATTTGAAGTGTACAACTTGTTGTTTTAGTATATGTATACATTGTGAAATGACCACCACAATCAAGTTAATTAACACCTCACCTACTTACCATTTTCATTTCTTTCTTTCTCTCTCTTTCATTTCTATTTTTCTTTCTTTTCCTTCCTTCCTTCTTTCCTTTTTTCTTTCTCTCTAATTTCTATTTTCCCTTTCTTTCTCTCTGTTTTTTTCTTCTTTTTTGTGAGAACACTTAAGATCTACCATTTTAGCAAATTTCAAATATATAATGTAGACAGTCCCTGACTTATTATTGTTTAACTTATAATTTTTCAAGTTTATGATGGTGCAGAAGCAATATGCATTCCAATATAAATCATGCTTTGGACTTTGAATTTTGATCTTTTCCTGGGCTAGCAAAATGTGCTATGATATTCTCTTGTGATGCTGGGTGGTGACAGCAAGCTGCACCTCCCAGCCAACCACCCAATAACAAGGGGAAACAACCAATATGCTACAGTGCACTGTTGCCAGCATTTTTTGAATATTGTGTTTTGTATCAAATTAGGTCTACAAAACACTCATTTTTGACATACAATATTTTAAACTTATGATGGGTTTATTGAGACATAACCCCATCATAAGTTGAGGAGCATTTTTACACTATTTTTTAACTTTAGTCACAATGTTGTACATTACATCTCCAGAACTTATTTATCTTGCATAACTGAAACTTTGTACTCATCGACCAACATCTTCCCATTTCTCTCTTCCCTCAGGCCCTGGCAACCACCATTCTACTCTCTGCTTCTATGAGTTTGACTATTTTAGATTCAGTACATGAGAGATCATGCATTATTTGTCTTTCTGTGACTGGCTTATTTCACCTAGCATAATGTCGTTTGGGTTTATCCTTGTTGTAAATAGCAGGATTTCCTTATTTTTATACACCACATTTTATTTATCCATTCATTTGTTGAGGAACATTTAGGTTATTTTAATATCTTGGCTATTGTGAATAATGCTACAGTGAACATGGGAGTGCAGATACCTCTTTGAGATACTTACTCCATTTCCTTTGGATATATATATCCAGGAGTGTGATTGCTGGATCATATTTAATTTTTAAAGGAAACTCCATACTGTTTTCCATAATGGCTGTACCGATTTATGTTCTTACCAAGAGTGTGCAAGGATTATCTCTTCTCTATATCCTTGTCAAAGCCTATCTTTTGTCTTTGATAATAGCCGTTCTAACAAGTGAAGTGATATCTGATTGTGGTTTTGATTTGCATTTACATGTTGATTAGTGACGTTGAGCATCTTTTCATATATCTATTAACCATTTTTATATCTTCTTTTGAGAAATATCTATTTAGGTCCTTTGCCCATTTTCAAATTGGGTTATTTGCTTTTTTCCTCTTGAGTCGTATGAGTTCCTTATAACACTTTATCAGATATATGGTTTGCGAATATTGTCTCCCATTCATAGGTGTCTTCTCTCTATTGTTTCCTTCATTGTGCAGATGTATTTAGTTTGATGCAATCCCACTTGTCAAGTTTTGCTTTTATTGCCTGTGCTTTTGGAGTGAAATCCAAAAAATCATTGTTCAGAACAACGTCAGTAAGCGTTTTCTCTATGTTTTCTTTCAGTAGTTTTATAGTTTCAGGTCTTACATATAAGTTTTTAATCCATTTCAAGTTGATCTATTTCTGGCATGTGGTATGAGATAATGTCCAATTTTATTCTTCTGCACATGTATATCCAATTTTCCCAACCCCATTTATTTGAGATACTTCTTTATTGTGTGTCATTGGCACTCTGTAAATGCATGGATTTATTTCTGGGCTTTCTATTCTATTTCATATTGGTCTATGTTTGTTTATATTCCAGTACCATATTGTTTTTATTACTGTAGCTTTGTAATATACTTTGAAATTAGGGAGTGTGATGTTCCAGCTTTGTTCTTCTTGCTCTAAAGATTGCTGTGACTATTTAGACTATTTTCTGGTTCCAAGTGAATTTTAGGATTTTCCCCCATTTCTGTGAAGAATGCCATTGCAATTTTGATAAGGATTGCATTGAATCTATAGGTCACTTTGGGTAGCATGGATATTTAACAACATTAATCTTTCTAATCCATGAACATGGGCTGTCTTTCTATTTATCTGTGCTCTTAAAAATTTTTCATAATTAATGTTTTATAATTTTCAGTGTACAAGTCTTTCACCTCTTTTTTTAAATTTTATTTTTCCATAAGTTATTGGGGTACAGGTGGTATGTGGTTACATGAGTAAGTTCTTTAGTGGAGATTTGTGAGAACCTGGTGCACCCATCACCTGAGCAGTATACACTGCACCATATTTGTTGTCTTTTATCCCTTGCCCCCTCCCACTCTTCCCCCCAAGTCCCCAAAGTCCATTGTATATTCTTATCCCTTTGCATCCTCATAGCTTAGCTCCCACATATCAGTGAGAACATATAATGTTTGGTTTTCCATTCCTGAGTTACTTCACTTAGAATAATAGTCTCTAATCTAATCCAGGTCATTGCAAATGCTGTTAATTCATTCCCTTTTATGGCTTCATAGTATTCCATTATATATATATATATATATGCCATAGTATTCCATCATATATATATATATATATATGCCAGAGTTTCTTTATCCACTCTTTGATTGTTGGGCATTTGGGTTGGTTCCACAATTTTTCTATTGTGAATTGTTCTGCTATAAACATGTGTGTGCAAGTATCTTTTTTGAATAATGACTTCTTGCTTAAGTTTATTTCTAAGTATTTTGTTCTTTTTGATGCTGTTTTCTTAATTTCCTCTTTAGGTAGTTTATTGTTAGTTTGTAGAAACACCACCAATTTTCATATGTTGAATTTGTATCCTGCAACTTTATTGAATTTATTAGGCCTAACAGTTTTTTTATTGAGTCTTTAGGATTTTCTACATATCTAATCATATCCTTTGTGAACAGAAACAATTTTACTTCTTCCTTTCTGATTTAGATGCCTTGTATTTATTTTTCTCCTCCTAATGCTCTGGCTAGGACTTCTAGTACTATGTTGAATAGTGGTGGTGAGATGGCATCCTTGCATTATACTAGATATTAGAGGAAAATCTTTCAGTTTTCTCCCATTGTCTATGATGTTAGCTGTGGGCTTGTCATGTTTGGCCTTTATTATGTTGAGGTGCATTCATTATATTGTTGAAAGTTTTTTTGTTTGTTTTGAGATAGAATCTCACCTTGTCATCAAGGCTGGAGTGCAGTGGCACAGTTATAGCTCACTGCAGCCTTGAACTCCTTGGCTCAAATGATCCTCCTGCCTCAACCTCCTGAGTAGCTAAGGCTATAGGAATGCACCACCATGCCTGGCCAATTTCTAATTTTTTTTCTGTAGAGACAAAGTCTTGTGATATTTCCCAGGCTGCTCTTGAGCTCCTGGCTTCAAATGATCCCCCCACCTTGGCCTCCTAAAGTGCTGGGATTACAGGCATAAGCCACTGCACCTGTCTGAGTTTTTCTTTTAAATCAGAAATGAATACTGAATTTTGTCAAATGTTTTTCTGATCTATTGAGATCATATGTTTTGTCCTTTGTTCCATTAATGTGGTATTCACATTTATAGATTTGCATATGTTGAACCATCCTTGCATCCTTGGGATAAATCCCACTTGGTCATGGGCTATAATCCTTTTAATGTGCTATTGAATATGGTTTGCTAGTATTTTATTGAAGAGTTTTGCATCTATAATAATGAATTAGGAATATTGGCCTGTAATTTTCTTTTCTTGTGGTATCTTGTGGTGTCTTTGTCTGGATTTGGTATTGGGTAATGTTGGTTTCGTAAAATGAGTAAGGAAGTCTTCCTTTATTTATTTATTTGGGAAGAGTTTAAGAAGGAATGGTATAATATTTGATATAATTCAGCAGTGAAGCCATCTGGTCTTTGGCTTTTCTTTGTTGCCAAGCTTTTGGTTACTTATTTAATCTCCTTACTTGTTATTAATCTTTTCAGGCTTTCTATTTCCTGTTGATTCGGTGTTGGCAGGTTGTATATTTCTAGGAATTTATCTACTTATAGGTTATCCAATTTGTTGGTGCATACATGTTCATAATAGTCCCTTATGATTTTTTTTTAAATTTCTGAAGTACTCATTGTAATGTCTCTTCTTTCATTTCTGAGTTTATTTGAGCCTTCTTTCTTTTTTTCGTATTCTGTCTAGCTAAGGGTTTGCCAATTTTGTCTATCTTTTCAATAAACCAAATCTTAGTTTTGATCATTTGTTTCTATTGTTTTTCTATTCTCGATTTGATTTATTTCTGCTCTGATCTTTATTATTTCCTTCCTTATGCTAACTTTGGACTGAATTTATTCTTGTTTTTCTAGTTCCCCGATGTTTAAATTTAGGTTGTTTGTTTGAGATCCTTACATTTTTTAATGTAGGCAATTTATCTATTATATAGAACCAAAGGTGTGTATTTAGTTCTTGGCAATTTTATCACATGTATTGATTCATATAACCACAATTGTAATCATGATGCAGACCTGTTCCATCAACACAAAGATTACTTGTGCTACCCTTTTAAGGTCACACCCACCTTCCTGCCTACACCTCTTCCCCTCCCTAACCCCTGGCAACCACAGATATGTTCTTCACCTACATAATTTTGTTACTTTTAGAACTTTGTACAAATAGAATCATACAGTACGTGACCTTTGGGGATTTTTTTTTTTCACTCAGCATAATGCTTTGAGAACCATCCAGGTTGTTGTGTGTATTGACAGTTTTTTTTTTTATTGCTAAGTAGTATTCCATGATACACCTCGGCTTGTTTAACCATTCACAGATTGTAGGACATTTTGGTTGTGTCCAGTTTCTGGCTATTACAAATAATCCTGCTATGAACAACCAGGTACAAGTTTTTGTGTGGACATAAGTTTCATTTATCTGAGATAAATGCCTAGGAATGTGATTGCTGCCATCAATGGTCAGTAAATGCTTAATGTTTTAAGAAGCTGACAAACTATTTTTCAGAGTGGTTGTGTCATTTGCCTTCCCACCAGTAATGTAAGAGAAATCCAGTTTCAGTGCTGAATTTCTTTGTTGGTATTGACACTATTTTTTTGGCATTTTCTCTATAGGTTTTTCATATTGTTACTATTTTATAATTTAACTCCCCTAATAGATTGTATATTAGGTTTAAAATATCCCTTCAAGAATGATAGTTTCACACAGCTATTGCTCCAGGTTTTTCTGAAATGGAGATGGTAGTTTAGGCTCAGTTGTGGTCCACAACAATAAAACTCATACTTTAAATAAGTTTTAGGCCATCCTGCCCTTCCCCCAATTGCTGCTACATTGTGGTAGTATCTTCATTCTCAAATCTTTGTGGGAAACTTCAGTGACTAGGATAAGGATATGACACCCTTGATACTTTAGAGTTCTGAGTTTTGATCATTATGTGGGTGGCATTTTCCTACTAATTTCAAATTTTACTTCAGATTTCCTATTTTAACTACTGATCCATGGTCCCATTTGAACATGCAATTTAAAAATCATTGCATTATGAAATGATATAAGAATAATGAAACTCAGACCATAAGATGCCAGGAATCCATTATGGCCAGATGTTGAAATAAGCATATTTCCACATTTTGTAAATAAAATATTTAATGAAGTGCATTTTTGTTAGGATTTTGAATGATTTGTACAAGAAACTTTTTTTTGTGTCAAAAGTTAAAAGAAAAGACGATACATTTACTTTGAAAAATCTAGGTCTGCATTTTTGTGTGACCTCTGTGGAAATTCCACCCTACCCCGTTTTTAGTCTGGTGGCCTGACCTAGCTGTGTGGGCAGCAATATCACTGCCATTTGTGCTTTCTGCAGTCTTGGCACATTCTCTGATCATTGGCTCTAATCCTAGTTCTAACTATACTGTTAATACAACTGAGCTCCGGGAAACACAAAAGTACTTGTTTTTTCAGTCACTGTCTGCATATAGAAAAGGTTTTAGAAAACTCCAGTTAAAATAATGGATTGACCATGCACATTTATCTTTTTTCTTCTCATTTAAAAATGACTAATAAAATTTGAAAAATGAATAAAATAGTCATGAACTCACAAGGACAAAACAAAAATGGGAGAGGGGGCATCAGTGGATGAGAGATTTCAATAAATCTTCAGAAGATACAAATTGATGGAAGAAGGGCAACTGATCCATCACTACACAAAAGGCCCCTGTATTCAGTATGTGCAGAGTAGGATGTGGATGAGAAGTGAGCTGACCCATCCCCACAGGATTTTAGAAAGACCTAGGAGGCAGAGATACTGGTTACTGAGCAGGCTTTGGGTGATGGGTAGAGCTACAAACTGGGGGATTTTTTGGAAGACTCTGTAGTGGAAGAGTTGAACCCCTCTCCAAACCCTATTTCCCAATTCTGTGTACTCAATGCCAGAAGACAGACATCCCTTCTTATATGATCCTCTAACCCCACGAAGGAAACTGAAAGTTTATTCTTTGTACAAATTCAGCCCAAGAAGTTTGGAAATGAGATGGGGCATGGAGATGGAGACAATAAATCTACAGATGAAATAATTATACCAGAGGTGTCCAGTCTTTTGGCTTCCCTGGGCCACATTGGAAGAAAAAGAATTGTCTTGGGCCACACTGGAAGAAAAAGAATTGTCTTGGGCCACACATAAAATATACTAACACTAACGATAGCTGATGAGCTAAAAAAATTGCAAAAAAATCCCATAATGTTTTAAGAAAGTTTACGAATGTGTATTGGGGTGCATTTAAAGCCATCCTGGGATGCATGCAGTCTGCAGGTTGCAGGTTGGACACACTTGAGTTGTACCGTCAGCCTCCCTTCCCTCTGCTTTCCCCACCCTTAACAAAGTAGAAAGACAGAATGTTTTTCTCTGCAGAAACTGAATTGCCCCAGAAAAAGACCTCCAGACAATGATTTATTTTATTCTATTTTTCATTAAAAATACTTATATATATTTATGGGGTACAATGTGGTGTTTTAATACATGTATACTTTGTGGAATGATCATATCAAGCTAACCAACACATCCATCACCTAAAATAGTTATCATTTCTTTGTGGTAAAAGCATTCAAAGTCCACTCTTTTAGTTATATGAACTATGTGGTACATAATTATTAACTATAGTCACCATGCTGTGCAATAGAGCATCAGAACCTATTCCACCTCTCAAACTGGAACTTTGTACCCTTTGACCAATATCTCCTCTTTACCTGCCCACCACCTCTTTCTCCTAGGCCCTGGCAACCACCATGCTACTCTTTTCTTCTATGAGTTCAATTTCTTTAGATTCCACATATAACTGAGATCATGCAATATTTGTCTTTCTGTGCCTGGCTGGCTTATTTCATTTAGCATAATGTCCTCTAGGTTCATCCTTGTTGTCACAAATGACAGAATTTCCTGCTTTTTAAAGGTTGAATAATATTTCATAGTGTATGCGTACCACATTTTGAAAATGTATTCATCCATTGATGAGCACTGTAGTTGTTTCTGTGTCTTGGCTATTGCTGCAATGAATACAGAAGTGCAGATATCTTTTCAACATACTGATTTCATTCCCTTTGGGTGTATAACCAGAAGTGAGATTGTCAGATTTTCTTACTCCACTTGTGTTGCTATAAAGGAGTACCTAGGCTGAGTAATTTATAAAGAAAAGAGATTTATTTGGCTCACAGTTTTGCAGGTTGTACACGAAGCATGGCTCCAGCACCTGCTTCTGACAGGGCCTCAGGAAGCCTCCATTCATGGTAGAAGGCAAAGAGGAGCCAGTGTGTGCAGATCACACAGTGAGACAGAAAGAAAGAGAGAGGGGAAAGTGGGAGGCTCTTTTTAAGAACCAGCTCTTTAAGGCCGGGTGTGGTAGCTCACACCTGTAATCCCGGCACTTTGGGAGGCCAAGGTAGGAGGCTCACTTAAGCCCAGGAGTTTCAAGATCCTCCTGGACAACATAGTGAGACCTCATCTCTACTAAAAATAAAAAATTAGGTAGGCATGGTGGCACACACCTGTGGTCCCAGTTACTCAGGAGGCTGAGGTAAGAGGATCCCTTGAGCCTGGGAAGCAGATGTTGCCACTGCACTCCAGCCTGGGCAGCAAAGCAAGACCACAAGAACCAGCTTTTGGGGGCTCTTGTGGGAACTAAGAGAGTGAGAACTTTCTTGTTACCAGTAAGAGGGCACCAAGCCATTCATGAGGGATCCACCCCCAAGACTCAAACATCCCCCATTAGGCCTTACCTCCAACATTGGGGATCAAATTTTAGCATGAGGTTTGGAGGGTCAAATATCTATACTATAGCATGGATCACATGGTAATTCTATTTTTAGCTTTTTGAGGAACCCCCCCATACTTTTCCCAAAATTGCTGTACTAATTTACAACACCACTAACAGTGTACAAGTGTTCTCTTTTCTCCACATCCTTGCCAATACTTGTTATCATTCATATTTATGATAATAGTCATTCTAACAGGTGTGAGTTGCTATCTCATTGTGATTTTAATTTGCATTTCCCTGAGGATTAGAGATGTTGGGCATTTTTTTCATTTACTTGTTGGCCATTTGTATGTCTTCTTTTGAGAAATGTCTGTTTAGGTACTTTGCCCATTTTAAAAATTGGGTTATTTGTTTTTTGTTGTTTTTGTTGTTGAGTAATTTTAGTTCCTTGCACATTTTGGATATGAGCCCCTTATCTGATATATGATTTAAAATATTTTCTTCCAATTAGTGGTCGTCTCTTCACTGTGTTGTTTCTTTTGCTATGCAGAAGCTTCTTCATTTGATGCAATCCCATTTGTCTGTTTTTGCTTTTGTTTCCTGTGCTTTTGGGGTCACATTACAAAGTCATTGCCCAGGCCAGTGTCATGGAGCTTTCCTTCTATGTCTTCTTATGTTTAAGTTTTTAATCCATTTTGAATTGATTCTTGTGTAAAGATGAGCCATGAGTCCATTTTCATTCCTCTGCATGCGGATATTCAGTTTTCCCAACACCATTTATTGAAGACTGTCCTTTCCCTATTGTGTGTTCTTGACACCTTTGTCAAAAATCAATTGATTGAGGACAGGTGCGGTGGCTCATGCCTGTAATCCTAGCACTTTGGGAGGCCAAGGTGAGAGGATCGCTTGAGCTCAGGAGTTCGAAACCAGCCTGGGTAACATAGTGGGACCTCATCTCTATTTAAAGAAAAAAGATCAATTGATTGTAGAAGTGTGGGTTTATTTCTGGGCTCTCTGTCCTATTCCATTGATTGATGTGTCTGTTTTTATGCCATCACCATGCTGTTTGATTACTATAGCTTTGTAATATATTTTGAAATCCTGTAGTCACTCACTGATATTTTGTGCATCCACCAATGAGATGGCTGTCATCATTCCTTACCACCCTAACATAAGTCCAGCTTACATGAACCTTGCCCAGGCCTCTGAGTTTTCAGCTATTTCTTAAATGCAGGCAGATGGTCAAAGATCACAAGACAATTGATAAAAGTCTTTGATAAAAGAAAATGAAAAAAAAAAAACCCACAGAGATAATATAGGGAAAAGAAAAAACTTCCAAAGTAACTACCACCTCAATTCTAATAAATATTCTCAGAGGACTATAATAAAGTATTGCATCTATAAAACAAGAGCAAGATACCACAATGAGCTTGTGGAAATAAAAATAATAGCTAAATTTTAAAAATGGAAGACAAAATCAAGGAAATATAAGGCAGAAAAAAAGATAAAGAGTTGAAAAATATGAGAATGATGAGGAGAGACATGAAGAATAAAGCCTAGAAATTCCACATCTGAATAATAAGTTTCCAGACAGAAGATAATAAAGAAAGAAGAAAAAAAAAGAAAGAAGACTGGAAACATAGGGACAGAAACAGACGAAATAATCTAAGAACATTTTTCTTTCCAAAATGAAGAACACCAGCCAGGCTATGTATTGAAAGGCCCGTAGTGGACACATCTCAGTGAGAATTAAAAAACACCACATTGAGGTATATCATAGAGAGGATTTAAAGCCAAGAACTAGGTGTCCCCTAAAAGCTCCCAAAGAGCAAAATAATGCAAAAGATGTCACATAGAAAAGAATATAATTAGAAAGACACCAGGCTTCTCAGTAGCAACACTGAATACCAGAAAGCAATTGAACAATAGCATCAAAAATCTTACAGAATATAATTCTCAACTGGGAATTTTACACCCTGCCAGGCTAACAGTCAAGTGTGAGGTCAAAGTTAAGACATCTTCATTCATTCATAGACAATTTGGCACTTTTTCATAGGAAGCTTTGAGAAAACATTCCAGTAAATCCTGAGTAATCTAAAAAAGAAGTCATGGGATCCAGCAATAGGTGGATTTAACTCAGGAGAGTGGTGAAGAGAAGGCTCAGGCTGACAGCTCAGAGGCCACTAGTGGAGCATGAAGAAGGAGGTTGGAGATGAGTATGGGGAAAGAATTAAGGATATGCATATGGAAAATTTTGCAAGTAAAAATAATGATTAGTTTTTTAAGACCATCAGAATGCTGCACATGAAAGGAATTGTAACCATACACCAATTAACTCTGCAATGAAATCACAAATAATTTGTTGTGTATCATATTGATATAAACCCTTATGTTGGTAAGGAATCTCTTCCTTGCAAGTAACTAAAAACTCAAAGTGGCTTAAACCATAAAGGAAATTACAGTATTTCTGTTGCATATTTGACAGAAGGCAGTTTAGCCTACAGATGAGGTTTGATTCAGGGGCCCTCTGAAATCTTTTAATTTCTCCTCTTGGCATTCTGCAGTATCTATTTAAAGTAAGACTGGCTTTCCCCAGAGTTGCAAGATGGTTTCCATCACTTAGGGACTTTAATTTTCCTCATTCATGTCCATCAGGGAAAGAATATTTCTCCAGTTCTGCAGAAAAACAAGGAAATGCATGCTCTCACTTTCCTCCAGCAGACCTCTCATTGGTTGATGTTGGGTAACCTGCTTTTTCTTGAACCAGTCACTATAGCTTGAGGGTTGGGGTTCAGCCAATCAGAAACCACCCTTGTGGATGGAGACGGGGTCAGCTCTTCAAGAAAGTTTCCACTGACTAGGGAAATGGGTGGGTTTCCATTCCAAATGGGAATTAAGGTACAGTTCCAAGAGGAAAGAAAATGGATGTTAGGTGGCTACCAGTCAATGTCTATTTTACAGCATACATTATTTAACAAAAAATAGTAGTGAAATTGCTGTAAGAGGAAATGCAGATGGGGAGAATGAAAGATCCAAACCCATATCCATCATAATTCAAAATAAATAGAGAAGGTCAAATGCATGGATCAATAAACAGCAGTTTAAGCATATTATTTGGAAACATGGAGCTAACTAGTAGAAAAGTTATAAAGAATGATAAATAATTACCTTGGGGGAAGGGAGGCTGGGGAATGGGTGGGATGGGGGGGCATGATGATTTGTCATGAGAAGTTTTTTTATATGATTATATTTTAAAACTGTGTTCATGAATTACTTTGATGAAAACTTCAAAAAAAGTAAACTTCAATCTTTCATAAAAAAGAAAACATGAAATTAGATGAAATGCAAAAGCAGAAGGCTGATGACTTTGCCTTGTCACAAAGTTGTGTAAAAAAGTCCAAAATGGCACACACTCTGCCCCCAGGCCATTGTTTTAATTAAATCCACATACCATGAATATGTGGTATTCTGTGGCTTCATGTATGCTCTAGCACGCGGCTCCATTCCCCTGGCAAGTAGGAAAATGTGTCCCAGTTTGAGAAGCATAGATTAAGACACATTGGGGCAAGGAGCTTGAAATATTTTCAAAAGAGAAAACTCAAACATTTCCCAGAAACACCAAAGCCAAGGCCCCCTGTGAACAAAACACAATGCAATGATACAAAGATGAGTTTCAGAAGTTGCTGGCTTTGGGGTGCTGTCAAGAGGTCTGCCCTGGCTCTCCTCTTTCCACATGAGCCAAACCATACTGATTGTCTTTCCTTTTATCACAGTCTCACTGCCAATGTTGTTGCTCCTTTCCTCTCCTTGGACCACAAATGCTGCCTCCAGCAGCACTCAAAGGCTTTTCCTCTAGTTTGCCTACCCAACCTGATGCAAAACTCCCCATTCCTCCAGGCATCCTGTACCTCGCAGGGAATCACTGTGTACAAAGGCATTTTTGGGGCACAGGGCAAAAACATAGGATGTCCCCCTTGGGGAAACAGGTACAAAAGGACAGACCACAAACAGAATGTGGCGTAGGCACCGCAGGTCCTTCTCAGCTGCTGGGCCTGGAGATAACCTCCAAATCATAAAGGCGGACCTCAATGTTGATGGCTAGAAGTGGCAGGAGAAGGAGCTGTTTTCAAAACTGATGACTTCCTGTTTCTCCAAGGGGGGAGATTTGTATCTTACTTATGGGCAAATTATATCTTAAGACAAATAGTTTAATGAGACTTTGGTTTAACAACTGTAAGCCAAAAACATTCTTTTCTGAAATGGAATTTGCAGGGCAGTGAAGAATGAAACCTCTCTTCATCGTGATGTTAACAGTGTGTCTCCACTTTGGGCTGAGTTAGGTGTTTGCAGTTCATGGGAAGCAGAGACTGGAGATATCATTTTCTCTGTTGCTGGACCCCACAGAAGACTGGGATGGGGAGGAGGATCTACACTCATGTTGGGAAGATAGAGACAAAGCAATTCTATGTGCACAGTGTCAGGCTGGAGCCGAGAGAGAGAGAGAGAGAGAGAGAGAGAGAGAGAGAGAGAGAGAGAGCCAGCACTCCACACTGCAATCCCGGTCTGTCCCCCATGCACCTTCAGTAATATTGTGTTAAATGTTACAACCTGATTTTCACTGTTCTCTGGGGGAGTTTAGGATGGGACTTTTGAGAGAGCACAAATAATCCAGAGAAATGCAACACAGGGATGAAGGTACAGGTTGCCCAAAAGCTAGGCAGCTCCTTGACGTTCAAGTGATGATCAGGGCTGCTTTGTAAGACACAGAAGCATTCCTTGGGGGATTTCCAGAGATCTCAGGGGGAGACAAACCTGATAAACAGCCAGGCTTTCTCTCAGGTAAGCCGCCTGAGGACTTGGACTATCATATCTAGCTTCTAAGGAGAAGGTTGATTTTGGAAGGCTGTAGAACCTGGGGTCATGGGGAGATATTTTAGGGCAGTGAGTAAAGTTCTGGTGCTAATTCTATTGTCTTAGCCATTTATTACTGTAGTTTTGGTGTTTCTCCAAACTCTTATCAGAGAAACATAGCCAATGAAGGATCTCAACCAAAACAAATGCCAGCTAACTGAAATCCACATTGCAATAGGACACATTCTCTCAGAAATTCAAACTGGACAATACCCATGAGCTCATGCGTCATTCCTAATATTTCAGCTGAAATCCCACACCTGTTAGAGCTTCCAATTCCTCATTCATGTTACATTCACTAACTTCCATCTTAAATTACTACAAACAATTTTCACGAATTCCCGAGGAAATCTTGGAGTCCTTTTTTAAGAAAAAAAAATACAGAAACAGGAAACACAGGGAATTATAGACTAGCAATCCTTTCTTATTTCTAACCTCCATCCTAAATTACTACAAGCAATTCTCATAAATTCCTGGGGAAATCTCGGAGTCCTTTTTTAAGAAAAAAAAAAACAAAAAAAAAATCAGAAACAGAAAACAGAGAATTGTAGACTAGCAGCCCTTCCTTATTTCTCAATAAATTTCGCTTCAGTTGGAATATCAGATTCTTTGCGTGAGCCACACGTTCAACGCCTACATTGGAACTTTGCATTCTGTGTTGACAGCACACCCCTATCACAGCACATTGGGTAAAATATTTAGTTACTGATAAAAATTTAAATCCTACAGAAATAACCAAACTCACACAAAAATTTTGACTCAAATTATTACCATAAAACAAGAAAATCCCTAAACAAAGGATTATGCCCAATTAGAATTATATTCATGGAGCCTCAAATTTGTGTTCCCATTTTCACTTATTGAAACCCCCAGTTTTCAGCCCTTAGCTGACAAACAGAGTGCTGGCCCCAAAGTGGGCTAAGTTTTCAGGGAAGTGGTCCCAGCCACCTGGAGTGCTCCCAGCCAGGAGCCCTCTCCTGGAGGCTTCTGAGCAGCTGCTCTGAGCTGTCCAGGAAGCAGTTACTCTCCGTGGGCTGGGAGCCCCTTGCAGGTGGTGTTTTCTCTTTCCCTCTCTTGGTTAGAGCAGAGAGTTTCCCCGAGGTTACCAGCTCTCTAGCAGCTGTCCTTTGGAACTTGGTCTCTGTTTTTTCTCTCTGGCCCTCCAGGCCACAAACTCCCAGCTCTTCCCTGTGGCCCCCAAATGTATAAGTCGTTTGTCCAGGTGTTTGGTGAGAAGTGAGAGGTGAGAGAGTACAATGCTTGAGCAGTGCCTTTGGTGTTACAGAGCTTGACGTCAGATCCTAACTCAAGTGCTTACCCTCTGTGTGGGCTTGTACAAGTGATTCCAACTGGGATCTGAAATATGGGGGTAATACAGCCCTAGCTCATGGGGTGGTTGTGATGATGAATGAGATGATGCATGCACAGTACTTGGCACAGTGCCTGGCACGTGGTAGACATCCAATAAATGGCAGCTATTAATATCCCTTTCTACTTGAAAGTAAGGAAAGGATAAATTGCTTATTTGAGTCTAAAATAGAAAGTCAATACTTTTTTTTCTTTTTTTTCAACAGAGTCTCGCTCTGTCGCCCAGGCTGGAGGGCAGTGGCACAATCTCAGCCCACTGTAACCTCTGCCTCCCAGGTTCAAAGTGATCCCCCTGCCTCAGCCTCCCTAGTAGCTTAAATTACAGGCACACGCCACCACGCCCAGCTAATTTTTTGTATTTTTAGTAGAGACTGGGTTTCGCTATGTTGGCCAGGCTAGTCTTGAACTCGTGACCTCAATGGATCTGCTCGCCTCGGCCTCCCAAAGTGCTGGGATTACAGGCATGAGCCACCACATCCAGCCAGAAAGTTGGGACTTTCATATAAAAGTCAATTCATAGCAGCAATTGTTAGAACAAGGCCCTCATAGTTCTTATTTTTTGGTTTGTCCTAGAGCAGCAACAGAATAAATAAAAAAGGCTGAATTGTTTAAGAACATATCAACTCCTAGTTAGTCAATGATAACTAAGGTATTCTTTGAAGTAGGCCTGAAGGGCAAAGTAGACATTTGTCTGGCAGGTGAGGGACCAGCCAGGATGGCAAATGTATGGCTGGTGTCCTGTCACTCCCTCCACCTCCACCCCAGCTGCCTCTCCCCTGCCTGTGGCAGATATTATTTCTCAATCTGAGCATCTCATCTTGTTGAACCTGGATTCTGCTTTATGATAGCTTTTCTTTCCTTTTTGTTTTTCTGCACTAAAGTGTTTGAAAACAAATTTCAGATACCGTGTACTGACACTCTAGCAGCATATATCTCTAAAAAATATGGATGTTTTCTTACACAACGACAGTGATATTATCACACCTAACAAAATTAACAATAAATCCTTTCTATTTTCTAATAACCCAGTCCCTAATCAAATTTCCCTGACTGTCTCAAAATATTTAAGTTATGTTCAACACAGCTGTGGATACCCTCTACCCATGGTCAGAGGTTTAAGCAGGAGAAATGATGTTTTCAGACGTATGAGTCAGAAGCGTCTGCAGGCTGTCTTTTGGGGAATGGAATAAAGGTGTGTCTCCTACCTCAGCATGACTTGGTAATTTCAAGGGCTTTTTCCTAGATAGGGCATCCATTGTCTACCTTCCTTTCTCAGAGTTCTAGTCCCCTGAATCTTTGTCCTTCCAGGAATCAAAGGGACCCTCCTGCAAACAGGACTCTGGGACTCAGGGTCATAGGGATGTGACCTGGGATGTTTCCTGGGATGACCCCAGCAATAGGGACCTGTCCTGCCCTGCACAGCAGTGAGTGGGTGGGTGATATAAGTAGAGCGGTTAAGGGGGCCCTCAGACCACAGGGAGATGCTAATCCTCCTACCCTGGAGAACTGGTCATGGGAGCTAGACCTCTCCCAGGCTGGCCCAGGTCATCTGTCCCCTCTCCCTCCTGGGGAGTGGGCACCCAGTGTGCTTTGGAATCAATTGTCAGTGTGCCTCCGGGGACTGGCATAGATTTTCCATTTCCTGTGCATGTCTACAAGGAAATTGGAAGCTCAATTTCAGGATGCCTGGGCCTGCACAAAGGCAGTGATGATGGCTATTATCTGGAAAATGGCTCATTGTGGAGATGGGGTTGGGGGTGGGGGCAGCAAATTAAGGTAAGAGTCTTTGATCAATGACTGTGCATTCCTTTCTCAGGCAGCTGAGATTGTGCTCTGGCAGGCAAAAGTCTAATTTAGTGCAGGACACACTGAAGTCTAGAGAGAGGAGGTTGTCCTTACAGGAAGCAGAAGAGGATTTTGACCGAGATCTCATGGTCCTCAGAGGGTCCTGCTGCTCAGCTACTGGGCTTGATAGAGAGGTCAGGAGCTCAGGTGGCAGGGAAGAAACAGGGCTAGGGCAGCCTAGCAAGGGGTTTCAGGAGTTATTAGGAAATTTTGGGCTGGCAAAAGAGACCCGAGGGTTTGTATTTTTGACCTCATGCTCTTTATGACATTGCCTTAGCTCTTCTAGGGAAAGTAGAAAATGTATCCCTCCCTCCTTTCTTCCATTCCTTTCTATTCTTCCCTCATTCATTCGTTTATTTACTCCTTTATCCAATGACCAATTATCAAGGGTGCTCCGACATGTCAGCCACTGTATCCAAGGCTTAGGATAAGATCATGAAAAAGACAGACCTGGTTTCTGCCTTCATGGGATTTACAGACCCAGGGTGAGACAGACACTAAATCATGAACACACAGATAGATGCAATGATTACAAACTGTAGTTAACTATTATGAAGAAAACAAAAATGCTGAAACAGGAAATTAGATCATCTGTGCTCCCTCCCACATGTTATCTACCAGCCTATGGAGGGGGTTGAGCACTGTCTGGCACCCTGCCCTGCTTATCTCTCACCTGTGACTATTGGCTCTGTCCTGACCCAGCTGCCAGCTCTCCCTGGTATCAGGCAGGAGGTATTTGAGAGCTCTGGCCCACCCCTCTGAGACTATGTCAAGATGGTGGCTGATTAGGCCTTGACCTTAAGCCCTAGACCTATTCCTGAGACAGAGAGCCTGTCTTTTTCTTTTTTTTTTAAACTTCTACAAATATATATTTTATTTTTTATTAAGATATAAATTACATGCAGTGAAGCACACAGGTCTTGTTCTGTCAGTTTTTCTTTATCGTTTTGAAACTCTGTTATTAGATACATACACATTTAGGATTGTTCTGTCTTCTTGCTTAATTGACTCTTTTCTCATATGAAATGTCCCTTTTTTTTATACGTTAAGTTTTAGGGTACATGTGCACAACATGCAGGTTAGTTACATATGTATACATGTGTCATGTTGATGTGCTGCACCCATTAACTCGTCATTTAACATTAGGTATATCTCCAGTGCTATCCCTCCCCTCTCCCCCTACCCCACAACAGGCCCCAGTGTGTGATGTTCCCCTTCCTGTGTCCATGTGTTCTCATTGTTCAATTCCCACCTATGAGTGAGAACATGCGGTGTTTGGTTTTTTGTCCTTGTGATAGTTTGCTGAGAATGATGGTTTCCAGCTTCATCCATGTCCCTACAAAGGACATGAACTCATCATTTTTTATGGCTGCATAGTATTCCATGGTGTATATGTGCCATATTTTCTTAATTCAGTCTATCATTGTTGGACATTTGGGTTGGTTCCAAGTCTTTGTTATTGTGAATGGTGCTGCAATAAACATACATGTGCACATGTCTTTATAGCAGCATGATTTATAATCCTTTGGGTATATACCCAGTAATGGGATTGCTGGGTCAAATGGTATTTCTAGTTCTAGATCCCTGAGGAATTGCCACACTGACTTCCACAATGGTTGAACTAGTTTACAGTCCCACCAACAGTGTAAAAGTGTTCCTATTTCTCCACATCCTCTCCAGCACCTGTTGTTTCCTGACTTTTTAATGATTGCCATTCTAACTGGTGTGAGATGGTATCTCATTGTGGTTTTGATTTGCATTTCTCTGATGGCCAGTGATGATGAGCATTTTTTCATGTGTCTTTTGGCTGCATAAATGTCTTCTTTTGAGAAGCATCTGTTCATATCCTTTGCCCACTTTTTGATGGGGTTTTTTTTTTCCTGTAAATTTGTTTGAGTTCATTGTAGATTCTGGATATTAGCCCTTTGTCAGATGAGTAGATTGCAAAAATTTTCTCCCTTCTTATCTCTATTAATAGTTCTTGTGTTGAATCTACTTTGTCTTTCACAACATATCTTCTATTTATCCTTTTACTTTTAACCTCTCTGTATTTTTACATTTAAGGTGGGTATCTTATAAATAGGATATGGTTGAGTGTTATTTCTTTAAGTGATCAATTTTTGCCTTTTAATTGGAGTGTTTAGTCCACTTACATTTAATGTAATTATTGATTTCGTTGGGTTGAAATGTACCATTCTGCAATTTTATATCTATTTTTCCCCTTTATTTATTTTTCTTTTCTTCTTTCTTTAAATTCATGGGAATTTCTAACATTATATTTTTTATCTCATCTACTAGCTTTTTATCTACATCTCTTTTTAGATGGTTACTCCAGGAATTGCAATATGCACTCTTAAATTAACAAAGCCTACCTTGAATTAATATTATTCCACTTTACATACAATGTAATAATCTTACAACAGTATACTTCCATTTCCTCCCTCCTTTGCTCTATTTTGGACATTTATTTTATTTTTACATATGTTAACTCCCACAATGCAGTGCTATTATTTTTGCTCTAAACAGTCATTTTTCTTTTAAATAAATTAAAAATTAAGGAAAAAGTATTTTACATTTACTCATATATACTACCATTTTTGGTGTTCTTTATTCCTTGATGAGGATCTTATCTTCCATCTGGTACCATTCTTCTTTAGCTTGGTGATGAATTCTCTCAGCTTTTATTTATTTCAAAATTTCTCTATTTCACCTTCATTTTTGAATGATTTCTGAATTCCAACTTAGGGTGATGGGTTGTTTTTCTTTTAGCACTTTAAGGTCTCCATTGCCTTCTGGCTTGCATTGTATTTAGTGGTAAAGCAGTGATCATTCTTATCTTTTTATTTTAATTCCCCTACCTATATGCATCTTTTTTTGGTCGTTTTGGGATTTTCTCTTTAACTTTGTTTTCCAGAAATTTTATTATTACGTGTTTTGGTGATGGTGGTAAAGGCAGAGGTGTGTGTGTGTGTGTGTGTGTGTGTGTGTGTGTGTTTATATTGCTTGGGATTTGCTAAGCTTCTGGATTTGTGGGTTGACATTGTCATCACATTTGAAACATTTTATGTCTTTTAAAAAATCAGTAGACTTTACTTTTTAGGGAAGTTATAGGTTCACAGCAAAATTTAGTAGAAAGTACAGACTTCCGATATACCCCTTTACCTCTCACACATATAGCCTCCTCCACCATCAACATCCCACATCAGTGTGGTACATGTATTATAACCACTGAACCAACATCAACACATTATTATCAACCAAAGTCCATAGTTTACAATAGAGCTCACTCTTGTTGTTATACATTCTATGGATTTTGACAACTGTGTAGTGACATGTGCCCATCATTCCAGCATCATACAAAATTATTTTCCTGTTCAAAACATCTTCTGTGTTCCATATTCATTCCTCCTTCTTTCTCCCTTGAATTCCTGGCAACCACTGGTCTTTTAACTGTCTTCATATTTTATCTTTTCTAGAATGTCATATAGTTGAAATATACAATTTTCAGGTTGTTTTCTTTTACTTAGCAATATGCCTTTAAGGTTCCCCCGTGTCTTCTCAGGGCTTAATAGCTCATTTCCTTTTAGTGATGAATAATATCCTATTGTATGGATGGTGCCACAGCATGTTTATTTATTCATTTATTAAAGGATATCTCATTTGCTTCCAAGTTTTGGCAATTATAAATGAAATTGCTATAAACATTCCTGTGCAGGTTTTTGAGTGGAAATAAATTTTCAACTCATTTGGGTAAATACTAAGGGGAGTGATTGCTGGATTGTATAGTAAGGGTATATTTAGTTTTATAAAAAAACAAAAGAAACTGCCAAACTGTCTTCCAAAGTGACTGTACCATTTGCGTACCCACCAATAATAGATGAGGCATTCCTGTTGTTCGCATTTGGTGTTGTCAGTGTTTTAAATTTTGGCCATTCTAATAGGTGTGTAGTGGTATCTCATTGTTTTCATTCATAATTCCCTAATGATGTATGATATTGAGCATTTTTTCATATGCTTTTTTCATATGCTTATTTGACATCTTTCATTTATGAAAGCCCATCTTTCATATGGTTGTTGTCCATCTGTATTAAGTATCTGTTCATATACTTGATTCACTTTAAATTGGGTTGCTTATTTTCTGAATTGTTGAGTTTCAAGAATTCTTTGTATATTTTGAATAACAGTCCTGTATCAAATATGTCTTTTGCAAATATTTTTTCCAGTCTGTGGCTTGTCTTTTCATTCTCTTGACTATCACTATTTCTTTCAAAATTTTTTTCTGCCCCAATCTCTCTCCTTTTTTGTTTGAGCTCTAATTTTATTTATGTTACAATCCTTGGTATTGTCCCACAGGTCACTGACATTCTGTTCCTTTTTCTCCGTGTACTTTAGCTTTCATGGTTTCATGGGTTGCTTTCAAATTCATTGCTCTTTTCTTTTCAGTTTCCAATCTATTATTAAGCTCATCTAGTTAATTTTTCATTCCAAGTATTGCATTTTTCAGTTCTATAATTTTTACTTGATTCATTTCATAGTTTCCATTTTTCTGTTGAGGTTCCCCATTGTTTCACTCATTTCATACATATTCTCCTTTACATCCTTAAACATATTTGTAATAGATGTTTTAAAGTTTTGTACTGCTAATTCCAGCACCCACATCACCTCTAGGTAAATTTTTCTCCTGGTTATAGGTTATATTTTCCTGCTTTGCATTTTTGACATTTAAAAAATTGTATGCTAGACACTGTGAATGTTGTGTTATGGAGATATTAATTTTTATTGTCATCTTTGAAAGAGTATTGTGTTTTTGTTGTGGTAGGCAGTTAATTTGCTGGTGAGTCAGCTTGACTGTGTCATGAATTGATTTTAGGCTTTCTTAGGGTGAGTATAGAGTAGTCCCTAATGCATAGCCTTCTTGGAGTCTGCCACATGCCGAGGGCGTTCAGCAAGATCTCCACTCTGGCTGGTCATAACTCCACTATCTCCCAGCACTGTGTGATCTCTAACAAAGTAGTTTGGCTCACTGCAGGCTAGGAGCTGTTCTCTGCCAGGCAGCACAGTCTCACCCTGTCCATGCATGGCTTACTAACAGGGCAAATACTATATATATTCCTGGTGCTCCTTCTCTATGCATCTTCCAACTGTCCTGCAACCTGCTTCACAAATTCCAGCTGCCTCACACTCTAGTCTCTGATTCCTTCATGCAGTAAGACCTCTTTTCTCTCCAAATCTGTGCTCCAGGTTTGGAAAGGGCCCACTGGCAGGAAGGTGGGGTGAATGTCAAACTCACCTCCTGTGTTTCCCTTTCTCGAGGATCACAGCCAGTTAGGAGTTAGAATCTTGCAGACCTATGAGCCAGAGTAAACCATGAAATCTTGTTGCAGCTCCACCTCCCTTTTCCACCCACCCCACTGCCCTTGGCTGTCCTGTGGCCATTCTCCTGGGGCGTGGGGAGGTAGGAGAGGAGCAGGGGCGCAATAGGGGAGCCCAGAGAAGGCAGGCAGGGCATTGCCTGATACATTTTGTTTATAACTCCCCAGGGGAGCCCCAAAGAGGGAGGCAGCTGTGTCCTATTGAGCTTGTTGAAGAGGCAGGGAGGGAGGGGCTGCTGGGGAGTGCAATTAGCCGACGGTTTGAGACTGATGAAGTGGATAATGAGAGGTGCTAGGAGAGATTTTTGTGCTAAAAAGAAAAAAAGAGGGAGAGAGACTTTGCACATTAATGTGCTCAGGCCTGACTCATCAGCAACCTATTCCCTGCTGAGAGGCCAGGGATTGGAGGGCACCTCCTTCCCAGGCAGCCTCCTTGGGGATTGTCATCACCATCCTCACCATCACTAACATTCACCAAGCTCACGTGGGCCAAGCCCTATGCTAACCATCTTTTTGTGCTTTCCCTCATTCAGTCCCTAAAACAACTCTATAAAATCAGTTTTATTATCACCCATTTTACAGCTGAGCAAACTGAGGTGCAAGATGATGGAACATTCCTCTGTTACATTGTTAGTAGGTTGTGGAACTGAGTTTCTTGCCATGGTTGGACACCAGAGCCTAACAGATGCAGTCTCAGTCTTGGTCTCATGATGCAGGTTTATTTGGCTTTGGTGATTGTCCTTAAAAATATAGGAGCCTGGCCAATATGGTGAAACCCTGTCTCCACTAAAAATACAAAAATTAGCTGGGCATGGTGGTGGGCGTCTGTAATCCCAGCTACTTGGGAGGTTGAGACAGGAGAATCGCTTGAACCAGGGAGGTGGAGGTTGCAGTGAGCTGAGATCGCACCACTGCACTCCAGCCTGGGTGACAGAGCAAGACTCTTTCAAAAAAAAAAAGGGGGAACAACACATCTCCCAGAACCTACCCTGTGAGAGGCTCTGTGCTAAACTCTGAACCAGGCATGTTACATTTCTTCATTTTAGCTTTGCTTTGTTTTTCAATCATTCCTGATAATATGTATTGGGGAAAGTACTGCTATTTAACTATTTTACCCCCATTTAATATATGAAGATACAGTTTTAGAGCAATAAAATACCTTGTCCAAAGAACCACATCTTACCTGTGGTGGAACAGTGTTAAAATTTATTAGACTTCTATATATTTGCCAAGCTCATGTGGGCTAATATATATTATTATATATATGCCAGGACTTATTCTAGGTACTCAAGATTTAGCAGTGAATAAAACAGATAAGACCCCTGCCCTGGTGGAGCTTACATTCTAGTGGAGAGCCAATGAGCAATAAACAAACAGCCTGATGGAGGTGAATGATAGAGGAAAGTAATGCAGCAGACTGGGAAGGCAGAGGGTGATGTGGAGGTTGGAATTTTGCATAAACCGGTAGGAAGGGCTCACTGAGAATGACTTCTGAGTGAAACTGTGAAGGGGCTGAGGGATCCAGCCCACGGATATCTTGTGGAAGGGCATCTGAGGAGAAGGGAACAGCTAGTACAAGCATCCAGAGGCATGGAGTTGCCGGGCTGCGCAACTCATGGACAGTATTCATGAAGGCAGCAAGGAGAGGGTTTATCCTGGGGGTGTGCAGCAAGGTGGGAGGTGGGCACTGTGTGGGCAGGGGGTGATGTGGCTGAGCAGAGTGATGGAGGGGAGAAGAGAGGCCTTGAGTCAGAGGGTAACTGCAGCCTGAGTGTGCGAGGCCTTTCTGGTCATTATGTGGATGTGGGCTTTAGGCTAGTGAAAAATGAGGAATTGGAGGGTTTTGAGCCAAGAAGCTGCCTGTTAAGTGGACCTCTCTGGCTGAGTAGGACAGCAGGGCCAAGGTGGGCAGACCAGTTGGTGCAAGAGATAATGGTGGTCTTGGGCCCAGTCGGTAGCAGCAGAAGTGGGGAGAATTGATAAGATACTATTTATATTTTGAAAGAAAAGCCAACAGCGTTTACTAGTGGATTGGATATTAAGTGTGAGAAAAATAAGTCAGGGATGGCTAAAGTTTTCTTTCTGAGCATCTGGGAAGCTGGGGCTGTATTTTACTAACGTGAGGAACAGGCTTTGGGGGGAAGATGAGGACTGTGCCATAGTGGGGATGCTAGGGCCGTCTGTGAGAAGTCACAGTGGAGAAGTGGAGCAGACTGGGGGTCAGGCAAGAGGCATGGGTGGGTCCAGGTCCCCAGCTCTTTCTATTGCAGGGGAGAAGCACCCTTTTTCAGACACAAAGTCTTCCCTGATTTGAACAGAGAAGAGGTCCGAGAGATGATTCCCAGACAGGTGCACTCAGCCAACTTAACAACCTCCAATTGGCTTCTGAGTTTTGCCTTCCCCTTGGGTTCTGCCACTCTGATGCCACCTGCCCCATGGCTGAAGTGATCTTACTTTTTTTTTTTTTTTATCCCAAAATTGTCCCACCAGCTCTCTCTCTTACTCCAGGTGAGACTGCCTGATACGGTGCAAAGAACTTGCCAAAACCACATAAGTGAAGAAGAAATACTACTCACCCACTGTGTGACTTTGGGCTGGCGGTTACCTCTCTGGGCTTCTTTCCTATATCTGTTGAGTGGAGACTGTAGAAGTACCCACCTTAGAGTTCATCTGTAAGCCTTAAATGAGGCCATGCCCATCATGGCAGCCCGCAGGTGGAAGTCATTCTCTCACTGCTACACCAGGGCCCAGCCCTGTGATGCATAACAGCCCCCTCCTCTTCTCCTGGGCTCCCACTGCCGGGAGTTCCTCCCCCTTTCTCTCCACACTTCCACATCTTAAGTGCCAAATTTGAGGTCCCCTAGGAAGTTTCCTCCTGTCTCCCCAATTCTCACTAATTAACATCTCCATGGTACCCTGGCCATTTCCTGGAAAGGAAAGAAGGGATTTTGGCACTGGACAGGCCTGAATTCCTAGCTTGACTCTGCCTCTGCCTCTTGGTGATTTTAGAAGAGTCACTGGATCACTTAAAGCCTCAGTTTCCTTATTTGTAGAATAGAACCAGAATTAAATAAGATGATGCAAGAAAAGCATTTAGCACAATGGACTCAAATCAATGTTAAAGCACTTCAGCACAGATCCCACAACTTGGCTGCAAATTGTGGGATCTGTGTCCACCTGAAGTTTATTTAGACCAGAGGCCAGCAAACTTCTTCTGTAGAGAGCCAGAGAGTAAACATTTCAGGCTGTGCAGGCTAGAAGGTCTCTGTTGTAGCTATTCAGCTCTGCCATTGTGCAAAATCAGCCATAGACAATACACAAATGGGAGAGGCTATGTTCCAATAAAATCTCATTTACTAAAACAGGTGATGGGCTTGTTTTTATCCTTCAGCCATAGTTTTCCAACCCCTAATCTAGACCAATCTTCTCACTTAACAAAAAGAGGAGAAAGAATCTCAGAGCTAGCAGGCTACCTACCTCAGGCGCTTGAGCCACCTACTGAAGGGGGGCAGGCAGGAAGGAAGCCCAATTCTGAGGACTCTGTGCTGAATTCTTCTCTTCTTGTTCCAAGTGGGTTAACGTTCTTTCCTTCATTGATTTGTCAGTTGCACACATGCTAGTTACTCATTAAATATTAATTTGATTGGTTTAATATCCCAATACATCTTTGATCCCATCTTGGAAGCTTCTGGATTTGTTCTTTGGAAAGAGCTCTGAAATAAGAGGCAAAGAAGGGATCATGAGCTGGCCCAAAGTCCCTGGTGAGTCAGGAGTTCCCAGTTCCCAATCCTGGAGGATATTGTCAGCATGACAAGGACAGTCTTACAGCACCAGCCACTAGTGTGGCCATGCTCTGCAGCCATGAAATTCTTCCTTTGGTTTCTCCAATAAAAGAATCCTCTAAAAAGAATCTCATCTATTAATGTGATTATTAATCTGGAAAAAAAAGCCCACTTCTCAATAAAATGAATCTATGACAAGACAGATGTAATAAACCTGGTTAGGATTTATGATGTGCCCGGGCAGCGTTTTGCAAAAGATAACGTTCCCCTGTAATGTGGATTTGCCGGATGAGAACCATGTAATTTATTCTGTCAATGTACATAAGAAATGTTATCTGTGTGGGGAATGACTGATGGCCTCATGAAAGCTGGCAGGGAAACAAATAAAACAATTTGGGCCTTGAAAATATAATCACCTAATGATCACATCCCCCTGTTGGTGACGTGGAGTGCAGGGCTGGAAGCTGCTGCTGTTGTGAATTTGTCGCCCAGACAAGGAGCCATTTACCCTTGAGCCTGGCACCAGAGGGCAGCAGGGAGCCCCAAGAGTCTCTTATGAAGGTGCAAGTTCCTCCCTCTGGGCCTTTGCTCAGGCTGTTCCCTCCTCCTGGATGTTCTTCCAGTCCTGGCTCATGGGTCTCTCCTCCACGGCAAGTTCCGTGTCTGCAGCTTTCCAAGCCCAAACTATGGCGACAGCAGGGTTTTTGCCTCCTGAGGACGCTTGCAGCCACTCTCTGGTTCCTTTTTATGCCACTTGGCACTTGTTCCCATGGATTCAGTGATTGATGTAATTTTCTTTTTGAGACTAGACCTCATCTTGTTTCAGCATCTTCTGTAGGAAGGATCATTTCATGCGTGCACCTGAGTGTTCTCTGAGTGAATTAATGCTCAGAGGCGTAGCTACTATCTGTTGAACATGTTAAGTGTGGCATGCACTGTGCTAGATGCTTCACAACATGCTCATGTGAATGGAACCACCCCAAAAGGCACCACTGTTGTTTGCTTTTACGTAGTGGGAACTGAGTCTCCCACTTGAACTGCCGTCCAAGGTTATACACACGGCAAGTGGAGGAGCCAGGATCTTGCCATTGTGATTCCATATTGCACGAGCCCTCTGTGCCAGTCACCCTCCCATGCTGACTGCCCCCTCCTGAGACCCTTCTTCCCTTGGTTTCCATACAGCAACCTCTCCTGTTTTCCCTCTCACTTCTCTTACCACCCCTTCTCATTCTTTCCAAAACCTTCTTTCTTAAATGTTGGTGTCCATCAGCTCTGTGCTCAGCCTTTCTTCCTCTCTCAGCAGCACTTCTTATTCCCTGCTTTAGCTTTCACATGGAGGTTTTGACTCCCAGCTCTCTCCCTGTGTCCCAAGTCCCTCCAGGAACATTCCCAAGGCACTTCAGAACTGAGTTCACCATTGCTGCGCCCACCCATAGCTGCTCCCACCCCTAGCTGCTCCCCACATCCACTCCTCCTTCTGTGATCCTATTCTCAGAGGCTGGCACCTCTCCCATCCACCCACCTAAATGACCTGACAGCCACCTTGATTAGCTCTCCTACCCTGCCCTCAAGGGCAGACATGTCACCAATAGCCTCTTGTTAGCCACTTCTGGAGCATTTCATCTGCCACCTACAACTGTGCCCACTCTAGTCCAGGCCACTCTTATCCACCAGATCTTTGAGCCTCAGCAGAGACATCACCTCCCTAAGGAAGCTTTCTGTAAACTTTCCAGACGAGCTTTAGCACTCTCCAGCCTCCTCCCATTGGACCTTAGGGTGCTTGTCATTCTCCAAGGTAATGATGTGCCTTTAGACCTTTCCCCTCTAGACTGTGAGCTTTCTGAGGGCAGGGGGCCAGGTCTGATGGACTTAGGAACCCTGTGTGCCACATAAGGCTGGGCCTGGTACACAGGAGATGCTCAGAGACTCTCTGCTAAGTGAGTGAGTCAGGGAGTGACACAGGCTGGGGGAAGCCTAGCCAGAGCCCTGCCCCAGAGTGTGCTGGAGAGATAAGAAAGACCTCAGGCAGATGCACCTCTGGTCACTGAGCATGGCCCAGAATCCTTGGGAAGGGCAGAAAGCCAAGATAGCCAGAGGGAATACCTTGGACATGCCCTGGGGCACTGGTTGAAGAGTCCATGGGCAGGGTCATCAAAGGGTATGGAAAGTACACAAGAGGGAGTATGTCTGAGCCAAGGCCAGCATGGAGGCCAGAACACAAGGACATGAGGCTGGCTCTGGCCTTGACAACATGAGGAGAGGCCAGAGTACAGGCTGGAGACCAGGCAAAGCCTCTCATCAGGACAAGGCCAGGGCTGGGAAGTGACAGGGCTACCAGAGACAGGGCAGGGGAGCCTATATGTCAAACACACGCAGGCCCAAGTTCCTGTAGAGAATCTTATCTCTGGGAGTGCAGCATGAGGCTTAGACACACAGCTTAAGGTAAGCCACCACGGCTGGGACATTGAACCTTGAGTCTGAGGAAAGTGATTGTATCATTCAATGCCTGGCAAGAAACAGAATACCCACCAGGTGATTCAAATGAAGAAAGGTAGATGGAGGGACTGCTTATAGAGGTGTAGGCAGAATAACAGGAATCAACAAATGATCACCCCGAGAGTCACAGCAGCAGAGAGCTGCTACTCCTCTGAGGATCAAAAAGAAAAAGGGCCCAGTAAGAGCTGGAGCCAGGGAGGAGGTCTGGGGAGAGCTGTTAGCCACAGAGGGGTATAGCTACTGCCAGAAACATGGTGCCAAAGCAAGAAGGGGGCAGAGAATAAATGACCCAACCTCTCCTTCTGCCCTGCTGATGACTCCCATTGGCTGAACCCAGCAGTGAGGTTAAATTCCCGGGTCATGGAGCAGATTAGAAAAGGAAACAGAGTTGGTCTGGGGGGAAGTGAGGATCAACCAGTACGGTGACTCATTGTTAAGTCTCCCAGCTGATATGCTAAGGCTGAATCTGGAATCTCACTGCAGAATTGACCTGTCTGCTAGTTGGTCTGCAGGCAGGGCCATGAGGGAATCTAGCTTTGGGATTTGGGGAGGCAGAGGCAGAAAGAAGGTGAGCAGCCCTGCATGAAAATGGAGGCCTCCCTAGTTGGTCTTCTGTTCTTATCATGTGCGAACCTTGAGCCAGGTTTAAACACGAGGTCTAGACTGTGCTAAGGCTGAGACCATGACTGTAGGACTTAGTTTCCCTAAAGGTAGAGTGACAACATTAGATCAAAGCAACAATTCTCAAATGGTGTTCCAAGGAGCTCTAGAGCTTGGTGGAGATGCCTCAGGGGTTAGTAAGTATATGGAGGAGGAGGCTAAGAGAGTTGCTGCGGGGAGCCCTAATAAATGCTAATCAGGCCAGCTAGTTAATGAAAAAAGCCTTTCTTGCATTTGGCTTCGAGAGAGCAGCTCAAATGAGTTGGACTTGGAGCATTTCAGCCTGGATGTGGGTACTGCCAGAGAAGGAGGGATGGTAACTGCCAATGCTTTTGGCAGTCCTAGAGTCTGGTCCGTGGTCCAAGAGGCAAAATATTGGGAGGCAGTTAGGGTGGGTCCCAGGCATGTCCTGAGAGATGCTATGGACCAAACTGGGGAGCCAGAGGGAGAGAGAAGATAAAATCCAAGCATCATTCAATGGGGAGAGAAGATCAAAACACGTCTGACCAAGTGAATGTCTTTGGGGATCTTCTGGATGATTCCCAAGTCTGCTTGTCAGATATGATTGTTTCTTCAGATACAGATGGAAAAGCCTTCCAGGTGGGTAGACCAGGAAAAGTTCTGATGAAATTCTTTGATGTGTAGAAATACTACCCTCAGAGGGCCCCCCTGCCTGCCAGTCCCCAGCCTCCCAGGCCCCTTGGCACACACCCTGGTCCAGAATAAGGCCCTGTTTAGATTTCCCACTAATGGCTAGAATCTTCTGGTCTCTACTTGTTTGTGCTAGAGTCCTGAGAAGCCCAACTCAGCAATTGTGGCTTCTGCCAGCCTGTCTCTGGCCTCCCTCTCTTGAATTCTTCCTTCTGCCTTATTCTGTAATCTCTCCCAAGGCTGACACCTTCCCTGGGATTCTGTCCTGAGGGATACCGGCCCCAGTTTATAAGATCTCATTTCTGGCCCCAGGTATTAGGCCCTCCCCATACCCCACCTAAGTCTGCTCCACCTACCAGGACTCATCTAGTTCTTAGCACAGGCTCCCAGTCACAATCGCAAAGGGATCTGATCTGCTCTTGCTGCAATGTGCATGGAAAGAAAGTTGCAAGAAAATGTCATCAACACTTTTATAAAACAAGGTAGTTTAATCTGAATACATGTAGCTTACAGTCATAACAAATGGCTAACATTTATTGAACAATTCCAAAGTTCCAATTCCACTGTGCTAAGTTCTTCACACACATGATTTCAATTAAGCCACACCACAGCTCTCTGATAGTGTGCTTTTGTTATCCTCAATATATACAGATGAAGAAACTGAGGCTCACAGAAGAAATGCCTTCCCCAAGCTCCCACAGTTAAGAAGAGATGGAGCCTGTGTGTGTAACAACTCCACTCACCATCATTTTGGGGTTGGGAAGAGAAATGAAGTCTTCTACAAATCTCTGAAAAGGCCCTTCTCAGCCACAAATGGAGGAAACAGCACAAAAATACAGACAAACAACACAAAAAGGCTGAACAATAAGCACCATCTCCAAGAAGCAGAGCAATTAGGGGAGAAAATAAAATAGCTTTTCTCTCTCTGAAATAATAGGCTTCTATTAATTCTAAAATATTTTGACTTTGTTGTTTATGATAAGAAATCCAAGTTTGATTCCTTCTGCTTGAATCACCTCTCCTCACTTTATTGTATAGTCGGCCTTTTCCCATCCTTCAGGTCTCAGTTTTTATATCACCTCCTCAGAGAAGCCTTCTGTGACCGTACAAACATAAATTGGCCCTGTGATTTTCTGCTGGACCCCTCACCTATTTCTTCACAGCGCTGATCTGCTCAGCACCATTTGCAATTGTCTGTATGTGCATGTGTGGTGTGTGTGCATGTGAGCTTTTTCTTCTGTTCCCCTCACCCCTAGACTATAAGCTTGGTGAGGCTAGAGACCACCTCCTATGCATTCATCCCTCTAGAACCCACACCCAGCCTGAGGCATATCAGATGCCCGCCCAGTAAGCTGGTGTCTAAAAGACAAATGAATAAATGTGGTGTACTTTTATTTATCATCCTTCAGAAATCCATTTTTATATTCTCTGATCTTATTTAATAACATATCACTTAAGAACAATTTGATATCCGTTGCAGTATGTAGACTGGGAAATCATGTAAATGTGGTTATTACTTTCTGGCTATCAGCGATGCTTTTGTATTGTTGGAAGGAAGAGAAACAGGATAATAGAAAGAGCATGCGTGGGCAATTGTGACATCTGGGTATGAGCCTTGGCTTTGCTGCTTACCAGCTGTGTGATCTTGGGCATGACTTTTCCCTCTCTGGTCCTGAGTTTTCTCAGCTATAAAATGAGCTTAGACCAGGGACTCTCTGGGGCTCTTTCAGCTGTAAGAGCTGAGACTCTGAGAATTATATAAACCTAACTTGTATGTGGTTAAAATGATTGGATTTGGGGTGTCAAAGCCTGTTTTGAGCTGCACTAGAACTAGAATGGCATTTTGTTGAGATGCAGTCCTGCCCTAAAGTCAGGAGACTTCTCATGTCACCTGTGTTGTTGCAGAACCTCCCCGTTATCCATGTGTGCTGCTGGGAGTGCTGGTGGAAGGCAGAGCTACACCTCTTTCTCTCTTATAGGCCTGTTCTTTGTCTTTCCCATCCTGAGAAGCTCTGGAAACTGAAGCTGGTAAGAAAGAAGCTGCAAAAAGAAAAAAAAAACAACCTTTTTTATCTCCCACTTCTATCTTCTCATCCTCAGACCATAAAGCATCCAATCACTACTCAGCAACTGGGCTGGAATGAAAGTCACAGGAGATGTGACTGAGTTCCAGGCGCTGCAGCCTGAGGAGCCAGGAGGAGCCCAGGGGGTCACAGGGTCTGCCAGGGCCAGTGTCTCAGTGCGTATTAATTGGTGTTTAAGTGGGTTCATCAGCGCGGAGCGGCTGCCGCCACTGCTGAGCTCAGCCCGGGCCCAAGGAGCTGGGAGCTGGGTTAATAACACCTTATTTAGCAGAAAATTCCACTCCACTGGAGCATGTTTCAGAAGGAGTTTGATATGAATGAGGATTGATGTCAATCCTGCAAGGCAAAAGCGCCTGAAGCTGCTACTGCAGCCATGGCTATAAAACAAGCCATTTGTGGTGCCTGCAGGAAGGCATGCAGAGTGCAGGAGCACCTATGTCTGTATACCCCACACCCCCGTGGGATGGGCAATCCTGAAGGGACTGGCTAGTGGGAGCCCTGGTGCCCTGAACATTCTTAGGCATCTTTTAGCTTTGGACCAAACAGACCAGGGCTCAAATGGGCCCCACATATTTATTCAACAGACCAGGGCTCAAATTTGGAACTGCCAGTTCTCAAATGTGTGATCTCAGGCAACTTGTGTAACCTCTCGAAGTCTTGGTTAACTCATCTCCACAGCAGAGATATTAAAACCTGCCTTGGAGAGTTGATATGAGGCTTAAGGAAGCTTGTGCACAGTGGGTTACAGAACGACCATAGTTTCTGGCATGGAGGTGGCCCTAAATCAGTTTGAAATCCCATTTCACTTCTGTCCCAGGACAAGGCGAGGATGTGTGGGGTGGGAAAAGGAGTGTGGATTAGAAAAGGTTCTTACGCCTCCCTCACGTGGGGTGCCATTTGAGAGTGACTTGTCTCCAAGACTTGCCCTGCCTGTGGTTTATTTGGACAGCTTGGACTGAGAATCTAGTGAAAAATCAGATCCTGTCTGCCTTCAACTCCTGTCTGTCTTTTACCCAAAAGTGTGGCTGGCAGGTCCTAATGGCTCCAGGTCCAGGGGAGGCCTCAGAGTTCCAGATTAGAGACAATATGGTCAGGTTGGTTCATCTCCACAGATCTGTCTGGTAACGGCAATAAGGAATGAAATCTCTTTTTCTTTAGTTTCTTTCTTTTCCTTCTGCTGGTGCTGTGATTCTCCATTCCCATTTGGCAGCCCCTGTGTATGCAGTGTGCACTGGGAGGAAGAGATGGAGAGGGGAAGCAGGAGGCCTGCATCCTAACCTTTCTTATACCTGTCTCACCATGACTAAGTACTCCCCATGCTGGCCTCAGGAACACTGCCAGGGACCTGAAGCTTTGGTTTCGAACAGCTGTAATGTTCCTAGATATTAAGTCTGAGCAGAAGAAGCTCTGAGTTACTGTCTCACAGCTCTGGCAGGAGACATGGTTCCTTCTTCAAGGAGGAGTCGAGAGCCACAGCCACATGTTTTCCAGCTGCAGAGGATGAGGCAGTGAGAATGGGTGCACCCAGCACCATTGTGTCTCCACTGAAGGGCTTTGCGAGTGCCTCGAAACGGGGCCTAAAGCAGCTTTCATGTTTATTTTTAAATCTTTTTGGGCTTGCTGTTCTTGGCGGTGCTGATTTTAATTCTTCTCTTTCTCCAGCCCTTTCAGACGAGAGCTGGTTGACAAGGCATAGGCACGATTGTGTTTGCCCAAGTGCAGATAATATCAGATGTGGCAGATCCGCTGAGCCCCAGCTTCCGAAGAGAAATAGAACATAATAAACAGGTACCAGAGGGAGGATAAATAGGGAGGATTAAATCTGAACAAAGGCGGGAACATCTGGGACATACAAAAGCTTGTTTGGAGAATTGCTTGGGAGAGAAAGGAATGAAGAAGAAAGCAGCCCACTTCACCCCGCACTCGGCTCTGCTTCTGGGCTCTAGCAGGCACACAGTGAACACAGGGCAGCCTCTGGGGAGGGGTGGATGAGGCTGGAGCACAGTGGAATCTGTGTTTCTGGAGGATCCCAAAAGGCAAAGCTCTGGTTCCCCCCCACAGCTGTCCCTGAGGCAGAGGCCAGGGAACACGCAGGCCCTCTTCCCCTTGTGTCAGCCCTCGTTGTCCCTCCCTCAGCCTACTTTACCTGCCATTGGGGTCCTGAATCTCCTCTTTCGTAAAGTCATCTTTGGCTTCCCTGAGATAAGCAGGCAACCTCTGCTCTTCCTTGCATTGTGTCTGGGCTCTTTCCCCCTGGACCAACATGTCTGATGGAGCGTGGGCCCTATTTCAACGACTAGTTGAAGTGCTTAAGTGGTTGGGGGAAAGAATTTAGTTTTCAAAAGTGCCTTAGATGAGTCTCCTGGACAATCCGCTTTTCGGAAGCCCTGGTGACCACCACTTCTCCCCAGTATGGTTCTCTTAACTATCTTCTTGCCTCTTGCCTCATCCCTCCACTCTGTTCTCAATGCTGTGATTGGACCAATCCAAACAAAAAGGGCCCCAGTTAAAATCCTGCATGGAAAGGAAGCACTTCCAGAATGGCAGAGGAACAATCTTCAACAATCTACTCCTGCATGAAAGCAATGAGAACACTGGAAACACTGTCAGAATCGACATTTTTAGAACTCTGGAAATTAATCAAAGGCTCACAACAATCAAAAGAGTGTTTATTCAAGAAAAATGGCTTGGTTTCATCAAGTGCAGTGAGCTTTGTGGCATTTCAACTTGTCTTATTCTCATGCCTCTGTCCCTAGCGCTGTGTTAGCCTTGAAAACCAGCAGCCTCACAATCACAACAGCTGTGAAAACCACTAGCCCAACAATCATGGGATGGGGAAGAACAGGTTTAGAGCCTCAAACAAAAGTTTTATTTCAAAAGAATTGTAACTATTTGATCTGTCTGGCAGTTCCCTGGAAAAACCCCATCACAGGCTTGCCTTCATTTGACCTAACTAGAAGCTTGTTCAGTGAGACACTCTGTCTGCAGATCATTTGTTCAAAACAATCACAGGCAATTGTTTAATATCACACAGTTAACTGAGTTGGGGATACCTGCTGGGGTGAACAAGAGGCTGGCCAAAAAGCTTATATCTGGTGAATGAGATATTGAAGGGGGCTTTGAAGTGCTCTGAAATATTCCTGTGAATCTAGAAGGCCCATATGTGTAGGGCTGTGCACACGCTCAAGAAAGACCTGAGAATGCCCTAATCTCTCACCTCTGACCCTGGAACTCTGCACAAGCAGGAGATGAAGGCTTGGGCAGCGTCATTAATTTTCAGAGCCCTGAAGGTGTGTCTTAACCACACATGGAGCCCCCCTCAGCAAAGGATGGGAGGCTTATTGGTACTGGTTGAAGTTGTTTAAGGAAATCTCTGTTCAATCATTAGATAATCACTAAGGTAACTGAGCAGAGACCTCAATGGCTGCAGACTTTACAGACTTTATAGAATTAGATCAGAAAAGTCACTAAATAAACAGCAATAACAACAACAAATCCAGAGGAGGGGGGAAATCTGATTTTCAGAGTTGCCACAATATATTATTTAAAATGTTTAGTTTTCAACCAAAAATTATGAAACATGCAAAGAAACAGGAAAATATGGCTCATACATAAAGGAAAAAAGTAGTCATAAGAAACTACACCAAGTTTCTTAAGAGGAAGCTGAGATGTTGGGCTTACTAGAAAGACTTTAGATTAACTATGACAAATGTTTTTAGAACTAAAAGAAAGGACATCCAAATAATTAAAGTATAAGAGCAATGTCTCACTAAATAGAGACTATCACTGAACAGATAAATATTATATATATATATTTATATATATATAAATATATATATATTTATATATATATAAATATTATATAAATATCATATATATATGAACCAAATAGCAACTATGGAGTTGAAAAGTATGAAAACTGAAGTGAAAATTTTACTAGATAATCTCAGCAGCAGGTTTGAACTGGCAGAAAAAAGGACTAGCAAACTTGAAAATAAGTCAATTGAGGTTACCCAGTCTGAGAAACAGAAAAAAAGGAAAAAATGAGCAGAGCCTCAGAGACCAATGGGATGTCATGAAGCATACTAAGATATGCATAATGGAAGTCTGAGAAAGAGAGAAGAGAGAGAAAGATGCAAAAAGAATATTTGAAGAAATAATGGCCTAAAATGTCCTAAATTTGATGAAAAACTTTACACATTCAAGAAACTCAATACATTTCATGTAGAATAAAGTCAAAGAGATCCACACTTAAATGCATCATTGTCAGATGGTCAAAAGCTGAAGACAAAAAGATAATCCTAAAATCAACAAGAGGAAAATTACTCATCACATACAAGAGATCCTCAAAAAGATTAAGAGCTGACACTTCATCAGAAACCAGGGAAGCCAGAGGCTGTGTAATGACATATTCAAGATGCTGAAAGAAAAAGAAGGTTAACCAAAACACTCCAGCTCATCACCACTGATCATTAGAGAAATGCAAATCAAAACCACAATGAGATACTATCTCCTGCCAGTTAGAATGGTGATCATTAAAAAGGCCGGAAACAACAGATGCTGGCAAGGATGTGGAGAAATAGGAACACTTTTACACTGTTGATGGGAATGTAAATTAATTCAACCATTGTGGAAGACAGTGTGGCAATTCCTCAAGGATCTAGAACCAGAAATACCATCTGACGCAGCAATCCCATTACTGGGTATATACTCAAAGGATTATAAATCATTCTACTATAAAGGACACATGCACATGTATGTTTATTTCAGCACTCTTTACAATAGCAAAGACTTGGAACCAACCCAAATGCCCATCTGGATAAAGAAAATGTGGCACATATACACCATGGAATACCATGCCGTGGTAAAAAAGAATGAGTTCATATCCTTTGCAGCTCATGGATGAAGCTGGAAACCATCATCCTCAACAAACTAACACAGGAACAGAAAACCAAACACTGCATCTTCTCATTCATAAGTGGGAGTTGAACAATGAGAACACATGGACACAGGAAGGGGAACATCACACACTAGGGCCTGGCAGGGGGTGGGCAAAAAAGGGGATGGAGAGCATTAGGACAAATACCTAATGCACGTGGGGCTTAAAACCTAGATGACGGGTTGATAGGTGCAGCAAACCACCATGACACATGTATATCTATGTAACAAACCTGCATGTTCAGCACATGTATCCCAGAAGTTAAAGTTAAAAAACAAAAACAAATAAAAGCCTCAAAAACAAAGGAGGTATTAACACATTTTCAGATAAACAAAAACCAAGAATTTGTTGGTAACAGGCTTGCTCTACAAAAGATACTAATGAGAGTCTCTGAAGTTTAAATGAAAGGACAAAGCAGTCATTTGAATCCACACAAAGAAATAAAGAGCACAAGTAACAGTAACATGGGTAAGTATAAAAAAATAGTATAAGTACATTTTTGTTTGTAATGATTTTCTTTTCCTATTGCACTTAAAACACAATTGCATAAAGCAGTAATTATAAAATTGTGTTGAGGAGCTGATAATGTATAAAGACCTAATTTGTATAACAATCAACAAAGGAGGAGGAAACAAAGATATATTGGAACAAAGTTTTTTGCATATTATTGAAATTATGTTGGCATTATCCAAACTAAATTAAGTTAAGAAGTTAATTATAACTCCCAGAGAAACCACTAAGACAAGAACTAAAAAACAAACCATGGTAATGAAACAACAGAGAATTAAAATAATACACTAGAAAGTATCTAGCGTATACAAATGAAGGCAGTAATGGAAGGGTAGAGGAACAACAACAACAATAACAACAACAAAAACCCATGCCATATAGAAAACAAATACCAAATATCAGATATAATTTCTACCTTATCAGCAATTACATTAAATGTGAATGAACTAAACATTCCAATCAAAAGGCTGAGATAGGCAAAATAGAAAAAAACTCATAATCCAACTATACGCTATCTACAAGAGGCACACATTAGATTCAAAGACACAAATAGATTAAAAGTAAAAAGATAAAGAAAAATATACTGTGCAGAGTAAACAAATAAGAGCTGAAGAGGCTACACTAATCAGACAAGTAGACTTTAAGATTAAAAACTGTCACTAGAGACAAAGAACATTTTATAATGATGAAAAATCTATTGGAAATGCATAACAATTAAATATATACATTCACTTAGCAAGGCCCCAACATCTGTGAAGCAAAACCTGATAGAATTGAGAGAGACATAGAATATCCAATAATAATAGTTGGAGACTTCTACTCCACTTTCAATAATGAATGGAACAACAAGGTTGAAGATCAACAAGGAAATAGAAGACTTGAACAACATTATAAAGCAGACACTATGCAGAATATTTCACCTAATAATGCAGAATACACATTTTTCTCAAGTGCACATAAAACATTCTCCAGGATAGACCATATGTTAGACCATAAGACAAGCCTCAATAAATTCAAAAGAATTAAAATTATGCAAAGTATGCTCTTTGACCACTACGGAATAAAATTAGAAATCAATAACAGAAGAAAAAGTGAGAAATTCACAAATACGTTTAAATTAAACAATACATTCCTAAATAAAAAATGGATTAAAGGAAAAAAATCACAAGGTAGTTAGAAAATACTCTGAAATAAATGAAAATGAAAATGTAAACACAATATACCAAAATGTATGGGACACAGCAAAAGCAGTGTTGAGAGAACTTTATAGCTATCAGCACCTATGTTAAATAAAAAGGCAGATCTCAAATCAATGACCTACATTTCCACCTTACAAAACTAGTAAAAGAAAAGTAAACCAAAATCAAGCAAAAGGAAGAAAATAATAAAGATTAGAGTAGAAATGAATAAAATAGAGAATAAAAAATAGAGAAATTTAATGAAAACCAAAAGTCAGTTTTTGTTTGTTTTGTTTTGTTTTGTTTTTGAGATGGAGTCTCACTGTATCGCCCAGGCTGGAGTGCAGTGGCATGATCTCAGCTCACTGCAAGCTCCACCTCCTGGGTTCATGCCATTCTCCTGCCTCAGCCTCCTGAGTAGCTGGAACTACAGGAGTCTGCCACCATGCCAGGCTAATTTTTTGTATTTTTAGTAGAGACAGGGTTTCACGGTGTTAGCCAGGATGGTCTCGATCTCCTGACCTTGTGATCCGCCTGACTTGGCCTCCCAAAGTGCTGGGATTACAGGCGTGAGCCACCACGCCCAGCCAAAAGTCAGTTTTTAAAAATATCAACAAATTGACAAATCCTTTAGGAAAACTGTCCAAGAAAAAGAGAGAAGACTCAAATTATTAAAATCAGAGATGAAAGAGGTGACATCACTACAGATCTTATAGAAATAAAAAGGATTATCTGCTATACTATGAATAACTGTATGCCAACAAATTAGGTAATATAGATGAAATGAACAAATTCCTAGACAGATGTAAACTACTGAAATTGGCTCAAGAAGAAATATAAAAAACTGAATATATCTATTACAAGAGATTGAATTAATAAAAACCAAAACAACAATAATAAGAGATTCCAACAAAGAAAAGCCCAGGCACAGATGTCTTTGCCAGTGAATTCTACCCAACATGTAAAGAATTAATACCAATTTTTCATGAATCCTTCAAAGAAATAGAAGAGGAAGAAACACTTCCCAATGAATTCTATGAGCCCGGTATTACCCTAGTACCAAAACCGGATAAAAATAACAAGAAAATAAATCTATAGTCCTTATTAATATAGACACAAAATTCTCAACAAAATACTGGTGAAATGAATCAAGGAATATATAAAAATAATTGTATGCCATTGCCAAGTAGAATTTATTCCAGGAATGTGAAGTTCTTTTAACATCTGTAAAAACAACTAATATGATATACCATATTAATAGAAAAAGGAACAAAATCTACATGATAGTTTCAGTAGATGCAGAAAAAGTATTTGACAAAATCCAACTCCATTTCAAGATAAAAGCACTCAATAAAATAAAAATGGAAGGTATTTTCCTCAGCTTAATAAAACTCATCTATGAAAAAAACCCACAGCTAACACACTGGTGAAAAACTGATTGCTTTTCCTCAAAGATTAGGAGCAAGACAAATATATTCAGTCTTACCATTTATATTTAACATTGTAATGGAGTTTCTAGCCAGGGCAATTGGGCAAGTAAGGGAAATAAAAGACACCCAGATTGGAAAGGAGGAAGTAAAATTATGTCTATTTGCAGGTGACATGATCTTATGTATACTAAATACTAAGGAATACACACACACACACACACACACAAACTATTAGAACAAGTCCAGTATGGTTGCAGAATATAAGATTAATATACAGAAGTCAATTATATTTCTATATACTATCAATAAAAAATCCAAACATGAAATTAAGAAAACTATTCTATTTACAATAGCATAAATAGTATAAAATTATCAGGAATACATTTAACAGGAGTGCAAGACTTGTATAACCAACAATACAGTTGAAAAATATTGTTGAAAAAGTTAAAGAAGACCTAGATAAATGGAAAGACATTTCATATTCATGGTCAGAAGCTTTGTTAAGCTGGAAATACTCCCCAGATTGATCCACAGATTAAATGCAATCCCTGTTAGAATACAAGCTGACTTCTTTGTAGAAATTCACAAGCTAATTCTAAAGTTCATATGAAATGTAAAGGGACCCAGAATGACCAAAATAATCTTGAAAGGCAATAACAAAGTATGAGTACTCTTACTGCTTGATATCAAAACTTACTACAAAAAAAAAAAAAAAAACCCGGTAATCAAGACAGTACAGGGCTGGCATAAGGATAGACATGTATATCAATAGAATGGAATTGAGTTGATAGATTAAACCCATACATCTATGGCCAACTGATTATTAACAAGGTTGCCAAGACAATTCAATGAAGGAAAGAATAGTCTTCAACAAATGATGCTGGACACTGTATAGCCACTTGCCAAAAAGAAAGAAGTAGAACCCTACCTCACATCATATACAAAAATCAGCTAAAAATGGATCAAAGATCTAAACATAGGAGCTAAAACTATAACACTTGTAGAAGAAAATGCAGGAGAAAATCTTTATAACCTTGGATTGGACAATGGATTCTTAGATTTGGCGCTAAAAGCACAAGTGACAAAACAAACAAAAAATAGACAAACTGGACTTCATCAAAATTAAAACTTTCATGCTTCAAACGACACCATCAAGAAAGTGAAAAGACAAATCCAAAAATGGGAGAAAATATATGCAAATTATATATCTGATAAGGGTATTGTTTTCAGGATATATAAAGAACTCTTACAACTCAATAATAAAAAGGAAAGTAACTCAGTTTTTAAAATGGGCAAATAATTTGAACAGAAATTTCTCCAAAGAAGATATACAATTGTCCAATAACCACATGAAAAGATGCTTAATATAATCAGTCATAAGGGAAATGCAAATTAAAACCACTACGAGATACCACTTTACATGCATTGGAATAGCTAAAATAAAAAAGACACATAATAACAAAGATTGACAAGTACATGCAGAAATTGTAACCCTGATACATTGCTAATCAAATTGTAAAATGGTACAGCCACTTTTGAACAATTTGGTAGTTCCTCAAAAAGTTAAACATAGAGTTAACTCTATAATATAATAGAACATTTCCACTCCTAGATATATATCCAAGAGAAATGAAGACATATCTTCACCCAAATGCTTGTACATAAGTGTTCATGGCAGCATTATTCATGACAGTCAAAAAGTGGAAACAACACAAATGACCATCAACTGATTAATGGATAAATAAAATGTGGTATATCAATACAATGGAATATTACACAACCATAAAAAGGAGTGAAGTACACACTACAACATGGATGAACCTTGAAAACATTATGCTAAGGGAAAGAAGCCAGTCACAAAAGATCACACATTGTATGACTGCATGTATATGAAATGTCATGCATAGGCAAATCCACTGAGAAAGAAAGTGGGTTAGTGGTTGCCAGGGACTGTCAAGCAAGGGGGAATGAGGAATGACTGCTAATTAGTATGGGATTTCTTTTGGAAGTGATGATGAAATGTTCTAAAATTAGATAGGTTACACAACTCTGTGGCATACTGAAGAATCACTGAATGTTACACTTTAAAAGGGTACATTTTATGGTGTGCAGACTACAGCTCAATAAAAATGTTATTTGAAAAGACTTCATGGCTTCCCCATTGCTATCAGGATGAATTTCCACCTCCTGCAGGATGAGACTCCTGCTGATCCCTCCAGGCTCATCTTTTGTTCTCCCAACACCCAAGCATTCAGTGCTCCAGCCTCATGACAGATCCCTCAACATGCTCCCAAGTCCTTATCTCTGCACCTTGAAGCTTGCTGTATATACAATGTAGAGGGTATGACCAAGGGCTTGGGAGTCACATCCTAGCATTGCAGACTACTGCTTCCAGCATGATGCTGCCTCTTTGCCCTAAAAATGGCCAGACCAATACTGACTCCATCTCTGAACACTGAAGGATGCTCTATAAAGTTCAATGACCTCTTACATTAGATGGCTCCATGGCCCACCTTTCCCACAGGCTTTCCTGGAGATTCCAGTTTTTCTAGTTACTGGGAACTTAATCTAGTAGACACAGAAACTGCTCTCCTAGTTGGTGGTAGGCTCTCAAGTTGAAAAGCCAGGTGAGATCAGGGGCAGGGGCACTAGACTAAACCAGATATTGGGTGAGCGTATGGAAGAAGCTGACCAGGAGAAAGGGAGAACATGCAAGAATGTCAGTGAGAGAGAGAGAAAAGAGTCTACACAGCCCTGGGGGATGAACAGAGAAAGTCCGGGTTCAGCTGCACTTCTGAGCTTTTGTTCTGTGAGATCTTTTTCATAATGTGCCCTCTTTATGTGAGCTAACTTGATTGGTTTTCTGTTTCTTGCAAATCAAGCATGTCACCCTCCTTTAATGCCGAAAATGTCCCTTTCTGCCCTTTAAGACCCCAATAGGTCTCTTCCATCCAGGTGTGTATTTAGCCTTTCCTGCCTGCACCAATGACAGGTTCTGTGGCTTGGTCCCAGCATGCAGCAATGCACATCCTGTTATTATTCATTACACTTTCTCTTTGAGCTTATAAGATCTGGGGTTGGACAGACAATTTTTAAGCTTCAGCTTTTCTGCTGGAGAGCTCTCCTAGATGACAGTCTGAACCTTTAAATCCTGTATGTCTTGCAATGAATGTCTCATCTTTCTCTTACAAATTTCTCTAAACTAGCCGCCTGCCATCATGCTGTACTTTGAGGTTGTCACCACTGGCCTGACAATACCCAGGCAAGAAGAGTTAGCCTGACTCTGTCCTCTCACTCAGTTCCTAGTAGCTCATCCACAGGTCTCTCCTGCCTGGCTGCCTCTTCACTGGCCTCCCTGCCTCCAGCCTCTCTCTTCTTCCTGTTGCTCTGCATACATTCGCTCTATGATGCTCCCCAAAATACTGCCATGACATCAGCTAAGACAACTAACACGTGTCACATATCTACTGTGGATTTGTATACTGTGCCAAGAGCTTTAAATTTTAATTTATTCTACAATTAATCTCAAGAGGGAGCTTTTAGTTTCTCCATTTTATAAATGATAAATTTGAAGCACAAAGAGGTTCAGCAACTTTCCACTCTATGCCTAACTCCACACAACGAATCGTGATTTAAACTCAGGTCTGTCTGACTCTTGCTCTTTCAAGTAAACTGGACTGGGTCAGGTTATTCCCCCATTCAGAGACCTTCCACATGACTATTTCCCAGAGACAAAGTCCAAAGTCTTTTTTTTTTTTTTTTGACATTCAAGGCCCTCCATGAGCTGGCCCCAACCTGGACCTCCAAGTGTATTAGTCTGTTCTCACACTGCTAATAAAGACATACACAAGACCGGGTAATTGACAAAGGAGAGAGGTTTAATTGACTCACAGTTCAGCATGGCTGGGGAGGCCTCAGGAAATTTACAATCAGGGCAGAAGGTGAAAGGGAAGCAAGGCACCTTCTTCACAAGATGGCAGGAAGGAGAAGTGCAAGCAGGGGAAATGCCATACACTTATAAAACCATCAGATCTCTTGAGACTCACTTATTATCAAAAGACTAGCATGGGGGAAATCACCCTCATGATTCAATTACCTCCACCTGGTCCCTCCCTTGATATGTGGGGATTATGGGGGTTGCAATTCAAGATGAGATTTGGGTGGGGACACAGAGCCAAGCCATATCACCAAGTAAACTGACCAACTGAAGGTTCTTATAGTCATCTTTTTATTTGTTCCCTGAATTTTCATTTGGATTGTTCACCTCACATGGAAAAGTCCTTCTTCTTCTAGGAGGAACATGTAATCCTCTGATGTATTGTCTGTTGTGGGCTTTCCCTGAAAACACAGAGAATATCCTCCCTTTTGCTCTGCAATAGAAGGGTTTTAGCAAATTCAGTATGTGCTGCTTGGGTAGGAGGAGCAGAAAATAAGAAAAGGAGAGAAAACAGGACATATGAGCCCCAAAATTATTATTGAGAATTATTAAGGTGTCTCTATAATTGATGATCTAAACCAAAACACGTTTGAGAATAAAAAGGGTGCTATTCATCATTATGTGGAACAACAGACAAAACCTGAGACTCTCCTAAGACACCAGGATGGATGGCTGCCCTGGTAATTACCCCATTATGAATCTCATCTCCCCAAGACAGGAGTCAGAACTCACTTTCCCAGCCTCCCTTGCAGCTACTGGTAGGCATGTGACCTGGGCTCCTCCAATCAGCTGCATCTATGAGAGCCTTCCAGTCAGCAGAGGACACCTTGAGGCAGGAGGCTCTGTGTGAATGCTGAGCTGTTGGCAAAGGGGTGGAGGGTGGTAGAGAGCCATCAAACTTTTGGAGGCAGCGGTGATGTCCTGGGAAGGGTATTCCATGCTCCAGGCCCACAAAGCAAGCTTCAGTGCCTGTGCCTGAAACAGCAGGACCATATCCACAAATGGGCCAGTCATATGACTTGAATGTTGTTTCTGGCGATGTAGAAAACCAGCTCTCCAGTCTTCCCTGAAATTCTGAGTGATGTGGCAACGTTTGATATATTGATTTTTTCCTTAAAATCAGTTAGAGAGGGTTGTGGGTTCTGACTCATGCAACAGGGAAATATACAGGTGTTTTGTTGTTAGCTTGTTTGATGTGTGTGTGTGTGTGTGTGTGTGTGTGTGTGCATGTGTGTGTGTGTGATGGAAGCAAATTTCCCAAAGAGTAGAAGGTGGCAGCCTCAAGGCTGTAGGTAATGGAATTAAAAACAATTTTGTTCTCAGCACTGGGCATTCCTACAGAGGGTCCTATAGATGTTCAGGTGGCCGTAAAGCTAAACATGGCTTTCCTGAGACCAGCAGCTGCTCCTACAGCAAGAGCAACAGACATGGGCCCAGCAGGGCCTGTGGTCCCCTCAAACCCACCTTCCAACTCCTAAGTCTTATGTCTTAACTTGCTGTTCTGAGAACTTTCCAACAGCCCGAAGTGGGAGCTTCCCTGCAGAGAGGATCTGTTGAGGGGTGCCTGCCTAGCCCTTTGTCCAGGAGCCTCCAACCCTGGGCAAAGCCCTCCTTCTCTCACTTCCCCAGGCCAGCCATCCCCATAGTCAGTTTAGTTTGGCTCTTGCCATGTCCTTCAAAACCCAATTCAAATTCCTCCTCTTGCTCCAAGTCTTCCTTGCTCATCTAGCTCAGTGATGCCTCTCATCTGCTTACACCCCTGTGCGCCAGTTGGTTACATCATCTTGACCACTCGTTTAACAAAGAATCACATTGTCTTGTCTAGAATTGTGCTATTCTCTCTCTCTTTTTAAAGTGATCCAATTCGTCATGTGATTCTGTTAAGTTTCCCTGACTTGAGGGAAGAGATTATGACTTACACTCCTAATTTCCTCCCCATAATTTCCTTTATAGCATTAGCTGAGTGTCTTCTTTGTAGGAGATTTTCAAAAGTATTTGTTGAAAACAAAATAAGCCAAACCGATATGAAGTAGAAAAATGAAAGGAGATAAAAGCTTCCAAACTGTTGGCTTTGGTTTTCTTGGCTTAGTCTGTCATTGGCTGTTTTTAAGTACTCAGAGACCACTGTTTACGTGTCTTTCAGGTCAGTTTCTCTTGGGTACACGTGGGGAAGGCTCATCTTTCCATGAAGTCGCAAGTCACCAATTCAGAAATGTGGCCCAAGAGGACTTGCTGTTCTCTTCTAGCCTCTCCCGGGAACAGTTGCTTTTCAGAGCAAGCATGGATCTTGGCCAGCCTTCTAGGGCACACTTTGTATCAAGAGCTTGTAGTCTAGAGTTCAGGAGCAGGGGCTTCAGAGCCAGACTACCTGGTTTGAATACCAGCTCTTCCACTTTCAGGCCCCTGAAGACATATCCAGTCCTTTTCTTCTGAGCGCACAGAAGACCACCCTGCCTAGCTTCTTTGCAGCTATGTGGAGACACATGATTAGTCTGGCCAATGGGATGTGAGAAGAGATAATGAAACTCAGAGGAGAACTTGTGAGATTTATGCAAGTTATTTAATCACTCCATGCCTCAGTTTCCCCATGTATAAATGATGATAATAATATTTATCTTATAGGATTGTGGTGAGGATTTAATTAGCTATGATAGGTGAGATGCTTAGAAGGTGCTTATAAAAGCGTAGCTATGATTATTGTTTTAAAATGATGTTATTAGAGAAAGAAAAATACATATGCATAACAATTGTCAATAGAAAGATCACATAACAGTGCAAAGAGGCTTACAAAATTCTCCAGGATGTATATGTATCTACACAAACATCATAGAGAAGCAAAAAAAAAAAACGAACAAACAAAACAGATGCCAAATTAAGGGGGAGCCTGGAGGTAAGCCCACTTTTCTGGCATTTGGAGATTCTGTCTTGAATGACCCTCCACTTCTGGATGGCTGGCCCCTCCTAGTGTGCTCCAGCCAGATCCATATACATCCTAAAACAAGTGTGTTTTGCTCCCAAGTCACATTGCATATTCCAGCAGAAAAGCAGCTCTATTTATTCTTTAGGCAATTCTTTGGTCTCTTATCACTTTGGATTTCAGGCCTCTGAAGACATACCCATTCCTTTTCTTCTGAGCCCGCAGAAGACAACCCTGCCTAGCTTCTTTGCAGCTACGTGGAGACATGTGACTAGTTTGGCCAATGGGATGTGAGAAGAGATGATGAAACTCGGAGGAGAACTTGTGAGATCGCCGTGACTGCTTTTCCCCTGCCACAGTGGCTAAGAGGATAAGGCTATCAAGGGTGGAGCCTCTCTAGGCCTGGGTTCCTGGGTGCCTGTGTGGAGCCGAGACCCCAGGCTAACTCACAATGAACACGCCGTGTGAGGAAGACGTAAAGCTTTATGTATTAAGCCACTGGAGCTTAGGGTTTAATTTGTTACTGTGGTGTAGCCTACCCTATTCTAACCAATACAAGGATCTTTGGATGACTCTCCTCCAGGAATTCATATACAAAAACATCCTCCCTGCATGAGAACTCCCTATATGGTTCCAGCAGTATCTCTCACCTGCAATAGTGACTAAAGTCAAGACTCTCTGCTGGCTATTTCGTTTCTACTGAACTAGGTATTGTATTTGCTCTGTTATTACCTTGCTGCCCTGACAATCCTACAATCCACACAGCAGCCAAAGCGATCTTTTGAAAAGAATGCAAAATCAAATCAGATCATGCCATTCTCTTGCTTAAAGCCGGCCGATTCACCATCCCTGCAAACCATGATACTCAGAATCAAATGCAGATTCCTTGCTATGGCTTAAAGACTCTCTGCTTCTCTGACCTCATCTCCTATGGTGCTGCAGCTACATTTGTTCCTACTTCAGTCTTTGTACCTGGCTGTTCCCTCTGCCTGGCTTGCTCTTCTTCCCTCTTGTTATTTAGAGCTCAGCTTAAATGTCAACTCAAGGGTATCTTCCCTGACCATTGCAACTAAAATGCCCCTCACTCACACATGTGTCATTCCATTGTACCACTCTGATTAATGTCTTTATAACACTGATCAACATCTGAAAGTATTTTGCTTAATTATTTACTTACTCATTTTTTTCTCCTTTTTCCCCACTAGAATATAAATTTGAGCAGGACATGGACCTTTTCAATCTTGCCTACCCTCATATCCCAGTAACAAGTGGCTAGCAGAGTACCTGACACATCATGGATGCTCAAAAAATATTTCTTGACTAACTGGATGAATAAATGAGTGAATCATCATCAGGATTGCTGCTCGTGAACCCCTCCTCTTGCAGCTACCTGCCTTTGAATTTGCCCTCAGGCTTCCTAGCTAGTTTCTTCTTTAGCCTTTCTGACCCATCGTTCCTTCCGTAGAGTTCAAGACAACACTGCTCCTCCTATGAACCAAAAGAAAGTGCCAGCGGCTGTTGGTGACGAAGCTCTTCTTTTCTAGGCAATAAAGCCCCCTCCAGTTGTAGCAGTTTTCTCTGGAATGGTAAGTCCCTCAGATCTGGGAGTTAATTGTTACTGTGGCAGAGGCCAGGCCACCCTGACTGATAGAAGACCTTTTGGGAGATTCTTCTTTCCCTGGATGAGGTTGTACCCTGTTTATGTTGGATAAACAACTCAAAACCAGTAGCATAGAATGTTAGTGCCAGAGGGGAACTGAGAGACTAACATGTTTTCCTTTTGCAAATGAGGAAACTGAGGCAGAGAGAAGGGAGGGAAATTGATTAAGGCCTTTGGCTTATTGGTTCATTCCTTTGATCGCTGTGATGGATGTTTCCCTGTCTTTTTAACCCCCCTGGCTTGTGTACCCTGTTCCAAGGAATTCTCCAACTCATGACTCTCCAACTTATGATGGGAAACAGAGCCCACCTCCCACTCAAGAAAAAAACAATGCTTGCAGCACTATTCTCAATTGCAAAGACATGGAATCAACCCAAATGCCCATCAGTGATAGACTGGATAAAGAAAATGTGGTACATATACACCATGGAATAATATGCAGTCATAAAAAGGAGGAATGGGATCACGTCCTTTACAGGGACATGGATGAAGCTGGAAGCCATTATCCTCAGCAAACTAATGCAGGAACAGAAAACCAAACATCACACGTTCTCACTTATAAGTCGGAGCTGAACAATGAGAACACATGGACACAGGGAGGAGATCAACACACTCTGGGGTCTGTTGGGGGACGGGAAGAAAGCATCAGGAAAGATAGCTAATGCATGCTATGCTTATTACCTAGGTGATGGGTTGATAGGTGCAGCAAACCACCATGGCACACGTTTACCTATGTAACAAACCTGTGTGTCCTGCACATGTACCCCAGAACTTAAAATAAAAAAAAAAAGGCAAGGCTGAGTACTCCCTTTCCCAGGCTCCCTTGCAGCTAGGATGTGGGTGTGTGAGCAGGAGGGTGTGCAAGGCTGGCAGCTCTCCCCAACAGTCAGGGTTTGAGTTTGGGGGTGGGGCAGTGCTGCTGTGGGAGGGTCAAGGGTCAGTGCTTGGTGATGGTGGTGGTCTCAGCTGCAGGGTCTTGCAGCTAGCTGGGGATGGTAGTGGTGTCCTCCCCAAATAAGTCTGGCTGGGTAGCTTAGGCCACTGTTCTGCTGTGGGGTCCTGGTGCCCTAGAACTTGCTCTGATTCAGTGTGCTATTCAGTAACCCTCTAAGAAATTGTTTTTTCCCTTGAACCAGGCATGGCTGGTTTTTCTTGCTTACAACTAAGAATCCTGACTGATTTGTTTCTTCATTCACTTATGCAGCATATTCTTTTAAAACACCGACAGTGTGTCAAGCACTGTGTTAAGTGCTAGAGAACAATGGTGAGCAGCACAGATGAGTGCAGCCCTCATGAAGCTCACACTGGAGATAGTTAGATGATTGGACAGGAAAAGCACATTAAATTGCAACACACACTCCACTAGGAAACACCCACAGTGACATGGGAGCATTTTAGCAACCTGACCTCATCTAGGGGTGATGACAATAGAATACTTCCTGGAGGAGGTGACATTTAGGCTGAAGGAGGAGAAAGGTTTTCTGGGCAAAGAGGGAGGAAAAAGACAGCTTTAGGCTGAGGGAATGACATTGAAGAGGGCCAGAGGCAGGAGAGAGAACATGACCTTCAGAGGAACAAGCAGAAGTTATTGTGGCTGGAGCAGAGCATTCAAGAGAACAGTGATACATGACAAGGTGGGAGAAGTGGCCTAGGCCTGATGGTGCAGGATCTTGTCCCCCATCTTACAGCATTTGGAAATGTTCTTAAGGGCAAAGGAGCCACTGAAGGTTTTCAAACAGGTTTGTGACAAAGCTGGGAGTGGGACCCAGTATCCTTCCTCCTAGTCAGTTATTTTCCCTGCATCATCTGCCTTCAACTCTTCTGCAAAATGGAGTCTCAGGTCTGCAAGACCCAGAGAAAGCAATCCAGCAAAAAAGTGGTGAGTCACACACACAGCTCTTCACAATAGTCTCAGAGGAAATACAATTTCTCTGCCTCTTTTTCCCAATGACTGTAAGACTGCTTGTGCCTTTGCAATCCAAGGGGACTCTGCCTGTGCTGAGGGTGTGGTGACATCTGAGGGATGAGCTGGCTTAGCTTGGAGGGAGGGAGACTGAGGGGCACTGTGGCTGCCTCTGAAGGATTGTGTAGGCAGTGACTGGGAGCTGCCATCGACCCTGCCCACTCAGGGACCCAGAGAACAAGATGGGTGGGGCCCTGCAGAGGACATGGGGGCAGGTGAAATATCCCCAGCCTTGGGCCAGAGACTCACCAGGACCTCTTTCACAGAGCTGGGGGATGCTGGGGGAGGGGTGCCTGAGAAAAGTGGGCCCTGAAGGGGCAATCGCACCACCTAAGACCTTGAGTCTTCATGCTGTGTGGCAAGTTTGAGCTTAGTTCTGGGAATATCAGTGTAAAACAAAGGCTTTGAAGTCAATCTACCGTATGTTCAAATTCCAGCACAGCTACGACTTACTGTGTGACTTTGGGCAAATCATTTAGCCCCTCTTTTCTTCACTTTCCTCATCTATAAAATGGGTATAATAGTAATAACACCCATTTCAAAGGGTTGTGGTACAGTTTAAATCAGTCCATGAAGTACTTAGCTTTTTGCTGTTGTGACCTAGAGGGTGAGGCAAGGCAGCAAGAGTCCAGGGACCCAGGTGTCTAGCCCTCCAGAGTTCAAGTCAGGGAGCATCAGCATCTTGGCTGTGGTCAAGCCCAGTCCATGTGCAACCAGCAATTGGCCCTGTGGGTACCAGGAATCAGACGTCCCCTCTGCCAGAGGAGAGGGGACAGAAAAGGGTTGGGTAGGTACCAGAGCCAAAGTTGGGAAGGGCAGAATTTGAGACAGGCAGGCTCCTGGTCTAATTATAGACACTGAAGTAGAGACTGAGCAAGCATTGTGGTAGGTGCGGAGGACTGCACCGCATGCTAGGCCTGGGCTGACGAACCACAGCCAGTCATTTCTTCATTCCTTCATTCACTCAGAACCAGTGGATTCAGCCCCTGCTCTGTACCAGTGTCTGGGCCGGGCATTAGAGGGATGGCAGTGAGTGAGAGACATGGCTCTCGCCCTGGTGTAACTTCCAGTCCAGCAGAGAAGACAGACTTACAGAGTCATTACAATGACACTCAATGACAGGTATGTCAAGGGAAGTAAAAGGTGCTACAGAGCACATGACAGGGGACCCAATAGGATGGGAGGTAAGGGAAGGCTTCCTGCAGGAAGCAATGTATTAGCTGAGAGTTGAAGGAGGAGTAGAGTTTACCAAGGTGGGAAGAGAGGAGGGAAGGGAGGAAGGAAGGGAGGAGAGTGCTCCAGGCAGAGAGCATGGCATGGGGGAAGATGTGGTCAGAGAGAACACGCTTCTGTGGAAAAAGAATATGAGTTCAGTGGGTCCAGAACTAGACATAAGGGGATAAAGTTTGAGGTGGCTGGAGATGAATGCCAGGCTGGGCCCTGGAAGGTGCCTGGAGGAACTTGGACTTCACTTGCTGGCAATGGGGAGTTGCCAGGAACTTACTTTAAATAGCAGATGAGCAGCACTGATGGGACGGATTCCCCAGCATTGTGCAGTGAGGAACCAGAACAACTGGACATGGTGGTCCTAAGTGACCCAATGGGGCAGAGGCTCGGAGTGTCCCTCCTGCCTGGGACAGGATGTGCTCAGGGCATGGGAGTGGCTGGAAGGGCAGTGAAAAATCTCCTCGGACCCTCACAGAGGAGGGTCTGAGGGAGCCAAACAAGACAGAGGATGGTCCTCAGGGGCCCTTTTGAAAGATCTGGAAGGTCCCTCTCCTTGAGACCGTCACTGCTGGGTTGGGGGTGGGGCAGAAGCCAGGAGAGGGGAGGCTGTGAGTCCCCTGTCTGCCTGGTGATGTGGCCTGGGGAGGAAGGGGAAGGTAGCTGCTCTGAGTGGGACATCAGCCCCGCTGGCACAGAGCTCCTTGTCAGCTGTACAGTGGTGCCAGTGGAAGTTACTATGACTTCCCAGGTGATTGACTTCTGGGATCAAGACATTTCTCAGTTTGAAACCCAGTTTAAAAAAAATCAATGTTTTGTATTCAGTGGTGTTTGGTTAAAAAAAGAAAAATAGCTGCAGCTTGTGCTTTAACGGTAGAAAAGACAGAGCCCCATCAATTATGATGGGGAAAACAACAGCGTCTTGTTGCGGTTTTGTTCCTTCTACTCCAAAAATATTAAGTCATTTAGCCCTACAAGCCATCCACTTGGCACGTGGCAATGTCTTCATTTGAAAAGCAGGGGCCCTGGAGGCTTAAGGGGCAGTGTGATTTCTCCCAAACCAGAACTGCCGGGGAGCCTGGGAGTCTCACTGCTGGGGACCTGCCGATTGCTTGACCCGTGAGCCCCTCTGAGGGAACTCTGCAGCATCCTACAAGGCCTGCCCTTGTGCCCCTCATCTGACAGGCCTCCCAGGCTATTTGACCCCAGACCCTGCGAGGCACCCCCTCTGTGTCCCACAGCATTGAGTGCCAACTTCAAGCATAGCCCTTATGAAATGGCAAGTTCCTCTGTTTCTTCAAGCTCAGCCTGGGTTCATCCATGGCTCACATCTGCCTTTTCAGCCCCAGCCGCACATTGGAATCACGTGGGCTTTTTAAAGCTGCAATACTCAGAGCATACCCCAGGCCAATTAAATCAGAATATCTGAGGCCAACACCCCCCATATCAGTGTTTTTTAAAAAGCTTTTCAGGTGAGTCCAATATGTAGCAAGGTCAAGAACCACACAACAATGTAGAAAGCTCTCAAAGGGCCTGTTCTGAGTCAAGTTCCCTCGTTTTATATGCTCCAGTTGTTCCTTCTCCCAAACCTGTTTGCCCTGTTAAAGTTGAGAATGTGATATGAGAGTCGATGGCAAGAACTGGCTATTCTGGATGGGTCTTAATAGGGGCCATACTTCAACAGAGATACCAGGGTTCAGCCCTACAAGTCCACATATTCAAGATGCCTGCAGAGAATGAGATGCAGGAAACTGACTCAAATTGACTAAACTCACAGAAGCCTGATATACAAGCCAATTGCCACCTATTTCAGGCGAGACTGTTTATTTCTATGACCAAATTTAATTTCACCATTTGGAGAAAATTCTTTCTTGGGGGAAAAAAAAATCCCTGAAAAACAAAAACAAATTTCTATGTGTTTTCTTATCTTTATATTTCCAATATATGTATATTTTTTAAAGTACAGTGAAACCATTCTTGTGATTTATTCATTCTTGTGATTTATTCAATCTTAAGTGATCTTCTGTGTAACTGTATCATATTCATAATCATCTTGCAAAAAGACCCATCAAGGAATGATGCCAGAGTTTACTGAGCCGTTTCCTTTTGTTAAACTTCCAGCTATTTTATTATTTTCACTATTTTAAATCGTGTAACATCGTCATCCACATCACCATTTCCACATTAAGCACTCCTTTCTTAGGCCGATCCCCAGAGGTGGGGCACCTGAGTCACAGATGTGAGCATCTCTGGGACAGCTCAGCCTCTCAATCCTCCACCATTGTGCTGTGCATGGGATCTATTTGACTAGATCAATAATTTCCTAATGCTCCAGAAGGTGTAAATGGAACAAGGGAAGTTCCACGGTCCAAGTTGGATTAAGCAACATGAAACCACATTTTTTAAAAGCAGGACTGAGGTGAAAATAAAAGTCGAGTCAAACAATGTAAAGGTAGAAACTCCTTTTACAGCAGGACCTCTGTGAGCCTTTATTAAGCTGGGAGGGCTTTGGCACTGGGAGGATTTCAGCACACCACATTTACAAAGCTAACTTGACCTTAGACGCTTTGCTAATAGAGCCTCTTATGGGGCCAGTTTTCCAGGGAAGGCGTTTTGGGAGAAGCTGGACTAGGAGATCTTGAAGATTTCTTTACGCTCTGAGGTTCCGAGGTTTTCGATCTAAGTAACAAAGCCAGCTGCTGCTGCCGCTTTGGAACTCCAGGGCTCATTCTTCCAGTCCATTTCCTCTGACATTGGCCTACGCCAGGCCTTCGTTTTCTCACTTGAATGACTCCAGCAGCCTTCCACCAGGCCTCCTGCCTGCCACCTCTTCCCCGCTGCTCCACCCTCTGCAGCCTGTCAGACCCACTTCTTCAAACTCTGATGCTGTTATTCTCTGCTCCAGGGATCCTGTCCCACCTCCTCCTCCAGCCTTCCTCAATGTGGCTGCTCTGACCAAGTCTGCCTTGTTCCCATCACACACTCAATCAACACACGAGCCTGTGTGCTGCGGCAGGGCCTCTATGCAAAGGGGACCTGGGCTTTGGCTACCCAGGGAAATCCTGGAGGTAAGCAGAGGGCAGTGAGTTGGCATTGGGAAACAGGATGGGAGAAGTGCAAAGTCCTCACCTCCATGTCTTCTTCAATTGAATAAAATCAAGAGGTGCACCATGTTGGCCAGGGTGGTCTTGATCTGCTGACCTCGTGACCCACCCGCCTAAAATACAAAAATTAGCTGGGCGTGGTGGTGCGTGCCTGCAATCCCAGCTACTTGGGAGGCTGAGGCAGGAGAATCTCTTGAACCAGGGAGTTGGAGGTTGAAGTGAGCTGAGATTGCGCCACTGCACTCCAGCCTGGAGACAGAGTGAGACTCCATCTCAAAAAAATAAAAATACAAAATCAAGAGGCAGATGCTGTCTCTGGTGGAGAGACCAATGCCTTGAGCCCAGGCTCCCTTGTCTCCATGGCAACCAATGATGGAATTGGCAGCCAGGGGTCTGGGGTCTACACCCCTCTTCTCCAGAAACTTGAGTGCCTGAGGGCTTCTAGGGCCTGACTCTGGCATTTATGCCTCCCTCCTTCCCCTATCTCCCTGTTCTCTCTCATTTTCTTTCTACATGTATCCACCTATGTAATCATCAAGCCTCTTTGAGTGTGGTTCCCAGACTTGAAGATCAGAAAATGGTGTAGGCCTTATATCCAGATTTCAGCTCAGCATTTATCAGGGGCTCTCATCATACATGTAAGGCACAGCAGTAATCATGAAGTCTGTTTATTGCACCCCTACCATGGCCCAAGCCCCTTTCATATACATTGTTTCATTTACTCATAAATCATGAAATGTCAGAGCTGGAAGGGGCATTAGGGACGATTACTCCATTTAGCGATTAACTTTTTTTTTCTAAGTGAAAATTTTCTGCAGAAGCTCTACATACAAAGCAGATAAAATTGGTGCTAGTTTGGTTGAAGTGGGGCTGGCTCAACTGCTTTAGCCTCACCCCTTGTTTCATGAGAAATGAGGTTCAGAGAAGGGAGGTCACTTCTAAACTCACAGTGAGTTGAGGGTGCCTGGACTTGGCCCTGCAACTCCTGGCCCACAGTGCTGTGCATTTTGTGCTTTTCCACCCTGACTGGGGATGTGTGCTAACGTGGATGGAGCTCTGGCAGCCTCTGACTGGCTGCAGAGGGAGAGGCCATGCCTTCTGTTTACACTGTGACGCAGGCATATGCAAGATGGACAGATTCCCATTGAGCAGGTGGTGTGGGGAGCCCCTGCAGATGCCACTGGGTGTGATTGGATATGTGGGCACCAGAAGCCCTCACAGGACAGGCTCTTGTACTATTGAGAGCCACACAATCTAAGGCTATAGCACCTCTGAACATTTCTAGCACCTCTGGAGGCAAACAAGCATTCCTCATTTCCCTAGCATAGGCAGGCTTGCTTTATGTAAGAACGGGAAATAGCAGCTCTATTTTCTGGAAGTGGCTGATCCTGGAGGACCTGCAGACTATTGGGAAATCCAGGTTTGCCAGCACCCAACCCTGGGGGAAGCCTGCACAGCAGGAGCCTCCCTTGCCTGTCTGAGCCAACACATTCACCAGGTCTCCTGCAGAAAAACATCAGCTGGCCATGCATGTTGAGAGCAGAGTGCCTGGAAGTGTCAGAGTAGGAGGGAGGCGGATCCTTTGCTCATCTTGAGGCAACAGCTTTCTTCTCAGGCTCTTCCAAAGGGTGCCCATGCCATGTATGTGGGAGCAGGGAGGGTGGCCAGACCTGATTCTGCTACAAGGCTGGCACCTGTTTGCATTAAATAAGATTAGACTTGGCTATAGAGATGGGATGATTGTGGCTGAAAGGGTGGAGAGGTGATGACGACAGTGCTGGAGATGTGAGAAGCATTGCTTAGTCACTCCAAAAGCATTACTAGACAAGCTTCTGTGTGCCAGACACAGCAAGGACTAGGAAAAAAGATAGACATGGACACCCCCTCAAGGGGCTTCCTTGAAGATGTCCCTGGCCCCCAGGTCAGGTCAAGACAGCTGTTATTTGCTTTCTGGGGCCCCTGTGCTTTTCTTTCATAGCACTTGTCATAGTGTGCAATAGGTGTTTCTGTGATTACTTGATTTCTGCCTGTGTCTACCTCTAAACTATAGGCTTTGCCCACTCTGTATACTTAGGCCAAGGACCCAGTCCAGTAGGTACTCATAAAATATTTACCAGATGAATAAAAAGAGAGTCACTTTTGGCAATCTCAGTAGAGACTTCCTTCAAAGTCCAAGAATTTACCCTTCAGCACAGCAAGGGTTCTATGCCGACAGATTAGGCACTGTACATGGCAGATCAGTGGCAAGGAAGTGAAGACATTTTTGGCTTAGCCTTAAAGGAAATAAAATGCTTGAATGTTGCTGGGTGGGGTGGGCCAGGCTGGCATTGATGGCAGAGTGGAGTGGGAGGTAAACAGGATGGGAGGAGAAGGCTCCAGGCTTTATTCTAATGGAATCCTCAGCTTATCTTCTGTCCCCAGTTAGATCCTCAGTGAGAGGATCAGGGCAGGAATAGGACGTGCCCATGTCAGGAAACCATGGAAAGCCACCCTGCTCATTTGGACTCGAAGGGATAGTTGGAGAGACTGAGGTCTTAATCCAGCAGATCATGCCCATTGGTGTCCAGATTCTGGGGGGTGAGTGGGCATAGAGTTGGCACCAATAGGCAACATCATAATCACCATAGCAGGGAGCAAGAACTCCTCCTATGCATGGAGGAGAGGCTAAAGGCCAGATGCCTTCAGTGTCCACTGCTGTGCCTGGCTCCAGAATCTTCCTCCTCAGGCAGCTCCATGGGTTGGGGAACCTCTCACCACTGGAACCTGCAGAGAAGACCACTGTGAGGTTGGGTGGAGGAGTCCTCCTCAGGTGGTTCTTGGCAGCGACTTCCTAACTCCAGCAGCTCAAGGAAGCATTGAGACAGACACTTTGAGAGGAAGTGTGACACCTGGATATTGCACAATGTAATGGAACCAGCCAAGTGTTAAATGTAGCTTTTAAATAGGTTTTGTGTTCCCCATTAACTGCCCTGATGTTGATTAGCCCTGACAGCCAAGGAGAAGGGGCTGGTCAGCAACTTTCCCCTGACAAGGCCTCCCTGCTCCCCAGGGCAATGAGAGCTCAGACTATAATTCTGTCGTGTTCTGGAGCTGCATGGAGGGGAGTGGGTTGGGGTGGGGTGCCTCGAGGATGGCCAGCTCCCTGGAAGGGCTCTGGTGGGTGGCCTCAGCCCTAGGCTCCCATTCTCTCTCCACTCCATGCTCTACCCCCTCCATCCCAAGTAGAGTTGCCCATGGCGGCTTAGAGGTAGGTCAGATGAAGATCTCCCTTACCATGAAGGTATGGACAAGGAGCCACACTAATGAAGGATTGCTCCGTCTGCAGGTCTCCTAAGAACAGAATTACCCACTGGAGTTGGAAACACTCGGATGGTCAATGGGTTCTGATCTGCTTATCAGCCTTCTCTAGATGCATCTTCAAACTGAACATGTAGGCTTACATAGGTCTTGCAGTCAGATGGACATGGATCAGAATCCAAGGTCTAGTATTATTAGCTACATGAACCTGGGCTCAGCCCAGATCAAGCAAGAGTCAAAGAGAATGCATGGAGATCATCTAAGAGCCCAGGGAGTCCTCTCATCAGGATGCCAGAAGGAAGGATATGACTGAAACCGTGGAAGATTCTAGAAATCTGGTAATTCTCAGGCTTATCTACCCTCATGGAGCAGCATAAAAGATGACCATAAAGGGTCCTGTGGGCTTGTCCTTGGGGAGAAAGGGGCAGGAGGAGCTGGGGATATTGAATCCTGACTGTTAGCTATGATCAGTGTTCATAGGACTGCTGGTAGCTCCAGAAGATGGAGGCAGCAGGATGTGCCCCTGGGCTTTCAGGAAGGAAGAACAAGCCCAGAGAAAGTTGTCTGGGGCAGAGAAGTGACTCCAGGGTTTTAAGCCTCAGGGTGTTGAGTCCAGAGGAATGGAGATGAGGTGTTTCTCTGCCTCCTACTCTCATCATACCTCATTGAAGAAGACTTCTGGCAGCTGATCTCCTATTTATATTGCCCATCTCAGGCCCTGGGTCCAAAGTTTTTCCAAAGGAGAAACATCCCCTTTGTGTGCCTTCCTTCCTCTGGGTAAAATGCTTTTGTTCAGCTCTGGGCTTGAGGAGGCGAAGTTGTAAAGTCACAGTTTGTAATCAGTAGCTCCACCTGCCTTTTGCATCTCTCTCTGTAGGTTGCCTGATTTAGCCTCACCCTTACCCCTCTGTTCTGGCAATGTCCACTTTCCCTGGCCTTCTCCCCAAGACAAAACCTCTGAGAAGTCATTCAACACACTCAAGTTACACTGTTGAGTGGTTTTAGCTCTCTTCTTTCTGACTCTAAAGCTCATGCTCTTTCAATCACCCCACGTGGTTTTCACATAAAAATTCTCATCATAGCACAAGTCTCTGAAATAAAAAAACTGGAAATAACCTAAATGTTCAACAATTAGGGGGTTGTATAGTAAATCACGATGTATCCATTTGTTAGAACATTATACAGACATTAAAAGTGATCATCACAGAGACTGTATAGCAACTTGGGGAAAGGTTTATGATAAGACACTAAGTGAAAATACTACAATTGCTTTGATTGCAATGATGGAAAATATGTCAGTGTGTCAACAAGGGCTGCAAGATAATATGCAGAGGTGAAAAATAGCTGTGTTTTGGGTGGAGTTTTTTCTTTCCTTCTAAAATGATGTGCTTCTTTTAAATTCTTCTTGTGTAGTCGTTTTTCTTCCTGTGAGATAATTTTTCAGGGTTGGTGTAGAGCACACAAGAATATATGGTGAGACAAGGTCAAAATCTGAGAAATTTCCACAATGGGGACCCCCCAGTTTAGTGATGCTGACTCCTTCATGTTAAGAGGCTCCAGCTCAGACATAGAACCTCCATATTGTGGTTAAGAGCAGAGGTTTTGTAGTCAGATGGACATGGATCAGAATCCAAAGTCTAGTATTAGTAGCTGCATGAACCTGGGCTCAGTACAGAGCAAGCACTCCTGTGCAGTCAACACAACCAGACACAGGAGATAAACTTCTCAATACATTTTGAATAGAGAATGTCCTACAATCCCCTTCCTCCATAATTAATCAGCAGTATTGGCTGTTTCGATTCTCCAACTCTCTAGTAAAGCAAGGCTTCATTGATTTTATTTTTTGGCGAGGGGTTTGCGGGTGAGGGTTGGGGGAGGGGGGCAGGGGGAGGTGTGTTGTCTGTCACTGTCCATGGTTCTGAACCGGCACTACAACAAGTATATGGTTGTTTCTCTGGGAAATTGCAGGGCTGGCATATCCTCTGCCCCACCCTATTTTTCCATAGAAGTACATTTATGCTAACCACTTCAATGTGGTCTTCATCAGTGTGAGGTTAAAAAACTTTGGAATTCTTGGAGCTTGGCAGGAAAGGGAATTAGAAAAAATCGCAAGTTGTGGGGGCAGGAGTGGTAGATGATATGTCAGCTCTTACTGAGTTATGACCCTGGTTAATGGCTGCAAGACATATCATATGTTGGGTAGAAAGTTTTGAGTCATGGCAGCCTTTGTGAGCTTTGAAACTAGGAGAGAAAAACCATAAGACCAACAGTTGGTACTGGTACTACTTCTTTAATCTGCAGTTGTCACAGAGTCTTGGTGTACTTTATAAAGTGTAAAAAAGTGGCTTTGATGATCTGTTCCATAGACTATCTCCAAAATGACAGCAACCAGCAAAGACAACTCCAATAGGAAATAATCTGTGACTACTCTCTGTCTCTGTCATCTCCTTTCTCTATTTATCTCTGTCTTTCTCTGTGCTCATGTAGTCTCTCTGCCCCTCCTCTCTCCTCTTCTTCCCAGCCCTCCCTGCTCTCCCTTCAATCTACTTTTGCTTGTAAGAAAAACACTATGTAATTTTCTTTAAAAATTAATTCTACCCTACAAAATATGTCTAAAATATTCAAGAGGGGGAAAAGTTTCTTTAATAGAACTGTTTCTTCCAGCATAATCAAGTTAATGAGTGCCTCCTTATAATTTAATGCGAAGTAATTTTCACACTGGTGGTGAGCTTCAAAGATAGGTGAATAGATAATTAATAGCATGATTCCCCCTGGCAACCAAGGTAAACTTCAGTCCTGATTGGGCAAAAACAGTCAAGAAGAGGATGGAATTAACTACAAACAGCCACATTTGTCACCAGTGCTCTTTGGAGCAACAAGAAGAGAAAAAAAGGCAATAATGAGTGTTGAAAGAGGATGGGATGGGTTGTAAACCTAAAGTTAGTTGCAGAAGATTTTTCTGTTCATTTGTTTGTTTGACTATGAAATTTGGTCTGAACTGAACTGGAAAAGCTAGAAGGCAGGAGTGACATCCAATTTTAATAAAATCAATGGCAGGCAAAAATCATTTTCAATGTGTTTGAAGAGAGAGTCTGCTCAATTCATGGGCTGCTGGAGCAAGCCATCACATGGAGGTTAGTCTACTCCTGCTCATTAGCCCTGAAAGTCAGAGACCAAGGCAAGAGCAAACCCAACCCAGGAAGGCTGCTGACATAGGATGTAGTCAAAGAAATCTGCAACCTAGTCAGTCTTTAAAGCCTGTGGACACTTTCTACATAATGCCATCTTAATTTCTCCATTTTCTCCATTCCCATTGCCTTCATCCAAACCTTTATCATGTCTCACCTGAACTATTACAATATCTGTCTATCTTGTTTCCACATTGGCCAGAAGTGCTCTACCTACTACCCAAATCTAGTCATGCTGTTCCCTGCTTAAATCTCTTCAAAGGGATAGGAATACTTATCATAACATAGGGATACATGATACAAACTCTCTACTTTTGAATACAAGGCCCTTCATGGTCTCACTCTGCTTCCCCTCGCCAGCCAGCCACATCGCTCCCCTCTCTCCTCCCTTACCCTACTGGGCATCCTATTATTAGACTTTCTGAACAACCTGCCATTCCACTAATTTGTGTGTCATGCTCTCTCCCTTTTCTAGGTTAATCGTTTTGCCTGGAAATTCTCTTTCCCTCTCCAATCCTCTTCTGACTGACACATGCCCTTCCAGATCCTGGCAAGGCACTATCCCTGCCTTCCCTGACCACTGTCAACATCAAAGTCTTGGCCAATCGCTCTTTTTTTTCTTTTTTGAGATGGAGTCTCGCTCTTTCGCCCAGGCTGGAGTGCAGTGGCGTGATTTCGGCTCACTGCAAACTCTGCCTCCCGGGTTCACGCCATTCTCCTGCCTCACCTCCCAAGTAGCTGGGACTACAGTCACCCGCCACCGTGCCCGGCTAATTTTTTATACTTTTTTTAGTACAGACGGGGTTTCACCGTGTTAGCCAGGATGGTCTCGATCTCCTGACCTCATGATCCACCCGCCTCAGCCTCCCAAAGTGCTGGGATTACAGGCATGAGCCACCGCACCTGGCCAATCACTCTTAGTATATATTTCCTAAATACTCAACACATATCTCTATTTTAGTGCCTATTACCTTGCTTGACAATGGTTTACTCCCCTATCTCTCTGTCTTTACCATAGGCTCCTAGAGGACAGAGAGTGTGTCTTGGTTCTTGTGGCACCCAAGCTCTTAGCATGGGGCCTGGCACATAATAGGCACTCAGTAAATGTTTGTTAATAAATAAATGAAATAAGATTGCTAAGTAAAAATTAATTATAGACAAGGTTGAAAGTAAGAAGGGAATAGACCTATCCCTAGACAATGCATTTATTTAAGTCTTTATTCAAATAGAATTTTCTCCTAATTTTAATATACAACTGAGGAGTTAATGTCATCAATATTTGTGAAATTTCATACTTTCAATAGGAGAAAAATAGTACCTGTGCACAAACAGCAGCTATAAGTGAAACATGAATGGTGATAACATGAAGTGCTTTGGGAGAATAGAGAGGTGGGGTGAGATATTGCTATTGTGCATGATGGCAGGGAGGCATGAGGCCTCATGTAGCAGTTAGGAATTATCTGCCCTGACTTTCTGCCTTTATCTCACATGGTGCTCATCCTGCACCATGACTGGTGGCTAAAACACTGAGTTTCTGGAGACTCAGCCCTGGCCATAAAGGTAGAAAAGGGATCTTATTTTGTCCACTACTGTCCACACTCTTTGTTTGCCCCAGTGCCTAGTTTCTAACCCTGCCAGTTTGGTCTTTTCTTCCTGGCTCCAACTGGCCTGGAAGAGACACTCTGTGCTTGTTTTCTTGGAATCTTCTAGGATTTAGGTTTATCAAGCTCTCCCTACTGGATGTTTTAGGGGACCCCTGAGATCCTACATGTGCATCAAATTGGCTCTCTGAAGCAGGGGATAGGGAAGAAAGTGGGCCTTAAAGGACAGTGGGAACCGAATAGGCAGAAGTGAAGGATGGGGCATAAACCATTTAAGGAGTGGGGCAGGATGAGCAACACATGAGTGGGAAATCGCAGCAGAGTGCATGGCAAGGAGGGCAGTGCTGGGAGCAGGAGAAGATGCCTGGATGGATGCCCATGCCGAAGACACTGGATGGGGGAAATAGGAGTCAGCACGCAAGACAGGGAAGCTACAGGAGAACCTGAAAAAACACCATAATGGGAGTCAAACAAGAAACCAAACCAAGGCCAACCCAACTCAGGGTCAGAGCCCAAGAAGGGGTTACAGACAGACTTCAAGCCAAGTTCTTCCTGCAGGTTCAGAGCTTGGTGCATGGCCAGGGTCTTGGACTAGGGGTCATAATATGCTTATCTCCATAGGTTATTTTAGGGCTCTGACAGGGACAATGAAGAGACAAACACCGAGGGATGAGTGGTTGCCCACAGGTTGGGTTGTTGTTTTGGGAGTCCTGAGACTGACCCTACAGGTGCACAGACAAACCTGCATGCACACTCAAGTCTTCTGGACCTGAGCCTAACATCTGAAAATGGAGTGGGAGGGCAGTGGCTACAATGCTAAATGCTAAATAGCTTGAGTTGGAAAAAGCTATTGGCTTGGGCAATCTGGAAGACAATGAATAAAAGAGTAATGAGCCATGTTATGGAGGTCAGAAGAAAAGAACCATACTCCCTTGGCAAGTGTGGCTGTGGAGGAAGACAAGAACTAGGACATAGTGAGAGGGATAAGCTGAGGTTTTGTACTGTTATTTTAATAGGTATAGTTTGTTCGTAAAAAGGCTACTTAGGATAGACGATATGTGTCTATTTCTGGCCATATACTCCCAGGAAAGGAGCCAGGCCTTCCCAGGATCTCAGCCCACATCGTGCAGCTCAATGCCAGCAGGATGAAGGGACTTCTTGGGACTATCATCTGGAAACTGGGCCCTTGGATCTGCAGGAGTCTGCAAAGACAGCAGGGTCTCTCTTTGTGTCCTTTGAACTATTGTCAACATCTCCCAAAACTTAACAGAAATGTGATTTGGTTGTGCAAGGGCTGACAACTCAATGGCAGATTTCTTTGCTTTTGGCTGGAAGTACAGCAACTCAGTGTGGCAACATGAGCTATCTCCCACTGATCTGAAGCTCTGATTGCCAGTTATAGATGTCTTTGATGAATAAAAAATGGGAAAGTGAATTGATTATTACTTATGAAATGCAGATTGTTTGGTAGACAAATATCTTTCAAACCTTGAGGCCCATCAGGGAGGATAATGAAAGTAACCCTTGGCAATGAGAGGGTTGAAGTTCATGGATCTGGGGGAGGCCTGGAAAACCCAACTCCATAATCAGTGATAACAACAGTCTCTTTGTTTCTCTGTCTTACTGTTTCCCTGTCTCCATGCTTGTCTGTCTATCTGTCTCTCTCTCTCTCTGGGTTTCTTCCAGCCTTTCTGCCTTCCTGACTCAGGTTTCTAGCTTTCTATGCTTGCGCCTTTCTCATTTTGTTCCCATCTTTGGCCTCCCTGATTCTAGGCAGGTCTCTTTCTTTGGTTTTTCTCTCCTCTCTAACTCTGTCTAGGTTTTTCAGGATTCCTGACTATTGGCATCTCTCATGGCCCCACATCTTCTGGTTTCCCTGGTGTCATTTCTCCTATGGCTTCTCTCTCTCTCTCTCTCTCTCTCTCCTCTCTTCTTGGCCTGCTAGTGGTTCCTGTGACATTTCCTGCCTCTTTTCTGCCATCAAAGCCTCCCTGATTCAGCGTCTTGTTGTCTAAAGGTGTCTTCATGGTGTCTGGGGAGATTCTTATGAGTGGGGTATCTTCCCTCCTGCCCCTTACTTCACTAGGCAGGAAGCTGCATGAAGCAGAGGCTTTGCCTTGCTCAATTCTGTCTCCTCAGTGCCTAGAACAGTGCCTGCCACATAGAAGGGCTGGATAAAGCCCTGCTAACTGGCAGGTTCCATGTCTCTCGGGGACTCTGCTCTTGTTTTTATTTGCCTGCTAGGTCTCCATGACTCTCAAGCCTCTCTCGTGGCCTCTGTCTCTGTCTTGTCTGTTCTGGCCTTTTTGTCTGTCTCTTATGGTATCTCCTTCTCCCTGACTCTTGACTGTGTCTCTGTCTCATTGGCATCTCCCTCGTGGTCTCCACATCTCTTCTGTCTCAGCAGCATGGACAGGCCAGAGCTAGGGCAGAAACCGGGCCAATCCTGTCAGGCCTCGTGGCACGCACAGCCTCCTGCTGGGCCTCTCTCCAGGATCCTCTAATGGAAACAACTAAAGGAGAAGCTGTTTGCTTGGAAGCAAACAGCATCAGCCCTCCAGGCAGCAAAGGCTGCCTCCAAGTTGATTCGGCCCCTTTTCTCCAGCCCAATTGCTTTGACCAGTCAAGGGCTTTGAAGAGCCTCTCAGGGCAGTAACTGCAGTGGACTCATCCCTGGCTGCACGGAGGTGTGGGGGCCACTTTCTCAGTAGGTTCTCACCATGAGTGCCCTGGATCACAGACAGATGGAGCTGCTCCTGGAACTAGCAGCCATCTCTCCTGACTGATGACTGCCTTGGCTTCAGTTAAGCATACTGCAGGGGTCTAAGCCCGGAGGAGGGTCAGCCCTGGAGGAATAAAATTGTTGGGTCTGAGTGTCTATGCTGTCAAGGCTAAGAGAGCGAGATTTAGACTCAAAAAACTGGGTTAAAGTCCTAATCCAACCACTGACTTTATGCCTCAGTTTTCACATCCGTGAAGTGGGAATAGTAGCCTTTATCTTGTAGGGTGGATAGTGGATTCAGTGTGATAATATATGAAAAGCACAATGTCTGGACTATGGTGAACACTCAGTAAATGGCAGCTATTGGAAGTGGAAGGCAATGGGTATACACAGGAGCTCTTCTGCTGAAGAAGGAAGGCATGGGTGCTAACTCTGTGACATCTTTGAGTATTTTGAGCAGCAATGCATCTAGAGTTAAAGGGTTCCAGAAGAGACAAGAGCTCCGTTTGGCCATCTGGTCCAGCCCCTTGCCTTCAGCAGATGACTTTGCAAACCACCCGGGGCAGATGGTGGGTGTTCTCTTCTGGAAGTTCTCCAGGGGCAGACACCCCCACCTCCCCTCCCTCACTCATTTCTAGCTTTCCTTCCTTCACAGTCAAGATGGGCTCCCTTATGTTCCATCTCAAAGCTTCTTGCTTCACACAGGCCTGTTGGCTACGGCACTTGCTTCACAGGCCTGGCGAAGAGTCCCTATGGGTCAGCCTTTAAGGGAGGCCATGCAAAGTGTATGTTCCCCAGGCTGCAGCTGCAATTTCTGAGGGGAGCCTTCACAGCCTCCCATTTCAGCAAATTGCAGGAAGTCAAAGATGACACGTAGTCTGCAGTACAGTGCAGAGCAAATACTCACTTGAAAATATCTCTGCCTTTTCCAATTTCCTGGAAATTGACAAGTGTTTCCAGGATTCAGCCTTTGCAGCCAGGCCTGGCTGGGCCCTATCTTTCTCTCCACGACCCCTGCTGAACCTGTGAAGTCCCCACCTCCACCCCCTGAGCCAGCTTACACGGTGGTTCTTCACCACCCCTGGGTCCACTTCTCTTGCCTCTTTGCTGTGGTCCTGTGCATCTTGGCACCTGCAGATGCTGGCAGAATGGGAAGAGGGGTTTGGGTGTGACTCGCTTCCCCTCTTTGCTCCAGATGACTCACCACCTGCCTTAGCTTTTCTCTTCCCATCGTTACATAATCCTGACTCCAGGATTAAAAATACTCCACTGAATACCCCGTCCATCTGTCATATTCTCTCTCTCTCTCTTCATATATATATGTATATATGATCTTATTTTAAAAATACTCTGGAAAGAGCACTTCCATCGTTCATTTACATCATATTAGAAATGGATTTCCGAGTCAGCACTGGCTTCCTCCAGAATAGCAGTCCTGGAGGAGCGAGATCTCCCCAAGCCTCCAGGATTGCAGTCTGTTTTGTGCCTTCACTCCCTAATAGGTTTGCCTTATTTAAAGGACACACCTTCAGAGCTGCCAAGGACTTTCTCAGAGCAGCTCCTTGGTCCCTCCGACAGCCTGGGATGGCATTTATTCTGGGGCCTGGGTGTGGGGAGGTCCTCACCAGCCTAGGAGTAAGAGGAGGTGGTGAACTGGGCCCTCTGGCCTAATTCAGGGCCCCAAGTCTAATCTCCAGGATGGGGACCCCTGAGTTTTGCTCTGCCCCCACGTCTCATGACTCTTCCTACCTTGTCTCTATGTATTAGGAATCATCCCTCGATTGATGGAGGGAAAGTGAAAGGGCTTATATCTGTTTTCCTTTTTGTGATACAACCTGAGCGACACCTAGAGCTAGAAGTGACCAGCACCCAAGATCCAGCCTCACTCATTCATACACTCCCTCATTCATATGCTCCCTCATTCATTCTACACATACTTGTTGGGGGTTTACTGTGTGCTTGGTGTATCAGACAGACAGTGCCTTCCAAGAGTGTGCAGCTGAGGTAGGGGAGAAAGATCATGTAGACCAGATAATTTAGAGTCATGGGACATAGGTTCGAGTCCAGTCTCTGCCAGATGCCAGTTATGTGTTAGTCATCAGAGCTCAGAACCTCAGTGGTCTCATCTGTGCAATGGGCACTCCTGGAGCTGGTACAGCACTAATGGGAATGAAAGTGCAGTGACACTGGGCAGAAATGTATCATTTGGTGTATAAATGCTTTCAAAGCCTGAGTTTGCTGTTGAAAAAAAGGAAATCAGCGTATCAAAGAGATATCTGCACCTTCATGTTTATTGCAGCACTATTCACAATAGCCAAGATATGGAATCAACCCAAGTGCCCAACAACAGATGGGTGGGTAAAGAAAGTGTGGTACATATACACAATGGAATATTATTCAGCCATAAAAAAGAAGGAAGTCCTTCCATATGCAGCAACTTGGGTGGAACTGGAGGACATTATGTTAGATAAGATAAGCTAGGAACAGAAAGTTAAACACCGAACATTCTCACTCATATGCGGAAGCTAAAAGAAAGTTGATCTCATAGAAGTAAAAAGCAGAACAGAGGTTATTGGAGGCTGGGAAGAGGAGTGGGGAGGAAGGATAGGGAGAGATTTTTTCAAGGACACAAAATTACAGCTAGGCGGTAGAGTAAGTTCTAGTGCTCTATAGCACTGTAGGATGACTATAGTTAACAATAACGTACAGTTTCCAATAGCTAGAAGGAGGATATCAAATGTTCCCAACACAAAGAGATAATACATGTTTGAGATAATGAATATGCTAATTACCCGGATCTGATTACTATACATTGTATGTATCGAAATATCACTCTGTACCCCATAAGTACAATTGTTATGCATCAATTAGAAAAATAAATTTAAAAAGTTGCAAAAAAAAAAAATGCCTGTGGAAGCTGCCTCCCTCATGATCCCTGCCTCCAGCCTCGACTCCTTCCATCCACCTTTTGCAGAAATCACCAGAGTGTTCGATTCAGAGCTTAGACTGATCTCTCTCCACTGGCCACAGCATCCATTTTAAACTTCTCCAAACGACGCCTGAGGCCTTCCTCCCCTGCACCTTTTCCCATCAGTCCAGCTGGACCAAAGGCCTGGCAGAATAGACAGTGCATTTTGACTCTGTGTGCCCAGGGTCCAGTGACTTTCACTCTCTGGGTCTCAGTTCCTCATCTGTAAAATGAGATAAGCGACAATATATACTCAAAGGGTACAAATGAGTGAATTCATGAAAAGCACTTAGAGAAACACACGGCACACAAGGGACAGTCAGCTGGGTTTGTTATTAGTCGAGTTGTGCAGTTCGCCCTCGGTGCCTTTAACAATGCTGCTTTCCATGCCTGGAACTCTGTTCCTGCTCCCTCTCCCTCCACCCAGCAAACTCCCACTCCCTTCGACATGCTTTCTAAAATGTAACTCCTGCGTGAAACTTGCCCCTGTTCCTGGTCTTTTGTGGCAGACATTCTGGCTTCTGATTCCCAGGCCTGTGTCCTTCTCCAGGCCCCGCTTCCTCTAGAATGTGTGCACGCCTCAGGCTCTCAGCATCTTGTCCTCCATAACTACTCACTGAGCCCTTGTCGGGTACCAGGCACCACCCCTCCTCCCACACCTTCTCAATACTCTAGTGCTTACTAAGGTAGAGTCTGTGAGCCAAGAGTCATGTACTTTTTGGCAAGCCTGAGTTGAGCTGTGTTTTCTTCACTTCTAATGCACACCACCAGGTTCTGTGAGCACCTGCTATGCACTAGGTGATGGATCCCAATTATCCCAAGAGAGATCATGCCCATTGCATGGGTGAGGAAAGTGAAGGTGGAGTGAACTGACTAGTCTCCTGCTCCCCACCCCTCCGAGGAGCTGACATTGGCTTACGTTGGCTTCAGAATCAGGTATGGGTCTCCTGCCTGCCTGATCCTGGCCTCCCATCCTTTTTGTGCCCAGACTTGCCTCCTACATCCCTGTCCCAAACTGGAAGGCTGGCAGGAACTCTGCCCGGCTCAATAGCCTGGGCCAGGCAGGTAGGAGAGGGCTGGCCTGGCCCCTGTCACTCCCTCTTGACTTAAGCCACATATCTGTCTCTCCAATAATGTGTCCCACAGTAGGACCTAGCACGCAGGTGAATCTGAGGAGGTCACTGAGCATGGGCTCTCCTGTTGTACTGATGTGACCTAATGCACCCCGGCTGCCACGCAGGGCTGGCCTCAGCTCAGCAGAGAGGTCTGTCAGGAAAGCAGGAGGTGAGGAAAATTGCTTTTTTGCTGCCCCAACTACAATTGCCTCCAGGCTGCTATAAAATCAATAAAATATCAGTGCCTGTGAGCAGGAGCCGGGCCTTGTGCCCCTGGGAAACGCCCCGGCTCTGGTGTTGGGGACTGTTCTGTGTTTGTTATTCCGTTGGATGGATCGGCGTTTAGGACAGTTTGGCAGTGGAAGGCGTCCAACATGCCCATCCCCCAGTGCATGAGCTTGCTGCCTTTTCTTCTCCTTCCAGCAGCCTCTCTCCTCCTCTCCCTCCTCCTGTCCTCTCTGCCACCAAAGTCATCGGAAGGCCTGTTTGAAGCTTAGCCTTGTTTATGCCATTTATCCCGGGGTGGAACGATCATTGCCGATGGTCCAATGTGTGCTCACAGATGCACACTCACAAGCTCACCACTCAAACACGCAGGGGCACACACACACACTCCCCTGTGCACACACAGTGACACTCACACAAGGAGGCGGCCTGCCTTCTGCTCATCTTCTGGAACTCACAGTTTCTCTCACACCCTTGCTCACACAGACCACTCCCAACCTACCGTGGAGTTTCAGACTCTCTCTCTCTCTGCTGGAGATGAAAGGGATTTGGCAGCAACATCTCTTTGTCTCTGACTTTTCCTCCATCGGCCTCTCTGGCTTGCTCCCTGTTGCTCGCAGCATCTGCACACACAGACACACACAACATGAGGGCAGACACCGCACTCCCTCTCTCTCACAGATGCATGAGCCTCAGCTGCAGCGTTCTGACTTGCAGGGTGGGCTGGAGTGCCAAGTGCGGGGTGGGGCAGTGAGGGATTCCAGGAGGTGGTCCAAACCAGAAGCCTGGCAGAGGGCCTTGGTGTTAGGACATCTGACAACACACATACAGACAAAATAACTAAAATGGAAACAACAGCTTCCACATATAGGGGAGACGCAGTGTGGTTCTGAGCATAGACTCTCAAGCGGCCTCCCTTGGTTTTGATATGTGGCTCTGCCTCTTACAAGCCATGTAGCTTTGGGCAAGTTATGTAACCTCTCTGTGCCTGGTTTCACTGTCTATGAAATGGGAGAATATCTGCACCCATCTCATAGGATGGTTATGAATTAAACAAGTTACCACATGTAAAATGCTTAGAATACTAGATGTGTTCCCTACCCTGATGGTACTATGTGCCAGACACTGGGATAAGCACTATATATGTACCAACCTATTTAATGTCCCCATTGACCCTGTAAACAGTGATTTCCCATAGAAATGACCTGCTGGAGGCCACATAGTTAATAAGGGTGGGGCTGGAGTTGGAATTTAAGTCATTGATTCATAAGCTGCAAATTATATTGCTCCCCCATCCATGACAGCTCTCCTTTCCAGAGGCATAGTCTGGGGTAAGGGGACAGGACAGCCACAGAAGCCTGGTAGGAGCTAAGACCCCTCTAGGGATCAAGGTGGGAATCATAGGCAGATGTAAGGCTGGGAACCAAGGCAGATGCCCAACGGCATTGACTGTCCAATAGCAGAGTAGAAAGAAGGCTTGGGTCACTTGGGGTGGGGGGCAATGGGAGGGCTCTGGTCCAGGGATGGCCAATGGGGATGGGATAGGAGGATTCTGGGTCAGTGATGGTGAAGGCCCCTGGGGCCAGCTGTGGGCTGCCAGGCTGGGTCAGGATGGCATGGAGAGAGACTTGAGGCTGCCCACAGAAGTCCCAGGCATGGCATAGTCCTGCTACTCCTTCTTCTGGGGACAAGGTTGGGACCTGGGTGGGCATGAACCTGCAGGGGCGGAATGAAACACTCGCACAGCCAAGTGAGGGACAAGGTACCCAGATGCACACTGGTATTTCCTGAGCCTATACAAATGTAATCCCATTGAATGCCCACCAGAACCCACCTGGTGGGAAATCTCATTTCTGTTTACAGAAGCAGAAACTGAGGCTTTGGGGCCAGGCAAGGTGGCTCAGGCCTGTAATCACAGCACTTTGGGAGGCTGAGGTGGTTGGATCACCTGAGGTCAGGAGTTCGAGACAAGCCTGACCAACATGGTGAAACCCTGTCTCTACTAAAAATACAAAAATTATCTGGGTCTGGTGGCTTACGCCTGTAGTCCCAGCTACTTGGGAGGCTAAGGCATGAGAATTGCTTGAACCCGGGAGACGGAGGTTGTAGTGAGCCAAGATCGCGCCATTGCATTCCAGCCCAGGCAACAGGGCTAAAGTTTGTCTCAAAAAGAGACAGAGAGAAAGAGAGAGAGAGAGAGAAAGAAAGAGGAAGGAAAGAAGGAAGGAAAGAAGGAAGGAAGGAAGGGAGGGAGGGAGGGTGGGAGGAAGGAAGGAAGGAAGAAGGAAGGAAGTGGGGAAGGAAGGAAGGGGGAAGGAAGGAAGGAAGGAAGGAAGGAAGGAAGGAAGGAAGGAAGGAAGGAAGGAAGGAAGGAACTAAGGCTTTGGGAGTTTATGCTTGCCTGCAAGTTGCCAATGGCTATACTTGGGTTCCTAGAACCTTCACCTAGGGCAGGACTGGGGGCAAGACTTGATAGCAGGTGGGCGTGGGGCAGCAATGGCTGAGAAGTTTCCAAGTAGGAGAAGCAGAGGCACAGGGGTAGGGAGCAGGCGCAGCAGTTCATAAGTGGAGGTCGAGAAGTCACAAAGTCCACTTTTGGCACAGCACACCCTTGTCTCGTGATGTGGAATTTGCAGTGTGGGGCTGGAACAGAATAAAGGCTCACTTGTGTTTGGCAAATGAGCACACATTTCCTCTCCTAGGATGTGCACATTTTTTCTTTTGTTCTCTTTCAACAGTGGGCACTGAACACATCCCTTCCCCAAGTTGCAGGAAAAGCCAAGTTCCACGGGGCATGGAGGGGGGAAAGGAAGTGGGTGAGGGACAGGCAGGAGGGCTGTGTGTCACCTGTTTCAGCTGTTGGGCATAGAATGCAAGTTTGGGTGGATTAACATTTGTGCTAATTAGCATTTTTTCCAATTAACATTTTTGCATGGAAAAGTAGGACTTACAGGGTGGCAGTGCTCCATGCTAGCCAGGGAGGGAAATGGATCTCTTGGGTCTTTGGCTCTACATAAGCAGGTGGTGGGCATGGGGGCTGCTGGGATGCAAGGGTGGTGCTAGTGCCCAGGGTGATGAGGCCTGGGCAGAAGATATCACACTGGGGGATCTGTGATGCTGGCAGAATGATCTCTACAGAGCCATGCTGCATAGGTGTCCTCTAACTGTACAGGGAAGGGGCTGTTTGTCAGTTCTGTATATGTGGCACATTGGGGACCTGATAAATGCCAAGTACTGTACTATGTGCTTCAACCCCTGTCCTATGGGACTTGCAGACTAGGAGGGGAGAGAGCTCACAGTACCAATAACCTATAATTTCCATCAAGCAGAAAGATGGGAACTGTGGCAGCATTGGGCGGGTGTATAGCTCCACACCCAGGGTTCAGGCTGTAAGTTCCATGGGGACAGAAACCATGCCCTTCTTGCTCCCACTGGACCCTAGCACCTATCGTAATGCTTTGCACATTGTACAGGTTAGTAAATATGTATTGAATTAATGAAGGAATGAATGAGTAGCATTAAGCTGAGACCTAAATACGAGGAGCAAGCCAGGTAAGGGGAATAGAAACAGTGCTCCAGGCAGAGGAAACTGCGTGTGCAAAGGCTGGGAGGCTAGGAACAGAACATTAGTTCAAAGAACTCAGTGTTATTTTGGCATCCTAGGGAAGTGGATGTGGGTGTGGGGTGGGACAGGAGGGGAGGAGGAGCAGGAGGCTCCAGAGGTAGACAAGGGTTGGGTGATGATGGGTCTTGTGACCTTGTTCAGGCAATGAGAAATGAGAGAAGTGTGAGGGATGCACTTGAGTCCCCCTGATGTGGGAGTGGATTGGAGTGGGGCAACCTGAGGACAGGGAGACTCCTCACGGTGGTGGAGGGGCTGTGGCAGTACCTGAGAAGGGAGAGAATGGTGGTCTGCCTGGGGTGGGGGAAGGGGGATGGAGAGAAAGGATGAAAGGGATGGGAGGTAGACTGGATGCAGGGATGAGAGAGGAGGTCGAGTCATGGGGACTCCACGTTTCTGATCTGGACCATTGGACAGAATGTGGTGTCTTTTCCTGAAACAGAAAAATGAAAGCAAAGTGAGAGGTGAGGAGGAGGCATATGGAGTATGTTTGTTGAGTGAATCAGACACAAATGTATCTGGACCAAGGATCAGACAAAGATGTGGCTGTACTCTGGTCTCCTCACAGCCCCTCTCCCCAGTTTCTTCTTCATCTGCCAGAGGGATCTCTCTAAAGCACAGATCTGACTGTGTCATCCCTTGTCAAAAGCCATCAGTGACTCCCTAGTGTTTGTACCATGAAATCTAAAACCTTCACCATGGCCTCTAAGATCTTGCATGATGTGGCCAAGCTCACCACTCAAGCCCTCATCTTAGGCCCTTTCCCCGTGCTTAGTACATGGCAGTCACGTGGGCCTGATTCCATTGCCCCTTACCCCAACCCCCTCCCTGCCTCAGAGCCCTAGCAGGTGCTGTTCCCTCTGCTTTTCCTGCTTCCCCTTCCCCCTTCCTTACCTGGCCAACTCCAGCTTATTCCTTACATCTTGACTTCAAAGTCACATCATTAGGGAAGCCTTCCTTCACTCCCAGACCAGGTTAGGTCCCTCCGGTAGAGCTCCATGTCCTTCCTCTCCTCCTCAACCTCGAAAATTGTGGTTAACCCAGTATTTGCAGAACTTCACATCCCTGCACCCCCCACCCCCCGCCACAGGCTCCAGCTCCAGAGGGCAGCAACTGCATCTGTTTTATTCACCCCTGTAGCTTCAGGGCCTCGTGCAGGGCCTGGCACCTAGTAAGTGCTCAACAAGTATTGGTTCATGAATGAATGTAATATGAAGCATATTTTGGATTGTTTGTATCACAATGACTGTTTAGCAACAGCTAATTTCCAACATTAGTGAAGTCAACTGACACCAAAATAGCAGAAGCATTCCACTTTAAATATAACCCTCTTTGGAGATGACTCCCAAGCCTGCGCCCCCAGCTGATAATCCTTCCCAATTTCTAATCCATATCTTCCACTGGCCCCTGGACATCTGTGCCTGGATGTCTGTGTTGAAAAATGCAGCAAAACACTTTTCTGGCTTTCATATTTTGTCTTTCAAGCCCAAACCTAGGCTGAGCCTGGTCTCCTCGGGTCCCCTGACCCCTCCCAGGAATGGCAAATTAGTGATCTTGCACCAACAGGTCCTCCTTCCAGTCTCTTCCATGGACTCTCATTTGGAAGGCGGGATGCTCTGCAGAAGACGCAGATATGCCAAGGGGCAGGGAGTGTCCACGAGCCCTATGGACTCCTTATGGAATTCGTTGGCATTCCATGAAAGGGTTTGAGGTCCGGGCCATCAGGCCAAAGCAGGGGAATGTGCAGAGGCTGCAGCTGAGGGGACAAACGGGTCAGTGGTCAGAGGCAGACACTGAGCAGAAATGCAAAGGCATGGGCTGAGAGTGCATTCATTTATTTCTTTATTATTTATGATCCTGCCTTCATCCAAAAGAGATGCGAGGTCACTTCCTACAAAAACACTAGTAAAAGTCCACAGGGAGATTCAAGTAGGTAGTAGGGAGATCAGCAACGAGAGAGATGAAGGGGGAGAAGATGGCATTGGGCATGGAAGTGGCATCTCCTGTTTGAACTGTGCCTTGTGGTTGGCCAGGCTCAGTCATGACAACCGTGGCCTCATTTGATCCCTGTAGGCTCCTCTTTCTACAGATGGCCAGAAAGCCACAGTCAGTTGCTCAAAGCCACGCTGCTGGCCAGTGGCAGGGAGTGGTAACTGTAGCTCATGGAGTGGCGGGGAGTGGGAACTGTAGCCCGCGGAGTGGCGGGGAGTGGGAACTGTAGCCTGTGGAGCAGGGTAGGATGGGGCTTTCCCAGGAGTGCCCTCTCCTCTCCACTTTCTTGATATTCCCCCAACCCCAAGCCCTGGCTGCAGGCCCCTAACCCTACCTCTGTCTTGCAGAAATGTCCTGCATCTTTGTCCACCCCAAACACCCCATACAGTAGGACCAGAGTCATCTCTCCCGAGCATAGGACTGTCACCCCACAGGCTGGTTCAGAAACCCCCAATAGCTCTCTACCACTGACAGAAGAACACACACTCCCTACACCAGCACACAAGGCTCTCTCTGCTCAGGCCTGAACTGGAGGAACAGCTCAGGTCCTGTTCCTCTTCCTTTTCCAACAGATAGCAGCCATGGTGGGATTTCACCCCATTGCAAATCCATGCTGTACTTACTCACCTCTTGCACCGTTTCACCTGGACAGGAAATATAGCAAAGTGATCAGGCACATGCAGCCTGCAGCCAGACTGCCTGGGTTCAAATTCCAGCTTGCTACTTTAGCCGTGCAGCCTTGGACAAGTTCCTTCCCCTTGCTACTCCTCGGCTTCCTCATCTGTCAAATGGCCTGCCTTGTAGCTGCCTCTCTCATAGGATAGTGGTGAGGATTAAATGAGGAGGTAACATATGAGAAGAGCCTAGGGCAGTGCCTGGCCCCAGTAAGTTCTGTTTGTGTGAACTTTTCTTGTTCCTCACCCCACATTCCAGGTTTGGGAGCCTGCAACTGCCACCCCACACAACAAACATTGAACATTCCAGTCGGGACTTCCTCCTGCTTCTGTGACCTCCTCTGCTTGCAGCAATGGTTCCAGCTGTGTCCTTCCCACAGTCAGAGTGTTCTTTTGAGTCACAGGACATGGCCTTTGATCACAAGGGCATTTCTCTTTCTTTCTGAGAATGCCTTGGATCCCTAGCAAGATGCTGAACTCCCAGGGCGGGGACTCCCTTATCTCTCTCTGAGAGAGGCATAGCAGGTGCTTTGTAAACACTTGTTAGTTTTATGTTTTGTATCATTTGCCCCTTCTGCCCTGGTAAATCACTCTGCTCCTTCTAAAAGGGAGAATCTCCAGCCTGGGGGTTGAGACATCAGACAATCTCTTAAAGGCACTGTCATATATACACTGGTATGAGCCAGATGCTACCATACAGGAGGGTGAAAGCCAAATGAGAGCAGGCTGCCAGCAGGGAGTCAGATGGCAGGAGAGCAGGCTCCCAAACCCAAAGCTGGGATAGGGCATCTCAGCCAAAAGTGAGAGCGGACATGGGAATGGGGGGCTGGGAGCCGGACCCAGAGGAAGGCGCAGACCCATGGCTGGGGAAGGAGGACATGAGGTGGTCATCTTTTATTGTTCCCATCTTTTTTCTTGCTTCTCTCATACTGGGCATCCCAGTCTCTTAAAGATCTCTCTCTCTCTCTCATCAGGTAGACCTCACTTGCAGTCCCAGGCCTGCCACTCACTAGTTGCTGACCTTGGAAAAGCATGTAACATCTCCAGCATCACCTATAGAGGGACTAAGATGCGCTCTTCATGTTATTCTGGTGGAAAATATGATATAAAGCATGGGTTCCTGAACCTTTCCGGGCAGGGAAATATCCCAGGGATCACCTTTGAAGGCAGGTCCTGGGCCCCACTTAGTCCAACAAAACCAAATTTCCATGGCAAGGAGCTCAAGAATCTGTAGTTAAAAAAAAAAAATCCACAGGTATTCTAATGCCACTGTCCCAAAGACAATGTTTGAAAACCACTGGGCACGCTGGCTCACACCTGTAATCCCAGCACTTTGGGAGGCTGAGGCTGGAGGATTACTTGAGCCCAGGAGTTCAAGACCAGCCTGGGTAATGTGATGAAACCCCATCTCCACAAAAAATACAAAAATTAGCTGGGTGTGGTGGCACGTGCTTGTAGTACCAGCTACTTGGGAGGCTGAGGTGGGAGGATCACTTGAGCCTGGGCAGTTCGAGGCTGCAGTGAGTGAAGATCATGCCACTGCACTCCAGCCTGGATGACAGAGGGAGACCCTGTTTCAGAAAAAAAAAAAAAGAAAGAAAGAAAAAAAAAGAAAAGAAAATCACTTAAGAAATATGTCAAAGTAAGCTCTTAACCAAGGTTGATATCATTTTTTCTTTCCTTTTTTCCTTCCTCTTAATTCATTAATTAATAGGGTCACCATGCTTAATTAATGAAAAGTTCCCAATTATTTAATGGTTTGGAAGAATTACTGTGTGGCTGCCATTAAGGGCGCCTGCTCCACTGGGGCAGGAGGACAGTGACACCTGGCAAGGCCCTCCGAAGACTCTCCTCCCCACAAGGGGTGAGTGTCCAGGTGTCCGGGGGTTTAGGAAACAAGAGCATCTTGAAACAATGTTTTCCTCTTTTCAGGAATTTAAGCCTTCTTGCCACAATTTGTTTTGACATTATGTATTTGTTCAACAAACTCATTCATTCTACAAGCACCGAGCATCCCTTATGCACCAGGCTGAGTGAGGCACTGGGGACTCAGAGATTACAAACCAGACAACACACACTCAGTCCTGGCCTCACAGTCTAGCGGGGAGGCAGAGCCCTGTGAAGGATTCATTGAAGTGAAAGTACATGATCCTGCTGGAACAGGGGAGAAGCCAGGCCTTGTGGGATTCCAGAGGAGGGGAGTTTGGACTGGGCCTGGAGCCCTTTTGGAAAGTCTCACAGAGGGGGTGACGTTTGAGTGGACGCATAGCACAGTGGTGGCAAGCAGGGCTACTGGAGCCAGGGTGACTGGCTTCAAATCCCAGCATCTCCATTCACTGGCTGTGCATCATAAAGCAACTCTCTCAACCTCTCTGTTCCTGCATTTTCTCCTCTGTAAAATAGCGATAAAATTGTCATGAATATTAGATGAACTTACATATATAAAACACTTACAGCAGTGTCTAGAACATAGAAAAAAATTTAAAGCATATACATGTATATATATAAAGTATATATATTAAAAAGCATATATGTGTGTATACATACACATATATGATATTATTATTTTTATTTTGAGAATGCATGAAAGCCTGCCATGCAGGGAAAAGAAAGGCATTCTGGGCAGTAGAAAATCAGGTGGAAAGGGACTAAGGTGGTAAAGAACAAGAGAGGATGAGTAGTTCTGTGTGACTGATGGCAGGCTACATCCAGGGGCAAGGACAAAGGCATCTTCATGGATGATACTAAAAGGGCTTCCCTCCTAGTTCTTGTCCATGTTATCACTTACTGTGAGCCACTTGAGCACAAATTAACCTGATGTGATAGTGATCTGAATGCAAATCACTCCATTTGGTAAGACAGTGGTCACTTACTGACCACTAACCTAAGTCTCTCCCTCAGCTCCCACCACAGTGAAGCACCCCCCACCCCCAGCCCCCAGAAGAACTTTATATTGGACAGAGCTTTTTCACACCATCATCTCATCTAAGCCAGTCAAGTAGGCTCTAGGTCAGCCCGCCTGGTGTGAATCCCAGTGGGAAGTGGGCGTTTGCTCTGCTTTTGGCTGTATAGACTTTCTGGCCACCCTCCTATCTTTGGACGTCTTCCAGGCCCATGTGTTCTGTGTCCTCAGGGAGAACCCAGAACTCTCACGGTCGCAGCCACCTTTGCAGCCCAGTTGTCGGAGATGACCTAGGTTTCACCAGGCAGGCTCACTTGTTGGGACTGTCTCTAGGAGTGGGAAAATTGAGAAAGAAGGTTGCCTTGGAATGAGTTTTGCTTTTGAATGGAACAGTCAAGCCTGCTGGCTCTGGTGGGTGGCAAGTCTACAAGGTGGAATTCCTAAGGGAGAAGTGGCATCAGGGCTGGAGCCAAGAGCAGTGGCACAAAAGGCCAGTTCCCAGTGGAGAGGTGGCTTCCTCACCAGGCCCACTCTGTGCTATGGTTTTGGAAGCTCAGAATCAAGCTGGGTCCCCTGACCACTCATCAGTCTCTCAATGACTTTTTTTTTTTTCCTGCTTAAACATCTATAGTCAGCTTCTGTTGATTGCAACTAAAGACCCTCTTGAAATGCAGCTCTGCCACTTACCAGCTGTGTGTCCTTGGGCAAGTTACTCAACCCTCCTGTGCCGCAGACCTCTCCTTTTTAAATGAGACAATAACATTAACTACCTTGTAGACTTGTTATAAAGATTCAATGAGACACTTCACACATTCCCTAGCACTTGTATTAAGCCGCAATAAATATTAGGTATTTTCACTAAATCTGAGAAGAATAAGGAAAATACTCTTAGCTAAAGAGGCACAGAGAAGTGAAGTGACTTACTTGAAAGCCGTAAAGTGAGCAAGAGTAAGGTCTTTGGCCTCCAAATCCCAGATTCTTTCCAGTTTCCTGCAGCTGCCTCGTCATGTGCATATATGTGTGTGTGCGTGCACGTCCTTTATTGCATAAAGCCACTGTATTATGTGTGCTGTCAGATATTCTATTAAAAAGCAAAGTGGAAAAAACAGTGAGCAGCAGTCTTCCTCTGCCTGTGCTTCTACTGATTACAAAATTAAATTAAGCTTTGTGGCTTGCTGCTGCTGTTTGATGGGGAATACAATGAATTGCTCTTTGCCTCCCTGCAAGAAGTCTCAGAGAACAGTGCTGGGGAGCTCAGCCCAAGACAGTATTTCTTCCTCCCAATGCCCGGGGGGCAGAGCCTTCCTCTCTCCAGAAATGTTAAGCCCCTGAATCAGGCTGCCTTTTTATTAGGTTAATAAAACACCAGGCCCATCAAGTCTCAGGATCGTAAAGGTCAGTGAGTCATGTATGAGTGCAGCGGAGAGGTAGTGGGGCAGCGGCCTGCTCCCTAGAGCCTGTGGGAGGGAAGAAGCTCTCCCTCCAGGCCAGCACTGACTCTGGGATTAAGACCAAAGATGCATTCAGGGTGGTGAAGGCAAGATGGACAGGAATCCCCATATGCCCCTCTGACCTCATAGGCCTCAGCCACACAGGGTTCCCAGGGAAGGGTCAGGACAGGAGACAGCTGGGGGAAGTCAGAGCTGGCAGGAGAATAGGCCCTGCATCTGAAAGGCAGCAAGCAGGCAGGCAGATGAGCAGGAGAGTTAAACTAGAGCATCAGCAATCAGAGAGAATTTGGTGTTACAGAGCATGGTGGATAGGGGCAGGGTCTTGGAGTCACTGAGTTTTAGGTTCAAAGCTTATCTCAGCATCTGCTTTTGCCCTCCTTTGATTTGTTCTTGCTGATTTGGTTACTCATGGCTATGTAGCAAACCACCTCAAAACACAGTGGTTTAAAACAACAGTTGTTTTTCTTTCAAGAGTCTGTGGGTTGACTGGGCTGAGCTGGTTGGTTCTTCTGCTCCATGTAGTGTTGACCAGGCTGGAGTCATCTGATGCTACTAGCTGGCCACTGGCGCTGGCTGGAAGTTGGAAACTCGGAGCTATTGCCAGGACAGCCTCAGTTCTCTACATGCCTCTCCATGTAGCTTTGGGCTTCTTGCAGCTGGGCAGCCGAGTGTCAATGGGAGGCATTCCAAACTTTGGGCACTATTGTCCAAAGTGGTGAACATAGAAGCTGCCGATCTCTGAAGGTCAAGTTGTGAAAATTGCACAGCATCACCTCTGCTGCATTGTATTGGTCAAAATAGATCAAGAGAGATTCCAGGGAAAAGGAACTAGATTCTGCCTATTGATGGGGGTAGCAGCCAAATACTATTCTCCATCTTTAATTTTTTCCCCCTCCCCAGCCCACATAATGATCTCCTTAACATGTAGATAGGATCGTGTCACTGTGCCCTTCTCCCTCATTGGCTTCCCTTTGCCCTTGTGCTAAATTCCAAACTCCTTTGCCCCAGTGGCCTCCAGGGCTCTGACCCCTGCCTGACTTTCTAGACCTCATCGCATGCTACTCACCACCTTGTTTGCTGTACCCCAGGCCCACAGGCCTCCCTGCAGTTACTCCGTCATGCCAAGCTCTCCCCACCTCAGGGCCTTTGCATTTTCTGTTCACTCTACCTGGAGTGGCCACTTCATGCTTGAATAGCTCTTTCTCATTCTTCAGGTGTCAGAAATGATACCATGTGACCTCCTTTTTCATTTAGTTAGTCAGCAAATATTTACTGTGTGCCTTCTATGTGCTAAGCACCAATCCATGTCCCATTAAAAGCAGACCTCTTATTGTTCTACTTTAGCATCCTCCCTCATTTTTGCTTTAATTAAAGCATGTCATGATCTTGTTTTATTTATTTTCCTGTTCAGCGTCTATATTCCCCACCAGAGTGAAGGCAAAATCTGTGGGGCTCACCATGGTTTCCCTAAGCACAGAGTGCAACACAGAAGATGTGCTTGACATGTGAGGGTTGAATGAGTGAATGCCTCTTATCTAGTCTTGTGACCCTGGCCAGGTGACTTGACCTCTCTCAGTCTCATTTCTCCATTTGTAATGTGGAGTCCTAGAGTCTGTACCTCATAGGACTGTTGTGAGGATGAAGATAAGAGAATGCAAATAAAACATCATTTGGCATATAGCAAGTCCTCAACAAAACGTTCCCTAATACTGTTACAATTATCATGATTATTTTATTAAAGCAAGATTTGGTCTCTGCTGTGGGAAATGCTAGACTGTGTGTTCCATGAGAGTGGGGAACCATGCTGGTTGCTTCTCAGTCATGTCTTAACCACCTAACAGTGTGTGGTGCTCAGTTAATATTTATTAAACAAATGAATACCGAATGGTCTGTGTTGGCTCTATCTTCGGTCCTACAGCATGAAGTACTTCTGGCCAACGTCTTACATCATTCCCTCACATTGGTTAATGTCTAAAGTAGTTCAAACTGTAGAAAAGTCCTCCGGCAGACAGATGCTGTCTCTTCTGTGTGGTTGTCAGGTTGCTATGTGGCTTAGTCAATGCATCATTTAACCTTCAGAAGGAGAGGTTGGGAAGGGGCTGTGTGTGTTTTATTTTGTTCATAGTTGTCAGAAAAAGGACAATAATCATCATTTACTGGGTGCTTACTGTGTGCCAAGCACTGTCACTGCTTTTTATTTTATTTTATTTTTGGATGGGGTCTCAGTCTGCCTCCAGGCTGGAGGGCAGTGGCACCATCTTGGCTCACTGCAGCCTTGAACTCCTGGGCTCAAGCAATCTTCCTGCCTCAGCCTCCTGAGGAGCTGGGACTATAGACATGAGTCACTGTGCCCAGCCTTGTCACTGTTTTGTGTATATAATTTAATTAGGCCCATAAGCTATTGTCCTGATTGAGGCTCAGAGAGGTTAAGTTACTTGCCCGAGGTCCAACAGTTAGGATCTGCTCAATCCTCTCCTCTGCTATATTATACCACATTCCTAGTCCCTGGTCTGGTCCTCCTGAAACACTCCCACAGTCTCTGTAAACACCTCTATCATCACCCTTTGCCTGTTGCCATAGGGTAGGGTCAGCTTTGTGGGCCTATAATCTGTGTAGTCACACTCAGAGTCCCACACTCAGAAGGTCCCCATGCATGGTTTAATATTCTGCTCTTGCCATCATGAAATTCTTAAATATTTTTGAATAAGGGACCCCACAGTTTCATTTTGCACTGTGCCAACTCTTCCTCCACCAGGACTGGTCCTTTGGGTGAAATGGCCCAGGCAGGTACTCCTGGCCAGAGTACCTGCCCGCCTCCCCAGGCCCACCTGGTTTGCTGGTGGTCCTCGGAGGTGACAGAGATGTTTGCTCACCCAGAGAGAAGGAGATGCTGAACCTGAAAACCCTCATACATTCCTCTGACCTGGCCCAGCCAGAGGCTTGCTCTCCTCCTTGGCTGGTATGCCAGTCTCGGGCTCTAAGACAGCTACCTCCTCCTCCGCGGCATGTGTAAATATTAAGGGCTGCAGAGGGCAAACACATTCAGGAAGCCTGGGCTGCCTTTCCATTTACCTTCTCCTCCGGTCAGAGATCAGCTAGCCTAGGAGACTAGATGCAAATCTCAGCCACACCAAGGAGGGATGCCTGGGTGCCCCAGAGGCTTTGGCAGCAGGGAGGAGGATCAGGAGACAGACTTCATCTTTTTGGAAGCAGAAGGGAACCCTGCCAGGGCTGAATCTGTGGGAGGATGAGATTTGGGGCAAACTCTTCAATCCAGGGACCCTTTACCAAATTCTACAGAGCACCTACAAATGAGGTGTCCTTTTACTGGGGGCCATGAAAATTTCTCCCATATGCACAGGGCTTATGCTTTCACTTGGGTGAACTTAGTTGGGCTTCACCAGCATCCTTCAGGGTTGTCACATTACACTGGATGGAGGGAGTAACTGAGGCTCCAAGGGTTCGAAGTGGCTCCTTCTTCAATGCTCTTTGTACCTTACCATGGGCATCCATCCATGGTTGACAATACGGCTGACAATAGGGCTGGGGAGAAAGAATTTAGATAAATGCCTGATAATTGATGATTTGGGTTAATCAAGTGGCCTGACTCAGTATCAATCTGTGCTTTTAGGGCATAAATATTCTGGAATGCTCCTCTAGAGTTGGGGAGGCTGCTGGGGGGGCTGGAGGAGAGAACATAATGGATGGGTAAGTGCCTGGTGGACTGTAAGTGCTTTACACATAGGAGGATGTGTTATTCTTGAGAACAGTCAGTTCCCAGCAAACATTATTTCAAAGGTCAGTGTGCAAGGCAAGTCTTTCTTTCTGAATCTTCACCTCCTGTGCCCTCCCCGAGTGTCTCCCTCTGTCCACCTCTGGGTGTGCATCTTTTTCACGTTTGGTGCCTTCCTCTCCAGCAGCATCTTTTGGTCTTTCCTCCTATCTTTTCCACCTGTCTCTCTCGTCTCTTCTTGGGTTCTGCCTCTTCCCTGGCTGTCTCGGATCAGTCCCGTCTGCTTCTCTGTCTGTCTGCCCTCAGGCCCCTCACAATCCTTCCCCCCATTTCCCCTGCCAGGTGCTGTTTCCAAGGCCACACATCAGTGTTTCCCATCCCTGAGTGATTTATACACCTGGTTCAGCCCAGGCAGTGCTGAGTGGAGCCTGTGCTGTTTTGGGAGCTGGTTCCTGCAAGGCAAGCTCCACCCTCCATCCCCAGGCAACAATCTCTGGGCATGTCCAGTTGTTTCTATTTTCTTCTGCTGGTTTGGGCCCCACACTAGTGCCACCTGCACCCCTGCCCCGTGGTCTTCCTGTACTCACAGACAGGTCCCTGAGCAGGCTCTGATCTGCCCCTCTCCCTCTTGTCCCTTCTTCCCCTGGTCTGTCTCCCCAGGCCTCTGATGCTACTCCTGGCTCTGCCTCCACATGACTCTCTTTTAACTAAGTTTCTCTCTCTCTCTCTATACCCCCTCCCTCTCCCTCTCTTGTATGCCACTGTCTCTCTCTAGCTGTGCCTCTATCTCAGTCTGTGCCTCTTTATATTTGTTTCTGTCCCTCCCCCATTTAGCATACAGCATTTCAGTGATGCCAGAGGCTGCAAGCTGGTGAATGTGGAAGTTGCAGATCTCTGAGGATCCAGTTGTGAAAATTATACAGCATCACCTCTGCTGCATTCCACTGGTCAAAATAGATCAAGAGTCAGATTCCATGGGAAAGGAAATAGATTCTGCCTATTGATGGGAGGAGCAGCTAAAAAGTAGTGTCCATCTTTAATTTAACAACCCTCCAGCCTATTCCCCAAGCCAGATTACCCTCAGACATCTGGGGCCTGACCTGGGACCCTGGGCCACACTGTCTCCACCCTGGCTCCCCCCTTGTCTTTCATGTCACGTTGAGGAAGTTTCCTGAACTCCCAGTGACACTGTTGTCAGGGCCTGACTTACCAGGAGAGCATGAATAATTAAAAGCTGTATCTGAGGCTTGTTCTGATTTAAGCTGTATTAGTGTTGCCAACTGTCCTGACCCATTTAATATTCATGCCATTCTTGGCTCTTTTAAAGAGAGGGAAGTTTGCTACCTGATTGAAATTGCACCTGTCAGTTTCGATTAAAGATCGGGTTGACCACAGTTGCAGGGAAATTAAATGAACATTCTCTTAAGCAAAATCATAGAATTTAATGTAGCAATTAATATCTATTGCAATGTGCTGCCATCACAAGCTGCTTGAAATGTAATGTAAGGCTCATGGGGGATGAGGCCAGCAGTGCCCCAGAGTCTTGAGTCTTCAGAAATGGGTCCCTAAACGGGCCTGGTATTTAACTGACTTCTTTCTCCGACAGGAGCAGAAAACACAGATAACAGCTATTGTTCCTTAAGGCTTGGGGTAGATCATGTAGCCTTTCATCCAGTTCACATTTGGGAAAACTGAGGCATGGGGCATCAGAGACTTGTTCAAGGCCAGTTTTGGTTTATTGTAGAAGTGGAGCATGAAACAGTGGGAGGGCCAGCCCCTCAGGGTCAGGAACACCCAGGTGACGGTGCAGACACTGCAGTGGAGGAAGACACGGGGAGACCGTCTGAGCTCTTTTCAGGTAATAGTGCTGGGAATGTCTCTGAGGACCTGCAGGAGTGGAGGTCATTTAGGGTGAAGAAGTGGCAAATAGGTTTCAAGGTGTGGGCTGATTCTGATGGATTAATAGCAACCATCCTGGAGAAGGGCCTGAGTGGGTGCCCTGATCAGATAGCTGGATCTGCCATGGGCGAGGAGAGGGAAGTGGTATGTGAACGTGTTCCCCGCCTGCTGGAGGCAGAGGGCCACATAGAACAGGCATGTAACTGTAAGCCCTGGTTTCCTTATCTAGAAGACAGGATAATAACCTACTCCTGAGAGGGTCAGTGTGAGGAATAAACAGGCACATCAAGGCAAACTATGGGCTCACAAAAGGCTGTGGTGCCCAAGGGCTAGGAACGGAGGCTCAAGAGTAGAGCAGGTTGGCTTTGAGTCCTGCGTGGGTGTGTGTCCTCAGGCAAAATAACCTCTCTAACTCAGTTTCCTCAGCTACAAAATGTAGATAATAATTGTAACTTACCTCATAGATTTGCATGGAGGTTAAATATGTTAATACATGTAGCATGCTCAGAACAGGACCTGGTCCAAAAAATACTATGAATATTTGCCATTTCTAATGTGATGGTAAGAACTCAACACAAACAGGATGGAAATTGGTTGTTACTATCATATGAAATTGCTTGTCTAATGCTATATAAGAATAAGGCAAGCTGGGCGTGGGCACTCACCCCTGTAATCCCAGCACTTTGGGAGGCCAAGGCGGGCGGATCACCTGAGGTCAGAGTTCAAGACCAGCCTGGACAACATAGCGAAACCCCATCTCTACTAAAAGTACAAAAATTAGCTGGGCATGGTGGCAGTTGCCTTTAGTCCCAGCTACTTGGGAGGCTGAGACAGGAGAATCACCTGAACCCAGGAGGCGCAGGTTGCAATGAGCTGAGATGGCACCACTGCACCCCAGCCTGGGCAACATAGCAAGACTCCATCTCAACAAAAATCAATAAAAGAATAAGAAATTCATTTATTTTATTCTGTTCATTTAATCCGATTTATATAAAAGCTATATATATAGTATATATATAAATAATATATAAGTTATGAAGACAACAAAACAAACACCAGTGTTTCCACCCCAACTGATATGGTTTGGATTTGTGTCCCCACCCAAATCTCATGTCGTATTGGAGGAGGAGCCTGGCAGGAGGTGATTGAATCATGGGGGCAGATTTCCCCCTTGTTGTTCTCATGATAGTGAGTGAATTCTCATGAGATCAATGGTTTAAAAGTGTGTGGTGGCTGGGTGCAGTGGCTCACACCTGTAATCCCAGCACTTTGGGAGGCTGAGGTGGACAGATCACTTGAAGTCAAGAGTTCGAGACCAGCCTGGCCAACATAATGAAACCCCATCTCTACTAAAGATAGAAAAATTAGCTGGTCATGGTGGTCCATGCCTGTAATCCCAGCTGCTTGGGAGGCTGAGGCAGGATAATTGCTTGAACCCAAGAGGCACAGGTTGCAGTGAGCTGAGATCGTGCCACTGCATTCTGGCCTGGGTGACAGAGTGAGACTCCATCTCAAAGGAAAAAAAAAAAAGAAAAAGAAAAAGTGTGTGGCACTTCCTACTTTGCTCTCTCTCTCCCTCCTGTTCCATCATGGTAGGACAAGCTTCCTTCCCCTTGGCCTTCCACCATGATTGTAAGTTTCCTGAGGCCTCCCAGTCATGCTTTCTGTTAAGCCTGTGGAATTGTGAATCAAATAAACCTCTTTTCTTTATAAATTACCCAGTCTCAGGTAGTTCTTTACAGCAGTGTGAAAACGGACTAATACATCAACCTAAAAGCTAGAACATTCTGAAGCCACTGAAACTCTGGGGTGCTTCTCTCTAACTGGGGCCCCCGTTCCCTGCCACAGGTGACTCTCTGAATTTTAGGTTTATCATTCCCTTGTTTTCTTTAAAAATGTAGAGTCAGTGGCTTCTTGTAAATCAAAAAAAAAGTGTATGTATTTAGCAACTTTTCCATCAACTTTGTTTCTAAGATTCCTGCAGGATATTCATATGGCTGTAAGTGTAGTAGTCCACAAAGTGGCTCTGATCCACCCTGCTCACCCAGTTTGGGGTTTTATGATCACCACTGCTGTGAAGATTTCTGCTGGTGTCTCCAGGTGCTCATGGCAAGCATTTCTCTAAGGTGAGCACTTAAGAAGGAATCACTGGGTAGCAGGGCATGACAGCCTTGCTTTTTATGACTTTACCAGGTCCCTGGATGTATTCTGCAAATCACAAGGAAATCACACCAGGTCAGTCCTGGTCCTGCCAGAGCTCAAGGATAGGCAGTGGACATACCGACCTCTCAAGGCTCCAGGGCTCTGGGATTCTGCAGAACTGACAACAACCCTGTGTCTTCTGCTCGTCTACTCCCACTTTTCACACCCAAAACCTACATGGAGCTCCCCAGGACATAAGGTTCCTGGGGGATGAACAAGGTGAGCCCTGGGCTTCCACCAAGGGCTAGGGGCTGCATCTACTCTTCCCACCTCTTGGCACCAGAGCGGGGAAAGCAGCATCAGAGGAGAAATGGAAGGATTATGGATACCTTCAGTGAGGTCAACATAAGTAAACTCTACAGCTCAACTTCCACATCTGTTAAATGAGAGACTGTCTGCCTCAGATTGTTGTGAGAATTCAAGTGAATTAAGTACAGTGCTTAGAAGAGTGCCTGCCATGTAGGAAGCACCCAAGAAATGTTAACGATATTATCACACACACAAATACACAAACACAACATCTATTCACCAGGTTACACACACATACACATACACATACAGATACACAGTAATGGCTTCCATTCACTTAGCTTATTTAATCTTTACAAGAATCCTGTGATGAAGGGATTCCCATTCCCATTTTATAGCTATGGAAATTGAGGCCACACAGTTAGTACTTGACTATTCAAACAGAGGCCTTTCTAACCTGAAAATGCAGACTCTTAATCTCCATGCTGTCCATCCCCTCTGCCTCTCCCACCACAAACATCACACATGTCACACAGTCCATTCGGTGTTTTATTGAACATCCTATATGTAGGGTGAGGCTTGGGGCTGTCAAAAAATATGTATCTCATGCAACCATCACAACTGTGAAAGGTGGCTATTATTTGATCCTTATTTGACAGGCAAAGAAACTGCAGTTTGGAGAGATGAAGTGGCTTGTTCCAATTTTCCCACTCAGTATGTGGCAGAGCTGTGACTCAAATCCATGGGCCCTGGAGCCCATGGTCAGCAGACTTGGGGAGCAGGTAGCCTTATGCCTTAGGTGAAGGCCAGGTGAGACTCAATCTATACAGCAGGTGCAGGTATGTGCATCCCTCCCTGCTGAGCCCCATGCTGAAGATGCATGGTAAGGAGATACCCAGGCACTGTGTGACATCTCCAGGGGTGGCCTCATGGGCTTTCCCTAATTCATTATGTTGGCCCGTGTCTGAGGAATGGCTGGGGAGGCAGAAGGGGTGGTCTTTAAGGTGTAAAGAGAATGGGTCCAGAAGCCCAGCATTGTCTCGATGCTTCCAGCATGGTCTTGGGAAGAAGGTGCCCTATTTGGTCTGCACAGGACATCACCCCAGAATGAAATGTGCAGTGATGGTTGGTGGAGGGAAGAGGGTCTCAGACCACCATGGCTCATGCTGACATCCTTTAAGATCTCCTTTATCAACTCTCTGGATCTAATTCTAGACCCCCAAGTTGCCTTCAGATGGGAATTCCATTTCTTTCCATTTACATGTGTCCGTGGGAAAAGATAGCACTGGTCAGCTGACCCCAGGTTCTGCTCTGCTTGACAATTCTATTTCTCATTATAAAGTGATAAATTGGCTTCTATGAGGGTGGCTGAGCAGCAAGTGGTTTTGAAACTTCAGGGAGAATAAGAATGACTAGGCTACTTGCTAAAATTGTAAATTCCTGGGCCCTCCCAGCATCTATGCTTCCAGGTCCTCTGAAGTGGAGCCAAGACTATGCAGGTCTAACAGGCTTCTTGGGTGTTTCTAATGCCGGTGATCCCAGTCCACATTGGAGAAACACACACAGAGTTGTGTCAATCTGCTGTAGTCAGGCTAGGCTGGGCTCTGCCACATTAATAAATATACTCTGACATCTTGGTAGCTTAACACAACAAAGGTTACTTTTCGCTCACGTCACAGTCTGATGTGGGTTGGGTAGTAACCCTTGGAGCTTTCCTCTTTGGTGACTCAGGGATTCAGGCTCCTTTCATCTTGCCCGGTGGATGTCTTCAGTACCTGACCTCCAAGGTCACTGATGAAGGAGAAGAAAAAGCATGGATAATCACTCTCCCAGGTGGGTTTTATGATCTGGCTTAGAAGTGATATCTACCGATTCTGCTCTCACCCATTGGGCAGAACCCATTCACATGGCCACAACTTAATTGTGAGGGAAGCTGGGAAATGTAGTCTTCTTGTGTGCCCAGGAAGAAGAAAATAAAATGGGACTTGGTGAACATACAGTATTGTCTCTGTCACACAGTTGGATCCATTCTGGGTGCATTAACAATACCAAGTTTCTGTACCTGTGAGGCAAAGAATAAGCGGCTGGGCTGTGTCTGCCTCCAGGAGGCTCTGCCAGCCTTCTCTTATGTTTCTCAGCTCACTTTAGAAGAAGTTCCGTCTCTTCTTGGTTGGCTACAATTCACAGCACAGTCACCACTTGCCCATCCTGTCCATGTGGTGATTGACATACCTATAGGATTTATCTTTGATTGAGTGCAATATTGGTTGAAGGGGATGTTTTAGAAACCACATTTGGGATCAGTGAGATCAATTTTTGTAATTGACTAGTGATGTCTGCCAAGGGATGGGAGGGGCTGATAATGGCATGAGTGCCCCACATTTGTCATTCTTGTCATGCCATTGTTAAAACCAAGTCTGATTCTACATAGCCCATCCCCACTTCTGCAAGTCCAAGTCTATCCTGCTGGGGAAAGAGTTAAGAATGTGTTTTGAATGACTTCTGGCACATGTTAAAAGAACCATAGATATTAGTTGTTATCTTAGTTCTCTCCCAATATTGGTTGGTTTTTCTGAACTCAAGGTAGTATAGCTGTATCCTCTCATGATAAGGATTTCACAAGTTAAATCTTGTAGATGTGGGCTGTCAACACAGAGTAGAACAGCACTGTTACCTCCCTCTTTCTATGTACTCTGACTCTATTAATACAGCCAAAGACTGTGTTTGTTTCTAGTGACACATCACCCTAGTGATACATGTTGGTCAGTTGTCTAAACACTACAAATCTGTCTCATGTAATTGCAACCAAGCTCTGTGTCTCAGCCTGTCTGCCTTTGTTCAGATTTTCTTTACCCGAGATTAGGACTTTGCATTTACCCCTGCAAGTTCCTGCATGTGTTTCATCTTGTTCAATTCACCCTCTAGATTGTCAAGGTCCCCTTTTTTTGCCATGAATATTCTTTTGTCTACTCTTAAATTGACTTTTCATAGCCAATGTGAAGCCTGGGTTGGCTCACAAAGAAACTTAGGCTGTAAGAATAATAATCTTCATCCTGTATCCAGCACTTGCTATATGTCAGTAGTATGTTCTTTACATATATGATCTCATTTGAACTTTATAATACCATGAGGTACATATCATAATCACCATCTTACAGGAGGAGAAGTCAACCTCAGTCCCAAGGTCTCACAGAAAATGATAGGGCTGGGATTTGAACCAAGGTCTATTGGATACCAAGAGTTAATGCTCCTGGCCACTGTATCACAATGCCAGAATGGAATGAAGACCACAGCAGAACCTAGTGCAATACTTGGAGTTGTTCTTGCAGACAGAACCTTCTCCAGCTAGTTTGAGTAGAAAGGGGTTTATTACAGGGATCAGGTAGCTCATAGAATTGCTAGGAGGATCAGGAAATAATGACAGGAGAAATATTCTGCAAACAGTAGAGCTTTTCTAGGGAAACCCCATGGCCACCACCTCCCACTGCTCAGCACCTAAGACCTGGGAATTGACTGCAGCCCTAGTGGGAGCTTCTCTAGGAGACCCCACTGCTACCACTGCCTGTGGCTCACTTCTGCCTTCTACGTCTCATCTGGTCTTTCTACTTGGAGAAACCTAGATCACACACGCAAACCTACTTATCAGAAGGTGTCAGAGAAATGCAGCTCTAGCTCTCTAGTCTCTACTGTATAGGAATATCCGTTGGAAGGATGAGAGCATAGAACTTACCATACTTGGGAAGCTCTGGAAATTTCAGGAAAATCCTGGCATCCTGTCTTCTAAATGAGCCCTTATTCAGTTCACATGTCACTTCTCTCTTTTTTTTTTTTTTTTTGTTTGTTTGTTTGAGACAGGGTCTCACTCTATCGCCCAGGCTGGAGTACAGTGGCACAATCTCGGCTCACTGCAACCTCTGCCTTCCAGGTTCAAGTGATTCTCCTGCTTCAGCCTCCTGAGTAGCTGGGACTACAGGCACACACCACCATGCCCGGCTAATTTGTATTTGTAGTAGAGACAGTGTTTCACCATGTTGGCCAGGCTGGTCTTGAACTCCTGAACTCAGGAGATCCACCAGCCTCAGCCCCCCAAAGTGCTGGGATTACAAGAGTGAGCCACCACCCCAGTCCACATGTCACTACTTCTTTTTTTTTTTTTTTTTTTGAGACGGAGTCTTGCTCTGTCGCTCAGGCTGGAGTGCAGTGATGCAATCTTGGCTCACTGCAAGCTCCGCCTCCTGGGTTAACAGGTCACTTCTTTAGTGACGCCTGCTCTGATCCCTCAGGCTGACTTGCCATTTTCCCTCTATGCCGTTTACACCCCTGTAAAGATCCTTTACACCCCTGTCTGATGAAAATGACTGCACTGTATTCTATTATGTGCCTCTGTGCCCCACTAGCCTGAGCCTTCCTCAAGGCCAGGACCACATACCTGAGGTGCCCATCTCCTGATCTAGCAGAGAGTAGGTGCCAACAGACCTGTGCTGAAACCATGGATGACTATGTGAGTGTTGTGGAAGACTCTGTACTACCCTAGCTATTTTAAGAAGTGTGTGTCCTGCAGGGAAGAGTGTGAAATGCTGCCGCTCTAGGCATGAGGCCAATGCTGAGATTTGGCCTGTCTTACCAGGAATGTATGCATTCCTTACTGTACCCAGCATATTATCCCACTCCATGAGAACCCTGGAGCAAAGTAGAGAACACAGAGATCAACCTGCCTCACCGAATCTTAGAACAATCTGTTGACCTCATGATACACAAGAGGACCATGGGTTTAGGCAGCATGGCATCCCAGGACCAGCCCACAGAAGTGAACTTCATAAAAAGTGGGATGGTCCAGATCCCTTCAATATTTGTGGTTGCCAGCGAGGTCAGGCTCCTCTGAGGGCCATGACTACCTGCATCCCACGGTAGACGATTATCCTAGGGAGCTGCTGAGGCTTGCCTCCAGGAGTCTTGCCCAGGAGTCTTATCTTCTTCCTGTGGGTCTTTGCTATGCAGTGGTACATGTCCAGGTTCTTAGTTTCAAGTGACAGAAACCCAGCTTCAAGAAAGTAGCCCCAAAGGGAAATTTATTAGAAGACTCATGTGAGTGTTGAGGAGGGATAGCCTGGTCTGGGGGAGAAGAGGAACTGGGTTCTGTCTCTCTCTCTTACCTCTATCTTTATCTTTCTTATCCTCTACCTCTCTTGTTCCATTTTGCTCATTTATGTGTTCACAATATCCCCTCTGACTAACTTCTTCTATTGTCAAGAAATGTCCACTGGCATTTTCTTTGCATTATACTCCACAGTTTAACCTCCAAAGAGGGCCAGCCCCTCTTCTCTTAGTTCTGGGTCCAAAACTCTCAAGGAATGCCTTTGTCTGTCTTTGCAAAGGTCTCTGGTTCATGATTTGTCTACAACTGAACAGGTCAATGTAGCCATAGGGTAGGTTTTATGAATGGCAGTCCCATCAAAACCACAATCATTGTTGGATAGTGGAGAGGAGTTATACCAAAGAAGGGGCAGCTGCTTGCAGAATACTGCAAGCTGGGCAGACAAAATATTAAATGCCCCCTATCTAATCAGCACTTGATAAGGTCCCACATGGGTCAGTCACTCCCAGCCTTCTGGCACCAAGCATACTGCTTGAAACCACAGTGCCCTCTCTAGTGCCCTGCACTAGCACATGAAAGGCAAAGCAAATGCCAAGATGGCCCTTCATAGCCAGTAGTGGGAAGGTCAATAATTCCCATTCTGACACAACTTTACCATAAAAAGATGATAAAGCAAGACAAGTGACTAAGTTTTATCACGTGTTCAATTGATAGTGCCTGGCTGGAGCTCTGGATTGAGGCAATCTACATGCAGCCTGGGCAATAAAGAATGCCCTGATCAACTAGCAATGCTTGCCATAGGCAGAGGATGGGGGATGCTGGAATGTGCCTCCTCTGCCCTAAAACCCTCTATAGCAAGAGGGAATGTAGGGTGGAGCTCCGAAAGCTGGCCAGAGTGGAGAAGCATGTTGGAGTGTTCATTGCTAACTATTCTCCTCCCAGGCCAGTCTCTGGGTGCACAGTTGGCCTCAGTCCCCTTCAAGCATTCATTTTTTTCAGCCTCCCCTATGCTCTCAGTGGCTGTTTCCTAGGCAGAGCCGCAGCTTTGGATCTGCACATGGATCTGGAGGCTCCTCATTATTTAAAGTCAGCAATCATATCCCGACTGCATTGCCACGGGGACCTCCTGTCCCGTAAGTGATACTGAGAACATTCGGCTAATCGTGCAGGCTCAGGCTGTAAGGATACCCTTAGCAGATGATTGTCTCTCCTGCTGCCCTAATTCATCCCAATGGCCAAGTGTAGAGGGGCTGACAATGATAAAACGGGAGCTCTTGTCAGGCCAGCAGAAGCTCAGATGACACTTGCTCTGAGTGTTCGAGAATAATTGCAGTTGTTTGTAGTAGCACCTTGTCGGCAGTGCAGCTGCTAAAACAGAAATCCTGATTCCAGACTACCCTCTTAATCAGTTAAAAATAGTCCTGAGTCTTTGATTAGATTATTCCAGGAAAGTAAGAGGCCAGACACTGAGTGGAGCTGGCACCATGGCCTTGGTCATTCAGTTTCCCAAGCATTGATTGCAGCTGTTGTGTGCTGGGCCCTAAGCCCACATAGACAAGATATAGAACACTGGCCAGAATGGAGAATACAGGTGGCATGCTGGTCTCTGCCACGTCCTGTTCTCTGTGGGCTCAGGGCTCAATCACTGGCCACTTGTGACCAATGCCAGGAGAAAGGAAGACAAGAAGTCTGGTCCCAAATGCACCAAATGACCTAATTGTCTCCTGAGCCAATGAGTTGTCAAAGTGGTTTTAAGGTTCTGTTAGAGATTTGCCCTTGACCTCCAGGGTCAAGTTCAGTCTGGTCTTCCAAGCTGTCCACAATGTTTCTGTTGCTAGAGGCTTATCCACCGGGGCTCAAGGCCCTCAGGGTATGTGGTGTTGTCTAAAACCACCACCATCCAGCCTTGTCAAGAAAGAGTGCCATGATTGATTGGTGATGTCTGCTGTAGGCCGAGTATGAAGGGTTGGTAAATGTGCCATCCACTGGGCTCCGTATCTTCACTTGTTTGCCTCCTCCTGCTGATAGCTTCGGGGTCCCCATAATCAGGGGATCTCTAACTTTTTGCTGTTCCAGGTGGAGGAAAAAACTGACATCTTCTTGGGCTCCATAGGACAGTCCATTCAGGAGAGCCTGTTGGATTTCAGCTCCCTCTCCCCTCTCCCACCTCTTGTCTCTCTATGTTTCTCTGTCTCACTCCAGCCCAGCCCAGTCCCTTTCCAACCACAAGTGGCCCCAGAGTAACAGGCTCTTCCTTCCACAATCTGAGACCTCTTGGTGGGCAGACCACAGATGCTGTCCTCCCCAACCTGTAGCACCTGGCTTTCAAAGCTCTCCTCTGGGGCAGAGAGCATGAGGGGAGGCATGATGTCGTATTTGAAGCATCTTACAGAAAGCCTGGTCCAAGAGTTGGGAAGGCCCATCAGGAGATTTCCAAGTCCTGTGTACCACGGCTATGGAGTCAAATTCATCTACCTGTGTGAACCTGGTGTTAACATGCACTAGTTATAGAGCCTCATAATTATGGGCCTGAGCTCTCTGTCATTGGAAGTTTGCAAGAAGCTTTCGCAAATGCTTTCTTGGGGCGTTCCCTCCAGGCATAGAGCCAAGTGACCTTATTGCCTTGTGTGTATGAGGGGCATAATCACATTGGCCTCACAAGTTTGTGTGTGAATTAAATGAACTATGCTCAGTGCACATTAGGTCCCTTTGGTCTTTGCAGTAGCTGGTGGCCTCCTCTGGCCACACAGTCCCCACCATGGTGCTAAGCGGCCACCTCAGCTTGTCAGGATTCTCCAGGGCTCTTCTGGTTCTCACGCTTGCAGAGCTTTTGCTGAACTGGCAGCAGGGCTTCTCCCAACCTCATCTCCTGCAGTGGGGAACTCAGGCCTGGCTCTGGCTCCTTTCTGACTCTGCCTTCTCTCTTGCTCATCACTTGCTTCCCACCTCCAGGCCTTCACCCACTGTTTTGCTTCCTCCCAGTCAATCTCCAGCCCACTCCCAATTTGCATTTACAATCAACTTCATCTCCATAGAACACCTATCTGATGGCTCCTGGATAATGGGAACAGGTGCATGCTACCACACAGGCCTCCAGAAAAGAGCTTTGTATTTCCCTCTTTCCCAGCTTGGGTGTACTTACTTTCTTTAAGGTAAAGTTCAATTAGCTTGTTGATATTTATGTTAAAAAGACCTGGGAGGCGGAGGGGTCCACAAGCTTTATGTGAACCAAAGGAGGGATGTGGCTCTGAGATTGTATCAATAGAGGTCTGGTATCTAGAATGAGGGAGGAGATGGCCTGCTCTGGTCCTGCCCTCACCTGGGGTTTTGATGCCATATTCTGGGGCATGTTGAGAAGAGGAGGATGAGGCTCAGCATGGCAAAGGCTATTGCATCGATCCTGGGAGAGAAACACTATCACAGCCCCATTTTACAGATGGAGAGATAGAGACTTAGGAAGCATTGTGTGCCATGTCCAAGGTCACTTATGTAGTAAATGACTGAGACAGGATTAAACCCAGACAGTCTGACCCTGAATGGATTGGCTGGGGAGAGAGCTGGACAGGGTTGGGCACTTAAGGCCCTTAGTGATTCATTTCTGGAAAACCCTATCAGGAGAAGTGCTGAGAAGAACTGTAGAGGCCCCAGGCTGCTAGTGGAGCACTCTCTGGGCTATTTGGGGTCCTGGGCAGATGTGGGAGGTTTATAAATAAAGAAATGGCCTCAGCAAAGAGCAGAATGGCAGATGTCTCAGTAGAAGGACCTAGATTCAAGTCCTCTCTCTGCCATTTCCCAGATGGGTGGCCTTGAGCAAGTAACTTCTCTGAGCCTCAGGGCCATCCTTTGTAAAGTGTGGGTGATGTTAGAACTAACTTGCAGCCATCATGAGAATTAAATGAGCTACTGGGTGCAGAGCAGATGGCACATGGCCTAGCTCCCTAAACAAGTTGCTCTTGCTGAGGTTGGAGGTTTGTCCCCACATTGTCCCATCCCACTGTTGCAAGCAGGAGCCAGAGTCAGGGAGGGCGGAGGAGACCCGAGCTGACAGCGGCTTCTCCTCTTCCATCATGCAGGCACCTGAAGACACAGGAAGCCTTTCTGCCTTCCTCCGAGATGTGTGACAAGTGTAATCACACAGTTTAGCAGTAACACCAAAGAGTCTCTGGGTACAAGATTTGTCGCTGGCTGTGAGCAGGGCTGGCTGCAGGCACTGCCTCCAGAAGACACCTGCAGAATTCCTGTGATTCTCAGCCACTTCCTCCACCACTGCCACTCCTTCACTTGCCAGAGCTGGGACTAGCCAAAGCCTGTGGGGAGGGCTGGATAGGGGGACAGGGCTGGCTGGGCACTCTTTGCCCTAAGGGCCTATTTCTGGACAACAGGAAAAGTGATGAGTGGTCTGGGCTGCTAGTGGAGCACTCTATGTGCCCTCTAGGGTGCTGGGCAGGTGTGGGAGAGTCCAACAGCTCAGGGCAGAAGCACCTGTGTCCTTTCTTCTTACCCCCAGTAAGTCAGGACAGATGCAGTGAGGTCCAGCCCACAGGCTGCCCCCGAGGGAAAAATAACCTCAGGGAGAAATCACCTCCAGCCACTCTTCCCCACTCCTCATGGTCAGCTGATTACCTTGCTTTTTATTTCTCTGAGAAAACAGAAGCAATCAGAAGTGAACTTCCCAAACTCCCGCCCCCACCTCTATAGACCTCCTTGCATCTGTGCCCACTCGGTGGTGGTTGTCCTCTCTCTGGTGACAGTGGAGGAAGCACCCCAGCTCCTGTGCAAGGCTGGCCAGCACTTGTCCCCTGAATTTCATCCCCTCGAACCTCCTCAAGGACAGCACCCTGGAGATGTCCTCTGCTTTGTCAACTTCTCCCATCATGACTGGATTATTCCCACTATAAATGCAATGCTTAATAATATATCTAATCTTAAAAGAACCCTCTCTTGGATCTCACTTGCCCTGACAGCTCCATGCCCATTTCTCTGCTTCCCTCTGAAGCAAAACTCCCAGAGAGAGTAGTCATTGCTGGTCTCCATGACCTCTCCTCCCACTCTCTCTTGAGCACACTGCCATCAGGCTTCAAACCCTGACTCTGCCAGCATGACTTCTCTGCCCCCACAATGTCAAATCCAATGGTCAGTCCTCCACCCTCAGTAGCAGCAGGTGGCAGGTGGCTGTGCCTTCCTCCTTGAAGCTCCTGCTCCACTTGGTTTCATCCTCTGATTGTTCCTCAGTCCCCTTTGCACATCCCTATTATCTCCCAACCCTGAGCATCAAAGGGCCCCAAGGTTCAGGCTTCAGACAGCTACCTGTCTATACCCAGCCCCAATGTGACTTCTTCCAGTCCGTTCAGTCTATCTTTCCTCCTCTCCAGTGGCTTCCCAATATCACTCAGAATTAAATCCTAAGTGCCCGCCATGGCCCACAGACCACACGAGATCAAGCCCCTTTGATCTCATCTCTAAACACAAATCATTGTTAGATGAACACACAGGTGTGCAACAGGAGGAAGCTGTACTCAGGACCAAGCCAGGATTGTCTCCCTCTCTTCCTCCCCAAGCCTATAGCTGTCCTACCTCTGTACTCTCTACCCCCAAAGAACTTCTTAGCTTCCTTCCATTGTCCTCCTTGGGATCCACTTGACAACAGCCAGTCTGAGGCACCCCCCCAGCCTGGGGCCTGCTGGCCTCCCTAGTTACTTGGCTACTCTTTTTTTCTATCTTTCTATGGCAGCCATGGGGAACTGCTTATCGTTTCTTGAGCAAGTCAGGCTTTTTCATCATCCTACACCTTGCACATGTAGGTCTCTCTGGAGCTTCCTTTCTACCCTTCACCCTGCATACACAAACTTATTCTTCCTTCAAAACTCAACACAACTGTCATCTCCTTCAGGGATACTTCCCTGCTGCACCAGATTAGGGAGCGACCCAGCCAAGCTGCTGCCTGGGACACCTCCTTATAAAAAGCTTTACATCTTTCACTGGAAATGTACAGACATGGAGGAAATTTTGTTTAGCAGAACTCCCTCAGGTCCTGGAAGGAATCCTTTGAGAAACAGCTGGAAGTATATGTGTGTGTTTGTTGGCAGGGAATAAGACCCTCAAGGGAAAAGGAGAATAGGAAGGTCTGTTTTAGACTTTTGCTTTGGGAGAGAAGATGCAAATGTGGGGGCAGAGCTAAATTGCTTAGGACCTAGAGAACAGGCTGAGACTCTCACCAAAATGGATAGACCATATTGGTTTGAATAGGCAGCAGGGAATGAGTCTTCCAAAAGGCTCCTGGGCTTCTGTTTGGCTCTGCTTGCCTGATCGCTCCAGTCTGGGTTAGAAGCCTCCAATTCTCCATGAACTTAGCATTTTCTATCTTGGCAAGTACTGCCCTACACTGAGAACTTCTTCTTTTCTTTTTTTATAGATGGAGTTTCACTCTTGTCGCCCAGGCTGGAGTGCAATGGCAGGATCTCGGCTCACTGCAAACTCTGCCTTCCAGGTTCAAGTGATTCTCCTGCCTCAGCCTCCCGAGTAGCTGGGACTACAGATATGCACCACTACACTTGGCTAATTTTGTATTTTTAGTAGAGTCAGGGGTTTGCCATGTTGGCCAGGCTGGTCTCGAACTGCTGACCTTGAGTGATTCACCCACTTTGGCCTCCCAAACTGCTGGGATTACAGGCATGAGCCACCATGCCCAGCCTACACTGAGAACTTCTGCTCACACATCTGTCTCCCCCTAGACTGTGGCCCCTTGGAGGGTAGGGTCTGCATCTTATCTATATTTATGACCCTAGCTATTAGCATAGAACACTGGCTTGCTGTGGGAGCTTAACAAATGCTTGTTGATTGGGTGGCTGGATTTTTTCATTTTTCCTCTTCATCCAGATATTTTGATCTCACATGTACACAGGCTGATTTCTTCCCATGCCTGTGACTTGAGTGCTGGAATTTCTTCTACTTTCTTCTTCTTCTTTGTTTTTCTTTCTTTTTCTTCTCTTTCCTCCTCCTCCTCCTCTTCCTTCTTCTTCTTCTCCTCCTCCTAATCCTCTCTTTTTCTTTCTCTTCTTCTTTCTCTTCTCTTTCTCTCCTCCTCCTTCTTCTCCTTCTCTCCTCCTCCTCCTTCTCCTTCTCTCCTCCTCCTCCTTCTTCTCCCCTCTTCCTCCTTCTTGTCTTTCTCTCCTCCTCCTTCTACTCCTTCTCGTCGTCCTCCTCCTCCTTCTCCTTCTTCTTCTTTTCTTCTTCTTCCTTTCCTTCTCCTCCTCCTCCTCCTAATCCTCTCCTTTTCTTTCTGTTCTTCTTTCTCTTCTCCTTTTCTCCTCCTCCTCCTCTTCCTCTTCTTCCTCCTCCTCTTCCTCCTCCTCCTCTACCTCCTCCTCTTCCTCCTCCTCCTCTTCCTCCTCCTCCCTCCTCTTCCTCTTCCTCCTCCTCTTCCTCCTCCTCCTCCTCCTTCTTCTTCTTCTTCTTCTCCTCCTCCTTCTTCTTCTTCTTCTCCTCTTCCTCCTCCTTCTTTTCTTCCTCTTCTTTTCTTCTCTTCCTCCTCCTCCTGCTCCTTCTTCTCCTGCTCTTCCTTCTTGTTCTTACTGTGAAGGCTTTTTTAATTGTTTTAATTTGGTATTGATCTATCATCATTGTACTGGAATTCTTTCTTACCTGTATGTGTCTCCAGCTTGCAGGTACATGGATTAGATCATGCCTGTGTCACAGGATGTTCAGGGGACCTGGGAGGATGCACTGAGCTCAGATTCAATAAACACAGGGTCCTCCTCACTGATCTTGAGATGGTTATTTTTCTTCTCAGATTTATCTTCCCATGAGAAAGAAGTTGGAGTAGAGGATCTCAGAAGTCCTCCTCACTCTGAGAGAAGCTATGGGACTCATAGAGAGCTCCTGGGATTTGGAGTCAAAAGAGCCAACTCATCCTCTGCCACCCTTAGTTAAACCATCTCTGAAATGTGGACAGTAGTGAGGATTTAACCAACAGCAGATGTGAACATGCTTGGGAAGCCACAGGAGCCATGTCCATGGAAGGGGCTTTACACACCATCGCCACTCGTGACATCTAGCAGCCCCCACCTGTCTTGTAATCTAACCCTGATCCATGCCCCTAAAGACCTTGGAGACCTTCATTCTTACTCATTCTGCCCTCTCTATCCTCATTCATTAGTTTATTCATTTATTATTTGTATTGAATGCATACTATGTGTCAAGCCCTGGGGCACAAAATTGAACAAAGCTAGCTACTACAGCTTTAGCCCTTAGGAGCTAGTCGTCTAAAGTGGTAGGAATAGCACTTACCATTCATTGTGGCTTCTATGCCAGGCACTGAGTTAGGGCCTGTCATAGCAGTGATCTCATTTCATCCTCACAAAACTCCTGTAGAGTAGGCACTCTTGCAGTTTCCATTTTGTAGATGTGTAAACTGAGCCACAGAGAAGCTAGGAATGGTGGAGATACGATTGGAGTCCAGGTCGTTTGGTTTAAGAGCCTGGGCACCACCCTCACTCCCACCTCCAACCCCGTGAGCTATACCCCTTTACTGAGCCCATGTTCATATCTAGCCACCAATGTCCAAGACACATGTGACATCTGCCCAGAGCCCATGTCACGCCACTTCACAGGGAGGCAGAGGCAGGTTTTCTGTGAGGAAGGCCCAGCTCAGTCCAGGGACAGACATGGCCGTGGGCGCTTCTGTGGGGCAAGCCTCACTGAGTCTCGGATACCTGCTCACCTGGATGAATTGTCCAGGGTGTGGAGGGAGAGGACCCAGAGCCCGTGCCCTTCAGATGCCCCCACGGCTGGAGAAGCTCCACCCTGCCCCACCCATGCCACTTCTGCAGTTCCTTTTGTTCTTGCTTCCAAGTCACAAGGTGACAGCCTGTTCCTCCTTTCTGAAGGAGCTGTGATCTGAATCAGCCCTGGAGCCCTCTGTCAGAGCTGCTCAGAGGAGGCTCCAGAAAACCCTGCCACTCTGGGGCCAGAGGCTGCAGGACGTGAAGTCTATTAAAGAATTTTGGGGCAAATATCTCACATTCACCTCTCTGCTGGCAGCAAGAGAGAGTCTCCTGGAAATGAAGGCGGGATAAGAAAGGGCTTAATTCTCACTGTTGTCTCCTATAAGCCCTTTTCCACGTGGGTAACCTGGTGTTTGTGTTTGGAAATGTGTGTGTGCAGGAGAGTGCGTGTGCACATGCAGGTATATGCATGTATGTGTATGGGGGCTGTTTGGATGCATGTACAATAGGTGCTCCGTATCTGTGGGTTCCACATTCTTGAATTCAGCCAAGGATCAAAAATATTTTTTAAAAAATAACAATGCAACAATAAAAAATAATACAAATTTTAAAAACAATCCAGTATAACAACTATTTACACTGGATTAAGTATTGTAAGTAATCTAGGTTATACAAAAACACTACCCCATTCTATATAAGGGACTTAAGCATCATCAGATTTTGGTACCTGGGGGGATCCTGGAACCTGTCCCTCCTGGGTAATGAAGGATTCCTCTCTACATGTCTCTGTGTGCATGTGTCTCTCTGGGTGTGTATTGGTTAACTCTTGCTGTATAACAGACCACTCCATTTGTCATTGCCACACATCTGTGCATTGGCTGGGCTGGGCTGATCTAGGCTGGGCTTTGCTGGAGCATCTCTGCTTCACGTGTCTCATCTTCCTGCTGGGACCAAGGGCTAGCCCAGGCATGTTCTTTTCATAGTATTGACATAAAGGCAAGAGGTCTCTTAAGGCCTAGCCTTGGAACTGCCACTCCATCACATCTGCCTTATTCTATTGGCTAAAGCAAGTCACATGACCAAGCACAAAGTCAAGGGGCAGGGAAATGTATTCTGCCCCCTCAGTGGAAATATAGGCAGAGGTGGTGAATTGGGGTCAATATTGTATTCTACCAAGAAGTGCATGCATATATGTTTGTGTATGCCCATGTGTGCTTGCAAATGTGCATGAGAGTATATGTGGGCATTGATGGCCTTCCACATATATGCAAATGTATGCACAGCTGTGTATATGCATGATCATGTCAAGCTGTAAATGTACCTGTGTTTCTGTGTGTGTCTGCTTAGGAGCATTCCTCAGACACACACGTGCAGTGCCCAGCCAGGCCATGCCAGAGGAGTGGATGGGCTGATCCTGTGAAGTGGATATATCTCCAAACCTCACAAAGATACCTGTGGGACTGCCAATGAGTTTCTTGCCATCTGCATGTGCTGAGGTAGATCTTGCTCCATTAGTGGCCCTGAGAAAATTCGCTGGTCAGTTGTCTTGTAGTCTATTATTACCCAGATGTCTGTGTGTTCCAAACGATTGTTTTTAAATTGCTTCATTAGTCTGCCTCAGCAGACCCAATCCTGCTACACTTGACTGGCTCAGGTTCTGTGGGACAGAGTTGGTGGGAGCTGAGCAGGCGGCTCACTTGCTGATATACCTGCTTGTGCAGAAGGAGGTGCCCCCAGAGACAGACAAGGAGGAGATGCCCCCACCCACCCCGCAAAAGAGGCAGCATTGTGGAGCAGGAAAGGCAAGGGCTTCGGAATTAGAGAGAGCTAGTTTCAACTCCAGAACCTGCCATTTACAGTCTGCATGACTTTGTGTTAGTTCCTGGGGCCTCAATTTTCCTCCTGCAAAATGGGGTCAGTGTCCCGATACTGCGGGTGTTTGTGAAGATGGAAGGAGATGATGTAGTATGTGGGGCATCCAGCATGGCCCATCTAGCCAGTGACCAGAATGTGGGTGTTCCCTTCCCTCTTTCCACAAAGGGCCTCTGACCTCTCTGCAGAAGCTGGGCCTCACAGTCAGACCTGACCAATTGGGTGGGTGGCACCAGTGGCCCCCAGGGGTCCACTTAGATGAGTCATTGATGTTCCAAGAAGAACCTGGAGACCCACATCTAACCGACCCTCACCTACCCAAGAACAACCGCGTAGGCAAAGTTTAGGACACAGAACCTAGGGTTATGCTGCCTGGGCTCAAATCTCTGCTCTCCGCTCACAGTGGTATGACCTTGACCTAACTTTCTCTCTCTAAGTGTGCACTTCCCAAAGCAGAGATGATAACAGTACCCAACTCACAGGATACATTTTCTGCATAATTGAAGCTCTTCCCTTCAACCCCAAAACTCCATCTTACTCTCTGGGATGGAAATCATCCCAGATATCTTACTCACATCCCTGCCTCCCTCACCAGAGGATCTCGAAGATAATGCTTCTCTTCCTGCCTTGGAAACATGAGCGTTCGCACCCGCTATATGGTGCAGAAAGACAGTTCTGTGCTTCTTCCTTGTGACGTTTCCCCTTCTTATGAGCTGTCACTCTGCCACCGTCAGAGTATTATGGAGGTGCTCCTGCACTCTGCTCCTAAGCCACTACTGGATAGAGGAGTCCGCAAATATTTTCTGCAAAATGCCATGTGTGTTTGTGTATATGCAAGCACATATGCAATATTAGACTTGAAGTCCGATATTTTAGACTTCGAGGGCCACATATAGTCTCTGCCACATACTCTTTTTTTTTTTCTGGTTTGTTTTGACCCTTTAAAAACATAAGGACCATTCTTAGCCCCACAGCCACAGGAAAACAGGTTGTGGGCTGAACGTGGCTATGGGATTTAGTTTGCCAGCCCCTGGAGAAACGCATTAGTTAAAAATGCACATTAACTTACATTTATGGAGGTTGTGAGTGACACAGGTGCTTCCAGGCAGTGTTCCTGCCTACCAGGGACAGGCTGTATTCCCCAGGCTTCTGCACCTCTGGCCTTTGCATTCCTGTGGTGTGCTTGCCACCAACCAGGAGATACACTCAACACCAAGTGTGGAGGGGGTGGAGGACAGTTCAGGGCCTCCACCTAATTTATCTTACTTAGTTCTTAAACAACCTCATGGGAAATTCTCATGCCCATTTTCTACAGAGCTGACATTGCAACCTGAGTCACCTGACTCCAAAGCCTTGGCCCCAGGGCAGGCCCCTGCATGTGTCTTTGGAGGAGATCAGAGGGAGGATTAGGGAAGAGAGGCAGGATGGAAGAGAGAGGCACAGAGGGGGCAACAAGACACTCCTTCAGCCCATGTCCTTTATTAAAACATTGACTAAATAGCATAGTGGAGTTTTTTTTGGAAAAGTGTTGTGTTTTTTTTAAGTATAATATAGGTTTATTATTATAAAAATTCAGTCACAGAAATAAACCAAAAAGAAAATAAGAAATCAACCCCAAACCCTACCCCCCAGAAACAAACCTGGTTCTATTGTGGTGAACACTCTCCAGACATCCCTGTCTGAATGTAAACACATATGTACATGGTTTTAAGTGAACAGGAGGAGACTCCACATGCTGTTGTGTAAATGATTTTTTCTCCCGACAATATGTTGCGGACATTTTTCCATGTCAATAAATACAGATTGACAGCTTCGTGTTAAATAGCTGCATAATATTCTGTTGCATGTACAAATGGGACTTTTAAATGCAAAATAGGCCTCTGTGCTTCCTGGCTCCCCGGGTGGTTGGGTGTGGGACTGTGCCCAGAGGGAAGCTCTGGTGCCGGTGCCGCAGCCATTACGGCTGCTAGGGCCGGGGTCTCAGGCTTAGCCCATGAGGGACCAAGTCACTCCAGGTAGGCTCTGGCAGCCTCAGACTCCAGGCAGCAGCCTCGAGATGGGCTGTGGAAGAGGATGGGTGGCCCCACCCCCTCCATTCTGCAGCCATCCTATGGACTCTCCCGGGGTTTCTTTCTGAGGTGTCCTCACAAGGCATGGCAGACTCCCTGGTGGGCCCTGACACCTCCGGGCAGGGCCTGGGCCATTTGCCCACTGCAGGAAGTGACCTCTGGTTCTGCTGTCTCCCTTTTCTCGGTCCTATTCTGCATCTCTTGAGCTTCTGATCAAGATTTATGGAATGAAGCTCCTTTGGACCCATTATTTCTCCATTTGCCCTGCCCTGCTAAGCAGAGCCCAACCTCAAACATGTCCCCACCATTCTGTCTCCTTCCAACCCAAACTCCACCTCCTCAAGGGTCCACAGCCTGAGAAGCCCTGGCCAGTGTTGAGGGTCCAGCCCCAGCAGCCCTCTCACATCACCCCAGGCTGGGTTGATAATGCTTCCTTCCGTGTTTTCAGGCCTTGTACCTCCCTTGGTTTTCCTCCCACCTCACAGGTTACACTTTGGTCTCCCAGCCTGGGTTCCTTCTCCTTTCTCCTAATGCTGCTGTCCTGAGCATGCAAGGCTCTCTCCCCACCACATTCTATCTGTTCTCCCTGGGGGGTGTCCTCTATGCCCAGTGTATTAGTCAGGTTTCTGTTGCAATAACGCTCCATAACAACCATCCCAAAACCTAAACCTTCTACAACCACAAATATTTATTTCATATTCAAGAGTCTGTAGATTGGCTGTGACTTGGCTGGTCTTGATTGGCCTCAGTTGGACTAGGCTGGCCTTCAGGCTCCAGGTGAGGCTTCAGTGCACTCCATTTATGTTCACTGCAAGCCCCAGGGCAGTCTGGGCTCATGGGGAGGGCGGACCCTCAACAGAAGAGAGTGGAAGCAGGCAATGCCTCCTGGAGGCTTCTTTCAGAACTGCAATGCTGTTACTTCCATCCATTTGCCACTCATTACAGCAAGTTACATGGGCCCGCCCAAAGGTCAACAAAGGGGAGGAGAGCAGGGATATAAACTCCACCTACTCCAGAGGAAGATTTTGCAATAGGCACATCGTGCGAGTCGAGGATGCATAACAAGGATATAAAATTCTACCCCAGGGAGGGCGTGCAGAGTTAGGAATGACAGCCCAGTAGGCACGCTGTGATGATGCACCTGAGACCTCTCTGCCGAGGGCCACTCCTATAATCCATCTTCTGACAGAACTGTCCTCCAATATGTCCCACAGGCACCTTGAAACCACCCACCCTACCCAGTACTCACCTCATCCTCCTCACCACCCCGTTAGCCAATTCCACCAAATCTGTGTCCTGGTTTCCCCACCTGGGTCCTTGGTGCCCTGGGCTCAGCATCCCTGTTGAGAGCCACCGTCTCCTGCTGCTGTCTTGGCCTCTGCCCTGTGACTGATGGGCCCTTCCCGCACACAGCCAGCCTCCCAGCCACACCAGTTGGGAAGCACAGACCTCCTGGCTCTGCTGTGTTTGTTCTCAGGCCTGTCACATTGTCACACCTTCTTCCTACCTTTCCTTGGCCTCCCCCTGCATGACTTTCATTCCCTCTCAAACTTCAGTGTCGTGTTTTTTGGGAGGCTCTCCTGGACTCCCCTGGCTGAGGTAGGCCTCCATGTCTCAGCTCCCATAGCCACTGTTTACCTGTGCGGGCCAGTCTGCCTCCCCAGCCAGGGTTTGGATGCCTATGGGGTAGGGGCAATGTTGAGACCTGCTCTGTGTCCTCCACACAGATATAGGGTCAGGCATGCTGTCAGAGCTCAGGCAGTATTTGCACAGGGACTGGCTGACTTCCTGATGCGTCAGGCACTTCCTTGGCCCTTGGCCACCCGCTCTGTCCCCAGCACATTTTCGGAGAAAAGAGTTGCCCCTGTGATATGGAAATTGGGCACACTTTCCCACATCTGTGGTGTCACCCCTCTCGTGAAGGGTCCCTGACATGCCCCCAGGGACCACAGCCACCATCACATCCTAGACTTTGAGATTGGAGCAGGAGTATAGGGGACCCCTGCCTAACTTTGCACAGTTAATAAGGGACAGACCCAAGACTTGAACCCAGCTGTCTGCCATCAAAGCCGATGTGCTCACACAAGCCCTGCATCACACTGATTTGTGTGGCCTAGCAGGAGGCATCCTCCTCCACCCTCTCCTGTAAAGTCTGTGATGCTGTCTGGCTGGCTTTGGTCACGGGAAGTCCGGCTCCCTTACCTTGCCTCTTTCTGCCTCTTGCTGTACCCCAAATATGAGGTGGGCTCCCTTTTATGCAGAGGCTACAACAATCCAAAATGATCAATCAGAAAAGTGAAAAGGATGATTCCTTGGGAAAATACGGTTAGTGATTAAAAGCAACTCACTGCTTTAGAGATCCGGGACAGGTTGTTGAAATGCCTATGACGCTGTTTCCTCACCTGTAAACTGGGAATCATAGTCCCTAAATCACAGAGCTGTTGTGAGGATTAAATGAGATAATGTAAACAAATCCCGAATACACGATCTGGCATAGAGCAAGTGCTCAGTCAATGTCAGTTACCCTGCCCCAAACCATTTCCTCCTCCTCCTCTTCATCCTGTCTGGAGACTTTTCCCCAACACCGACTAAGATGAATAAGGGGTGCAGAGAGCCTCTCTATGCAGAGACAGGATCCCCTGAGGAATGGCTGAGGGTCCTGGGGGTCAGACAGAAGAAAAGAAGACTGTGGTGGGGGGAGGGCAAGATCTTGGCTTTCCCATCCCTGCAGAGTCATGCCGGAGCATGAGGAGCTAATGAGTTGGGGAGGGATACAGGGTGCAGGACAGAATCCATCAATGGGGTAAGTTGCTGGGAATGCCTGTGCTGGGTCAATAAGGGGAGAAGTTTCCAGTAGGAGAGCTGCATGGGCTGCCTTGAGGGGTAATAAGCTCTCCATCACTGCAGGGCAGTGAGCATAGGTGATGATGGCCCGATAGACAGTTTCCAGGTCAGAGTCTGTGGGAACAGGGATCAGCCTGTGGATGCTCTTGCAGGCTCTATGGGAGGCGGAGGGTACATGGGGCAAAGGTGCTGCCTCTCACCTGTTCCCTGGGGGCTGGTGGGGCCCAGCTGCTGCCTCTGTGATTTGCATTCAGCCTTCGTCTGTGACAAACTCTGCATGCAGCAGCCTGCTCCCAGAGATGTGCTATTTAAAGTGCTTCCCCTCCGCCCCTAAGGGTGCCATGTGTTTATCTTGCTTTCGAGTTAAAAAGGAAAATCGATTTCACTCTTACCTTAGGAAGGTTTCAGGGTGGAGGCTGTGGGGTGGTTTCATTTCATTAAAATGAAAGTGGGAGTGGTGGCAGTAAGAGCTTCAGATTCCCACCCACCTTGGCCAGTTGTGAATAAACAGTAGCCTGCATCCCTCCTCCTTTAGCCTAGACTATGGGGGTTCCAGGAGGCCTGGAGTTTGCCAGGAATGGGCACCTGAACTGTGGGTTGCAACACTCATCCCAGAGAGTGGGACAGAGAGAGAGGAACTAAGCTCATCCTTGGTGTGCGTGCATGTGTGTGAGAGTGTGTGTGTGTCTGTGTGCGGAGCTAGTCCACGGACTCTGCACTTCTCAGTAGTCTGGTCAACACTGGATTTCTTGACTATTTGAGCCAATCCAGGCTCTGAGCACTGGACACAATCCTCTTGGGTGGATGTGGCTTCTAGCCTAGGTACCCAGTCTGGGCTGGGAGGTTTTGGGCTCAGCTGAGCTAGACAGTCTGGCTGTCCTCCTTGCCCTCTCCTTTCATAGGCCCCCTTGGTGGTCTGCGTTTTTGCCCTCCACCTTCCCAGAAGCCAACAGGGAATCCCAGACCCAGGCTAAGTAGCTACTCAGGCTGCCTCTTTCTCTGAGATCTGGGCCCAGCAGGCTGGGTTGCTCCACAGAGAGGCTGAGGCAGCCAAGCAGAGCCTTTGCCTATAGGACAGGAGGTGCCTGACCAGAGGAGGTCAACTGGAGGCCTCTCCTTCTTGTCTCTGGATTGTTCAATGAGAAGGACATTTGGGGTTGAAGATTCAGAGCAGAGAGCTCCTTGGGGAAGTTCTGGAGATGGAAGATTGGAGATGGAGCTACAACCTCCCTTTACAGCTATCCTTCCCCAGAGGCCATCAGCCCCAGGGCTTCAGTGAAAGCAGACAGCGCTGCTGCGGGGAGACCCCGGGTTTCACTGACTGTACTTCTTTCCCATCCATCTACTTATATAACTAACATTTATTGAGGATCCTTCATTTCCAAGCTATTTTAACATTTTCTTAGGCCCATGTATTTACCTTCCAGTTCAAGGATACCTTGCATACACTGGGCTGATGGACCAGGCAAGGTTCCTGTCCTCAAGGAGCTTATGATCTAAAGAGAACCAGACATAGGACAAACTAGGTAGTGGAGGTGCTCTGATGCAGATTCAGCCAAAATGCTGTGGGAGTGAATGTGTTGGGACAATTGGTTCTGATGGAGATCTACAGGAAAAAGGCTCACGGAAGGAGTGAGTTTGGAGCTCCCCCTAGAAGGATGAGCAGGGTTTTAAAATGTGCCAAATCTGGTGAGGAGTAATCCAGCCTACAGGGATGGCCTTGACAGATGTTCAGTGACATGATGTGTGTGCTGTACTGGGAGACAGACAGTGGGCTGCAGTATGGCAGGTGGGTGGGAGATGATGCTGGGAGTGTGCACTGGGACATGGTGCCCTGAGGCCACAATGCTTTCAGCACCTGCTAGAGACTTCACAACTCTCCCTTTATCCCCATGGCTATATTTTGAGGTCAGCATGATCATCCTCAATATGCAAATGAGGAAACTGAATTTCAAAGGGACAAGTGATTTGCCCAAGGTCAGTCCATCAGTGGCAGAGTCAGGATTCAAACTTGACTTTATCTGACCCCAGAGTTCATGTAGCCAGGAACTACCAACTTAGGTATTTGGAGTTTATGATGGAAGCAATGGGGTGGAGACTGGGGGTCTCAAAAGTTTTTGAAGAGAAGAATGAAAGGGTCTCAGCTATTGACTTAAGAAGCTCATTTTGTAAGTGTGGTGGAGGATGGATTGGACTGGGAGGAGGAGACAGGCTCCAAGGATGTCCATAGGCTAACAAAAGAGCACAGGCTGCAGAGAGGGAGTGATGGCTGTGGGAATAAAGGGAATGGGAAGGAGGTAAGACGCAGGGTTCCCATCTGACAGGATGGGAGCAGTGGGGCCTTTAGAGCTGGCACTGGGCAGGGCTCTTACCACCATTGCAAGAGCCTGTGGGTTGGGAAGTGCCCATTAGGTTCACGTGGTCCACACCCCTGCCCTGACTGCAGATGCTTGAACCCTCTTAAAAAACTATGTGGGCTTTGGGAATTCAGTGAATGACTCAACCAGAATTCAAGAATATCTTGGCTTCTGATTGCACTCCTTCATCAAAGGGGGCGTGCACTCCCTTCTGGTTCTCAGATGCCTCCATCTGTTAGACATGTCTCCTCTCAATTAAATAAAACTTGCCCCTCCGCAGCCTCCATCCATTGGTCCAATTATGTCTCTTGGGACAAGGCAGAAGGATCTGATGCAAATTTCATATGCCCGATCACCAGACACTTGATGATAATTCTTATGTCCTCACAAACTCTTCTCATCTCCAGGCTATATAGTAACAATGGTATTAATATGAACACTTATTGTACTTTTCATGTTTCAGACACTGTGCTGAGAGCTTTACATGTGCTGTCTCAGGGGCTGGATCATGAGTAACTTTAAAATATCTTCATTAGGCATTCCATTGCAATCCCAAAAGCAAGAGGGCTTATTGCCAAATTTTAAGTAGGAGAGGGAATACTTTAGGAAGTCTAGTCAGGTGGCCAGTGTGAAGAGTGCCCTGGCAGGAGAGAGAATAAGCCGGGTGGCAGGCGGGGGGCGGGGCGGTGGGCTGTTGAAATAATCCAGGTGAGAAATGACTAAGACCTGGACATCAGTGATGGTAAAGGGTATGGCGAACAAGGGACAACTGGAAGACATTCGAGGGTAAAATCAACAGAAACTGGGGAGTAGCTGGATGTAGGAGGTGAAGGAGAAAGGAGAACCAGGTATCTTCAGATTTTTATCCTAGGCTAAATTCTATGAGACAGAAAATCTAAGAAGAGTATCTGTACCATTTGGGAGATGACGGGAGGGAGGGATTAGAAGGAGAGATTATATTTAGCTTTAAAACATATGGAGTTGCAAATATCAGTGGCATGCTATTTATTCACTTGTTCGTTTGTTCATTTATTCATTTAAGAAGGCTTTATTGAGAATCAACAGTGTACCAGGCACTCTACTAGGTGCTGGGGTTATGAAGACAGCCACCTTCCTCCTGATAAGTGTGAAAATTAGTATTACAAATATCCTTCAGTAAACCAATGGATAAAAAAACTACGGCACATCCATATCATGGAATATTATTCAGCACTAAAAGGAAATGAGCTATCGAGCACAAAAGACATGGAGGAAACTTAAATGTATATTACTAAGTGAAAGAAGCCAATCTGAAAACGATACACCCTGCATGATTCCAACTATATGATGCTCTGGAAAAGGCAATGTAGTAAAAAGATTAGTGGTTGCCAGGAATTAGGAGGAAAGGAGGGATGAATAGGCAGAGCACAGAGGATTTTTAGGGCAGTGAAACTACTCTGTATGACACTCTAATGGTGGGTACACATCAATATAAATTTGTCAAAACCCATAGAATAACCAAGAGCAATTCCTAATGTAAATCTAATGGAGTTTGGGTGATAATGATGTGTCATCAATTCATAGATTACAACAAATGTAGTTCCCTGGTGGGAGATGTTGGTAATGAGGAAGGCTGTGTGTGTATGTGGGAGCCAAGGGTACGCGGAAATTATCTTAACTTTCTGCTCAGTTTAGCAGTCAACCTAAAATTGCTCTAAAAAAATAAAGTCTAATAAAAATTAATGTTATAAGATGCCAAGATTGAAATCTGTACAGGGAATAGAATGCCGAAGGCAGCAGAGTGGTCAGGAAGTGTTTCACCATGATGGTGACCCTAGACTTGTGATGGAGATTAAATGGAGGTGTTGGATCTACCAGTCTGTAGCTCAGGACAGGGTTCTACATGGGCAATAATTATTTGGAATTCATCAGGTTGCCAATGCATGAGTGGCAGCCAAGGGAATCCAGGGAAGAGTGTGTGGAGTTCAGAAGAAAAGAGACTTGGAGGTGGCACCTACAACGCTCAATGCCTAAGGGGAGGGAAGACCTCAGAGGATTTAAGAAGGCAAGGTCTGAAAGGCAGGAGGAAAGTAAGAAAAGAGGGACACTGAAAGAAAGGAGAACACTGGAAAATAGAAACCGCAGCTCATTCTTTATGAGAGCGGCACTGGAGAACCTGGAAACAAGGGAAATCAATAAGCTTCTGAGAGTCCATTTGAATCAGTGGATCAGAGCAGAGAGATGCTAGGTCATCTAAAGATGAAAAATAGCTTTGGGGCTAGGACTACTGGACTGTAGCCTATTTTGTATGTCTAGGAAATATAAGAATGTATTGGTCAAAGGGGAGTTGGTCACAGTAGAAGGAAGTGAGAGTCCCTAGATAAAAGATGGTCAGTGCCCCTCCCAGGGCTATCCAGAAGTGAGAAAACCTTGGCCTGCAAGGCAGAGCTTCAGAAAATTCTGTCCCCATGACAGATACAGAGGGCGCTAGCCATACATCTTTGGGGTTTCAGGTACCGATGGCCAGACCATCTCAAGGGCAAGGTGAATGGAAGTGGCAGGATGAGGCAGCTCTAGTCCCTTTGTTCAGCCAGCCTCCTTTGTTCTGAGTGTTCACCAAGCAGCCTCCTGAAACCCATGTAGATGTGTTCCTAAGATGCAGGTCTTGGGCCTGGCCTTCCCCACGGAAGACTAAGAAATTGCTCCTCAAATCCCCCATATGCCCCTTTTTCTTCTCACCTGACCTCATGTTTCATTGGCATGATGAAACTTCCTCATCTTTTCCCAACCAAGTCTACTAACTTACTGGTATCTGGTTACATGGATGAGTGCCTATCAGGTCCAAACCCTTTATACATGCCCTGGACTCCACTCTAGCTAGTTTTCTCAAGGACTTTCCTCCTTCCATTCCCTCTTCCCCTCTGCTAGAACATCCTCATCTGTGGATGCACATGCTCTGGAATAACCCGTCTCCATTGACTAGACATCTTCCTGCAGATATCGTCTGACTTCCCTGCTATGCGCAACAAGACATTTTAAATTAAGTAACTGTCTACAGTCACTACAATCACCTCTCCACCTCGGCTTCTCCCCTTGATCTTCTCTACTCAGGTTTCTGTTCCCACTGCTCCCCGCAAACTGCTCATATCAGGATTTCCCTCAATCTCCATCTTGCCAAATCCAATGGTTGCTTCTCATTGGCACTCAATCTGATGACTCCTCCCTCTTCCTGATTAACAGTCCCTCTCTTAGCTTCTGGGTCACTGTCTCTCCTTGATTCCCTCCTGCTTCATGGCCTCTCTTCAGTGTCTTTTGTAGACATCTCATCTTTAGTTGGAGGACCGAGAGGTCCCCAAACTGTGTATTAACCTTGACCTTCTACTGAGCCCCAGACTCACCTGGTACACTGCAGAGTTGACAGAGCCCTGTGGCTGTCTATTGGCCTCTTAGAGAGCACATGGTCAAAACCAAGCTCTTAATTTCCTCACAAAAACCTGTTTTTCCCCACCTGAGCTACTTCATCTCAAGAAATGTCACCACCATCCAGCCAGACGCCCTTAGTTGTCTTGGATTCTTCTCATGTTCTCCTCTTCCACAACCAGGCCAGTTCTGAGTTCCATGAGTTCTACCTAGGGATTCTATTCTGGCTGCTCAATTCTCTGGGTTTCTACAGCTACCCCCTACAGGGGATGCTGTGATGTGCCCAGACACTCCATCTTCAGCTGCTGCATCCTTCTCCAGGAATTCCCCTCAGCTGAAGAGAACCCCCTTGCCTGAGGCTGTGCCCCCTCCCTAGGTCTACACTCTATACACAGTGGCTGGTTGATTCTGAGCTCTGAAAGCCTGGCCCTCTTGCCTATGTTCAGGACAGCTCTGAGGGACTCTTCCAGCTCTGGAGCTTCCCTTGGGGTGGTTGACAGCTCTGTTGCAACTTCATGCCAGTTTAATTTTTCTTTCCGTGCAATGCTTTTTTCCCCCCGACCTAACTCCTACCCCCCAGGTGTTATTCTTGAGTACACTCTCCATTAAATTACCTGCATGCAAATCACTGAATTCCAGAGTCTGTGTCCTGGGAAACCCGACCTAAATCCCTAGTCAAAGCCACCCTGATTTCTCCCTTGCACCACGCAATTGCCATCCACCTAGTCTCTGCTTTTGCCCCTGCAAAATAATCTATTCTTCATGAAGCTACCAACGTGATCTTTGTAAAACAAAGATCAGATCAATGACTTTCCTGCTTTAAACCTATAATGTTTCACTGCTACCCTTGGAATAAAACCCAAACTCCCCTCTGCAGTTGACAGGGCCCTGAGTGATCTGGCCCGGCTGATGTCTCTGATCTCATCTTCTACCCTTTTCTTGCTTGCTCAATTCTACTGCAGCCACACTGACCTTTCTATTCTTTGGACACCCCATGAATTTTTCCCACTTGACAGCCCTTGTATTTACTGTATCCCAGTCTAGGATGCTGTTCCCCCAGATCTTCCCGTGGCTGGTTTCTTATTTTCATTCACACCTCAGCTTGAATGCCTCCCCTCTAGAAAAGCCTATTCCAACCACTCAGTCTAAGGTAGCTCCTCTATGTTGCATTGTCTGTCACTTCACTCTGTCTTACTGTCATCATCATACTTACCACTCTCTGAAATCTTATTGCTTAATTGTTGACTTATTTTAATCTCTCCCTATGCCTAATGTGTGATCTCCCTTGAGAACAGGGACTGTGCCTATACTATTGAGTGCTTTAATGCTGCATCTGCAGTATCCAGAAAATGTGCAAAGGTGTGAATGGATGAATGAATGAATGAATGCTACCAGGAGTCAGCCTAGCAGGGTCTGATCACTCTTGGGTCTTCCTGAAAGGCTTAGATTCAGTGGATATCTCCTTTGGACAAAGCTCTAAAGCTCTTCAGTCACCGACACCAAAGGCCACAGAGAAGTCAAATACAGGAGGGACCCAAAACATCCATCAGATTTAGTAACTAGGAGATGATTGGTGACCTTCAGGAGCATCAAAGGACTGAAGGAGAGAGAGGAAGTAAATTGCAGCAAAATGGGAGTGAATGGAAGGGCAAGAAATAAATACAGAAAACACTCAGAAGAAATTTGTCAGAGGTGAAAAGTGAAGAAGGTTTGCTTGTTTCTGTCAATTTTTTTTTTTTAGATGAGCTTTGCTTGGTTATAATCCAAGGGAATGGGCTGATGTGCTACCATCATTAAAACCAACCAATAGTCATAGACTACTGGCAGTGCCAGCTTCTCTTCTAAGTCCTTTATGTGTGCATTTATTTTCCATTGCTGTGTACTAAGTTACCACAAATTTAGCAGCATAAAACAACACACATTTGTTGTCTCAAAGTTTCTGTGGGTTCTAACATGGCTTGTCAGGCACTCTGCTTATGGCCTTACAGGGTACATTGGAGATATTGGATCTCCATAGTACAATCAAGGCATTAGCTGGACTGCATTCTCATCTGGAGGCTCGAAGGGTGAAGAATCCTCTTCTAAGCTCACTCAGATTGTTGGAAGAACTCATGTCCTTTTGGTTGTAGCACTGAGGACACTGGCTTCTTGAGGGCTGTTGGCCAGGGATTCCCTTGGGCCCTAGAGGCTACCTACAGTTCCCAGAAGCTGCTTGCAGTTGCACAGGCCATGAGCAGTCCCTGGAGGATGCCACAGTTCCTTGCCATGTGCACTTCTCCAACAGGGTCATTTCCTTCATCAAGCCAGCATGGAGAGGCTCTACCTCTAGTCTGCTGAGATGGAGTCTTACATAATGTATCATAATAATGGGAGGGGCATCCCATTACTTTTGACATATTCATTTAGTTAGAAGCAAGACATGTGTCTCACCCACACTCAAAGGGCCTGAACAGACGGAGGCAGGGATCATGGGGCCATCTTAGACTCTGCACCTAACATGTATTACTCATTTAATCCTCACAAAAACACGTTGAGGTATGTCTTAATATTAGCCTCATTTTTATGGAGGAATATGCTGGTATGAGAGAGAAGGAATGACTGATGGAACAAGACCTCCAGGGCAACAGGAAAAGAGAGAATTCAGAGCCCAGATGAAGAATTCTCCTCTAATTTGAGGAGACATATCTTAGTTATTGACACTGGGGAGAAAAGAGGGGAGGAGAGAGATTAACCTCTAAGATTGAGGTAATATGCTAGGTATCTACCCATATGTCCACATAAAAACATATGTCCACATAAAGACTTGTACATTAATGCTCACAGCAATATTATTCATAACAGCCAAAAAGTGGAAACTACCCACAGGTCCATCAGCTGGTGAATAGATAATCAAAATGTGTTCTATCCATACAATGGAATACTATGCCCCATTAAAAAGGAGTCCACTACTGATACATACTACAACATGGATGAATTGCAAAAACATTAGGCTGAACTAAAGAAGTCAGACGCCAAGGACTACATACTGCATGATTCCACTGATCTGAAATGTCCAGGAAAGGTAAACCTATAGAGACAGAAAGCAGATTAGTGGCTGACCAGGGCTGGGGGTGCAGTTGCAGAGTGACCACACATGGGCATAATATATTTTTTTTTAGGTGGTGGAAACGTTCAGAGATTAAATGTGGTGATGGTTGTGCAACTCTGTCAATACACTAAAAATCATTGAATTGTACACTTCAAATGAGTAAATTTTACGGTATGTAAATTATGGTATGTAAAAAGCTGTTTAGAAAAATTTTGAGGCAATGAGTTGATAGAGTGCCTCCTACTCCCCACAAATTGGCCTTTTTCTCTCCAGCAGAGGTGAGATCCTACGCTCAGAGTAAGTCGTGTGGTAGCGGAGGGAAGAGGCTTGCCAAGAAGGGTCGAGGCCTGAAAAGGCCAGTAGGGGGACTTCAGACCAAGTTGATGTGTGGAAGGTCATCGCTGGAAGGGCTGCAGGCCCAACCCACAATGAAGACCATGACCCACCTGCAATATTATATTGTCCAGTCCTACTCCCCTCAGAAACCCAAGTGCCTAGGCAAAAAAAAAAAAAAAGAAAAAGAAAAAGAAAAAAAACAGTTGGATTAAACCAGACTTCACATTTTTCTGGGTGAAATGGAAAAAGGAGACAAGGTGGTTGAGGGTGTTGCAAGAATGGGGTCAATGTGATGGCAGTGGCAACTCGAAGAATGGGGAAGGAAGCAATGCTGAGTGCTGGAAAGGAGCCTATGGACTGAACCCCCGGAGGAGAGTCCAGAGAGAAGAGGTCTGCAGGAGGTCTAGGCCAGGCGTGGTGGGGGTGAGGGTCTGGAAGGACAGGCAGAGGGAGATGTTGCATATGCTGGTTCCTTTACCCTTCATGTCCTTCTGGAAGCATGGCACTGAGGCCTGAGCATCCCATCCCACTGTGCTGTGGCCTGAGCCACAGAACAGATGGTCACTTCGTTTGGGATAAGTGTTCTGCTGAAGCAGCCACATTAGAATAGCCTGTTTGGCAGCTTGGGCAGCAGTTAAGAACAGGGCCTTGCAGCCAGCGATCCTGCTTCCATCCCTCCACTTTCAGTGTGGACCTTGGAAAAGTCGCTTCATTACTCTCAGCATTTGTGTATTTGTTTACAAACTAGGGATAACAATAGTATGAACCTCTTAGGGCTGTTGTGAGGATCCAGTGGGACATTGCTATAAGCCCTGAGTGTGGTGCCTGGCCTGAAGAATGTTTTCCCATGTGTCAGCTGATACTGAGCTCACTGTTAACTCACAATTCTAGAGCTATGCAGCAGGGCAGCTGATGGCCCAAAGGTGGGTTTGGGACCCAAGGGCAAATTGCACATATGTATTTATGACATTTTATCCTGCATTCTCAGCCACTTGGTCCAGCCTGAGGATGTCTGTTTGATTCCAACAACTCCACAGTCTCCTGCGGCTGGGCACCGTGTACCTGTCGGTAAGTAGATGCCTTTTGACCATCCTGAAGTCACTGGCAGAAATGCCAGCTCCTGGCCACCCAGAGCTTCTCACACTGCAGAGAGTGGTTGCTCGCTGCCTGTGGCTGGGGCCCTCGGATCATTCATCCAAGGAACGAAAATACAAAAAAAATACAATACCGTTGGTCTTCAAACACTTGGCTGGAGGCAGAGGAAACCCACCCTCTTCTATTCTGAGCCCTGCCTGGGGCTCAGAACCTTCTCTCCTCAGGCACCAGGGCCCCTGGGAGGCTAAGGCGATGTCCCCCCAGCCTCCCCCAGGGCGCCTTCCATTCATGCTCTGAGTTCTGCAGGAGGGAGGATCGATGCCTTCTGTGTCTCCCGGAGACAGCCCCGCACATTCCTGCAGAACTATTGACAGCTTCGCCTCTCTTTCGTATCTTCCATACTTCATTTGTGAAAAGAACTGTAATTACCCTCGAGGAGTCATTGGAGAAAAAGTGTACAAATTGAAAAAGACTGGAAATGGGCACCTCTGGCTGCGGAGAAAACACTTTCAATATGGAACCGTTCTCGCCCGGGCCTGTGCATTCCCATTCGCCTGGCCCTTAGCTTCTCTGCCGCAAACTGTGGCAGCCTTTGTGCCCACCCTGACAATGGGCGTTTGACATGGAGGGCAGCGAGATTAATGAGGGACCAGAGTTTTCCATTTTTTCCTCTAACAGCTAACTACTTTCTTTTCAACTCCTCCTGCTAAATAGCCCGGACAATGAATAAAGCTTCGGTTGTACTTGGTTTTTTTCTCTCTTTTCTTCTTTGCTTCCCACACAGTTGGTTGTTGACGCTGCCTTAACCTAACCGGCCAGTGGCCTTGTTAACTGGTCCGGAGACATAGATCTTGCCAAGTGTGGAGAGTTCTGGGATTTGGGGAAGAAAAGGTCCCTGTTACTGGGGAGTTATCTGAGGACAAGACGCTGAAAGCTTTGCCCCAGACCCTCAAAGGTGACCATGGACCAGAGCCAAGCTCTGAGCTTCCTGCCCAGCTTCCTCATCCGATGGTGCCTTTCAGCCTTGAGGTCTCTCTGTTATGGGGACTATGTTAGGTTCCTGGGGCTGCTCTAACAAATGACCACAATCCTGGTGGTTTCAGCAACAGAAATGTATTTTTTCCCAGTTCCAGAGAGCAGAACTCCAAGGTCAAGGTGTCAGCAGGGTATGCTCCTTCTGGAGGTGCTGAGGGAGAGTCTGTTCCCCTCCTCTCTCCTGGCCCCTGGCTGCTTCCGGCAGTCCTTGGGGCTCCTTGGCTTGTAGCTGCATTGCTCTAATCCTGCTTCCATCCCCACTTTCCCTCCCCCTCTTTGTGTCTCTGTCTTCCCCTTTTCTGCCTCTTATAAGAACACCCATTGTTAGGTTTGTCCCCTGCCCCCCAATTTAGGCTGATGATCTCATCTCGAGATCATTACCTTAATTACATCTGCAAAGACTCTTATTCCAAATAAAGTCACATTCTGAGGTTCTTTCTGGGTAGACATATCTTCTGGAGACACAATTCAAACCAGTACAGGACTCAGCAGAACTTTTATGCCATCCGGAACTCAGAGCTTGGGCTGCTTCCAGTTCCCATTCACTGCCCAGTTTTAGGGACCAAAGACCATTCTCCTGTGCCCGCAGCAGCTTCATTATGTGGAGAGTGAGGGTAGCCATGGGGCAGGTGGGGAAGGAAGCCTCCCGTGAGCTTGGAGCATAAGTCATGACGCAATGGACTGAGGTTACTACTCACCTACTCCCTGGCTGTTGGCGCTGCATTGACAGAACACTCAGATACCAGCCAGGGCTTGGGGAAGTTGCTCAGGTCCCCTTTGCCCTCCATCTCCTCTTCATCTGGCCTGCCGGGCTCTGTACTGTCCATTCGGGCACACAGAATTCTACCCAGGCTTTGGCCCCTTTCACCATTTCTGGCACGGGACCTCCAGTCTCCCACACACTCTGCTGAACTCCTTCCGAGCACTGGCTTCTTCTGTCTCAGATGATAATCATAGCATTGAGACTGCACATTTGCAGGGTTTATTCTGTGGCAGGCACTGTTCTAGATACTCGGTATGCAAGAATCAATTTAATCTTCACAACAGCCCCTGGAGGTGGGTTCTATTAGTACCATGTCTATTTTATAGATGAGGAAACTGAGGCACAGAAATGTTCAGTAATTTTCTTTTTTTTTTAATAGAAAACTTTGCTATTTTTATTGATCTGTAAGAGGCAACGTAAAAGCAGTGTGGTTGTTATGCAGACAATTTTATGGTAATTCTCCTATGGGTCACTCTCTCAAATTCCGATCCTGAGTTTCTTCTCTATAGCAATTCTGTAGCTTTCAACATGCCGTAAAGTTTTGCTTATTCGTTTACTCTGGTTTTTTTTTTTTTTTTTTTTTTTTATTGATCATTCTTGGGTGTTTCTCGCAGAGGGGGATTTGGCAGGGTCATAGGACAATAGTGGAGGGAAGGTCAGCAGATAAACAAGTGAACAAAGGTCTCTGGTTTTCCTAGGCAGAGGACCCTGCGGCCTTCCGCAGTGTTTGTGTCCCTGTGTACTTGAGATTAGGGAGTGGTGATGACTCTTAAGGAGCATGCTGCCTTCAAGCATCTGTTTAACAAAGCACATCTTGCACCGCCCTTAATCCATTCAACCCTGAGTGGACACAGCACCTGTTTCAGAGAGCACAGGGTTGGGGGTAAGGTCACCGATCAACAGGATCCCAAGGCAGAAGAATTTTTCTTAGTACAGAACAAAATGAAAAGTCTCCCATGTCTACTTCTCTCTACACAGACACGGCAACCATCCGATTTCTCAATCTTTTCCCCACCTTTCCCGCCTTTCTATTCCACACAACCGCCATTGTCATCATGGCCCGTTCTCAATGAGCTGTTGGGTACACCTCCCAGACGGGGTCGTGGCCGGGCAGAGGGGCTCCTCACTTCCCAGTAGGGGCGGCCGGGCAGAGGCGCCCCTCACCTCCCGGACGGGGCGGCTGGCCAGGCCGGGGGCTGACCCCCCCCACCTCCCTCCTGGACGGGGTGGCTGGCCGGGCAGAGGGGCTCCTCACTTCCCAGTAGGGGTGGCCAGGCAGAGGCGCCCCTCACCTCCCGGACGGGGCAGCTGGCCGGGCGGGGGACTGACCCCCCCACCTCCCTCCCGGACGGGGCGGCTGGCCGGGCAGAGGGGCTCCTCACTTCCCAGTAGGGGTGGCCAGGCAGAGGCGCCCCTCACCTCCCGGACGGGGCAGCTGGCCGGGCGGGGGACTGACCCCCCCACCTCCCTCCCGGACAGGGCGGCTGGCCGGGCAGAGGGGCTCCTCACTTCCCAGTAGGGGCAGCCGGGCAGAGGTGCCCCTCACCTCCCAGACGGGGCGGCTGGCCGGGCGGGGGGCTGACCCCCCCACCTCCCTCCCGGACGGGGTGGCTGGCCGACCCCCCCAACTCCCTCCCAGACGGGGGGCGGCTGGCCAGGCAGAGGGGCTCCTCACTTCCCAGTAGGGGCGGCCGGGCAGAGGAGCCCCTCACCTCCCGGACGGGGCAGCTGGCCGGGCGGGGGGCTGACCCCCCCCACCTCCCTCCCGGACGGGGCGGCTGGCCGGGCAGGGGGCTGACCCCCCCACCTCCCTCCCGGACGGGGCGGCTGGCCGACCCCCACCCCCCCCACCTCCCTCCCGGACGGGGCAGCTGGCCGGGCAGAGAGGCTCCTCACTTCCCAGTATGGGTGGCCGGGCAGAGGCGCCCCTCACCTCCCGGACGGGGTGGCTGGTCGGGCAGGGGGCTGACCCCCCCACCTCCCTCCCGGACGGGGCGGCTGGCCTGGCGGGGGCTGACCCCCACCTCCCTCCCGGACGGGGTGGCTGCCGGGCGGAGACGCTCCTCACTTCCCAGACAGGGTGGCTGCCGGACGGAGGGGCTCCTCACTTCTCAGACGGGGCGGCTTCGGGGCAGAGGGGCTCCTCACTTCTCAGACGAGGCGGTTGCCAGGAAGAGGGTCTCCTCACGTCTCAGACGGGGCGGCCGGGCAGAGACGCTCCTCACCTCCCAGACGGGGTCGCGGCAGGGCAGAGGCGCTCCTCACATCCCAGATGGGGCGGCGGGGCAGAGGTGCTCCCCACATCTCAGATGATGGGCGGCCGGGCAGAGACGCTCCTCACCTCCTAGATGGGATGGCGGCGGGGAAGAGGCGCTCCTCACTTCCTAGATGGGATGGCGGCCGGGCAGAGACGCTCCTCACTTTCCAGACTGGGCAGCCAGGCAGAGGGGCTCCTCACATCCCAGACGATGGGCGGCCAGGCAGAGACGCTCCTCACTTCCCAGACGGGGTGGCGGCCGGGCAGAGGCTGCAATCTCGGCTCTTTGGGAGGCCAAGGCAGGCGGCTGGGAGGTGGAGGTTGTAGCGAGCCGAGATCACGCCACTGCACTCCAGCGGGGGCACCATTGAGCACTGAGTGAACGAGACTCCGTCTGCAATCCCGGCACCTCGGGAGGCCGAGGCTGGCAGATCACTCGCGGTTAGGAGCTGGAGACCAGCCCGGCCAACACAGCGAAACCCCGTCTCCACCAAAAAAATACGAAAACCAGTCAGGCGTGGCGGCGCGCGCCTGCAATCGCAGGCACTCGGCAAGCTGAGGCAGGAGAATCAGGCAGGGAGGTTGCAGTGAGCCGAGATGGCAGCAGTGCAGTCCAGCTTCTGCTCGGCATGAGAGGGAGACCGTGGAAAGAGAGGGAGAGGGAGACCGTGGGGAGAGGAGGGAGAGGGAGAGGGAGGCGGAGGGGGAGGGAGAGCCGTTTACTCTGTTTTTTGAGATGGCATCTGACTCGGTTGCCCAGGCTGGAGTGAAGTCAATGTTCAGTAATTTTCTTAGAGCAGGGTTTCTCAGCCTCATCCCTATTGACATTTTGGTCTGATAATTCTTTGTGAAGGGGGACTGTTCTGTGCATGGCAGAAGGCTAAGCAGCATCCCGGGCCTCCATTCGCTGGATGCCAGTAGTGAGTGGAGCTCTTTGCAACCCTCTGTTTTGACAACCAAAAATGTCTCCAGGTATTTCCAATTGTCCCTGGGGGGCAAAGTCAACCCCTTTTGAGAGCCACTGGCCTAAGGTCGTACAGTAGTGTGTGGCACAGCCAAGATTGGAGCCCAGGAAGTCCACACTTTTCTGCTTCCTTTTATGTGATGCCTCCTCTGGGCTTGAACCTGTGCCGGCACTGGAGTTCAAAGTGAGAGCTAACACTTTAGCCTTTAGACCCCAGGAGTCTCACGTCCACCTGGCTTTTCACTTAGCCATCAAGCCAGGCCACCTGTGCCACAGGAGGAGGGGTGCACACTTTCTTGGACAGGACAGGGCGCCTCCTCCAACCCTGCAGTTCCTTTCTAGGAACTGGAGAAGCCAGTGGCTCTAAAATGGGGGTGACTTTGCCCCCCAGGGGACACTTGGCAGTACCTGGAGACAGGTTTGGTTGTCACAGCTGAGGGTTGCAAAGGGCTCCACCCACTACTGGCATCCAGTGAGTGAGGCCAGGGAGGCTGCTTAGCATCTCACCATGCACAGAAAAGATGCAAAGCCCCAGCTCCCAGGCCAGGCATTAGGACCTGAGGACCATGGCTCCATGTGCACTGTCCCTGGATTCACAAGCCAACCCCAGGATGTTCCCTCTTCTCCTCACCTCCTGATCTCAGGATGGGGGAAGGGGAATCGCCCCCATAACACTCTCCCAGGGAAAGTGAAAGGACTTCAGGCTGTCTCCTTCAGAACATGAGACTTCCATTTGTGCTCACTGGGTGGAGGAGGGGATGGTCTCTCAAGCCTCTCCGACTCTGGCTTTTGCTGATTCTAGAAATGGAGAGGGTTTTTGGTATCTGTGGAGAATAAATAGTCATTAAAATGCCGAATTAATTGCCTTTAGTGGTCATGGCTTACTGCCTCTGGCTCTCGTCCATCCCTTCTTCAACAAAGAAGAAAGGAAGGTATTAAACTAGTGGAGCCAGAGAGCGTTATTCATGTCTCTCTCTCTCTTCCTCCCCCTCTCTCTCTTTCACACACACACACACACACACACACACACACACACACATGTGTGTGCAGCGATTGTGAAAAGCTCTGCATTTCTCTAACGACAGGTCTTCTCTGCCTGATTCCATAATGAACGAGAAGGGATCTGATCGTGTCATTCTCGTGGGAAGTGTATCTGCTCTTTCTAAACATACAGTGTCTCCGAGGCGCTAGCTGCTTTTCGTCGTCTGCTATAATCGGTCGTTTTTTATTGGCACATAAAAGGGCTTCCTGTAAAACATATTAAAGCTTCCAATTCTGAATGAAAAGCACTTGAAGTAAAATCTCTTCATGAACAGGAGCCACAATCCAGGTGGGGTTGATGGCCTCGTCACCGTACAGAAGAGACGGAGCACCCTCGTGCATAGTCTGGCACCACCCTTTCAAGGAGCCAAGGCTGAGCAAAGCATCCTGGGGAGGGACACAGCCTGGCCAGATCCTCCAGCAATCTGGGTCTTTGCTCTGGCACCTACAACTGAGCCACCCACAGATGTGCTCGGATACAACGAGGGGGATTCGAAGCCCCAGGCAAACATGTTACATGGATCCCAGATGCCTATTGTATTAGAAGAGTCAGAAAAAAAAATGTTATCTTCACGTGCAAACAAACATGGCAATATTAGGGAGTAGAATACAACATATGTATGCATTTTTAAGATTAAAACACAGGATTTCAGAGAAACTGCCTGGCTTTGCAAAATGCTGTCTTCTAGTAGGGTTTGTTTAACAGAAAAGTTTGAGTTGCATCGATGTTTGAGTCCAAGCTATAGTTCCTTAGCATGGTATTCAGACTCCTTTATGACCTGGCTCCATTACTGGGGTGAGAAAGTCACCTGCCTAGAACATAAGCTCCCCAAGTGCAAGGACTGAAGGTGTCAGGCGTACCACTGTACCCCTCACACCCAGTCCCTCCAGGGGCTGTGAAGCAGGCATTTAATACATATCGATGAAATAAATGGAAGGAATAACAATGTGGAAGCCCCAGTGTTCCCAGGAACATATGTGCTCCAGCTATCAGCTGCTTCCCTACCTAGAATGCCCTTTACATCTTCCTCATCTTAGGAAACTTCAGTTCACCCTTTAACCCAAGAGCCAGTGGCATCTCCTCTCTGGAGCCTCTCTAACTTCTCCAACACAATTCATCACACCCTCCTCATGCCTCTACCACAATCCGATTACTCCTCTAGTAAGGATGTAATTTGCTGTCTAGATGTCTGTCTCCTGCATTAGGTAAGAATATCTCTGAAGCAGGGGGACCAGGTCGATGTATCTTTGCATCATTGGCACCTTAGAACTTGATAGTTGATCAATACCTTCAGTTATAGATGAAATCAAGATGGTAGGCTTGAGACAGAGTGAGCAAGTAAGAGGATGAGAAAAGTTTAACTACTGGAGATTCTGGCCTCAATTCAGTGGTGGTGCAGGGCCTGATGACCCAGTGGGGCCTGGGAACTCAGACCTGATGTGGGAATCATTAACCCAGAGCCAGAGGAGGCCAGGGGCAGCTGCCTGAGACCCCTGCTGCTCTTTCAACTCCAGCCTGCTCAGCAAGAAAGTGCTAGTCAAACTTTTGGTTAAAGGACACCTCCTAGAAGAAAGCGGAGCTCAAAGTCAGGCAGGATTTTTGATTTTGAAACCCCACCTTTTAATCTTAAAAATGTACATGTATTTTTTATTCCACCCCCTAATTTTGCCACTCTCTAATTTTGTCTTACCCCCTATTTGTACATGAAGATAATGATGTTTTTTTTCTGGATCTTCTAATAAAATAGGCATCTGGAGCCACATGTCCCATCCAGGCATAAGGCACCATCTCTGGTTTCTGGCCTTACTCCCTGTCAGTCCACAGGCTCCAAGAACCTACTCCCCACAGATCCTTCCTGATCATTTTGGGCCCCAGGCACCAGCTTCATCCTCCTCTGGATGATGGTTGTGGAGCCTGGGAGAGAGACTGCAAGAAGGGAGAAGCAGGCCTATGAGCTTTGCAAAGGGCAGACTTTGTGACTTGCTTGTCTCTGTGTTCCTGACCCTGTGTGAGGCCCACCAGGGATCACAGGTGCAACAATTGAAAGAGTATGTATGTCTTGGGGCAGGTGGAGGGGGCAATTGAGCAACTACGTTGGAAGCATCATTACCCTGACAAAGAGGGCAGGAGGAGGCTGCTGTCTTGGTCTAATTCCTCTACTTGCAGCAAAGACCAACCCAGGTTTCCTTAGGAAAGACCAGAGTTTATCCCAGCCATGCATGTGGCCTGGACCCGGAAGCATTTCAGGGCCCCAGAGCTGCTGGAGTTAGCTTTTTCCTGTGCTTGGCATGGTCTGGGTCCTCTTTTCTCTGAGCTTCTGCGCTGTCCTCCTCCCTTTACCAGCCAGCTTCTTCACACCCTACTCTGTATCTTACAACTCAAAGTGCGGTCCCTGGACCAGCAGCAGAAGCTGCAGCAGCAACTGGGTTCCACCTCAGACCTATTTATTTTAATGAGATCGCAGGGTGATTCAGATGCACATTCAAGTCTGAGAAGCGCGGCTCGGAACCATCTCTGCTTTTCAAGCCTCAGCTTGTATGTGGCTTTGACGTGCCGTGGTTCTCTGCCTTGTGGCATCCTTTCACCTCCAGCAATGCTGCCAGCAGACTTGGTCTTTCAGCATTCCTTGTTCAGCTCCTGAGAGAGGAGTCTGATTGGCCTAGCTCATGTTTTGACCCCAGGTCATAGGTCAGAGGCTGTAAGTATTGGCTACTCGAGGATCAGCGGTGTCCAAGAGAGCCACACAGCACACAAAGTGGCCTCCCAGGCAGGGAGAGCTGGGGAAGGCTATTGCCCTCAGAAGCAGTGTGGGCACCAGGCACCAGGGTGGCACAGGCAGTTCTTGAAACTTAATTCTTGTTCCCTGTGGTCTCACACCTTCCCCTCTCATTTTGGCCCTGCTCAGACAGGCACAATAAACGTGCTGAGACTACTCCCTGTCCATTCTCACCACTCTCAATAATAGAGCTAACTCATAGAGACCCTTCACAGTTTATGGGGCATTTTAACACACAGCATCTCTTCCTGTCCTGACCGTCTGGCAGGTAGGTGGGGTAGGCCCTGTTGTTCCCAGGTAAGAGAACTCAGTCTCAGAGGGGAACACCGGATCCCACAGGGAGCAGAAGCAGCACCCGAACTGTGGCCTGGAGCTCCTGACTCCAAGACCAGTGCCCCTGCCTCTCCCCATGCTGCCTCTGAAGGTTGCTGCCCTTGCTGACAATCCTATAGGGTCACCAGCCCCAGCTCACGAGACAATGTCATGGTTAGAGCTCTGAGACCAGAGAGGAGGTGTTATGGAGGCACCATGGGTCAGTTGCATGGGTCGGCTTAGGGCTGCAGGAGCTGGATGTAGCTTCCGCTTAGTACTAGTGTGAACATGGGCTATTAAAATCATGCTAGCTCATGTTTACCAAGTGTCTGCCATGTGCCAAGCACTCTTCTAAGAGCTGTGCAGTGTGTTAGTTTATTTGATCCTGGTAAGAGCCTTATGAGCTAGTTACTATTATTATGCCCGTTTGGAGAAACTGAGACACAGAGAGGTTAAGCGACTTGTCCAGGGTCACATAGCCAGAAAGTAGGGGAATCCAGGATCTGAACTCAGGCAATCAGGCTGCAGAATGAGCATGCAGCTGCCTTTGAAGCTTCTTGGTACCTACTTTTCTTTAGACCAGTGCTCTCCAAGAGTGATCCCCAGACCAGAAGCCTCATGATTACTGGGGAACTGGTTAGAAATGCCCATTCTCAGACCCTACGTTCTGCATCAGAAACTCTGGAGCTGGGATGCAGCGATCTGTGACTTAGAAAACCCTCCAGGTGATTCTGATTTGGGCTGAAGTTTGAACCACTGCTCTAGAGGCTCAAGTTGAAATCACGTTTATAAAACTCTTAGCAGCATTCAAATATTGTTAGCTATTATCATGGCCAGCTTTATTTAATAAGAGTGAAAACACTGTTGTGTTGAATATAAAAAACACCTGCCTCCTTGGTAAAGTGCCATATAAAGCAACTTAAACTGGCCAGAAAGAAAAAAAGTATTCAAGTAAAGACTCAGAGGAGAGATATTGACAAAACCATCCTGGCACACCTGATGCTTGTCCACCTAACACCTGGCACCTGGTCCTGCCAAAATGAATGCAGCCACCCAAAAGGGAAGAAAGAATCCATTTTATCATTTAAAGGATGCGGTTGCCTCCTCCATGAGCGCAGCGTAGTTTGGTTAGTACACCAGCCAGCTGATTCACTGCCTGACTTCAGAGCTACACCCAACTGCAAGATGCTCCCATGACTGTCCACGTGGCCTCCTTGCCTAAGAAGAAGGATGCCCCAGCCCCTGCCTCCGTGCGCTTGCTCAGGTATCACAAAGATGCTTCCCCTCAGGCATGACCTACCCCCCTTGTCACTGCATGTCACCATCAGTGGGGACATGCCTTCCCTTCCTTGGGCTGGGTGTGTAATTGGCCTGGCATTACCCAGCAGTCCCTGGGGAATTGCTTCTGTCAGGAGCGTAACAAGCTTATCTCTTTAGCCTGAGTTATGTCACCATGTGCTCAATGTAAATCTGACTGCCTTCCCGACGCACTGGGCCTGGATGGATTTGTGAATAATTTCACCACCACAATTATTTTACAATTTTGAATCTTCGCTGGCAACTTAATGCATAGTTTGCAGTGAGAAGCTGCATAAATCAGGACTCCAAACAAAGGTTCTCTAACCAGGCCTGGGCTCCCAGTCATGCCTGAGAGAGGCTGGTGAGCCCCTTACACAGGGGATGGGGAGCTGGGCTTCCATCCCCCAGCTTGTCCAGTTTGCGCCCCAGCTTGGAGTGCCTTTGCCCAGGGCCCCATGCAGTGTTCTTCAGGGTAGCTTTTTCTTATTATCTTTGTGGTTTTCGTTGATTTCCACCTTTATAAGTGGGGACAGGGGATGACGGTAGTTACACCGCCTCTCCTCCATCTTCTAGAGTTACTCTCCATAATCTCTCCACCCTCCAGCACATCCACAAGTGTTAATTGAGTAGAATCCCAGGACGTTAGAGCTGGCAAAGCCCTTAGAGATAATCGTTTCTGGAGTTATTCAAAGTCTGTTCCCAGGGGTGCCTCAGGGGCTGCCTTGGGGGCAGTAAACGGGTGGGAGAGAGGATCATGTGTTAATCAGAGCGGCTCCCTTTTTATTTATTTCACACATTGGGCTTCTGTTTCAATAAAAGGGTTGAGCCACTGAAAAACTTCTGAAAATGCCTGGTCTAATCTAACTCTTTTGTTTCACAGAATGGGATCTTGAGACTCAGAAAAAAGTGGCATTGCTAAGTAATTTTGCTGTAAAGCACACGTTAGAAACTCAGGCTCTGGAATCGGTCCTCAAACCTGGCTTCTTTTATTCATCAGCTTGTGTGACCTGGAGCTGAGTCTATTTAACCCCTCTGAGCCTCAGTTTCCTCATCTGTTAAATGGGACTAATAATAGATTTGTTCTGCGGATTGATCAAGGAGACGTGTAAAGTGCTCAGCCCAGCATCTGGCACACACGTACTCAATGAATCAATAAGCAGTAGCTAATATTATTAATTTGGGTCTGTTAAACCCCAAGCCAAAGAACACACATCACAAACCATTTTGCAGTAGAAAATCTGTTTGCAAGGGAAGAAGCCAGCATGGACTGATCACCTGATACCTGCCAGGCTCCTGTCATTTCATCTTCATAAAAAGCACGTGTGTGCAGGGGGTGTGGGTCTTCTGATCTGCATTTTGCAGGGAAGGAGCTGCAGCTCCAGGCAGCAGAATGCCCCGGGCAGCCTCCCTGATGTGGTTCCACCTCCCTTAGATTGGATGCTGGCTGGGCAGAGGGTTGGGGGTCTGCAGTCATTTCAGCCAGAAGGATTTCGCTGGTATTCAGGCTGGGCTATTAACAGTTCTTTAAACCAGGTTAGCTGTTTTCCCCCAAGTATGTCTTATTAGCAGACTTTATTTAGTCCTTATATTGCCTTTGACCGTGTTTGCTTTTAGAGCATTCTATTTCTGCAGCCTGTTGTTCTATTAGCCACTCCTTTTCCTAGTTTTGTTTTATTTTTACACTCTCTGCACTTTTGTAGGTAAAGAGACTTACAGGGGCCTCATGTTTGTGAGGGTGAGATGACACATGGGAGAGGGGATGGCAAAGCTCTCAGCGAGTTTTAAGGCAGTAGGCAAATGGAGTTGTTCTTTCTCTGTTCATATGGGGGAGAGATTGGGCAGTCATTCATTTATTCATTCATTTATTCTCATTTAACTGATATTCAGCAAGCACCTCCAGGCACTGAGGACACAATGGTGAACAAGACGGGCCCCTGGTCTCTGCCCTTATAGAGCTCAGAGTCCAGCTGCGAGGGCAGCCAGATAAGTCAGCTGCAGGCAGCCTGGCTGCTGGTGTCACGATAAGTGAAGTCCTTGTTGTGGCTCATGTGACTGCCTTGCTGAGGCCCCATCCCAGAGCCCAGCTCAGGACATGGCCTGGAGGAGGTCCTTATGACGTTTGCTGAATGAATGCGTAGTTATGAGCAAATAACAGTGCCCGACACAAGTGGGGACATCAGCTCATTTCTCACATGCCCCGTCCCTTCTCAAGGGCCCACAACTGGAGTATGCTTGGCCCTGCAGTCACCCCCAGGATGATTTCCACAGTCAGGGGTGCCCACAGCTGCCACTGTCCCCACTTCGTGGCTGGTGCGCAGGTGCTGCCCTTTGGGGAATTTGCTCTGTTCGCCTTCGGGACAGGGTCCTGTTTCCAGGCTGTTCTAGAAATTCCCCAGCTTTTCTTTCTTGGATTCCATCCAGGACCTAAGACACCCCAGCTGAGGCAGGGATGAGCTGAAGAAATAAAAGTCCTGTCATTTTTAATACATGCAGTCGCACACATGCACATACATATACAGGTTCTTACTACACACACACCTACACACAGACATGTGCACACAGATAAAGAGATAGGCATGGGCATCCAGACAGACAAGTTTGGCTAACTCCGAGGTAAGTGCTAAACCCACACACAGGCACACACATGCAGAAAGTAATAAATACTAGTGGAAAACTGACTATATAGCAGACACTGTGCAAGGCACAGAAGACAGCAGCATTACAAAGAGATGTGGTCCCTAAGTCATGGAGCTTACTGTCTGTGGGGTGGGGGGAGGTGGGGAGAGAAAGAATAGACAACACATACACAAAAGATAGACTAACAAATGGAAATAAGTGCATGAAGAAAAATAACAGGACACTATGAGAAAAGTAGCAGGGAATACGCACTTGGATGAGGAATACAGTTGGATGAGGAGGTAGATAGCAGGGGAGAGAGGGTTTGAGGCATGGGGAACGCATGCACGTGCAGAGGCCTTGCGGAAGAAAAGAGCTTGATACATTCAAGGACTCAAAAGATGGAAGTTAATGTCATAGGAACACAGACTGCACATTCTACATACAGTGAAGCCTGCACGCAGACAAGCATGTGTGCCAAGCACATAGACTACACATGCATAGGCAGAGGCATATAGTGCACTGAGGCACATAGGCCTGTGTGGACAAGCACAAGCATGCAGTACACAGAGCAATGTGCATGAATGTAAACTTAGCAAAGACAAATACAAATGAACAGGAGAGTGCACCAAAGGGCACCTGGCACTTACACTTAGCTGCACAGATGGGCATTTACATGCACACACACACACACACACACGTTCCTGTAAGCACACAGACACAAGATGTGTCTATAGCATGCACCATTTCTACACAGATCTGTCCACATACACCCTCCGCACACAGTGTGCTCATCCATAGTATGCGTATCCATGTATACATGGTGTGTGCAAGGAGACAGCATGTGCTCCCGGCTTCAGAAAGCTCAGTGATTCTGAGCCTGGGATCATTAAAGTCAATGGCCATTAAGTAGCTAATCCCTCATTCAATTCTCTGAACATTTTGGGCCATAATCTGTGGCCTCCTTCAATTCTACCTGCTTTCAAAGGATTCTGGAGGGTGAGGACAAGGGAAGGGAGATTGGGGTCTTAGAGTCCCTGATGCTGTTAAGCCTTTTCCCGGCAGTGGCTTCTCCTCCCCTGGGCCGTGGGCAACTGTTGATCTCACGCTGCAGAGAGGGCTTTGCTCCGTAATCCATTTTCCTCTGCCTTTCTTTGGAGATTAGACAAGTGCCCCGCTGGCCACCAAAGCCAGCTAAAGCTCTCTGGGGCCTGGAGGCTCTCTGTTTCCAGTCAGGGAAGGATTCTTGAGGGTCTGGACAGCCACCTCTACTGCTGGATGAAAAAGGCAGGGGCTAGGGATCCTGCTCTCTAGGGCCATGGGGTCCAGCCAAGGGAGCCAAGATATCTGGCCAAAGTAAGTAAATAAATTGATCATATTTAACAAATCTTTAAAGAAATCAAACAAGGCCTGTTTGGGAGTGATGTGAGTTAAGTATTGGTTGAGCCACCCAGACAGAGTTGTTTAATATTTCTGAGCCTCTGTTTTGCCATCTGTAAAAGGGGAATAAAGATACCTCAGCCCCCACTTCCCCAGGCAGTTTGGAGGCCCTTCGAGGCCCCTGTGTGACCTGAGCCTTCTTATTTCCCTCCCTAATCTCATTGTCAGCCTCGCCACCTCCTGGCCCCTCCTGCACTACAGGCCGGTCATACTGCACAATGTCAAATTCTGCAAACGCACCCTGCTCTTCCTTGCTGCTGCACCTTTGCAAGGCTGTTTTCTCTCCTGGGAATGCCCTCCCATCACTTGCTTGCTGAACAAATTCCTTCTGAGGTATGAGGACCCACTTGAGGTGTGGCGCCTGCCCTGGAACCTGCCATGATCCACCCAAGCAGCATTAGGTGTTTGTTCCCCTGTGATCCTACAGCTCCTTGCTCCTGCCCCTAGCCAGATGGTTTCCCCTTCCTTGTAAGTTACCTCATTCCCCTGCCCCATTTGGAACTCTGTGAGGACAGGGACATGTCCTGGCCATCCTCACATCCCCAGCTGTTCAGTGAGAGCTTGTCAGATGCTGAATGGGAATGATAAAGCGCAATAAAAATGTAAGGCCATGATATTTTTTAAAGACAACCTATTTTAAAAGCCAGATGCAGAATTCCTCTTGACCAGTCCACACCTGTCCCTTGGCCAAAGTGGGCTGAGACTCCATTGAGGCAGTTCTAACCCCTGCAGGGGCCACTGCTACAGTCCCTCTTCCCCTGCCCCCCTCCTGATTCCTGGGGGCCTACACAGTGAGTAGGAGGCTCAAAACATGCCCATCACACCTGCCCCTGGGGAGGCTGAGCCGAGTTCACTCCACTTGCAGCCTTTCTGCACGTCTATTAAATTAGATTGAGCAATTACGCTTGGCTTAGAGGCGGAGTGATGGAGCAGGAGGAAGGCATGTCAGGGAAGGGAGATGCAAATGCATCGAGTCACACGTGCTGGTCCTTACTTACCCACCCGACTGCCTGACAAAAAGCCTGGCTCAACCACTGATCAATCCTGCCTCCCCGAGGGCTGAGCTGGGTAGACGGAATATGATCTGGAGTCTATGGTCCCAGGGCAACTCAGGAGGAGCTGGGAGAGGACATTTTGACAAAGGAGAGTAAGAAAACATGAGCAAGCAACCATGGGAGACAGCTGGAGGATTTGAGGCTGGTTGATCCGAGAGAAAGGGGTGAGGAGTGGACATAACATATGGAGCAGCTTAGGAGAAACTCCTTAGGGAACGCATTCCCAGGAAAGGGGGAAAAAACATAGTGTTCATTCATTTGTTCAACAAATTTATTGGGCATCTGCTAGGCACCAATTCTTGGCATTTGTGGGAGTTCAAGAGAACCATTAAGTTGGAATTTAAATGCCTGGACAAAGAGAGGAGCCCTGAATCTGAATAGGGAATGTGGAGCCCCAAGTTCAAGTACTCTTATTTCCTCTTGATCAAGAGAACTTTGGAGAAAGCACCCTTGATTTGACAGGGAGGTGGGGACAGGGAGAGAAGCCAAAGGTGGAAATAGGAAATGAACTTGGAGATGTCTGGCAGCCTGACTAATGAGACTTTGGTGCCAACCCAGCAGAAGCACCCGTGCCCATGGCTGGAGCCAGCTACCTCTGCAGACAGTGATGGAGGCCTTTTGTGTTCTGACCAGCTGAGCGGGAGTGTGCTGAAGATGGTGCAGAGAAGCGGCCTGGAGGGAAGAAAGAGGACAGAGTGGGGCTTAAGACTCACCTTGGGTGGTGGCAGCAAATGAAGTCAGGGCGTGCGTGCATTTGGGGGGCTTTGTGCAGCATCCAGGAGGAGCATCAGCCTAGTGGGAGACTTGGGGTGGGGGAAAGACTTGGCGACCACTGCCAGCTGTGCTCCTCCAGAACATTTGGAAAGCGTCACAACCAGCAGCCAGAGGGAAAGGTGGGGGCCCAGGGCAGGCCAGAGGCACTCACTCCCCTGGCCTGGATGTGGCTCCTGGTGTCCCTCCCTCCATGGCAGCCCTGGTCAGGAGGGGTCAAGAGCAAGTGAGTATGAGGGTTGAAGGGGCCGAAGAAGGCCTGGCAGAGTGGGGGAAGAAATGTCGGAAAAAAACAGAACAAAAGTAATCTTTCCCCAAATGAAGCCTTTGAGAAGGCCTGTGGGTGAGGTGCCTTTCTCTCTCCCTCTCTCTGGAATGGGCCTTGGCCCATTTTCATGAAAATATTGGTTTGGGTTGAGGAAGGTGTGACAGTGGCCTGGGGAGAATGACTATTATGGCTCCAGGAGAGGAGAAGAGGAGGAGAAAAAAGAGAGGCCTCCCTGTAGAGCCAGAGGTGGAAAGGGCTTCTCTAGGCAGCCTGCTCTAGGGTTGTGGGACCCTGGGCCCATTCTGGGTCAAGTATTCCAAGCTAAGCTTGGCAGTTCTTGCTTAGATATTAGAAAAACTAACTTGGATGCTCCACCCTCTGGCCAGTGTCAGGACTGTGAAGGTGGAAAGAATTGTGAAGAGTTTGGGGAAAGACCACAATGTGTGCCCACTTATGCCCATTGAATTGGTAAGAATACAGAAATCTAAGACACCACATGTGGAAGAGGATGTGGATGGGCACAACTTGGAATGCAGCTAGATGTACAAATTGGCCCAACTATGATGATACCCAATTTGACCTTGTCTTGTAAAGTTGAACAAGTCAAAAACTATGCCCTAGCAATTCCACTCCTAGGTACATATGCACAGAAACCCTTGCACCTGTGCCCCAGGAGACACATACATGAAGACTTACAGCAGCAGTGTTCATAAAAATAAACATAAAAACACTGAAGCCTGGAAACAAGCCACAAGTCCAATGCTGGGAGAATGGCTAAATAAACTGGTAAAATTCACACAATAGAACAATATAGAGCAATGAAAAATGAATGAGCTGCAGTGACACACAATAACTTGGATAAATTCTAGTAACATAATGTAGACTGAAAAAGCAAGTCTCAGGAAACTACACCGTATTTGATGCCTTGTTTATAAAGATCAAAAAGAAGCCCAGCTAAAAGATAATTGTTTAGGCATGGATGTATGTGTTTGTATGTCAAAACAAAGGGAGGAAGGGATGAAGATGGGGAAGGAGGGAGGGAGGAAGGAAAGAGGGGAATGAGGGAGGAAGGGGGAGAGGAAGAAGAAAGAAAATGAGAACCACAAACTCATTGTAGTAATTATATGTAGGGGAAGGTGGGATAATAAGAGCTCCATGCCCCTTCCTGACCTCCCTTGCTATACTTTCTGCCCATGATGGGGAGGCAGAGATTTTCTGTTAAAGATCTACTGGCTCAGAAATCATGGAACTGCCCCCACCCTGCCCTTCCTGGTCACCATCCTGGCCAGACCAACAGCTCCTCCTGTTCATTCATCCATTCATTCGAACATATGTACTGAGGCCCTACTACGTGCCAGGCACTGCCCTAGACACTGAAGACACAGCTCCTCCATGAACAAAAGGAGCAGATGTCCTTGCCCCCGTGGAGCTTACATTCTTGGTGGGGCAGAGGGAGGCCAGGGAGATGGGCAATAAACCAGATACCCAGTGTGCCCAGTGTGGTAGGAAGGTGGGGACAAGCATTATGGAGAAAAGGTAGGAGGGCGAATATTGGGGTCAGGGTAAGGAGGGGCTGCCATGTTAAACAGGGAGGCTGACATTGAGTAAAGACCTGGAGGAAGGGACAGTAAGCTATGAGAACATGGGAAGAGCATTTGGGGTGGAGGAAACAACCACTGCAACAGCCAGAGTGTGGAGTGCCTGGTGGGTTCAAAGAACAGCAAGGTATGCCTGGGTGGGGGCGCCGGGAGAGGAGGAGGAAGCCATGTCTGAGGGGCCCTGGTGAGGGTTTTGGCTTTGGCTCTGAATGAAACAGGAGTCACTGTAGGGTTTTGGGCAGAAGGCTGACCTCATTTGATGTCTCAGGATCTCTCCGGCTACTGCACCAACAGGGGCTGGGAAGAAGGCTAAGGTGCCACCCCAGAGGTAATCGATGGCAGCCTGGACCGGGCTGGGGTGGTGGAGGTAGTGGGAAGTGGTCAGATTCTGGGTGCACTCAGAGCTAGAGCCGACAGGGCTGCTGGCATATTAGATGTGGGGTGGGTGTGAGGGAAGAGTAAGGATGATGCCAAGGTTTTTCTGGAGAACCTGGAAGATAGCGTTGTCATACACCGAGATGGCAGAGCTGGGTGGCACAGGTCTGGGAAGAGCGAGAGCTCTGTTCTGGCTGCCTTAGGTTGCTGTCCAGGTGGACGGCCAGTGGGCAGTTAAAGGGACGAGTTGGGAGTCAGCAGAGAGCCCTGGACTGGAGACAGAAAGCTGAGTTGCCTCTGACTGTGGTTTCCTTGATTGGTCATGCCCCACCAGGCCAGCAGGAGGGCAGGAATGATTTCCCCAGTATCTCAATTTCTCAAAGCCTGCTACAGGGCCTGGCCCACAGGCAGCCTTGAATAAACGAATGAATGAACAAATGAAAGAATACACAAAGAACAAGAGCGTGTCAGCGCAATTGATCTGGTACAAGATGCCTATGTGTGACCAAAGAGGAGAATCTAAAGAAACGTGTCAATAACTCCAGGTCCATTTTCAGAGGGGCCTTCTTGAGACAGCGACCCCATCCTGTCGCTGCCTACCCCAGGCAGCCGGCTCTCCTGGTGGAAATTGACTGAAGGGGGGTCCAGGAAAGGAGGCAGGGGCAGCATTCTGGGCATTCAGGGCACTGGTGCTGACACCGCTCTCCCCTGCACCTGCTCGCCAGGCTCAGGGAGGGGAGTGGGAGGTCTGCAGAGCCCTGGCTTCTGGGCAGAGGCAGAGCCACGTTCCCCAGAGGCCTCCTGGAGCCTCTCTGCCTTCTCTTTCAGATGGTTTGATCTAGCCTAGTGGTTTTCAAACATCTCTTTTTAAGAAAAAAAAAAGTCATGGAGCCCCATGACAAAATCTCCCATGGAGTGAGGATGGGGGGAAATCCCCAGAGCGCTGCACCCATGAGGACGTCCCTGTGCTGGGTCAGGGACCGGCTGCATTAAGCAACACAGGTTCCCAGGCCCCAGTCCAGAGCCTCCAAGGCAGTGGGTCTTGTTTGCCTAGTGGGTAAGCCCTTGACCTCTGGTTTCTAATCTTGTTTCCTAACATCTGCGATTTGGAGCAAAGCCTCACCCTCTCTGCCTCAGTTTCTCTCCTGTAAAAATGAGGTTCCTAGGGTATCTTGTTTGTCGATGAGAATTTGGTAAGGCAATGTGTTAAAGCCATGCTTCTTCTCTATTATGATTATCAAGACTCCTCCAGGTGCTTTTGAAGCAGAGCAAGGTTTGGGGACAGGTAGCTGGGAGGTCACTATCACCCTGAGGATACCATTGTTGCAGGATCCCAATCAGTTCTTCCACCACACCATCTGTGCTCAAGCACCTTCCACACAGCTGCAACTGCCTGCCTCTCTCATCACCCTTCTCTGTTTCCCTCCCTCCTGCCTCTCACCTGCCTTCTCTCAGCCTCCCCACCTCCCAAGCCCTGGAGAGAGGGATGCTGCCATTCTGCACAGCATCACCTGTGAGACTGGCAGGTGGGATGGGGACAATGGATCCACATGACTCCCCTCCCTTCCAGCAGCCTCTCAGAAATTGGGGGCAGCTCTGAAGATGCTGTTTTTGGCCCAGGCACCATCAGCCCAAACAAAGGCATTTTCTATGGCTGCTGGGAAGGAGACAATTGTTTCCATTCTGCAAACATTTGCTGCCAACACCAGTGTTTTCTCTTGGAAGCCAACGTTTGGTTGAGAAGACAATGCCAAGCTAAATATTTTCTCTGCATAAAAATCCCTTTAATTTTTTAATCATTTGGCAACACCTCCTTCCTCCTCCCCTCGCCCTTCTGCTCCTCTCTTCCCTGTCACTCTCTGTCGCTGGCTGCGTCTCTGCAACACCCAACATCTGAGCAAGAGGGAAAGCTTTGGTGGGCCACACAGTGTTTCCAAACCTACAGATGGTGGGCTTTGTGCAGGCGCACATCTGGTTGATGTGTTAACCTTGTATTCTTAGATGTTTTATCTGGATATTTTAATGGATGCAGACGTAGCCTTTTCTAGTCTCCACCCTTTTTTTGTCCATTCTAGATATCTACACTAAACCCTGGTTAAGAGAAGCCAACCAGTTGCAGTGAACTGAGATTGTGCCACTGCACTCCAGCCTGGTGACAGAGCGAGACTCTGTCTCAAAAAAAAAGAGAGAGAAAGAAGCCAACCAGTAACAAAGGCCCCGAGGCTGCCAACCAGGGCCAGGAGGTAATCATAGTTCTCCATCACTCTGTGGCTGGTGGCTGAAGCATACTTATGTTCTCTCTTGCTTCCTGAGTCCCCACAAGGAGGAAGTCACCTATCTCACTCCCTGTGCCGAGGTCTAAAGGTACTCAGAATTTCTGATCCCCAAATTCCCTGGCTCTAGGGAGGTGTCTCCTTCCTGACAGCACCGCAGCTTGGGGGCTGGACCACTCTCTCCCGCCTCCATGGTGCTGCCTGTCCTTCAGAAGCTGCCTTCCCAGCATCCCACCGGGAGGTCAGGCCTCCTCCCCAGCCACTTTGGATGCTCATTCATACCTGGAATGAGCTTGTTTTTCCAAACCCTCAATTGGATTTCATTCTGATATCTCACTTACTGGGGAAGAAGAACTTCCACCTCACAACCCAGAGTGTGAAGCATATCTGGTCAGGACTTACAGAATGAAGGGATAAACGGATACATACATCATTGAATGAATGGGTGGAGGGATTAGTGAGTAGGTGAATAACTGAATGAGTGACCAAATGTGTGAGAGATCAATAAATGAACTCATCCCTGCGCCTGTGCCCAAGGACACAGCATGTGCAGTGACACTGGAGGTGAGAGGGAGGAAGGTGAAATGATGTGAAACAAGTCTCCATGGAGCACCTTGCTAGCACAGGGCAATTGTGTTTCTTCCTCCTCAGTGATAAAAGCCTTGCCACTGCAGAAAGAGTGTCAGTTCGGAGATGAGAGCTGGCTATCTGGGTTCGATTGCTGACTTCGTCACTTCTTGGCTTGTGATCTTGAGCAAGTTGCTTCACTCCTCTGAGCCTCAATTTTCTCATCTGTAAAATGAGGTATGCCTACCTTGTAAGTCTGTTTGGAGAATTTGAGGATTTGGGCATCCAGCACTTGTTAAGTATTAGCTCTTTTCTCCCTAAAGGAGGCTGAAGTTTTTAGGTCAATAAGCTTTGGGGAGAGATGAGAGTGGTTGAACATTGCCTGGCAGCACTGTGGTGAAAACTACCTTTGGGCAAAGGCCACTTTGGGCGAAGGACACCTTTGGGCGAAGGCCACCTTTTGGCGAAGGCCACCTTTGGGCAAAGGCCACCTTTGCGCTCCTACAGAACATCTAGGGAGCATGTGGATGTGAGGATCTCTGCAGGAATGCAGATATACCCAGAGGGCCATCAGACATCTGTCCTTCCCATGCCTGTCCTAGCTCCTGGTGAGTGTTTGACATCACATGAACCAGGCCAGGGTGGGTGGATCTAGAAAAAAATCCTTCTTTATATAAAGGAGGATGCTTTCTAAAAAGAATCACTACTTGAATACCTGCCACAGGCACCCCAGAGAAAGTATTTCCTGGGGTTCAGGCATATTAACCATGGTGACCTATAAATCACTGTGAACCAGAGATCAGGCAATGATGCAGGGCCAGGACAATGATGATGACCCACCTCCTGGCTGTGGCCTTGGCCATGTAATTTAACCTGTGTGCCTCTGTTTCCTCATCTGGGTAATAGCGATGACTGCATCCACCTCAATGCTTGGAATAGTGCCTGACACATAGTGAGCAATACACAAGTGTTAGCTATTACAGTAGATTGGATTATTGTCCCCAACTCTTCACCCCCTCACCTTGCAAGAGGATTTTACAGCCTCTCCCCATCAACTTTCAGCTTGTCCATGTAACTTGCTTTGATCAATGGACTATAGGTGGCTGGGAGAGTGTCCTAGTTCCTGGAAGAGGCTTTTAAGAGCATCTTCTGCTTGCGTGCTTCCTCCAGCCTCCACCAAGAGAATGGAGAATGGTGTATCTTAGATAATCATTATTTCTTCAGCCTAGGACCCGGAGCAAAAAGACATGTGAAATCCAGCCAAGTGCAGGCAAGCTGCAGCCCTTATATAATGAGAGCAAGAAAGAAATGTTTGTTGTCATAAGCGACAAGATATTGGCATTGTTCTCACTGTAGCAATAGCTGATGAATAAAGCTATTATTACTGTTACTTCTCCATCTTATAGAGGAGGAAACGGAGGCTCCTTGAGGTTAAGTTACTTGTTCATGGCTACACAGTAATTAATTGGTGGAGATGGGATTCGAACTCAGATTCATTCATTCATTCATTTATTCATTCAGCAATTACTTAGTGAGTACCTACCCTGTGGCAGCCACTGGAAAGGCAGAGAAAGCCCCTGCTCTCATGTAGCTTATAACTGCATGGAGAGAAACAAAGAAATACAAGCCAACCAGTAAATAGGTGAAAAAAATTCCAGAGAGTCATAAATGATTTAAAGGATATAAAATAGGGCGATGTGATCATGACTGGGGAAGTGGGGAGGGACAGTTTAGAAAGGATAGCTAGAGAAGACCCCTGCCCACCATTGCAGGAAGTGACATGGTAGACAGAGGAAACAGCAAGGGCAAAGGCCTGGAGGCTACAACAAACACGGCGTGTTCCAGGAGCAGAGAGAGCCCAGGGTGGCAGGAGGGAAATGAGAGGCAGAGTGGAAGATGAGGGTACGGACAAAGATGAAGTAACATATGGCTTTGTCATCTATGCTATGGTAAGGAGTTTCCAATTTATTCTAAGTACATGGAGGGTTTTAAGTAGAGGAGAAATGTGAATGTATTCGGGTTGATAGGTTTAAATGATCATGATTTTGTATGGGGAATTATTGCAGGAGGCCAGCTAGGAGACCAATGCAGCAGTGCAGGAGGGAGATGGTGGCTAGGCCCCAGCATGATCAGGGTGGAAACAAACAAAATAAACTGTCTCGAGATATACTTTAGTGGCAGAGGCTGTATGTTCATGGAAGTTTGGAGGTGGAGATAAGATAAAGAGATGACTCAAGGAAGGATGACCTTTATGTGACCTTGGGTGAGGATGGTGTCATATACTGAGCTGGGGAAAGCTGGAGTCAGGATGGATCTGGGCAAGTGGAGAAAAGCAAGAGTTCTGCCTTAGACAGGCTTGCCTTGAGAGGCCTGCATCGAGGGGTGCTGTGAGCAGGCAATGGGCTGTACTAGGCCAAGTTCAGTGGAGAGATGAGGGCTGGAGGGGTAAATCATCCTTGGCACATAAGTATGATTTCAAGGGACAGAAAGCAATCACCTGGGCACTCTGGCATTTGGAAGTCAGTTGGAGTTATAGGATCTAATAAAACTACCAGAGGAAGAGGAGCCAGTGAGGTAGTGCTGTCCAATTTCAGAGGTGAAGCCCATGGTGAAAGAAGCTCCTTGACCCTTGAAGTCTGAGACTTTGCTGTCTGCTATGGTCATCACCTGCCGAGTGCTTGAAATGTGGCCGCTCCACGTTGAGATGCACGACAATTACAAAACACACACCAGATGCCAACAACTTTGTATGAAAAACAGAATGTAACATAGCTCACTCACCCATCAAATACATTGATTACATGTTGGAATAATAATATTTCAAATATGTTGGGTTAAATAAAATATAGGGATAAAATCAATTTTACCTGTTTCATTTCTTTTACTCCTAAAAACGTCAGAAATGTAGAACATTTAAAATTACCATGAGGTTGGCATTTGATGCTTGCATCATTGTATTTTTACTGGGCAGCCCTACCTTAGAAGGACCACAGTAGGGTATCATCCCATACAATGATGTAGGTGCAGAAGCACTGTCCAGACTTGTCCCCAAGACTCTTGCTTTCCTGTCCTCTAGGGTCCCTGGGCTTTCCCTACCAAGAGTAGGTGTCAAATTTCTCAGTAAAGATTCTACTGACAACTTCTCATGGGAGTTGAACAACGAGAACACATGGACACAGGGAGGGGAACATCACACACGGGGGCCTGTCACGGGGGTTGAGGGAAAGTGGAGAGGGAGCTTTAGGACACGTACCTAATGCATGCGGGGCTTAAAACCTAGATGACGGGTTGATAGGTGCAGCAAACCACCATGGCACATGTATACCTATGCAACAAACCTGCATGTATCCTAGAACTTAAAGTAAAAAAAAAAGACTTTGCTGACAACTTCTCACTCCAGCCCATACGGACCTGTTTTCGTCTAGAAAAATCACATGCAGCTTTCATGAGAAAAAAAAAAAAAATACACACAACACGAAACTAAAGAAAGGAGCAAGCTTTCCCTGATGCACTGCCAAGTGACTGTTCTATTTCCCACAACTCACTGTAGTTTCTTCAAACACAAAGACGTTTGCCACATGGTCAACGAAATCATTTGGGGAAGTGTCAGAAGACCATACGTGGGGAGGGGGAGTTTGGCAGCCAATGAGATTTTCCCATTTCCCACAATGGTCTCTGGCCAGGGCCTACATTCGGAGTGTTCATCTATCTCTCCCGCTCAGAGCTCCCCTGTAAATCCACCACCCCATCAAACCTCAAACTCACAAGGATTGCCATTTAGGGTCTGTGTGAGCCCTGGGGACACCTTGGGGCTCTGAGCAATGATCATCTCTGCCTTCAGGGAGGAAACCTGAACACAGTAGGCTCAGGCCTTTTTTGGGATAGTGTCATTGTCCTCTGCCTGCTCCCAGCCCAGACTGGGAATGTCACCCTGTCCTGGGGCCATGAAACAGGACGGACCCTCAGTCCAGCAAGACAGGGACCTTAGAGATACAGAAAGAGGAAGACCCCAAAGAGACCACAATGAAGAATTGGTGAGATGGGGAGAACAAAGAACTCAGAGCAAGAAGAAGACCCCTGGGACAGTGGGGAGTGGGAGGCAGGCCTGAAGAACTCAGAGGAAGGGAGAGATGAAAGGAAGTGCATTCATTTACTTGTTCATCCATTCATACGTGAAAGCATTACTGAGTACCTTCTATTTGTGGGCACTGAACTAGGAGCAGAGATGCATAGTGAGTGAAACAGACCAGGTTTCTCCCCTCAGGGGCTTGCAGGCCTATTAGGAAGATATTAAACAAATAAACATCTGGATCGATTTAAAATGAAAACTGACAAGTTCTCTGAAGAATAGGACATGAGGCTACAACATCACCAACAGAAGCATTCCCTTGAATCTGAGAAACCAGAAAACGTTTCCCTGAGGAAATGATATTTGAGCTGAGATCTGAATCTCAGTTAATTGCACAAAAGGGAAATTGGGTATGACAGGCACAGGAAACAGTATGTGCAAAGGCCCTGTGGCCAGCGTGGTCTGCATTTGAGGGATGGAGGGCACTGTGACCAGAGCAGCTGCCAAGATCTGTATCACAGGACCACAGACAGTGGGACTGTGATGGACAGGGTTTGGAGTGCGTGAGGCTTCTTAAAGATCCCAAACTTTGAATTTGCCTTTAAAACTTTTTTTTTTTTTCCATTTCGAAGTTTAGGGGTTGTTTTTTAAATGCTGCTTATGTCTGAAGAAATCTGAACACAAGAAGTTGGGGAGTTTCAGAGGTAATTAGTATACATGTAATAGTTATTGGGTTTTTTTTTTCTTAATTATAAAGTAACATAATACTCAACCTGGGAACTTGTCAAACATAGAAAAAGACAAATTCTAAAATGGACCTAAACCCACTCTCCACCCATTCTCACTGTTAAGAGTATTGATGTAGAGTCTGTAAGGTTTTGAGCTTATATTATAATATATACCAGCCATTGGACTGGAGCTTTTCATATGTGGTCTTATTTTGTTCCCATAGCAACCCCATAGGGTGGTACTGTTATTATTCCCATTGTACAGATTAGGAAAGTGATGCTTTGAGATTCACTGGGCCTTTCTCTAGACTCGTCTTCTACTATGCTTTTCCTAGCTGTTTCTGCTCCAGTCACACTGCTGCTCCCCATTCCTCTAATCCAGTCTACTCCTGGCCACAAGGCCTTTGTACACACTGTTTCCTCTGCTTGTCATACAGTTTGTTCAATGTCATTTGAACGAGGTGAGAAGTAGCTGGGCTGGAGTCCAAATCCAAATGTGCCTGACCCTGAGCCCGCACAGATCACTACATTCTGCTTCCTCTGTGGGTCATATCCTCATCGTTCTCCTTTCTGTGCATACGTATGCATTTATATTTATATTTGCACTCATACTGACGGCATTACCCAGACTGTTTTGCAGCCTGTCCTTTTCACTTTGCAACAGATCATGTAACATTTTCTCAAATCAACATCTATTCTTCTACAACACTATTTTTAATGTCTGCATAGTATTCTGCAGATCAGACTGGTGATCTGCAAACATTAGCTCACGTGGGAACTCGTTGGAAATGCAAATTTGCAAGCCCCACCCCAGACCTACTGCATTAGAAACTCTGTGGATGGAGCCCAGGAATCTGTATTCTAACGAGCCCTCTGGGTGATTCTAATACAAGTTAAAGTTGAAGAACGGGTCCTTTAGGTGTTCTGTATCCTTATTAACTCACCTCCTATCATTGGTACATTTAAATCATTTCCAGGTTGACCATCAAAAAACAAGGCAATTTGGGAGGCCGAGGTGGGCAGATCATCTGAGGTCAGGAGTTTGAGACCAGCCTGGCCAACATGGTGAAACCCTGTCTCTACTAAATATACAAAAATTAGCCGGGCATGCGCCTGTAATCCTAGTTAATAGGGAGGCTGAGGCAGGAGAATCGCTCGAACCCAGGAGGTGGAGGTTGCAGTGAGCCAAGATCCTACCACTGTACTCCAGCCTGGGCAACAGAGCGAGACTTCATCTCAAAAAAAAAACAAAAAACAAACAAACAAAAAAAGAACCAGGGCAAAACAAGCATCCTCATATCTGTGAAGATCAAGAAAGTGGTTTTAAAATAAAGCAGGTGTCAAAAACCAAGCCTACATAAACAAAAAAACCATTAATAAATGTTATATTTGAAAAGAAAACTAAAGAAAAACAGAAGAGATTTTAATTCAGATCTCAGGAAATGTTCTATTTTCTTTCCTGGCAGGAACACCTGGCAGGAGGAATGTCACTGGAGCCCTTCGTGTCACCTGGGGGGATAGCTCGCTTCTGCGGGCAGCCTAGGAGTTGCCCTGCTGCCGTGCTCCTGAGCACTGTCCACGAACTCCAGGCCTTCTCTGGTAGCTTCCAGGCTTTTGGGTATAATGGCTGAGATGTTTGTTAAAGAGACAGCTGCTGTCTGGGCCCACCCAGCAGGGGGAGGGCAGAAGGGCTCGGTAGCTGTGGAGATGGAGCTGGAGGGCAAGCTGCCTCCTCACCTCCCAGCCGGCGATTTCATTAAGCAAGGGCCTGCCAAGAGGGCTCTGCCCCACTCCTCACTGCTGCCCTGCCAGGCTGCCTCCGCCCTCATTAGCTTGAGGCTGAGCCCAGACTTCTGAAATAAACTCCAGGCCCTTCCCTGGGGTCTTGGAAGACACCGTCCATCTGATGGTGAGTGGAGATCTGTCAACAGGGCATTTTGCTGCCTGTTCCAGAGCCCAGACCACCATTGATGCCTGCCAGTTCTCATTTCCCATCCAGGGAGCGAGCCTGCTTGTTGGCAGAAAGTTTCCTGGAATCAAATGGGCCTGAGGTATGGCTTAACCAAAAACTAAGAAAAGCAGTGTTAATGTTCTGGGGTGTGTCTGTTTCCTTGCCTGTAAAATGGGAGTAATAATCCCTTTCTGGTGATTATTATAGAATATGGAACAGAACATGGGCTGCAAATGGTAAGGGTAACGTATGAGATGGCTTTTTTTATGTCATTGCTGTGCTTTTTTGCACAGGTCTTTGGGGGATATACTGATCTGGGTTCATATCACAGCTTTTCTGCTTACTGACCGTGTGACCGTGGATGAATTATTTCTCCTTTCTGAGCTTGTATTTCCCCAGCAGTAAAGCAGCAGTAATGACACCTGCTTTGCCAAGCAAACGTGAGGACCACATGGGCTACCAGGGAAGAGAGCAGCCAGCAGGGTGCTCAGAGCACAGTAGGCTACCCAGCAAGTGTTTGTTGGCTGGATCTCAATCCTTCCTGCACTGGAGACTTCCTCCTGCTGTGCAGGAGGCAGTACCATGTAGCAGTCTACTTTTCAACATCTGATACCTGCAAATGTGGATCCTGGCTTCACACAGGGACCTTGAACACATTACTTCACCTCTCTCTGCCTCTGTTTCCTCATCCATACAATGGGAGAAAAAATAATACCTACTTTATAGGGCTCCTGTGAGAATAAGATAAAATCATGTTATTAAAATGTGAAGGCTGGGCATGGTTGCCTGTAATACTAGCACTTTGGGAGACTGAGGCAGGAGGACTGATTGAGGTCGGGAGTTTGAGACCAGCCTGGGCAACAAAGCAAGACCTTTTCTCTACAAAAAGTAGAAAAAAAATTAGCCAGGCATGGCAGTGTGCACCTGTGGTCCCAGCTACTCAGGAGGCTGAGGCAGGAGGATCCCTTGGGCCCAGTAGTTCCAGGCAGCAGTGACTTACCATCTTGTCATTGCACTTCAGCCTGGGCGATAGAGCAAGACCTCGTCTCAAAAAAAAAAGTAATTGTTATTAGGTGTCATTATTACCATTTTTTCAGATGTGGCAAAGGCTGAGTGTTCGTATCATCAAACATCGAAAATGTGGCAATGTCTGGAGAGTTGACTGATCTTTAGCTTTGATTGGGCATTCAGTTGACAGATATTTATTGAGTGCCAATCATGTGACTGGCTGTTTACTGGCCTTCCAGTCCCTTGAATTTGGGGTTTGTGGAGGATTTTATGCACAGCAGAGAGGCCTTATACCAGAGACGTAGGAGGGCAGAGGGGTCACGGTGAGGGTCAGAGGAGGTGGGCCACCCTTGCCCCCTTCCAATGAGGAAGCCAATTACTCAGCTTGTGTAGCCGTATCTCAGGACAATAGCCATCTTTGACAGCCCTTCTCCCGCAACCTCCAGAAAAGCAAGACCTTGAGAAATTTCAGGTTAAAAAGCAGCTCTCAAATTCCACTGCAGGTTATTCAAAGGAGAAAAAGAATAAAAATCAATGCCAACCCAGTCTCCGGTTCTGAGGAGCAGTCGCATCTTGTTTGTAACCTGAAGGGATCAATAAGAGATGCTTCTTTTGGTCCATTTTTAAAGCTCGATACCATGGATGCAATTTGGTTGACAATTATGAACAATCAGTTATCTTGTACGGTCTTGCTCCAGCTGCCGGCTGCCCGATCAGGGTAATCATGAGCTATTACTGAGGGGGCGGTGTTGTGGAGGGGCTGGTTCCTACCTGCTCACCAATGATCACTCAGAAGGAAACAGAATTTGCTGATCAATTTAGTCATTGGGATGGAGAAGTTATGAATACTCTGACACAGAAGCCTGGCTTCTTGAGTTTTCAGACCCATTAGCCAGGGCATAGATTCCTATTGATGAAAGCATCCATCTCCCTGGCTTGGGCAGTTTCAAGGGGCCAAGAGTCTAGGTTAGGACTTGCTAGAGTTCAGAAAATCAAGTGCTCATTGCTGCCCTCAAGAATGCAGAGGGACAACTGTCTTCATGACACCAACATCTGAACTGAGTGGATAAAAAGCTTCCGGGCACTCCTGGGTGTTAAATGCCCCAGAGACAGGCCTGAGCTTGGGCCTGGCAATTCCCTTGTGGGGAACCTTCCTCCAAGATACTTAGCATCTCACCCACTTTGCCCAGAACCCTACAGGGCCAGCTCTGTATGGCATGGCTGAGCCCCAGAGACCTCAACCTCTTTTGGATTGTGGGCATCTTTGAAAAACTGGTGAAGGCTCTGCATCCTATCTAAAAAAGTACTCAGACACCCAAAAATATGCACTAATTTTAGTAGGGGCCTATGAAAACTAGGATAAGAATGTCAAGGCCACGGTTTGGGAATCAGATAAATCTTAATCCCCATCTAGGCTCTGCCATTTGCATGCCATGTGATTCTGGGTAAGTAACCTTAGCTCTCAGAGCTCAGTTTCCTCCCTGTGCTGGGAATGGTAATAGTAT